>NC_000005.10:103234807-103859807 GCF_000001405.40 Homo sapiens
TATGGTGGTAAACCAGCTCTGGCCACGAAAGCAAAATGGAGTAATTTGAATCGTGCCTTCAGAAACATTTCTTTTCCACAAGACCATAGGCATAGGGTGTTTTCACTGTAGAATGCCACTCCTTTCAGTAAAGGCGGCATTTTTCAATGTGATGTTCTGCCAATACTTCCAGGTATTAATAGTAATATATAGAAGAAATAAAAGGCTAATTTGACTTTTATTTGGAAAATGCTGTACACTTTGTCCTCCCCACTTGGATATATATATTAGCATATTATGGAGTCTTTGAAATTGCAAAGGTTAATTTTGCTAAACCCAGTGTATTTACTAACTTTATAGGAGGTCAGAATACTTTTTCTTTCAGCATGCTTGTCAATATCCCTCTGACTAGTGTTCTGTTTAGCAAAATTCTGGAAAAGACAGATGAAGGTCTTGTCTCCAGAAAGGCCCTGTGCAATGGAGCAACAGTAAGTAAGTTAGTGTGGAAATTATCACCAGCCACAGTCCTCTGAAGTAGAGAGCAGAGCTGCAAGAGAGCAGCATTCATGAGGAGACGTAACTTCTGAGGAAGTGATGAAGAATCAAGAAAGGACTGAAAATCACTGTACCCAAAAGATGGGAAGGCCAAAAGGGAGTGGGAGCCTAATGGAGAAATGAAGTGTTTCACAATTTTGAGTAAGGCAAGACTCAGAACTATTTCTTGTTACTATAGGGAACAAAAGACTGAAGAAGTGCCTTAGTCTGTAATTTAGTAATAGTGAATTTTATTTATTAAGATTTCTACATCGCTCACTGTGTGGCAGGCACTGTTCAGAGCACATTACAAATATTAATTCATGAAATCCTCAAAATAACCCTATAGGGTAGGTACTATTATTGTCACCCCCATTTCACAGATAAGAGAACTGAGGCATGAATACATTTACTAACTCACAGGCCAGGACGCCAGCCCAGGTCACCTGACTCCAGTGCCCACACTGTATGCTGCCTTTTCAAATCCATCAAGTGGAACACAAGACACTGCTGAGGGTGATCCCATACCATTGAGTAGTGCAAACTTCAACTGCAAATATAAAGAGAAAACTCCCCCTCTTCTGTGTCCTCTGAAATGGGAGACAATTCTTCACCTTAATCAAAAGTGACTGACATTAATGTTTATACCTGTAGCTTCTTGATATAACCTTTTATATACCCAAGATGAAACTAAAATCGATGTGGAGGATAGTGTTCTAGGTAAAACAACTTAAGTGATAAAACATGTTACCTCAGCAATGTTGCCTGAGGGGCAGACTTACATATTTCATGAAAAATGTTAGGCAGAAGGTCTTGATGTCATTTCTTGCACCATTTAATCAGATTTAGCTTCAGAAATAGGAATGGAAAAGGCTATATTTTTCTTTTTAAAAATATAACTCATATTTTGGTATAAAAGTAATTTGTGCACACTACAGATAATTTTCAAAAACATAAAATTATAACTAAGCAAGTAAAAAATATGTAAAATCCCACTAGCCAGAAACAACTACACTGATTATTTCCTTATAGTCCTTTTTTCCATGTTGAATATATGCGTGTGTGTTTAACATAACTGAGGTCATTTTGAATATATTTCACATCTTACACATTTTACTTAATGTTATATTATGAACATTTTCTTAAAATCCCGACGTCTCTAAAAATCTTTGTATAACTATAATGTTTGTTCTAATGTCTGCCATCTTGTTTTAAGTTTTTATTATGTTTCAGTGCCAGTTTTTACTCTTTCAATACAAAGAATAGGCTTCTTTTGCTTTTATCTTCTGCATTGATTTGTATGGTTTTCCGTTCTTGTTTGTACTTACTCTTGAACAAAGAGGTTTCTAATTATGGAAGTCAAGATTGAAACTGACTTTCGACTCAGTCTACCTTAACAGATGAGAATGTTTTTATTTCCTCATACTTGTCCTCCTCCACTCCTTAATCTCTGGTAATATCATTTGGGGTTTAAACTATTATTTAACTATGTATATCTGTATGAAGAATATGTAAACATATATTTTTAAAGATATATTTATTTGTAAGATTATAAAGATATAATGTATCTTTAAAGATAGATATAAAACTTTTATATAAAAAAGTCCTATAAATATATATAAAAATATATATTGAAAAATATAAATATACAATATATATTTATATATTTAAATATCAATATGTATTTTAATATATTTATTTTTCAATAAATTAAAAGAATATATAAATATATGTATAATATATTAAATATATAATATACATTAATATATGTATAATATATTAAATATATAATATACATTAATATATGTTTAATATGTAATACATATTATACATGTTAAATTATATATTTATATTATATATTTTAAAATAAATTAAATTATATATAATTTATTATGTATAATATATTTATTATATAATATCTACTATACATATTTTAAAGATATATTTAAAGCATATATGTATTATTTAAAGGTGAATTAACATTTGCAATAAATTTTGTGATTAATTTATACAGAAAGAATTTTAAACATATAATATATTGCAAAAATAAAAACAGTATAAAGAACAAACACTCCTTAACCTTTACCCAAATTCACCTACTCTTAACATTTTATCCTATTTGAGTGCTCTCTCTCTCTCTCTCTCTCACACACACACACACACACACACACACACACACACACACACACATACAAACACATAATGTTAAGAGCAGGCAAATATATACTTTTTTTCCCCGAGCTATTTGAAGACGATGAGAATCATCAGCAGGTGCTATATCCAGGAGGAAGTGTTGATGAGGAGTAGGATATCTGCATGATCTTAACGTGCTTCCCCATAAATTGCTTATTAATTGCAAGGCAGATTAATAAAAAGCAGTACTTCTAGAATGGGTACATTGGGCAACACTTTGACCTAATGATCAAAATTACCATCATCAGTGAAGGACAGATGTGTCTCCAGATGTGATACCTTGAGGAAGACAGAACATCACATAGTCAATCGTATTTCACTTCAATTTAACCATATGGAAACATCAAACAGAAAAATTGATAGGAAAAAAAAAGACAAAAAAATCAGTAAGCAGTAAGGACATAGAAGACTTGAAAAACACTATCATCAACCAACTTGACCTGACCAATGTTTATAGAACACTCCACCCAACAGGGACAGAGTCCACATTCTTTTTAATTTGCACAGGCAACATTTACTAAGATAGACTATATTATGGGCCATAAAACTAGTTTCAATGAATTTTAAATGATTCAAATTATATGAAGTATGTTCTCTGAACACAGTGGAATTAAGTTAGAAATTAATAACAAAAATATCTCTAGTCAATTTTTCAATATTTGCACATTAAAATAACACACTTTTAAAAACCCACAAGTTAAAAAGGAAATCAAAAGAAAAATTTGCAAGTATTTTGAGTGGAATAAATATGAAAATACAACATTTCAAAATCTGTAAGATGCAGCTAAAGCAGTGCTTAGAAGGCAAGGTCTGTGTTAGAAAAGAATAAAAGCCTCAAAACAGTAATCCCAACTTCCACTTTAAGTAACTAGGAAAAAGAAGAGCAAGTTAAACCTAAAATAAGCAGAGAAAAGAAAATAGCAATGATCAGAGCTGAAATCAATGAAATAGAAAACAGAAAAACAATTGAGAAAATCAATGAAACCAAAATCTGGTTATTTGAGAAGATCAACAAAATTGATACACTTTTATGTATACTAATTGGCATAAAAAGAATGAAAATACAAATTAAAAATATCAGAAAGGAGAAAGGTACATACTTAGATGTCCTATAGATATTCAAAGAATAATAAAGGATAATTATTATGAACAATTTAATGCCAATACATTTGACAACTTGGAAGAAATGAACAAATTCCTTGAGAGATACAAACTACCAAAGTTTGCCACTCATGAAGAAATAGATCACCTGCATAGTACTATATTTATTTTAAAAATTGAATTTTTAGCTTGAAATATTCCCATAAAAAATTTTCACTGGTAAATTTTATCTAAAATTTAAGAAAGAAAGAATACCAATACAAAGTCATCTGGAAATCCAAAGAGAAGGGTATACTTTTCAGCTCTTTCTGTGAGGCTAGAACCACTCTGATACAACACAAGAAAATCATCCTCTATGAACATAGATACAAAATCCTTTATGAACATAGATACAAAATTTTAAACAAAATTTTAGCAAATCAAAGCCAATAATACTTTAAAAAAAGACACTATATAATGAGCAAATGGAGTTTATCTCAGGATATAAGATTGGAATCACATTTGAAAATCAAACATTGTAAATTGCCATATTAATAGACTAAAGGAGAAAAATTATGATCATCTCAATAGATGCAGAAGAAGAATTAGACAAAATTCAACATCTCTTTATGATAAAACCTCTCAAAAACTGGGATTAGAAAAGAACCTCCTCAATCTAATAAAGAATGACAAACCCTACAGTTAACATTATATTTATTGGTGAAAGACAGTATTTTCCCCCTAAAATTAGGAACAAACCAAAGATGTTCACTAGCATCATTTCTATTCAGCATTTTACTAGAGATTCTAGCCAGTGCAATAAGGCAAGAAAAGGAAATTTTAAAAAAAATCTATGTCAGGAAGGACAAATAAAAATTATTTGCAGAAAAAATTATTTTTTAAGTAAAAAATTATAAGTACTCAACAAAATTCTTCTAGAATGCAAAGTGAGTTTGCTAAGGTGGCAGGACACCAGGTCAGTATTTTAAAAAGCAGTTGTATTTGTATAAATTATCAAGAAAAAATTAGAAATTGTCATTGAAATATACAACTCACAAGACAAAAAATATGAATTACTTAAGGGTAAATCTGACAGAAAATGCTCAAGACCTATACCATGAAAGCAATCAAATAGCACTAGGAGATATTAAAGAAGATCTAAATAAATGGGAGATATGCCATGCTCATGGTTTGGAAGACTCTATCATTAATATGTTAGTTATACCCAAAATGTTTTATAACTCTGACACAATCCCAATCAAAATAACAGGAGGCTATTTTATAGAAATAAGATGATTCTGAAATTTAAACTGGGTTTCATCGAGATTAAGAACTTTTGCTTTTCCAAAGAAACTATTAACTAAATGAAGACAATCTATGATCCAGGAGAAGGATTATACATCATATATTTGATACAGGGCTTATATCCAGAGTATATTTTTTAAAAACACTCAAATACAATTGAAAATAAGCAGAAGTTTGCAATGTATACTTTACTAAAGAGATGTATGGATTGCAAATAAACATATGAAAAGTGCATAACATCGTTAGTCATTAGGGGACTGTAAATTAAAGCCACAATATAATACCACTATCCTTGCTAGAGTTATTAAAATTAAAAATATTGATGATACTAAGTGCTGGCAAGGAAGTAAAAAAAACGAGAATCCTCATATACTGCTGGTGGGGATGTAAAATGGTACAACCACTTTGGAAAAGAGTTTGGCAGCTTTTTAAAAAATTAAACATATACCTGTTATTTGACACAGTCATTCTACTCCTAGGTAACACCCAAGATAAATAAAAGCATATACACACAAACAC
Organism: Homo sapiens; assembly: GCF_000001405.40. Lineage (NCBI taxonomy): Eukaryota > Metazoa > Chordata > Mammalia > Primates > Hominidae > Homo > Homo sapiens. The sequence goes on from NC_000005.10 coordinate 103,240,418, forward strand.
TTGGACAGGAGTGTTCGTAGCAGCCTTATTTGTAATGTCTGTAAGCAGGTGAATTGTGATATGGATATACCATGGAATTCTATTTAGTATTAAAATAGAAGAAACTATAACTACATGCAATAACATGAATTAGTCTCCATATAATTGTGAGTGTAAGAAGCCAGGTGAAAAAGAATGCATACTATATCATTTAATTTATATAACATTTTAGAATATAAAAACAAATCTAATGAGAGAAAGCAGATCACTGGTTGCCTGGATGGGTTGGGGGAAAGGCTGTTGGTGGTTCAGAGAATTATGGGGAGCTGTGAGAAAAAAAACACAGGAGGCAACTCTTGGGATTGAGAGATATCTTCATTATCTTGATTGTTGTGACAGCTTAAGGAGTGTGTACATATGTTCATACTTATCAAGTTGGACTTTTAAATAAGTACAGTTTATTATATTTTAGTTGTACCTCAGTAAATCAATAAACAATAATAGCTGACACAAAGTGTTCTTTTAAAATGTCAGGCACTGTTTTTAGTTCTTTATATAATATATATAAGACATATATAAACATATTTAGAACAATACTTAGGTACTCAATAAATATTAGTTGAAAATAAATCCAGTTTATATAAAATTTCTTTCAATGGCATATAGTAAACATTTTATCTCTGATTACATATAAAAATAATAGGTTCCCTTTGATACATGTTTGGACTAAACAAAAAAATACCTGGTCAAAAGGCTTTCTTACACGTGGAACCCAATGACAAAAACAGTAAGAACAGTAGCCACAATCATACCTCTCTCTCTCTCTGTCCCTCTCTCTCTCTCCCTCTATATATACTCAATATACATATGTGCAGGTGTCCTCAACCCCTGGATATGTGTATTCCTGTTAGAAACTGGGCTACACAGCAGGAGGTGAGCAGCCAGCAAGCAAGCACTACCACCTGAGCTGCCCCTCCTGTCAGATCAGCAGCAGCATTAGATTCTCATAGGAGCAAGAACCCTATAGTGAACTGCACATAATAGGGATCTAGGTTGCACACTCTTTATGAGAATCTAACTAATGCCTGATGGTCTGAGGTGGAACGGTTTCATCCCGAAACCATCCCCCCACCACACCTCATCTGTGGAAAAATTGTCTTCCACAAAACCAGTCCCTGGTGCCCAAAATGTTAAAAGACCACTGCATATATGTATATATACATTCATACAGTATTATTACAGGGATTTTATATCCATCTAAGTGGATTAGATTTATTTTGAAGAATCTATTCATGGTATCTAAAAGGTAGAGATTTCAAAGTTAATTTATTAACAAGGTACATGAAACAGTTATTGTTCAAGGAATATTTTTAAAAGATGAATCCATGCACAATCTTGTTTCTCAAATTATTTATATATTCATGTAAAAGCCTTTTAATGAAAATAACTTCCAATATTTAAAAAAGTTGGTTTTGATCCCATAGCCAGAAAGTTGCTGCTATTTATGAAAATCACCACTCTTTGTATAGTCTCTAGTTGAAAATGCTAAATAAAATAAATTCTATTTCCAAAATTATCTTGTCATTGAAGTTAGCATTATTTGTGTAACACTAATTAGAGACAACTAAAAATAAAGTTAGTCACTGATACAGTTTGGATATGGGTTGTTTGTCCCCACCAAAACTAATGTTGAAATTTGATTCCCAATATGGTGGTGCTGGGAGATGGAGCCTAATGGAAGGTGTTTGGGTCATGGAGGCAGATCCCCCATGAATGGCTTGGTGTCTATTTTCCTGGTAGTGAGTGAGTTCTCCATCTGACAAGACTGATTAGTTCTCACAGAAATGTTCCTGAGAGAGTGGTTTGTTATAAGCCAGGGCATCCCTCAAGTATTCTCTCTTTCTACATATTTGCTTCCTCTCCATCATGTTATGAGGCAGCACAAAAGTCCTCACCAGAAACCACAGCCATGTTCTTGAACTTCCCAGCCTACAGAACCATGAGCTAACTAAAATTATTTTCTTATAAACTATCAAGTCTCAGGCATTCTGTTACAGCAACATAAAATGGACTAAGACAAGTTTAATGATTTAATATCAGGAAATAAAAAATAATCCTATCTCTTATCTACTTTTTCATAATTTAAATATCATGCTGTTATTACTCACAAACTCTGGTTTATCAGAGGACTGAGCTCACTGCAGAGTTTATTTTTATTTTTATTTTTTTGGAGACGGAGTTTCACTCTCGTTGCCCAGGCTGGAGTGCAATGGTGAGACCTCGGCTCACTGCAACTCCGCCTCCAGTGTTCAAGCGATTCTCCTGCCTCAGCCTTCTGAGTAGCTGAGATTACAGGCATGCCCCACCATGCCTAGCTAATTTTTTGTATTTTTAGTAGAGATGGGATTTTACCATGTCACCCAGCCTGGTCTCGAACTCCTGACTTCAAGTGATCCACCCGCCTCAGCCTCCCAAAGTGCTGGGATTACAGTTAATTTTTTTAATAGTAAAGTTAAGATGTAAGCTTTAAAAAATGGAGAGGAAAGAAGTATGAAAAAGAGGAGGTAGAATAATGAAGGTTTCTACTATTTAAGTTTGAAAGATTACACTAAATATGCATACTAAATATGTAATTTCCAAAATCACCATTTAGCCTTGAGCTTATATTTAATTAGTTCATCAAACATTCAATATTTACTAAACTTGTATACTTAAGGAACTTTGAGAGGCACTATCATGGTTGATTCTTAAATCTCCAAGAAAAACAATATATGTTTTAAAAACAGCATAAGACTGGAAATTGAACCTTGTGAAACACATTTAGGAGGGATATGGAAGATGTAAGTGTGTTTATCATGATAATTATATTGCAAAGTAACCTGGCTCAGACAGCAAGCAGTTCATGTAGATGATGGTAAGTAGTATATTACAGCCAGCCACAATTTTTGTTCTCTTCTCATTTTTTGGTACTCCTATTAAAATTCAGTTAAGAAAGAATTATCATTTTCATCATCATCATCATCATCATCACCACCACCCCGGAACTGGTGTTAGTATTTCCCTCTGTCTCTCACACACCGCACACACACACACACACACACACACAAATACACAAAACAGCAAAGTTTTGGATCGGATTGCCTAAGTATCAGAATTTTCTTTCTATCAACTTTCTTATACCATGTCTTAAAATGTAAGTACCCAGATTTTTGGTTTTTGTCAAATCACTTGCCAAATGTGCTCGCTTTCCTTCTTTCCCTCCTCCTTTCCTTCTCTCAACAGTTATTGAGCACTTTACTATGTACTAGCACAGAATAATATTGTGGATGAAAGAAAGGAAAAAAAAGCTATGGTCCCAGACCTATGCTTTTCACAAGACCTGGAGGATTGCTGAGCAGTGATTCAATGCTTATCAGGCCTGTGCTGAATATCTTGAGGGTTAGGAGATTTCAGGGAGCAAAGAATCTGACCACAAAGCTATTGGCTGTATCTGACCAGGTTGTGGGAAGAAAGAAAATTGCCAGTCCAGGATTTGCAGCAACGGAAAGGCAAGAACAAAAACTGTGACTAAAGAGATATGATAAAGCTACGCTAGGTTAAAGGAAGAAAAGATGTTTACACTCCAGGAATGTAGCACTATCTCTTGTCTCTTTGTCTCTCTGCCTGTTTCTCTATGTCTGTCTTTCTGTTTTGTTCTGTCTCTCTCTGTCTCTGTCTCTCTCTCTCTCTCTCGCCCAGCCCCCCCAACACACACACACACACACACACACACACACACACACACACATGCGCAAATACACACCAGGTTTGAGTTAAGGACCAACCTAAAGCACACACAGTGTGATTTCAAGAACCAACTCTTTCTGTCTATGATGATTTACCACTGAGAAACAAAGGTTTTCATTTTGCAAAGGTTTTCCTGGTGATGACAAAAGGGTTGAAAAATATGTAGAGTGTCTCTAAAGACAGTTTTTTACTTACTGTTACTGAAGAACACATGAACCAAAAAGCAGTTTTATAACTTGTGGATGTTGTGGATGTTAAGTATTAAAGATGGGCTTACATTTCAAGAGTAATCAGTAAGGTGATAGTACAAAAATCACAATGCCTTGTAAGGAAGTCACAGTTGTCCTACTGTTTGCTAATGGTAGTTAACATGATAACTTGTATAATAGATTAAACTTGCTAAATTGTGATAGGTGGAGGTATCACTTCCTTAAAAGGCTAGAAGCTGTCAGATGTTAAAAGAGGTTAATACAGAGTCTCTCTCTGTAAGACAGTAAGGAGTCTTTTTTGAGTAAATATTTAGATGTTCAAAGAACAGAAAGGGTAACTTGGAGGAGAGAAAACCTGGGCTTGGGAACAGTTTAGGACTCTTGTCTTCAGCATTTCCCAGGAAAAAGGACTCCAGTGGGCCAACAAAGAGACCCTGATAATTTGCTCAAACCCAACGTGGTATGTGTAGTTCTTACACAAATTCCGAATAAGCAGCCTTCTAATATCACATTAGTTTCTCTGCCAGAAGCGATATTTCCCAAGAGAAGTAATTAAATGGATTTTCTACTCCAAATTTGTCCTGTGTGAACTTGGGTAGTAAATTTTTCCAGGGAATGCGTGGATGAATCCTTTTATTTAGACAATCACAAACAGTAGCCTAGGATGAGAGAGAAAAGAAACTGCAAGGTGATTTTGAACACTAGTTCATCTTTCCTAATTGCATACCTCTTAACACTTCCAAGCCTTTGTCTCGTGTAACAGAAGAAGGTAATACGACTATCTTATTCATAAATAACTGTAGCGAGATTGAGATTAGTGAACATCAGGATCCGTACCATTATGTCCCTGTGAGTCTTCTAGTCATGAATTCTGTTGAAAGCTTAGGTAGGATGATCGCTTAAATATAAAAGTCTCTCAGAACTGGAAGAAGTCTGAGATATGATAATCACCTTGTAGCGTACATTATGTGTACTGTTATTAAATGTGTATGTGAAAGTTCTGGGTTTGTCCTTTCAACTAAATTATAGTTTGAACTTTAGTGCATGTAAATTATGCATTGACAAAGGCAGAATACTTTGAGACGTGAATGTTCAAGTTATTATATGTTATTGTGGGGAGTTTTAAATAGCAACTGGAAACTTATGGTAAAATATTTATTTTGAATAATTCTTCTTTACCAACATTATTTCAGAAACACATCTAACATGTGGCTGTTGAAGCAATATGGAAATATGAAATATTAAGGAAATGTCACTTATATGTTCATAAGTTTGGTTTTATGTACACTCACTTGATGTCTTGAGGAACTGGGGCTCTGTTGGTGCCATCCTCAATTAAAGTGGGAGCACTATAGATACAGCATTTTGCCAGTGTTGATCTACTGATTTAATAGGCATTCACTTGTTAAAATGAATTCACATTTATTTGTTGTCTTATTTCGTTAGGTGGCTATACGGCTGATAGTTCTCTGACTTTGAAAGTTTACTTGCAATTAATGAAAGCACCCAAGAAAAGAAGGGGAGAGGTGAATGTGGGAACTGTGGTTGCTTTCATTAAAGGTGGTTTTCCTGTAGTAAGTTGAGATGCTTTGTGTCTACTGAGTATAATCCGTGTGGCAACCTCCTCCAACTTCATAGGCTCTACTCTCTCTACAATATTTGTGAAGGAGAAGGTTTATTTCACATTCATTTCTGAGGCCTCAGTTTGGCAACCAATTTTCCACATGGCATCCCCTCCACTGCCCCCAGTTCCGGTATGGGCTTCTACCTTCTGGAACTCCATCTGTTCTCCATACTAGGGTGCTGGGCTGGACTTCACGTTGCTGATGTAGAAATTCTATACATCTTTTATTACTATGTGCCGTAATTCCCTCAGAGCACCAGCAGTCATCACTGCTGTGTGGGTGGAAGTTTTCCCTGAAGAATTTGGAGTTATTAAAGAAAATTCACTACAACAGAGAGGGGAAAACCCTTTTAAATTGTACCCTAAATATGTTTGTTTCTCTAGTCTAAATTCATGTTAAGGAACATAAACTATTTCTTAACTGCAGTATAATATGGAAAGATGGGACACACTTTACATTGCTGTATAGAGCCATGTCTGTTCTCCCTAGCTTACCTCACAGGTGCCCTTGTTTTCTGACGTATGTGTCCATAAAGCCTTCCCACTATTAGTTGTCTTGGTGGGTCTCTGTTTTTTAGAACTAAGCCTTTTGCTTTCTATAATTTTAGCTCTCCTTAAGCCTCTCCCACATTTCAGGTATATAAGTTATATTAATACTGAAAGCAATCTGGAAAAATGAATATTAGTTTTCTAGATAAGGAAACAGTGTTAGATAGGTCAGATAATTTGAACAATGTCACATGTCTAGAAATCCTAGATTGTATGCTTTCAAAGTCCATGCTATCATCTGAGATTTGTATCACATTGTATCTTGTAAAGTAATTGAGTGACATGATAAGATGTCAAGGCTGCTTCAACTGACCCATAAATGTGCAAATATTTTACAGCAATAGGAACAAAGCTTTTTTTTTCTGTTAACTTCCTTTTTTCAGGAAAAGAATGAGTATAGAGATGAGTATAGAGATCTTTTGAAATCATAATTTCAAAAGATAAAGGTTTTGGCTAAGTGCTTGGGAAGAGTAACAAGTTGCAATACTGTAGTAGCTTCATTATTAGAAAGCTAAAAAACTTCATATAATTTCTGACTAGAAAGTTAACAGATTAATCAAGACTGTTAGCAATTGGAAAGTCTCAAGCTTTGGTTGAGAATGTTTCATTGACATTTAAAATTTTAATTTTTTAAAATGGGCATTTATTTTACATAATCAAAATTCAAAACATACAAAAGAATGTATAATGAAAAGTTTACCTCCCAACCCTGTCCCCAGGCCATCAGCTGTTTCTCCCTAAAGATAACTAATATTTTCCACTTCTCATTGTGGTTTTGATTTGCATTTCTCTAATGATGAGTGATGTTGAGCATTTTTTCATGTGCTTGTTGGCCATGCGTATGTCTTCTTTTGCAAAGTGTCTGTTCATGTCCTTTGCCCACTTTTTAATGGGGTTGTTTTTTGCTTGTTAATTTATTAGGTCTCCTTTTAGATTCTGGATATTATGTATTTGTTGGATGCATAGTTTGCAAATATTTTCTCCTGTTCTGTAGGTTGCCTGTTTACTCTGTTGATAGTTTCTTTGGCTGTGCAGAAGCTCTTTAGTTTAGGTAGGTCCCATTGGTCAATTTTTGTTTTTGTTGCAAATTGCTTTTGGAGTCTTCATCATGAAATCTTTACCAAGGCCTATGTCCAGAATGGTATTTCCTAGGTTTTCTTCTAGGGTTTTTGTAATTTTAGGTTTTATGTTTAAGTAGTTAATCCATTTTGCATGGATTTTTGTATATGGTGAAAGGAAGGAGTCCAGTTTCAATCTTCTGCATATGGCTAGCCAATGATCCCAGCACTATTTACTGAATAAGGAGTCCTTCCACCATTGCTTCTTATTGTTGATTTTGTTGATGATTAGGTGATTGTAGGTGTGTGGCTTTATTTCTGGGATCTCTAACCTGTTTCCATTGGTCTATGTATTTGTTTTTGTACCACTATCATGCTGTTTTGGTTACTGTAGCCTTATAGTATAGTTTGAAGTTGGGTTGTGTGATGCCTCTGGCTTTGTTCTTTTTGCCTAGGATTGCTTTGGTGATTTGGGCTCATTTTGATTCCACATATATTTTAGAATAGTCTTCTCTAATTCTGTGAAAAATAACATCGGTAGTTTCATAGGAACAGCATTGAATTTGTAAATTGCTTTGGACAGTATGGCCATTTTAAGAATATTGATTCTTCTATACCATCTCATACCAGTCAGAATGGCTATTGTTAAAAAGTTGAAAAATAACAGATGCTGGCAAGGTTGGGAAGAAAAGAGAATGCTTACACACTGCTGGTGGGAATGTAAATTATTTTAGCCACTGCAGAAACAGTTTGGAGATTTTTCAAAGAACTTAGAACTACCATTTGGCCCAGCAATCCCATTACTGGGTATACATCCAAAGGAATATAAATCATTCTGCCATAAAGTCACAATCGTATGTATGTTCATCATAGCACTTTTTGCAATAGCAAAGACATGGAATCAGCCTAGATGCCCATTAATGGTAGACTGCATAAAGAATACACAGTACATATACACCACGGAATACTACACAGCCATTAAAAGAATGAAATCATGTCCTTTGTAGCAACATGGATGCAGCTGGAGGCCATCATCCTAAATAAATTAATACAGGAATGGAAAATCAAATACCTTGTGTTTTCACTTAGAAGTGAGTAAACATTGAGTACACATGGACACGAAGAGTGGGACAATAGATCCGGGGGCTATTTGAAGGTGGAGGGTTGGAGAAAGGTGAGGATTGAAAACCTACCTATTAGGTATTATGCTCACTACCTGGGTGACAGAATCATTTGTACACCAAACCCCAGCGACACGCAATTTACCCATATAACAAATCTGCACATGTACCCTCTGAATCTAAAACAAAAGATGGAAGAAAAATATTTTTTAAAAGTCAATGGCCATCTGTGCCTATTTCCTGTTGTACCACATCACCTCCTTCTTAGATTTTGTGGAGACATGGTAAACCCCCAAATCCTTTCCAACAGCCTCTGTCACTTCCAGCTCGATTAAAAAAAAACAAAAAATTATATTGTCCATTTTTTGGTTATGCTTCTAGAGATATGTTCTAAATACGCATATGTGTTGCTTTTATCTTTCTTCAGTTTTAAAAAACATTTTATTTTGAGATAACTGTATATTCACATACAGTTACAGGAAATAATAGGATTCTATATACCCTTTACCCAGCTTCCCCCAAAGGTAACTTATAGTATAGGACTATATGATACTGTGTTAATATTATGGTACAATATCAAAATCATAGTACAACATCACAACCAGGATATTAACATTGATACAGCCAAGACACAGAATATTTATGGAATCACAAGAATCCCACATGTTGCCCTATTATAGCCACATCCACTTCCTTTCCACCCCTACTCCCTTCTTAAACCCTGGCAAACACTAATCTGTTCTGCATTTCTATAATTTTGTCATTTCAGTGATGCTATAATGTTATAATGGAATAATGTTATAATGAAATCATACAGTTTTTAGCCTTGCAAGATTGGGGTTTTTTCTTTCACTGTAATTCACTGGAGATTCATCCAGGTTGTTACATGTATAGTTTGTTTTCTTAAATTGCTGAGCAGTATTCCATGGTGTGTATGCACCATAGTTTAGTCATTCACTTGTTGAAAGACATCTGTTTTTTTCCCAATTTTTGTATATTATGAATAAGGCTAAATGTTCTAAGCATTTGTGTACAGGTTGTTGGGTGAATTTAAGTTTTTCTTTCCCTAGGAAAAATGATCAAGGGTGTGATTGCTAGGTTGTATGTGGTTGCATATTAATTTTTTTCCAGATTGCTTGTCTAAAGTATCTTCCAGAGTGGCTGAACAATTTTATATTCTTACTAGCAATGTATGAGTGATTCAGTTTCTCCACATCCTCATCAGCATTTGTTGTTGTCATTATTTTTATTATTTTAGCCATTATGATAGTTGTATAGTGGTATCTCATTGTGGTTTTACTTTGCATTTCCTTAATGGCTGATGATCTTGAAAATCTTTTCATATGCTTATTTGCCATTGATCTATCTTCTTTGATGAAATCTCCTTGTATCTTTGCCTCATTTTCAAGTTGTATTATTTGCTTTTTTAACTTGAATTTGAAGCCATTAATTATAAATTCTAGATACTACTACTTTGTTTAATATGTGTTCTGCAAATGTTTTCTCTCAGTCAGATTGTCTTTTTTTTTTTTTTTTAAGAGACCAGATCTCACTCTGTTTCCCAGCTGGAATGCAGTGGCAAAATTATAACTCGCTTCAGCTTTGAACTCCTGGAGTCAAACAGTCCTCCCACCTCAGCCTCATCAGTAGCTAGGACTACAGGCATATCCCACCATGTCCGGTTAATTTTTCTTTCTTTTTTTTTTTTGTAGAAATGGAGTCTTGCAATGTTGCCCAGGCTGGTATTGAACTCCTGGTCTCATGTGAACCTCCTGCCTCAGCCTCCCAAAGCACTTGGATTAAAGGCGTGAGATACTATGCCTTGCCCTTAGCTTAGCTTGTCTTTTTATTCTCTTAACAGGGTCTTTAGTAAAGCAAATGATTTTTATTTTTTATGAAGTCCAATTTATCAATTTTTCCTTTTATGAATCATGCTTTTTGTGTTATGTTTAAGAACGGTTTGTCTAGCCCTAGATCCCAAGGTTTTCTATTTTTTCCCTAAAATTTTATAGTTTTATATTTTAAATTTAAGTTCTTGGTTCATTTTGAGTTAATTTTTGTTATAAGGTGTAAGACTTGGGTTAAGGTTCAATTTTTTTTTTTGCCTATAGATTTCTAGTTCTTCTAGCACTATTTGTTGCAAAGTCTATCTTTCCTCCATTGAATTGCTTTTGCACCTGTGTCAAAAAGCAATTTTTCATATTTGCATGAGTCTGTGTTCTCTATTTTCTTTCCTTTATCTATATGTCTATTCCTCTATTAACACCTAGTTATGATAGGTATGTAAGTCTTGAAATAGGGTAGACTGACTCCTCTCACTTTATTTTCCTTTGCCAAGATTATTTTAGCCATTATAGGAATTGTGCCTTTCTATATAAATTATGGAACTGATGTTTTTACTAAATGAGTCTCCAATCCATGAACATGACATATCTCCCAATTTATTTAGATTTAGATCTTCTTTTATTTCTTTAATCCAGGTTTTGTAGTTTTCAGCACACAAATCTTGTACATCTTTGATTAGATTTACACCTGAGTATTTATTTATTTATTTTGAGACAAAGTCTCACTCTGTTGCCCAGCCTACAGTGCAGTGGTGTGATCATAGCTCATTGCAGCCTTCATTTCTCTGGCTCAAGGAATCTTCCTGCCTCAGCATCCTAAGTAGCTGGGACTATAGGTGCACACCACCATGCTCAGCTAATTTTTTTGATTTTTAGTTGTTCTCGAACTCTTGAGCTCAGGCAATCCTCCCACCATGGCCTCCCAAAGTGTTGCGATTACAGGCATGAGCAACAGTGTCCAGCCTATTTATCTTTTTTTGAGTGATTATAAATGATAATCATTTTTATCATAATTAGATTGTTGTATGTTTACCTTGTCTCTTGTAACTTTGCAGAACTCACTTTAGTTTTAGGTATTTTTATGTTTTTTTATTTTTATTTACTTTTTTTTTTAGATTCCTTGGGATTTTCATATAGACTATCGTATCATCTGCAAGCAGTGGCAGTTTTATTCTTCCATTCCAATCTGTATGCCTTGTATTTCATTTTCTTGCTTTATTGTTCACTGTACTGGCTAGAACTTCCAACACTATGCTGAATAAGAGTGGTGAGAACAAACAACTTCGTTTTTTTCTGGAATCTTAGGGGGAAAACACTCTTTCACCATTAAATATAATGTCTGCTGAGGATTTTTGTTGATACTCTTTATGAAATTGAGGAACTTCCTCTTCATTCTCATTTTTCTATGAGTTTTTAAAAAATCATGAATGGGTGTTGAATTTTGTTAAATGCTTTTCTGTAAATTATAAGATCATGTAGTTTTTCTTCTTTAGTCTGCAACTATGGTGGGTAACAATGAATGACTTTTGAATATTGACCCACCCTTGGATTCCTGAAATAAACTTCACCTGGTCATAATGTATATTTCTTTTTTATTTATTGCTGAATTCTGTTTGCTGATATTTTGTGAGGCGTTTTGCCTCTACACTCACAAGAAATAATGTTCTTTAGATTTTTCTCTTTTTGTGGTTTTGGTATCAGAATAAGACTAGCTTAATAAAATGACCTGGGAAGTGTTCATGCATCTTGTATTTTCTGGAAGAGATTGTGCAGAATTGGTGTTAATTCTTTTTTAAATGTATGGTAGAATTCTTCAATGAAACCATCTAGGCCCAGAAATTGCTTTTCTGGAAGTTTTAAAATTATAAACTCAATTTTCTCAACTCTTGGTTGTACTTTGCAGGAGGAATAGGGAAAAGTATATCTACTCCTTTCCAGGAGAAGTCTCCCCATTTAATTTCGACATATTGAACTCTTTTCATCACATTTTTTGTACAATTATAGCATGCAAAACGCTTTGCTCTACATCATACTTTTATTTACTATTATATTTTAGAGATCACTTTGTATCAGTTTATAAAAAGCCTCTTCATTTTAAAATATTTGCATGATATTTTATTAAGTAGTTGTATCATTATTTCTTTAATCAGTTTCCAATTAACGAATTTTAAGTTGTTTCTCTTATAATAATGTAATGAATAACCTTGCATGTGTTATTTTGTTGCAGTGATTTCAATAAAAATTTACAGAATATTACACACAGCTATATGCAGTATAGCAAGTTAGCAATACAGGGGGCTTTTTTGAGAGCCACTGAAATTACCATATTCTGTTTCTATTTTATGGCAATAAAATGGAAGTTACAGGACTCCTACAGATAGAGCCTGGTCTCTATTCCCATCTCATGCTATGACAAGGAATATCCTGATGTTAACTGTTCTAGGCTTCTGCCTGAAGGAAAAATTCTTCGATTCTCTAAATGGTTCTAGAATCCTGAATTGGTTCGGCTCATGGACAAGGGTTGGTGCCCAGTCTTTACTGCCTGCCCAGCTTTTGTAGACCTGAGTTGGCTAATGTCTGTATAGGATGGTGTGTGTGTGTGTGTGTGTGTGTGTGTGTGTGTGTGTTTATGAATTGCAGAAGGTAAGTTTGAGGGTGAGGGGTACTGACTTGTTTTTTTTAGCTTTTCCCAAGAAAGAAATCATAGGCCAAGGCTGATATACAAATGTAATTTTCTTACCTCATTGGAAACACTGTCTGCTGAAGAAATCTCTCTTGGTTCTTTCATAGAAACATCAAAAAAAGCGAGAATCAAGATCTCTAGCCATGTCCTTGCTGATATTTAGCAGCTTTCTGGGAAGAAGCCAGAGGTCTTGGTATACCTTGATTAAGTTTGTGCATCAATTGTTTGACATCTTAGACTTCAATTTCCCATAGAATTGTCTTCAGAGAATCATGAAATATTGTGACATCACATTGTAATTGCATAATTACTTGTCTGCCTATTCACTTAGTCTTAAAGTCCTTGAGTACAGGATTGTATCTTCTCTTGTCTATGGGTTCCCAGACTCTAACACAGGTGTGGCACATAGTATGTCTTAAAAAATAAGAATTGGAAGGGACCTTGAAGACTATTGTTAGGGGGAGGACTTCTTCCTCACTCCTAATGTTTCATTCTTAATGGAGAAAGTATCACTGGTAATTACATACCTGATCTACCTCCTTTCCACTATATCCTTCCCAAGGCAGGAGGAGAGTATCTCATTGGAGAATTAAACTGGGCATGCTCAACCTAGCTGTTTTCATTACCTTCTTGGCAATAAAGTGCCTGCGTGGGAGTAGGTGTTCTCTGTTCCTTAAAACCTAAGTCTTACCTTGGCAGGCTTTGATGTGAGGAGGCCTGCCTGGCCCGGTTTTGCCTCTTATTGGGTAGGTATATCAGTCTAATTATGGGATTTAAAAAATAGAACCACTGTAATTGTACATTAAACTATGTCCTCCAATGTTACAGAAACAATTGGCGCCACCTTTATGCCTTTTATTTCTCAATTTGTTTGGAATGGGGCAGGAAAGGGGGTGCTACTTGGGCCCTCTTGAAAACCATTTCTCTCACCTCTTAATTTATGAATGAAGGGGCTGAGGCCAACAGAAGTAAAGTTTAATTTGCCCAGATTCAAGTGGTAGTTTATGAGTACCTGTTCTGTGCCAGTCTAGATATTGTAAAGGATACACGTATAAACACAACTCAAGTTTCTTAAGAAGCTTATAATTTAGTGACCAACCGGAGGTCCCACAGCAAGCTGGAACTGAGAAGTGATTTCTCTGTTGTTTATAATGCTGTTATATTTTTGTTTCCTCTATTTTCTATCTTCTTTTTTTATTGATATAATTGAGTTAAATAGGCTTTTCTATGCAAATTATGGAATTTAATTACATTTTCTTTCTATGAAAGAATATTTCTAAAAGCACAGATTTTAATTCTCTGAACTGCTGTCCTCCTCCGCACACAGGAGGGGCCCTTTGAAGATTATCAAATGGTATGCTGGTAAACTGGCTTTCTGGGGGGTGGGGAGATTAGAGAGAAATGGGAAGCCCTGTTTATAGAATTTGCCAATTTCTATGGTGTAAATACTCCTACCATAGCTGATTTCAAGCTACTGATGATTTAACAACCAGTTTGCAAAGTTCCTGAAAATTTAGCAATCAGTACTTCTGAGCCAGATACAAGATACAAGCTGGCTTCAGCAGACCTTACTACAGGTTCTTCTCCCACTCCTCGCAGTAAAAATAGGCTAAATATTTACTGAGCACCTGTTATATGTCAGTCTCTGGGCTTTCTTTGGGGGTTAGACATAGTCTGAGACCTCAGGGAATGTATAGTTTAGAGGGGGAGATAGTATATTTCAGCACTGTGTGGTATTAGGCCAGGGAAATGAGAAATATCAGTAGGAATCAGAAAACTCTTCTTAGAGGTGGTGACATCTACATGAAATCTGAGGAATGGCAAAGAATTAGACTGAGAGGGAGGGGTGGAGAAGAATGCTCCACAGGAAACAATTATGTACAGGCTTAAATAATGAATAAGCAGAATGTGAGTGTGGAGTTAGAAGTGGTCTAGCAAGAGCTGAAGGGCAGCCTGAATTTCCCTCCTGAGCGCCCACTCCACATATCTGGCCTTCTGCTTGACACCTCCATGAGGATGTGCCACAGAGTCACCAAATTCAACATATTCCAAAGTAAGCTCCTTCCACCTTTCTCCTCCTCAGCTTGGTCCACAATACTAACCGTCTCTTACTTCTATGGCTGGATAATATTTTGAGATACTAATTTATGATTTTTTTTCCAACTTGTATTTACCCCCTTGTTGCCTTCGGGAGAGATGTGGCAGGGTAGAGAGGAGTTGCCTGCAGATCATTTTTTCATTCTGGCTCTTACTGAAAACAACCTGAGCCCCCAGAGACAGAATAGAGTTTGCTGGCAATGGCAGAGTGTCTGGGAAAAAAAAAATGAAGAGGAAGGATTTTCCTTAAGAAGTGATTCCCTTGTATCTGGAAAGAAGAGGATAGAAGTCAGTATGTCCCAAGGCAGTGGGATTTGAGCCCTGAACTTGGACCACCATAATACCCTAAACATAAATGACCGAGGATGTGTGAGGCTTAGCAGGATGGTCCCAGATCTAGGAAATTCCTCTGGCCTCAGGTGTGGTGCCGGAGCCAAAGGGAGGGAACCAGTGTATAGGGCAGGGCCGTCTCGTCTATAGGCAGGTTGTGCACTGTATCATGGAACCATAGGTGGCAGCTCCAGGAAGGAACAAAGGAAACCTCTGTGGACAGATGACTGCAATCCGAAGGACCTCCCCTCCACTCCCTGCCATCATCACCCATTCATGGTCTGGTCTGGCATATGCTCTTGGAACTTTGACCCTGCTCGAGGGAATGAGGGAAGAACTTTACAAAAGAGTAAGGCCTTTAAAGAGAAATAAAATCAAGTGCAGATTCACGTTCTATGTTCTTCTCCTAGTCTCCTCAGTGTCTCAAAGGGCTGATCCCCGTAGGCTGTTTCCCTGGCTCCCATGGCAGGTGTATCAGACTTGGCCAATGCAAGGCACTGGAAGGAGATTGGAGGGCAGGAGAGGAGAACGTATAGTACATTTCCCCCTTCTCCCTCCCTAGATTGCTTCTTTGGCAGTGGTTGTTTCTCCTCTATGGCCGCAGCTCTCACCAGGCTGGCCATGCTGCCTGGGCCCTGGACTCCAATAACCCTGCCTCTTCTCTTATTTCTCCAGCTAGAGGTCGCAGTTGCTAGTTTCTGGATTACTGTGCCATCTCCTGATTAGCTTCTGACTTTTCCTATCACCTACGTTACCAATTTCTTGCATTCAATTACTTCTGTAGATACTCAAAATGGTTTCTGTTTTCCTGGTTAGACCCTGCTTGAAACAAATGAGTTTATAGAAAAGAAGGTAATGTGGTATTTCTTGCACACCTGTCTTTGTAGATTCTGTTTTACATCATTATGTTGTTATCAAATTCACCTATTCTGTTCTCTCAAGCTGGTTGTTTGCTAGCCGACATCATTTACATCAACGTAGTATAATATTTCCCAGGCAGCTGACATTTTAAAGTCATTTTAAAGGGATTTTCTGGAAAGGATGCCTTGAGGCAAAGACATAACTTACACAAGGAGTGTGTGAGATGGAGCTTCTGAGTCCCCAAATTCAGAAGGCCTTTCAGGGCTCTGGGTCTATTCTACATTTGGGCCTAACCCTTTATATGAATGCCATTTTTCTTTATAGGTTGAAGAGATCTTCCTAAAACACTAAAAAGCTCTGGGAAGGGATTCTGCATTAACTTGCACCTCTTATATGCCCCTCAGCCACGGCACTTGCAACCCACATCCAATCCGAGTGAAGACAATACCCAGTCAGTATCTCTAGGTGGCATAAACATATCCTTGATGGAGCCACACATAAAGCTATTATCAACCATTACTGCATGGTGAATTGGTTTATTAGGTGTTCTTTGTGACACTCAAGAACTGACTTAGGTTCTGATTGGGTGAAGATTCAGGGTTAGGATGGGAGCATAGAACACCACCCAGGGAGGGAGGCAATTTGGAGACAATGCCCTCAAGAGAGCTAGCCTTGAGCCTAATAAACTAAGAGGGGAACTTTATTGCTTTTGGCCAAAGCACACTGCCAAACTCTCAGCGCAAAGGGCAAGTACAAGACATTCTTCTGAAAAAGTTATAAGATTTCAGACAGGAAGAAATGAAATTAAGTCTCTTAATATAAAATATACAATGTTTTGGAGGTGGTTTTATGAGAATGATCATCAGGACAATACACTATTGTGTCAAACAGATTATAATCGGAAATAATTCTCGGTGTATTCTCCTAATGTACTGATGCAAAAAAAGTTTCTTCATTTATTTATTCATATTATGTTGTGCTAGCTTCTATATTTTTGAAATTACATGCAAATCTATGTCGGGAAAAAAAGTAACTGATGTTTTGTAAAATTGTTTAGGGAACATTCCTTAAAACTTATTCTTCCCTCTACCTTCCTTTACTTATTTTAGGGCACATAAGCAGTAGCATAAAATGGCTTATAGCTGAGCGGCCTCCGGGAGTGGTTCTGTTGGACTAGAGGTGTTTATATATTTTTTGCCTTTATATTATCAGGAACATATGTAGATTCTGGAACAAGTGTGAATCAAGACTCGTTTAAACTTATATTAATCTACTCCAGATTTATGTCTTTTATGTTAAGATAAAGCATTTTGTCTTTTAAAAAATAAAACTCTCTTGATTGGACACTGGTACCGAAATTTATAACACTTATAAACAATTTTGGGGTTCACCGACTGCGTACACATTCAGCCTTAGCCACTCAGTAGGCATATGACCTAAACTTTCTGCATTTTTAAAATGTGGATCATAATTGGTTACTTCCTCACAGAATGGTTATTGAGAGATGTAAATTTGGATATGCATGCCAGTAAATATTCTTATTGCTGAGCTTAACCAGTTCGGCAGAAATGTACATGAATTGAGAGAAGCAAATCTTCATCAAAGAAAATAATTTATTACAATAATAGACAAGATCAACATTTGTGCAAATTAAAAAATAGTTAATCCAATCAGAATCTGAATTTGAACTCCCCCCCCCGCCCCACCCCGCCACCTTCACTGGGTATTACGAGTTTTCGTAGACTGATCCTATAATTTTTAATTTCATGGCCTTCTAGTTTTCTGTACTTTTGCTTAGTGCTGAGCCCTTTAAGCAGAGACTCACAAGTGACAAATATCAGCACACCACTTAACTGAGGAAGCCGGAGTGTTCCCAGGTCCGCAAGTTGGAGCTCTTTAGTTGGAGTGCTGGGTTTAGACTAGAGAGCGGGTGTTGCGACTCCTCCTCCCCACCACCAGTCAACAACCCCGCCCACCCCCGCCAACTTCTTCTGGCCTCTTAGCGCCTTTCTGCAGCCAGCCGGCCCGCCCTTCCTCCGGGTGTCTGAGAGCTGGGCGCAGGAGGCGGGCTCAGCGCTGACGGGCTGCGCCTCTGCAGCCAGAGGGAGGAGGCGGGAAGGCGGGCGGAGGAGGAGGCGGAGGAGGAGGCGGAGGAGGGGGCGGGGACTAAGCAGGGCGGTAGCTGGCGCCGAGCGCGGTGGGAGAGGAGAGGGTACCCGGCTGGCTCGGCTGGCGGCCTCTGCCTGGATCTCGGCGCCGCAGTCCTGCGCCTCTCCCGCCCCTGTCTCCCGCTCCGCAGCCCCGGGCACGGCGGAGGCAGCGGAGCCCTGGGCCATCGGTAGGTTGCACGGGGACGACGGCTCCGTCTGTAACCTTTTGTGCTGCAGAAAAGGTGGTGGTTATGGGGGGCTTGGGGGAGTGGGTTTGCCCCAGGCTCCGATCCCCAGTGCCAGCCCTAATCGCGGCGCCGCCCCTTCCTCTCCGCCTCGTGTCTGGGCCGGGCGCACGATGCCCGCGGTGCTGGGGAAACCCGGCCGGACCAGCTTCTGCGATGGGCGGCGGGGCGGCCCCAGCGTCCCTTGGCCTTGGTGGACCGGTTCCCAGGCACCCGAAGGGGACTGGGGTCTGGTAAACTGGGTGGGGCCCGCGCGGGGTGCGGGGAGCTTGCGGTTCCCTGGCACAGGGGTGGGGCCGCAGACGCCGTGAGTGTGCAGCGCGTGTGAGTGTGCGGGGGCGTGCGCCCCCGTGTGCGCGCGTCGTGCGCTCGCTGGGGAGGTGCGGGGACTCGGCGACCCGGAGCGCCTCTCCCGCGGTGCCGCGGTGCGGAAGTCGGGGCGCGTTGGCGCGCACGCTCGCTCGCTCCCTCCCTTGGCCGCTGTTCCCGCACCGCGGGGCAGCGGGCCTGGAGGCCCCTTTGAGAAGTAGCTTTCCCCGGCCGGCGGCACCTTTGGCTGCGTGCCCGGCCGCGCTCAGGGTGCGACTGCCCGGGTCAGATAGCACCTCAGGGCGAGCCCCGGCGGTCTGATCTCGCCGACCCTCCTCGTCCTGGTTGCAACCCGCGTGCGAGGCCGCCCGCGCCCTCCGAGTGTCTGCCGGTGCAGTGGGGGTGGACTGGCCGGCTGTGGCCGTGTGTGCGCGTGTGGATTGGGGCCCGGTCCGAGCCAGAAGCTTAAGCGGCAGATGTCGGGCATTGCCACCCTCGCCCCACCTGTCGCGGGTGGACTTTGGGGCAGGTGGGAAGCGGAGGAGAGGGGTTTCGAGGCGGGTGGCAGTCAGACCTCCAGCAACGCGGCCCCATTGTGAAGCTGCCAAACTCTCTCTAGTGGTGGAATCTGCAGGTCTCCGCCAGAAAGGAGATGGGAACGCGAAGGGAATGATGGCCCCGTCCTTTTCCCCTTGCTAGTGTTCCACACGCTTAGGGACTCCCTGCCTCTCCTTCCACCTCAGTTTTCAACCCAGTGGGTTACTGATTTGGGTGGAACCAAGATTTCCGTGTGTGTGTGTGTGTGTGTGTGTGTTTGTGTGTGTGTGGTGCACAGGTAAAGCTGGAGCTGGGAACTTTTTATTTGAGCAGGAAGAATGGAGGCATTTTACAGTGTGCTTGCCGCTCCTAGCTGAAAGAACAATTCTTGCATATTTCTGATGTTACTAGACTCATTTTCCTTTTTTTTTTTTTTCCGAAGAGCCAACCTACAATTTAGGGTTGTTAGTTGTTTTATTTTCTCAAATCCTGTAATGCTGGATTGACACTATAGAGGTAGAAATGACCCTTTTGCAAAGTTTATTTTCCCAGTCATTTCAAAATATAGTATTGGTTATTACGGCAGAAGCTTTTGGCCGCGATTTATGATTACACTATTAAGTTTAATGAATGTGTCACAGAATCCTCAGTGTTTTAATTATGTAACTGTGAATGCATTATAAACTGAAAAGTAAAATGAACAGGATGGAATATAAGAGTTAATGAATACAGAGACCTGTTAATTTGATAATAATTGATGTATAGAATATGCTTTTGCTAACAGTTTATTTAATTGCAAATGAAAGTGTTAGTAATTATTTCAGTGTATAAGATATATTTATTGATATTATATAACAGTCAATGAATTTGCTTATTTTCTTTGTATATTTCTGTGTATTTTAGAGAGCTATTATAAAATTAACTCAAAAGTACTTAATATGGTTAGAGTAATAAAGCTTTATGTACAGGGTTTAAAATTTCTTTGCTGATTTGTAGCTGGGGGTGAGGTGGGGGATCAGCTCCTTTCCTCCAGAGAGAACTTTGATTTTGTCACCAGCCTATCAAAATGAGTACCTGGTTTTAAGCCTTCCCAAAGATTAGCCAATTCCACAGTGTACACCTGTTCCATTTTGATGATACTTCCTAAGAGACAAATTTCTTGTAAAGGCTGCATGTTGACCTTTAGTTCCACTTACTGTCGGTCATATTTGCAGTGAAACTGAGTATTTTTCTAAAAGTAGAAGGATGACACCACGTGATAAGAAGATATTAGTAACCTAGGTTTAATTTTTACTAGCAGAAATGGAAAGATAATGAGTGCTGCACTTTAAGGGGGTGGATTGCTATTAAAAGAACTGATACTAGAAAGAGAAACACATTTTTGTCTTACTGAACGAATTATGGGTTATCTTACAAAGTTGGCAAGGTTAATGGTTTGTTTGTAAGGTCAAGGATGGTTTCAGAAAAGTCACACCCTAGTTAACTCTTCTTAAAGAGTATTGATGACTTACTTTTTGCAAGTTGCAAATGGTAAAGTAAGAATATTTGAAAGAAGCCTCTAAGATGAGCATCTAGGTGCAGCTAAACATTTTGTTTTCATTGTTGTGTTGTACTTTGACAGTTAAGCCATTTTATTTCTGCTTAGTGTTCAGTTAGTATTCCTCCAGAGATGTTTTGGTTCATCTTTTACTTGTTTTTAGTGGTCTTTGAGATTAGTGGTTACAAAATATTTTCACTATTTTGAAAGAATTTTTAAAAATTGATGTTTTTTTTCCAAGTGCTTTTCCATTAGTGGTCTCTTCTTAAATAGCCACTCTGAAAATACTACCTGTTTTTCTTTTTCTTTCTTTCTTTCTTTCTTTCTTTCTTTCTTTCTTTCTTTCTTTCTTTCTTTCTTTCTTTCTTCCTTTCTTTCTTTCTTTCTTTCTTTTCTTTCTTGAAAATGTTTTGGTGGGCTTCAGGTTAGGGCCATGAAAAAAATGAAAATAAATGTTTTGATAGCTAGAATTAGAACTCACAGCTTCTACTGTACCAATTTCTCTGCCTAAAATTTGTCCTTTCATAATATAAACTTTAATGATGAATGTGATTTTTATTTACCAATATTTGAAAGGGCTATGTGCTGGTCCTCATATTTATAGTCTTATGATTTGTGATCAATGTTGTTAAATTTTTTCTTACTGCTGTTTTGTTAGTGATCTGTGCTGAAGCTTGAGATTCACGACTTTTTTGTGTGTTTACGAATTTTGTATGGACATAAACATTTCCAAATGGAGCTTTGTATATTTTTGGGAAAGGCACTCCCTTTTTTGGGTTCCTAGTGCCATTCAGGTTTACTGTTATTAGAAGGATTTATTTCCATGTCTGCCCTCCCCTCTGACCCAGTCTCAGGCCATCTCTTTATATGTGCACCAGTGCCTGCATAGTGTGGGGATATATAATAAGACTTAAGAAACATTGTTGAATGACTGAATAAGTGAATATCTAAGTGGGTACACCCGAAGAAAGAACTCAGACCTGTATGGGAATTCACCGTTCAAGCAGAAGGGTGTTTCCCTTTTTAAAAAAGTCATTGCCTTTCCATGTTGCTTTTGAGTAGGATAACAAATGAAACAGCCAAACTGAGACACTTTTGAGAGTTAAAGGGGGTTGCTTTCAATAATTATGCCAGGGTATTGACTATGAATTGAGATATATAGTCACTCTTCTTTTGAAAGGCATTCTTATTTACCTGTGATAATAACTATCACCTGAGAAATTCGATACATTTGGTAGTTAATGTTTGCAAACTTTTCTATTTGTAGAAGCTCCACTTGCAGTGAAATGTTGGGTGTCTTTTGCTTAGTCACCCATGACTTTCTTATCCAGAAGTCTGTGGGCAGCTCTTGGCCACTGCTTGGTTTTTTCCTATTTTTATTGCTTATGGGATAATGTCCCACTGCATTCTGTTTCAGCTTCTTATAACTGGAAGCATTTATTATATCTTGTAGCCTTTGCTCTATTTACTTCAGTCTTTGTTTTTATGCAGCATTTAGTCTATCTTCTAAGAATTTCACATGGATTCCTTTTCCTCTTGCTGACTGTTTTGGAGAGGAAATCTGTTGATATCTTTCCAAGCCTTCAGTGTTTAGAACATTGGCCAAAATCAGTTGCAAGCGTTAGAGAATTATAGATTTTTAAAGTATTCTAAAAATGTGTGTTATTTGAAAGGTACATGTTTTGGGAATTTTTATATTACAATCTTTTAATTGTTATAAGTGGGAGATGGGGGTAGAACCCTTACTGTAATTTTGTAGTAGATTTCTTTATGGGTTATGTCTTAAAGAAAACGTATAATCTTATACTAGTTAGTTTCTGGTCTTGTTCTTTTTATTTATTTTTCCCTCTTTTTCACCATATACCTCCTCCTCCTCCTCCTCCTCCTCCTGCTCTTCCTCCTCCTCCTCCTGCTCTTCCTCCTCCTCCCACAAAGCAGGAAGCAGAGTCAAAATTAGAAAAAGTGAGAATGTAATGGAGCTTCTGCACCTTGGTTTTCTTGTGTTGCTCCCTTGGACATTGTGTTTATATTCTATTTTTGGCTTGGCACTGGCATAATAGGAATAATCAGTTACTACTCTTTGTTTACTATGAAATTACCGATCATTTCCTAGATTTACACATCAGCTCCAGTGCAAGAGTTGGGTAATGTCTTCAAGGCTCCTCTGCTTTCAAATCCAGACTAAAGTTTTAGTTGATTTCTTTCTTTTGATGTTGAAAAAGAAACTCTTTGAAAGTGTAAATATTTTTCTAATGCATTTAAAAGCTTAAAAAGAAGAATATGTCACCAAATACATGAGGCAAATTATATGAAAGTTTGAATGAGATTTAAGACTGTCAAAACTATTCTTTAGGATTAAGACATTCAGATATTTCTAATGTTCCTCCTGCTTGTTTTAAATTGACATTTATAAAAGTATAAATGAAATCTATCCCACTTTGTGATAGATGTAGTCTTGAGAAATAAAGCGGAAATATATAACTGTATTTGATATCCAACCATATAACCAGACGGTATTGGTTGATACCTTTTTTTCTGTCGCATAATTTATGATTTTAGAAAATAGAAGCTCATAGGAGAAAGAGTCCATGATTCAGAAGGATTTTGTATAAGACTTTCCACGATGTGCCACCAAATCTTAATATTTTTCAAGTTGGAAATAACCATGCAGCTAAGTAGTTCCCCCAACCATTTCACAAATGAGGCAATAAAGCTTTTAGATAAAGTGCCTACCCATACACTTAAAATAGATTTTCACTTATAGAAATTACTTGATATACATTTTGCGGGATCATGATTATTGTGTAAAAGGCTATACATGTTGTCTTATCATTGAACAGAGGCCAGAGTGTAAAGTAAATGATCTTTGGAGTCAGACCAATTGGGGTTCCAATTCCTGCTGTGACTCTCATGTAGTATCACTTAAAAGAGTACTTTAAAATAGGGCTACTACTAAAGAGTACTTTAAAAATGGGATAATAATATTTTCTTCATGGAGTAGTTAAGATTAAATGATATAAATTGTATATCACTTTTGACATAAGGAAGATGCTAAAGAAATGTTCGTTTTTAGAACTCCTCTTTCCCATTAAAAATCCATTAAATAAGAAATGCAGATGAATGTTATTAGTATTGGGGAAATTCTTTGGGATAATTATATTAAATAAACATTTTGTCTGTAGGTAACAATTTTTGTTACAATTTACTGTGTGTTAAAACCAGAGGCTTCATTGGTGGGGTAGAATCAAGGCTTACTTTTCAAGATTTTTTGGTTCCCCAATTTGAGAATAGTTGGTGGCAAAATACATGAAAGGGAGTGTTTCTGTTATCTACATCTGAAGAAGTTGCAAAGGCTGATAAACATGCTAGTTTCTTGGAGTGACAGTTCTTGGTGCATTGGCTCCTTCCAGTTTCTCAAGCTAAAGAAGCACATATTAAACTCAGTAATTATCTATTTCCTTTGGATAAAACTCTCCTGTACTGGTAGGGAAAGTAATAAAGTTACAAACTCCTTGCCTTTTTTCTTGCAGTTTGTCTTTTGTTTGATAAGGTATTGTACTGTTGACACTTCTTGGGCTCTGTGCACCTACATAGATAAAATGAATCTACTCGCTTCATTTGACACCCCTCCAACTGCTTCTGTTGTTTAACCCAACAGAAAACCAACAACCAAAGAAACTTTTACAGGTGGAAAAGGACTTTGGAGGGTTTTCCTCGTCTCAGCAAATTAACCCTATTAACTAGGGAGGTAGGAGATAAAGATAGATTCTCTTACACATTAACTTCCCAGGTAAGAGAGGGAAGGCACAGAGGAGATGCTAGAAACCTTAAGTAAGGTGGTAACTATAAAAAAGTGCTTTTTCAGTCACTCTCTTTTTTTGTTGTGTTATCCAAGAGACTTCTAATCATTTGCCTCGCATCAGTCTTATGAAAGATTTACATTGTTGCTGCTTTATGGCTACAATGAGTCGATACCAAAAATTAATTGCATAATAATAGCATCACACGTTGTAAAGAGCTTTGCAGCATGTAAAGCATTCACCTACCTCATTTCATTTGATCCATCTAACAACTGTATTAGGGAGGAAGGGGGGTTATTACGGTCCACATTTTAGAGATTGATATTTATGCAGGGTCAAGAGGCAGAGTTCTTGGCAAGGCCAGAGCTAGGAACTATGGCCTGTGCTTTTGATCCTAGCCTAAGCATTATTTTTTTTCCATAGAGTACTGTGAATCGGTTGAACACATGAATAGGACTAGGATGGTGAAACCAATACTTATTACCTTACTTTTTCTTGTCTCTTTATTTAGCCCAGTTAGGTACTCCTAGTCTCTAGGTAGAATTTAAGTAACAGAGTACAGAGAAATACACATGATAAAATGTTTGAGGATGCATTTAGGTGAACAAACTCAACATCAATTGAATTAATTAATTATTGGGTCCTATATAACCTATACTTGATGTTACTACCTCCTGCTAGTTTTATTCTCTTTTGCAGTTAGAATTGATATCATGTTATAAGTTGTGTTACTTGTTAAATTAAAGGTTTATTTTTGTATTTCATGTTTAGTACCTGGAGTAGAACAGAAAAATTATTATGTCTGTGTTCCCTTGGGACTCATTGGAAATTGTACAGTGACATCTTCTGGGATTTAGTCTGGTAAGTTATATTTTGCTTTTTCCGTTCGTTAACAGTTGTATGAACACAATACCATAATGTGTTTTTTAAAGACTACATAAATAAACAAGTGAATGTGAAATGTCAGTTAATCAAGTGAATGTGAAATGTTGGTGTATTATTGCAAATATGTATACTATAATTACAAATTTTTAATGGTGAGAAATGAACTTATTGTTGCAATATGCAAACATTATTTTATTTGAAATGTTTGGCTAAGTTTTCCTTCCTTTAAATTTCTTCAACGTAAAGATCTTATGAAATAATATTTCAAAGTATAGTAGTTAGAGGTAACTGTTCCAATTTGGGGCAAATTTTAGTAAAAACATTAATCTCCAAACATTGCTGAAATAATTTGCAAAAAATTCTGGTTATATATTATCATACATAAAGAATGAGCCAACAGGTGTCTGAAAGGAGCATTATTTTCACTTAGTCGTACAGCAGTTCACTGAAAATGTGACATTCTTTTTATCACACCCTGAATTTAAACGGTTAAAAATATGCAATGCTGTTTTCTTCCTTTAGTTGTCTTTTTTCAGTGTGTCATCTGTGTATCTTTGCTGACATAGTTGTCCATGTGTCTCGAAGTCTTTGAAGGGAAAAAAGAAATTCATAATGAGCTATGGTAGCTCTTTAGCATCCTTAAGACTATATTAGTGTGACTTCATGCTTTGGTGTGTCATTCTACTTGGCCATTATCTTTGTGCATCCTTGCCTTGAATTATGTAAAGAGATCATAATCCTTAGAGAAAGCGGAGTTTCATAATAAGTGATTTCTAAATTTCTAGTCAGCAGCAGAATGATTCAAAGGAATGGTAGGGAAAAACAAATACTTTAATCTCATTAAGTAGATAAAACCTATTACATTTATGAAAATGCATTTTCGAACATTGGAAAATTGGAAACGTTACTAAAATTTTCAGTTTTGAGGAAAAGAGTAAGAAGTTTGAAAACCATAGTACAAAGTACTTGGAGAGGATATTGAATAAAAAACAATGTGGCCTGGTCACTGACTCAGCTAATAGAAATAAAGCACAAAACTAGAGCAATGGGTAGAAACTACAGGAATGTATGTGTATCTATGTCTATCCATCTATCTCTGTATATACCTATATTTATACAGTTGTCCCTTGGCATCCTTGGGGGATTGGTTCCAGGACTTCCCCCAGGTACCAAAATCTGATGATACGTAAGTCTCTGATACAAAAATGGTATAGTATTTGCCTATAACCTATGCACATCCTCTTGTATACTTTAAATAATCTGTAGATTACTTATAATACCTATTACAATGTAAATGTTACATAAATAGTGGCTGTACTGTATTATTTAGGGAATAATGACAAGAAAACAGTCTATACATATTCAGTGTAGATGTAATTTTTTGCTTTTTCAAATATTTTCTCTCTGTGATTGGTTGAATCCATGGATGCAGAACCCGTGGAGACAGGGTTGACTGTATATATGCATGTACATACAGATATATGTGTAAATAAATCGACATTCTAGCAGAGCTGCACAAGGTGAAATGAGTCATCTTGGGAGGCAGTGAGTTGCCTGTCACTGAAGGTGTTCAAACATACACTGGGAAACTATTAAGATTCCTTTTGATTCCAAAATTATACGGTACAAAAAAATTTAAAATTTGGAGGACCATCTGAAACGTGGAAATATGTGACAAAGAGTTCATTTATTTTTAATGTCAGGTTTATTATAACTTAGTAAAATCCGTCCTTTTAAAGTGTACGGTTTGATGCATTTTGACAAATGTATCCAGTTATGTAATGACCACTACAGTCAACAAATAGAACATTTTCATCACCCCCCAAAATTCCCTTTTTCCCCTTTGTAGTTATCCCCTCTCCCCACCCTAGGCCTTGGCAATTAATGATTGATTCTGGCAAATAGTTTTGCCTTTTCCAGAATGCCACGTAAGTAGAAACATGTAGTATATAGGTGTAATGTCTGCTTCTTTCACTTAATGTTTCCCCAGATTGTTCCACTTCATTGCTGAGTGGTATCCATTGTAGGGATGGACTGCAGTTTGTTTATCTCTTTCCCTGTTGATGGATATTTGGATTGTTTCCAGTTTCGGTGTTTGTGAATGAAGCTGTCATAAATATTCACATTCAGGTGTTTGTATGGACGTGTATTTTCATTTTTCTTGGGTTAGATATCTATGAGTATGGTGGCTGTGTTGTTTAATGAACATTTATTCAATTTTATAAGTAAATGCCAAACTGTTCTCTAACGTAGCTGCACCTGACAAAGGCTTCTAAGTAGCTAAAATAACTACGCCAAAGTGTGTGCAGATGAAGGAGCCCGATTCTCATTCAGCACAGATTTATTTTTATTTTATATGCAGTTTTAACACGTTTGGTTAGCAGATATTTCCAGCCCACAGAGGATTAGGAACAGTAAATTAGAAGGCCTAGGGGTAGGTTGTTAGCAATTATAAGCAGCCAAAAATTATGTTCACCAACATGACTATACAGTAATTACTGATTAAAAACAAAGGAGGGACTTAAAAGAGTGAAACTCTTCTATCTGATAAGTTCTATCTGACAAGTTCCCAAACCTATATGCATATTAGAATCACCTGGGAATCTTTTACAACTTGCAGAACCCAGGCTACACCCCAGATCAGTTAAATCACAAATCTGGGATGGAAAACAGACATCAGCAGTTTTTGAAGCTCCTTGCATGATTCTGGTGTAGACAAGTTTGGGAACCACATGCTAGAAGCACAACATGGACTTGGAGCCAGGGGGCCTGGGTTGTAATTATGGGCATTAACTATCTATGTGGCTCTGGGCAGGACCCTGTCTTGGTGGTTTCAGTGTCTTCTCTATATTTCAAGGTGGATGTTCCAGGTAGGTTATGTCCAAGATGATTCTGGCATTAAAACTATACCACTCTAGCCAGGGGCGGTGGCTCGCACCTGTAATTCTAGCTACTTGGGACATTAAGGAGGGAGGATTGCTTGAGACCAGCCTGGACAACATAGTGAGACCTCATCTCTAAAAGTATAAAAGAAATAATTAACCAGATTTGGTGATGCACACCTATGTCCCAGCTACTTGGGAGGCTGACGTGGGAGGATCGCTTGAGACCAGGAGTTTGAGGCTGCAGTGAGCTATCATTGCCCTACTGCACTCCAGCATGGGTGACAGAGCAAGACCCTGTGTCTAAACAAACAAACAAACAAACAAAAAACACAAAAATAGGTGGCTCTAGATATCATGATATCACTAGACTGGTATTAGCCATGCTTAGGAGACCCTGTTTCCCCAAAAATGGCTCTATAAGAAATGGTTTGATTCAAGTACTTCTTGAAAAGGATTTTCTTAACATGATGACATTTTTATTCTGCATATTTAAAATGGTTATGTTGATATCTGTTTTCTCTTATATGGTATTGCTGTATGTTGCTAAAAAAAACAGTGAAAGCATATGGAGCAGTGTTTTGATTACTGGGAGTGAATTTTTTTTATAATCTTATTTTTAAAAATTCTCAGAATGCAATTTCAAAAAGAATTCTTCGTATAGCAGTTCTGAAATTTATTAGCTATTTTCAGAGCTGGTCTAAGGAGCTAAGGCATCTAGATCATATTTTCAAAATGTTGCTCTTTGTGCCAAATAGATAGGAAGCTTGGCCTCTTGAAGAGTGTTCAAAGCTGTGCAGATTTTATACAGGTCTACTTTCTTGACTGTTCTTCTTGGTGCACGGGGTTCCACTCACGTGTGTTATGGTTTGGACCTGTTTGCTTTAGTCTCAGCCAGAATACTGGTATTGGGGTATTGAATGCTGTACCTAATGCTTTTGAAATGTACACTGTATATATTTTTGTAATATATATAAATGAATGAAATGTTATCTTTCCTTTTTTGAAGGAAAGTTTACATTTAGTTTGTAAATTTCTTTAAAGAGGTATCTAAGTGTTTTAAGTGAGAATAATATCAGGAGATTTGAGGTCAAAGAATGGCAGTCATGTCCCTTTCATTTATCTTTTTCTTCTTGGAAAAATCAAACACATCAAACAAAAGGAAGTACATCATCTCCTTTCTTCTTTTGATAATTCCTGTTTCTAAGCAATAAGAGGAGAAACAGGCACTGTTCTGGTGAGTGTATAGATGATACTCTTTAAAAGTGTTTACATTAATTTTTAGTTATATAAAAGAATATCCATATAAAAACCAGAAACATTATTAATAAGGTTTTGTGGTGCTTGCTATAAAAATCTAAAAAGTACATGTTCTTTGACTCAGCATTTTTACTTCTGGAATTTCCTGCAGAAATATTCATGTGTGCCTATGTGTACTCTTGCATGTTTTCATTGTAGAAAGAAGTAATCACTCACTCTTACATTTGTAAATACGCGGAAAAAGGAAGGATATACCAAAATATTAATAGGGGTTTCCTCAAGATATGTCCGGCATTGGTAGGGGATGAAGAATGATTTTGCCATTTATAGTACATCAATATGAATTATTTGGACTGGAGAGCTTTCAGTTTGCATGCATTGCTTTTATCGGTTTCAAAACAATAACAAGGAAAAACAATCACTTGAGCAGGTTATTGAGGTAAGAAAAAGATAGAAAGTATCTTCTGGAAGGGAAAGGTGGTTATAAAAAATGTTCATGGACTCTAAGACCTCTTTGAGATATCTCTGTGTATGGTTAAAGAAATTAGCAAGTAGGATGGTGCCCCAGGCTTAGAGCCTAGTGAAATAATTTTTGTTTCTAGGAGTGTGTCACTGACTCAGACACCCTATAGCATAGGAGCTGACTGTGGGCAATATCTGGATGTATCTTGGTGTTAAGTCACATTCTCAGCTTTTTGGAACCTTTGCTTTTCTTTCTCTCCATGAGAATTACATTGTACCCTACCTTTACCATATCCCTCCTATCATGAAAAATATGTTTGATAAACTAATTCAGTCTGTAATAGAGAAAAATAAAGGTGTTTTAAGAGAAGACAGCAAAAAAGAGCAATATTAAACTTGGCGGAATGAGTCTAACAATAGAATTTCATGCCTTTGACATCTCAGCTAAAGGTTTGGGGAGTTGGAATTTTTTTTAACAGGCATGCTGCTGATGTATAAATGAACTCTATATATAGGAAAGCTAATGAAGCAATTAATTTTTTGAGTTTCTTAAATGAAATACAGGTATTAGGATACGGTGTTTCTCAAAAAGAATTCTTTCTATACCATTTGTCAAATTTACCACCTGTTTTCAAAGCTGGTCTAAGGAGCCAAGGGCATTTAGGTTATATTTTGAAAGTATTGGTATTTATGCTCCAAATTTAGGTTTGGCCTCTCAGAGAGTATTCAGACCTATGCAGATTCTATAAGGGTTACAGGCTTTTGAACGTGCTTATCCTGGTGCACCAGGTTCTCCTATACATGTGTTGTGATTTGGACCTATTTGCTTTAGTTTTAGCCAAAATTTACAATTTCATTCTGTACCCAATGCTTTAAAAATGTACTGTGTACATTTTTAAAGAATTATTGTTACCTTTGTCTGATGTCATCTAGTTGGATCCACGTAAATTTCAGCAATATAGAAGCATCTATAAACGTTGCCAAATCTTTCATGTTTTATAAATACATTGGTGCTATTGTTACTGGTTGGATTGTGAGGGAATTAGATATTGAAGACCTTAGGTGTCATTTGAAAAATTGTATTGTTCCTGGTACTTTTTAAGAAGCTCAATTTCAAAAGCATTGTTCAATTACAAGTTGACGTTTCTATTCTTGTTTCATTTTCTGTTTTAGCTTCTTCTCTCCACATTTTGCTGCTTCTGTAATTATAAAATTAATACTTTTTCTATTTTCTATTTACAGTCTATTTTTGCTTTAAATTATATATGAAAGGCATTAATGGAAGCAAGAAAGGTATCTTTGATCTCTGGGTTTTAGTGCTCTGGAATGAAGCAGTTGGCATTAGACCTGATTTCTTGACTCACAGGTTATTCTTATTGATGTAGTGGGAAGTGTGGCACCTGTTGCATGGTACCTGTAGTGGTAATTTGTGAGAGTGCTTTGTAATTGTTTATCTTGGCAGCAAGCTTTTTGGATACAAGGTTTATTTGACAATATGAAACAAAATGCTGAGTCATGCATAGACTTATTAAAAATAACAAGTCTGTAAGCAGTTTTTTTCATGGTAAAACCTGAAGAATATACTGCTAAACACAGGCCATCTCTAGTTATAGTCACCATAGCTGAGTTTCCTGATGGATGTCTTTCAGTAAGAAATTTTGCTGTGGAAAATGTTGGACATCTGTATATCAAGATAGGTTGACTTTGAGACTGTTCAGTTTTTACTGTCTTTAGTGTCTTTTTTTTTTTTTCCAGAATTCTGGAGTTAGGAGGTACCCAGACTTCTTCCTCTGCAGATGGGACAGTGTCTAAAGAGCTTCTGCCCATTGTAAAAATAACCTGAGCAAGTTGATTCTGTAACTGTTCTCAGGATCTTGCTTCAATATGTAAATCTAGTCAAGAAATTCTCAGGAATGTAGTAGCATAAGAAGTTTTGTTTTCTGTCACACAGAAGAATGGGAGGTATGCTGCTTATTCAGCATTCAGCCCAACTACAAATGAAATATTTGACATTGAGGGCTGTCTTTTCTGAAATCCAGCCTCTACCTAGCTTTCTTGGTGCAGCATAGTAGATGTGTGTAGAAGGGCAATATATAAGTAAAACGAATCCTTTAGAAAAACAGAAGCCGTTTGTGAGAGTCTTGTTTCCAGCGTTCATGTTCCTACGTGAATATCGAGACCTGAAGTTGTTCTTGTACATGTGGCAGTATATTGCAGAGACCAATGAACCACCCAATGAGCTGTTAGTTTTGAGAATACACTATTTGTAGTTTGGAGCAAAAATACTGATGTTTGATAGCCAAAAAGTGCAAACAGTTTTCCAGCTCTGAGAATTGCTCATCAGAAGTTCAGCACATAGCAGCTATATATATTTAAAGTCAGCCTTTTCATGTTCCTGCGCCTTGAGACTCTCCCGCAGGAATCTCCCTAGAATACTGACCTGTTTTGCATTGGCTTTAGTTGCTCCACTGAGTATTTGTGTTGGAGGATATTAGAAATGCTTATTCTTTCAACTTTCTGATTAGATTCTGTTTTCCATAGTGAATGTTTTGTCTACCTCAGTAAAATATGGTAGATTTCATACACCAGACTGCCTGGTTGAAATTTCCAGAGCTCTTAAACCACATCTGTATCTTCTACTTAACAACCTAGGTTAAATCATTGTCTACCAGGTTGATGTGTGAAGATCCTGTTTGGATTGTTCTCTTCCCAAGCCAATTGATTTTTTTTTTTTTATGGTGTTATTGGCTGTTGGAAACTTAACTGATGAGTTACTTGTCTAACAATAGTGTCTATTTCTTATCAAATCAGATTTTGACCTTTACACAAGTCTTCACATTTCTAATTTTGCAGGTACTTCCAGGTATTTTCTAGCTAATATATTATTTCTGCCTATTTCTCTAAACCGTTGTCTCCTTCTAGGCTTTATCTTCAACCCCCAAGGATTCTCAGAATTTCTGACAGTTTACCTTGATGCAGCAGGATTGGCTTAGTATGGGGAAAAACTTTTGATGATTCTGTTGCCCTCAGAAGCCTGTGCCTCCTCCTCATTACTGTAACTTTGTGCATTATTAACTTACTTAGCAAATTTTTTCCCTCGTAGACAAAAAAGATGAATTTTAGCCTCACCTCTGTATGAATTATTACCCAATTTGGAATGTGTGGGGTCTGAAGTCATAGATTTAAAGAAATTTGTAATATACTAAATGAGAATGCAGTAAGCTGCGTGGTGGGACTCCAAGAGTTGTCATGGAGTGCCAGATTTGAAAGAGACCTAGACCAGAGTCTCAGAGTAGACAGACTGCTTGAGTGTCACTGCCTTGGTGACTCTCCTTGAGTGTGGTGCCCAGTCTTGGTGTGAGTGTGTGCCCTTTCCTCAATGGCCCTGGTTATTTTTTTTGCCTCACTGACCCTCCTTTCCTTCTCAGGATGAAATATCAGAGAAACAGCTACTACCTGTAGCTGCCAGTCAGGTTACGTAGGTTGGAGGCCTTGGCTATGTCCTCTTGCATTCTTTCTGGGTTACAAAATTAGTGAGAAAGGAAGGATAAATTTGTCATTCGACTCCGAGTAAATATTTGTTTGTTTAGCATAAAAATTTGTTGAGGCTTCACATGGCTCTCTAAAGTTTATTAGCTAAGAAGTCTTATATGCATATCAGAGTAGCTGGTAGTCACCTGATATTCCAGTACTATCAACAGAGAAATAAATTCCTCAAATATAATTTATTTTATATAAATAATATAAATAAAAATATTTACATTAAAAATATAATAAAGCTGATTACTTTAAATCTAAAAGGGTTCAGGGACTAGAGTATTTTGGTGAAATAAAAATGGCAAATAGTCTAAGGTTGAGAATAAATAGTGAGTAATACTATATAGATCCTTTGGCATTTGCTTTATCTCAAATATTGTAATAAATGTTTGTTTTCAGTGGGGATCATAGGAAGGACAGCGTGGTATCTGGTAACTTCACAATCTCCTAATGAAGGAAATTAGAACATGCATGTGGTGGAATAAAGTGCTGTTTTTTTTTTTTAAAGCTTTCTAATTGCTTGGATTTTAAATGAATACCCAAACTTTAAGAAATACTTCAATAGGAAGTGGTTATTTGTCTAGTGAGAAGATTCGTAAGAGTTATTTAATTTTTAAGTAAATTTTTCATCTTAAAATCAGTTGATGTCATTTTGATTAGCAATCTGAGATACTTAAAACCGTGTTATCTACTTCCAATTAAAAAGCAAGTACAAATAGTTTCTCAGAAATGAAACTGTCACTATTTCCCTTAGTATTTTAGCTTCCCAAATTTGATCTATCTGTAGCTTTCAGGAACCTAGCCGCCATTTGTTCTATTTCTTGTCAATGGAGATTTCCAAACTATGTAATGTAATAATCGTAAGGAACAATATTACTATTCATTGTGAATTATTCTGCCATTTATGAAACTATTGAAAAGTACAACGTCTTGGGTATTGAAAAACAGAATGTCAAGCCTGTGGTGTATTTTATGATTAAGTAGTCAATTAAAATGACATCTGATGTTTTATACATTTTTAGTATTAAAAATTATGTGATATATTGGATTTAGGATTACTTTTAAACTACAAAATGATATTCTTTAATTCATTGGGGATATGGAAGGAAGAACATTTACAAGGTTTGGGGGAACCTTCCCCTAAGACTCCTCATACTCTAAGAATAGTTTTTTAGGTCTAAATTGGATTCCTTGCAGAAATTCGTCAGCTCAATCAACTTTATTATATGTTCCTTAAAGACAAATTGAAAAGAATTGCAGGTGTCAAGAGCTAAGCACTTACTTTAAATTAAATAATGGAAAAATTTAACTTTCAAGCCAGAAATATTTTGTGTGTTCTTATGAAACTATGTATGATGGCTTTCATTTGCTTAATGCTGAGATCTGTATTTGACTCGCTTGATATTGCATTAAGGAATAAACTTTATGTGATTGAATAGAGTGCGGAATTTAGAGAAGTATTGTTGTTGTTGTTTTCTGTTTGCTTCTCCATCTGAACTTTTTGGTAGTACATCAGACTTTAATTTAACTTGCCTTTCAGTTCTTAAAGGCAGAGAGGTATTGTCATTTCATGCCCGCTCTGAAACGTTTAGTAGACATAGTTACATGTCAGTGGTACATTGACTGTCTTTCAGGCAAGTGTTACTTCATGCTCCCTGAGCCTTCTAAAAGGACCTGGCCTGGCCCAAGTCTCTGTGCATTATATTCTTCTAATCTAAGTCTGTTTACTTTTAGGATTGTGCAGACTGGTGCTTAAAATGGAAGTCGATATTAATGGAGAGTCTAGAAGTACCCTGACCACCTTGCCCTTCCCTGGGGCTGAGGCCAACTCCCCGGGAAAGGCGGAGGCAGAGAAGCCCCGCTGCTCCAGCACACCCTGCTCCCCGATGCGGAGGACCGTGTCAGGCTACCAGATCCTACACATGGACTCTAACTATTTGGTTGGCTTCACGACTGGCGAGGAACTCCTGAAGTTAGCTCAGAAGTGCACAGGAGGTGAAGAGAGCAAAGCAGAAGCCATGCCATCCTTACGCTCCAAACAGCTAGATGCAGGACTTGCCCGTTCCTCTCGTTTGTATAAAACCAGAAGTAGGTACTACCAGCCATACGAGATTCCAGCTGTCAATGGCAGGAGGCGAAGGCGGATGCCAAGCTCAGGAGACAAGTGCACTAAATCTTTACCTTATGAACCTTACAAGGCCCTCCATGGGCCTCTGCCTCTTTGTCTTCTTAAAGGTAAGAGGGCTCACTCCAAATCTCTGGACTACCTCAATCTAGATAAAATGATCAAGGAGCCAGCTGATACAGAAGTGCTACAGTACCAGCTTCAACACCTAACCCTCCGAGGGGACCGTGTGTTTGCTAGGAATAATACATGAATGACTTGGAGAGAGCTTAAACCAATTTAGGTCAGCCTACGCTTGGCTAGAAAAAACCCACTGCTGTACTCTGTACATGACTCTTCACACTATAGATGGTTATATCAGCTAAGTGTTCCTGGAACATAAAAATTGTTTGGGTCAAATTTGAATACAGGAATGAAATCACAGGTACTTGGGGGGGGGATATCATTCTAGAGCACGCAACTGCAAAGAAAACAGAATGTTGACTGTTAGTTTGTATAGCTTTTTAGCTAGGAAAAAAAGGCTTTGGTACAGTAATTTCATCTTTATGATTCTGACACTCAAATTGGGAATGTTACCTGCTTGGTTGTTGCTGACTTGATATGATTCATTAGAAATTTATATCTTCAGTACTCAAGTACTTCTTGAATCTCTGTATTTTACTATAAAATGTATGTAATGATTTGTTTTATGAAATTTAGAACTTGAACATTGCTGAATTGGACCACTTTTTATTTTTAAATATTGAGTTTAAATATTTTATAACTGGTTTTGCACTGAAAAAATTAACATTTCAGATTGACAAGAGAGTAATCTTTCTTCACTTGCC
The DNA here is from genome assembly GCF_000001405.40 of Homo sapiens. Taxonomy (NCBI): domain Eukaryota; kingdom Metazoa; phylum Chordata; class Mammalia; order Primates; family Hominidae; genus Homo; species Homo sapiens. Next base: position 103,277,115 of record NC_000005.10, read on the forward strand.
TCAATAATGTTATTGAGCAATGAATTTTTTATTTCCGCATGGAAAGTTATTGATCTCTATGGCTGTAAAATATTTCTTTATAGCGTTATTAAAGTGTGTCTTAATAAAATTAAATTTGGGATACAAAGTATTTATTTTACAATGGGTGGGCGGGGGAAACTTTTCCAGAAAGTTTCCAATATGACGTTTTCATAAGTTGAAAAAACTCTCCTTAGTGCTTATTTTCTAACTTAAAATTCACCTGGAACTTTAAATGGGAAAGGATTCTTTTAATTGTGGATTATAGGCATAATACTGTTTGCATCTGAATTTTCTGTAAGTGAATAATAGTTTAATAGAGGAACTCATGATTTGTACTATTGAATGATTAAACTAAGTATGAAGTGATACCATTCAGCATGGCATCAGGTCATTGCAGTTTTAGTTCTGTGTAACACAAGCACTCACTGAAATTCCAGTTTCTAGGATTAGTGTAGGAGCCTAACGTGCTTCTACTGTTTTAATGGGTTAATCCTGGATTACTTAACAATTTATGTCAATTGCACTGGTTTAATTTGTTGCTAAAGAAATAATGCCCTGGGTTTAGTAACAAATACAGCTCAACTATTCTTGAATATATTTTGAAAAAAAAATGTATGTAACTTACCTTTTGTAAACGTTCCATTTCTTTTTTCCCTCATTTTTGACTCTTAAAGGTGCAATTTATTACTGAATTGGGATTTCTGGCAGCACAGAACTGCTTTTTATTTTGGGGTCTGTGAGTTTCTTAGGTATTAGCAATCTTGCTTATAAAATAAGAACACCTTTTAATTAATGAGTGGGTCATTCCTGGTGCAATTGTGATTTTTCTTTAGCCAGAATGAATGGCAAACTCTATTTAGAGCAAAGTAAGTATTAGAAAACCCTAGGAACTCTTAATCAACGTTTATTACACTTTCATTAAGGCAAACTACGTGAAAGAGCCTTGGGGAAGTTGGCCCATATCTTACTAAGTTGATCAGATTTCTCGTTGGGCTGGAAATGTTTCGCTGTTGTATATTTTAAAGTAAATTGCACCTTTGTAACATATTGTATTGACGAATGATCACTAAGATTAGCTATATCTATACAGTCATTAGTTTGACAAGAAATAGAATCCTGTCAGATGCCAAAGAGTGGGATTTTTATGTTTAATGATTAAACACCATTATTTATTGACAATTTACCCTGTGGAACTGTATTATTTCTAACTATGAAATAAAGGGGTGATGTAAACACACATTGTTGTGTGGTGCTTTAAACTAGGTCCACTATCAACAGGCTACTTACTGTTCAAGAATTCCACTGAAGCACTTATTTTAAGGCCCTATTTTTCTTAAACAAAACAGTGACAACAACAATCAAACCATTTACTTTTGATGCTCATTGGCATTTTATGATAAAAGATGTATTCATGGCAATGATATGTATTCACCCTATTAGGAAACACAACTGGTTACCTATGAGACCTGTTCTGTCCGTGTGCCTACGTTCCTTAATAATAGCTAAATAAAAATTTGTAGCTTTTTTTGTTTTGTTTTGTTTTTTCCTGAAAGACAGGTGAAACTCTGTGGCAAAAATAGGGGGGTTAATAGTATAAGATATGGCATACTTACTCTTTTTTGATTAGTAAAGATATATAATTTTAAATTTGGTTTTCTAGAAAGAAAGTTTCAAAACTCTAGGCCAGTAATTTTCACAATGTGTTTGCAGAACCCCTTTATTAGTTCAGTCTTACTTTCTCTGCACCCCATGGAATTGTAGCCTATGGTAGGTAAGAACCAATTTTTTTAAAAAAAGGGTAGGCTGGATCTCTTTTAGTTGAAAAACAATCCCTTTTGACATGGTTTCTATTTTTTAACTTTTTCATTTTTTATTCAATTTAATATTCCACACTAAATGGGGCACACTTGGCCAGAATATACCTGATGATATTATCTTACTGTTCTTGCCCTTAAACATTGCAGCACTATATAACTTTAATTTTTTTCTTCTTTTGCAAAAGTACCGTTTGTTTGAAGCTCAGATGATGCATAAAGTTGCAGTAAAATTTCATTCCTTGCCTCAATCTGAGGTGAGCTTCTTTTGCTCTTCTGACTTCCATTTGGTTGCATTTTACACCTCTGGGTGCAGGGCTCCCATAGTCAGTAGTCATGGAAGAAGAGGCTCTATGGGGATGGATTTAACATGTAAAAACCAGTTCAGAACCCCCAGATCTTCTGGACTCCAGCCCAGCTGGGCTATTGTTCCAGAGCCATCATGTCCTGTCCATTGCTTCTTATGCCCTATAATGCCCATCTGTGATCACTGTGTCTTTTTCCTTCCCTGGGATACTTTATTTAGGTGATTTCAATATTTGAGGTTTGAGAAGCTTTTTGAGGATTCTGAGTTAAGTTTTAGAGGCAAATAAGTCTTCCACTAAAGAAAATATTTCTTCAAATCTTAAGCAACCTATTTTTTTATTAGTTTTTTATTCTAGCATATATTTGTCTCAGAAAGGCTTTTATTCTATTATAATCATTGAACTTTTTTAAAGGAACTTTTAAGTGACCCTGGTCTAAGTGGTTCTCATTCAGTGAACAGAGGAGGGGAGACTGTCACAGTTTATAAATGGCATAAATGCTCTAGAAGAGTTGGGGTTGAAAGAGAGCAAGCATGTACATTACTGTAATGCAGAGAGGACAGCAAGTATTAAGTAAAATTGCCTTTTTAAACAATGTAATTTGATTAGAGAAATGGAAATTGATGAGGAAGATTGCCTTGGAAATATAATAAGTGTGATTATGAAGCTGGAAGTGGAGGCTGTCAGCACTTAATGATGCACTTCACTTTGTAATATACGTCTTTAGATAAGAATTATGAAATGGACTTCTGTGATATTTTACATTGGAAAAAAGTTAAGGATTTTTCTGGCTGAGAAGACTGGAAACAGAAGAAAAGAAGAATGAGCTTGATTTGTTATTTTGAGTTTGCTGAGCCCCCAAGGACACTTCTTTCTTTAGCCTGGAGAGATGTTGAATTTGTATTCTTGCCATTGTGAAATGACTTTGTGCAAGATTTTTTTTTTCTTCTTCTTCTTCCTTTTTTTTTTTTTTTTTTTTTGAAACAGAGTTTTGCTCTGTCGCCCAGGCTGGAGTGCAGTGGTATGATCTTGGCTCACTGCAGCCTTCACCTCCTGGGTTCAAGTGATTCTCCTCCCTCAGCCTCCCAAGTAGCTGGGATTACAGGCACCCGCTACCAAACCTGGCTAGTTTTTGTATTTTTAGTAAAGATGGGGTTTTGCCATGTTGGCCAGGCTGGTCTGAAACTCCTTACCTCAGGTGATCCTCCTGCCTCAGCCTCCTAAAGTGCTGGGATTACAGGCTTGAGCCACCGTGCCCGGCTGTGCAACGTTTTATTAAATGGTTTCAGAGAGAAAGTCTGAAACCAAGTCTGAATGTTGTCACCCCTGACCGTGGGGTTGTGCTTGATGTATAGATGTATGGGAAAGCACAGAAGGAGAAAAGGGAACTCAGCATCTATTAGATTGGAAGAGAGTAGCTGCAGTTGGTGGAATCCTTAAGTGATCCTGGCTGGAGTCGCTTCTGGAGAGAAGAGCTTTGATGCTTTTGCTTTTGTGAAAAAGCCACCTGCACTTTGAAAGTTCCTTCTGAATGTTCTCAAGAGAGGATTCTTATGGTGATCCGGTGGAAAGAGGAGGGAACGCTGGGTTCATGATAGTGACCTTTAGCCTGATTGGCCAGGAAAACTATTCTTCACCAAACTTTCATGTAAAAGGATTACGCATTAAATATATATTTGGAAGACTTTGAATCATCTTTTGTCCCTGGCCTAATGCCTCAGTTAGGGAAAGGAACTTACACAGTAAGAAGTTTTTGAACTTAAAGAAGTTCAGGTTTTGGCTAAGGGGTTGGAGCTGGGATGGCAAATACTGAGCATGCCGACCACCGTGCTCCTCGCTTATGCATGTGGCAGACATCACTAATCTATCAGAGCACAGTCCCCCTAGAGTCCAGATGTGGATGCATTATCTTTCTTAGCACTTTAGGCAGCTGCTACTGAACTGATCAGCATTACATAAGAGTTTTGCCTATCACATCTCCACACCCCTTGCAGTGGGTTACAAGGTAAATTTAAAAAATAGTCTGAAGCTTTTGGAGTAGACCAATCTGTAGACCATTCTGGATCCTGTCCTCTAACCAGAGAACAGATGAGAATGGTCCCACACTGTGACCCATAAGGCATCTACTGAGCACATGCCAGTACTTTGGGAAGAGAAGGGCTTAAGACAGTTTTTACCTTCAAGAACGTGCTTATTATTGGGAAAGCGGAAAGATAGCATAAGAGGCACCCCAAGCACATATTTTGTAGACTAACAATTTAAGAGAGGGGAGCTTAAATCCCATGGAGCTGAAGTCTTAAGAAAGAACAATCTTGTTTATTTTTCTCTCTGCCTGGCTGGCTGATTGGATGTGTTAACTTACATTGCTGATCTGTATAAAAGTTGACATGTAAAGATATATTTCTTGAAAGTACCTTCATTGGAAAGCCTGGGGAGATGACAAATACGGGAAAATCAGCATCTTAACAAAATAATTGAATCTGAGGAGCACCAGGGAATGCTAGTGATGTTCAGGTGTTAACTCCCCGTCTCCTCAGTAGGCTGCGGAGATGAACTGAAGAGAACTAGAAGAGAAGAGTTAAGGTGGAGAGGTAGTGTTAAAGAACTGAAGCCTTGGAGCTAGCAGGCAGGGAAGGCAAGAGCTGTGAGAGAATGAATAAATAAATGGATACTTAAGTGATATTTTTTCCCTTTGCATTACCCTTCCCTTTTTTTCTGGGGCAAGGTGGGGTGAGAGTGACAGAGAGAGGTTTATTTAATTAATTAGTGTCAGAAGCACATTTAAAAATGTATATTTTTGATATAATTTGTATAAGAAAATTATATGGAAAGTATTTTGCTCAAAAAGTTTCCTAATGTAGATTATCTTTTGAAATGATCAAATAGAACCCTGAATTAGTTGGTGGATTTATGTATTTTATTTTCAATTGGGCATTTTTAAAAACACAATTTGGGCTTTTTTTCTTTTCTTAGTTTTTGCATATATTTTCAGTGTCATGCTGATCTAAGATTTTAATGCATTTACGTGGAAACATTTTTAAGGGATCAGGATATTTATAGGATTGAAATACTGTTTAGGGGTAGGCAATATAAGGTAATCTAGTCAGTTCAAAAAGATATTCATTAAATAGTATGAATTGACTTTTTTTATTAGGAGAAAATGACCTATTATATTGCATCTGGTATAACATTGCCTGGTCACCTTCCCCCCACTCCCTAGAAGTACATTTCTTAAATGTTTTCTGGGACAGGCTCTCAAAGTGAAAGAGATGGGGATTGTATTTTTTTTCTTCAATTTTCTTTAAATCTTAACTTGATTTTTTTTTTTTTTTTTTAAGACGGATTCTTGCTCTGTCGCCCAGGTTGGAGTACAGTGGCTCGATCTCGACTCACTGCAAGCCCCGCCTCCCGGGTTCACGCCATTCTCCTGTCTCAGCCTCCCAAGTAGCTGGGACTACAGGCGCCTGCCACCATGCCCAGCTAATTTTTTTGTATTTTTAGTAGAGACGCGGTTTCACCCTGTTAGCCAGGATGGTCTCGATCTCCTGACCCTGTGATCCGCCTGCCTCAGCCTCCCAAAGTGTTGGGATTACAGGCGTGAGCCACCGCGCCTGGCCTTTCCTTGAATTTTTTAGAGGAAACTTTTGACCAGGGTAGATACCAGAGAATAAACATTGAAAGCATGACTTTCTGCAGAGACCGTAGGAAATGCTACAGATTATAATGTTTCCTAATTTATGAATAGAAAAGATATGAGATACCTCATTTGTGTTATGCTAGATATACAACCCAATTAGTAACGAGATAAGTTTTCTTTGTTTATTGACAACTAGATGAAGTGATATTAGAAAGTTATAAATGGAATGTTCAGAGGGCTGTGATGGATTTTATATAAAAATGTATACAAACAAGTCATCGTTTTCAAGAACCACCAAGACTAAACTACAGCAAGTTATCTGTGGGGACTGATGCTCTTTAAAGTCCATGGATTCAACCTTTATTTACTCATCCACCAAATATTTATTGTGATATATTTTTATGTGCCAGCCTCAGGCATAAGTCATGGGAATAGTGCAGGAGTAAGATCCAAAACCCATAGTCAAGAGTAAATAGTTACATTTTTAAACAAGTGCTTCTCAATAAACATAGACTTACAACTTTACGACTTTTGAGGAGAGGAGAAAGTTGCTAATTTCACCTCATGTGTGGGTAAGGCTTCACCAGGGAACTATGCTTGAGCCTGGAAAATGAAGAGGAGTTTGCAAGGTGGGTAGGAGGGGTGGGGGCCTACCAGGCAGAAAAGAATGCCTATATCGGAACACACAACTCCATTCTACTTTGCCTACTATCCAAACAACCTGGACAGAAGTCTGTCTGTCACTTATATTTCTAAAAATCTCCAAAACAGGAAATACAGCTTGACCCTTGTTATCTGAAGAACTTAGCAGTGGTGAAATTTCCAATCATGGTATTCAAACTGCCAAATAAAATTTTGCAGTCAGCATTTCTCTTAATCCAACAACCTTTTCACCTTCAAGTGACTTCCCAGCCTCAAAGAGCCTCTCATCTTTTGTGGGTCTCTGGTGCTCCAGAATTTGCACAGATAATAGTTTTTTGCTGTCTTTGGAAGACAAGCTTTTGGACCAGGTAGCCAGTTTTGGGCCCTATTTGGGGACATAACTGGCAACTCTGGGCCCCGAGAGAAAGTCAGAGGTGCTCCACTGCAAAATTCACCTGGTGAGAAGAGGGGAGGGAATCCAGTTTTCTTTTTCTCCACTGCCTTTGTTCTTTCCCAGTGTGGAGTAGAATGCCCTGCTCTGCAAGCTCCCAAACTCCACAAGTTCTCTTTTAAGATTAGAGGATGTTGTTCTGCGGAACAGTGCTCTTGAGGCTCTAAGGTTTCTCTTAACCCTGGGCTGAGTGTGTCTAACCACTGTCATTACCTCCAGAATTCTCTGCAGGCCTCTTTTGAAGATGTAAAAAGATAATTTTGCTGCGGGGGTAGGGGAAAGAAAGCAGCAAGTGGAAATACTTGGGGGCTGTTTTTATTTTTTTAATCTAAAAGTAATTTTTAGAAGCCAGCAGCTCAATTTTTCTCTCTTTAAGGGGCCAGCTACAAATAAAGGTACTTATAAATATTAAAATGCTAGAACCTTCATATAAAATGTCCGATAGTTGTGACCATTTTGATTGTGGTTTTGTATATTTATTTAGAGATAGGATCTCGCTGTGTTGCCTTGGCTGGCCTTGAACTCCTGGGCTCAAGAGATCCTCCCACCTCAGCCTCCCAAATAGCTGGGACTATTGGCACATGTCACCGTGCCTAGCTTAGATTTTGTGCTTTTAAAGATAAAGTCTCATCCACTCTGGCTCCACCACTTTTTTTTTTTTTTTTTTTGCAAGATACGGCTAATCAACATAAGCCTTAATTTTATTTGTTCATAAAATGGGAAAAATAATTTCTACTTCCCAGTTCTTATGAGAATTAGGTATACGTAATATAAAATATCTGTGACGTAATAGTTGCCAAATAAAGAGCAACCATTTGTAGTAATAAAAACAGAATCTGAAACCCTTAATTTGCCATGTTTTTATTCTCATAACTGCTTTTAAAAAATTCTAGATAGTAAAATAAAAGCACTATATTTAAATTTAAGCATTTTAAAGATAAAATGAAATGTGTATACGTGTATGATGTGTGAATATATGTTGTCCCTCATACCTAATTAATGAACTAAAATTGTGTTTTCTGAGTGTGTGTTGACATGCCAGGGGGTGTAGAGATGATCCAATTGGGTATGGAAAGAAAATATTAGATGTGCTTATAAAATTGTTTTATCCTTTTAAAATTTTTATTTTATGTGTACATTATGTAGTTAGCTAGTATAGTAGTAAATACATAAAATACATAAATAACATATATTGGAGATATTAACTCAATGTTTTAAACTAAAAAAAAAATCTCATAAGAGCTTCACAACCACTGGTCTAAATGGCCATTTATAACATAAACATAACACTTATGACAAATCATTTTAAGTTATATTTTATTTTTAAATTAGAGACAGGGTCTTGCTCTGTCACCCAGGCTGGAGTGCAATGGTGCAATCATAGCTCACTGTAACCTCAAACTCCTAGACTCAAGAGATCTCCTGCCTTGGCAATAATCCATTATAACATGAAAGTCCTTCTCGTTGAGTCCAATTTACCTTCTTGGAATTTTATCTTATTTAATGTTTGAACATAGGTTTGAGATTTAGCAAGATTTTAAAAGTGACCATTTTTAGATATTTATGGACAGTTTTATTTTTATTCTTATTCTACATATCTTTGCTAGTAATTTTCTATCATGTGCAGTGGTTCTTTAATTGTTTGGATTTGCTTTTGGTTCCAAATCTGAGGACTTGGTATGTTGGGAAATAAAAGATACTAGAACAGAACCCACCTGTCTCAATAGGTGTCTGAGGTTTGCATCTGTGAACCTTTTCTTCGGCACTCATTGTATTTCTTGTTGGGGACTTCTTGAACCATGCAGTGAAACATTTACTGAATATCCCATTTGCAGAATCCATTATTTGTGCCTGGAGTGAGGTCGTGTTCTTGGCAATGGTTTTTTTAGTCATGTCTTTTTAGAGCGTGATACCTCTTTACTCAGCAGAGCTTCCTACTTATCCACATTTCTTTGATTATTTAAACACCCTTTTTAAAGAGGATTAGCAGAATTCCTAATCTTATTCTTTGGCCCATGACACCCATACATAATATGTCTCCAGAGGTTGATTCTCTTGCACTGACAGGTAAAAGGTTCATATAGTTTCTATACATACTATACTATACTACACTATACTATACTATGCATACTATACTAGGGGGAGGGGGCAGTAAAACCAAAGACTGTGTTCTGATACACTTTGTTGTCAGCAATTTTGGCAACCAAAGCGTAAATAACATGAATGACGAAAGTATGTCTAGAAAGTGGCTTCCTCCTTCCCTTCTCCCTCACCTTTTTTTTACTCCTCCTGTCTGTTTCCTGATGGCTGCCACAACTTCTAAGAGACAAAGTTGACCCAACCCTCTCGGCCCAGGCTGCTGGATCACAGCATTTAAGGCACTGGGTTAGATGTGGTCCAGGGAGCTATTTTCCGGTAACCCATACATTCTGCTCCTCATCTTTAGTACCAGCTGGCTCTCATCAAACTAGGTAGTACCCCAGAAATAATTATTTGCTGTAGTTAACTTTGCTATAGTTAACTACAGCCAACTTGCTGCAAGGCACAATTACACGTTACTTTTACATAATATGAAAAGGGATCCATTTTCATTATTTCCTTACTGTCCTTATAAAGAAGAAAATATTTCCTTTTTCTTTTTTAGTCTACGTATCATAACCTATGTGTTTACATCTCCCCATTAGACTTGTTTTGCTGTCATCTCAATGCCTGATCTGGTTTCTAGTGTGTATTTTTTTGTTTTTGCCTAGGGTAAATAGAGAACCCAGGGGGGATATTTTCAATTATTTCTGCTGAAATTTTCTTGAGTTGTCAACAATGCCCCTATTTGTTGTCTAGCCACTGTGTAAACCGACTTTGACAAAGACTGCTGGGAATTCAGCTTGTCTTTGTTTTTCATAAAGAAATATATTAACTATCTTTTGATATTTTTTTCCAAAAATCTCTTGTGACTGGTGCCGCTTACTTTTTCATTGCTTCTGAAGTAAAAACAAATTTGTCTTTTTTATGCACAACTGTAGAATTCTTCATTTTGTGGCAAAGCCTCAAAATGAGATTAATTCTTCCCTTTAAGGTGTCATGATGTATCTAAAAGATGGAGAAATCACACACACACACACACACACACACACACAATCACTATTTATCTGGTTGCAAATAAAAAAAAGCCAAATAGCCTGTCTGTTAAATCTTCATTCACTACACCTCTGTAGCTGTTAGTTTTAATAAAAACGGTGGTGGCAATGGAAAATTGGGGCAGAGGAGGGCTTTGTGAGCGTGTGATTGGATCTTTTTGGAATTACAGAAGTTTTCACAAAACATTTTGTACCTAAAGGCTTTTCAAAGCAGCATTCCATTCATACAATTTAGCTATGCAATCACAGTTTATAACAACCTTGGATGCAGTTGGTGGCTCCATCAAAAATTTGTACTAACAAGTTTCTTTATGTGGGCTGTATAATAAATAGCTGCCCATTCATAGTCTTTGTATTAGCATACCCGGGAAGTCTTGTTTTTCCCCTCCTAAGGCCTGCTGATAATAGGTGCCATGCATCATACTGATCCTATCAGTGCTTTGTTTTGAAATCAGTTACTATTATAGAGTATACATATTTTTCCTTTGACCATTTCCTATATTAAAAGTACTTAGTTTTATTCAAATGATATATTAAGAACCTATGGTATGCATAGAACGCTTTGGGCACTAAACCATATTAGGTAGTAGATGGCTCTTCAAGATGAGAGTAAATGGTCAGAAGCATACCTGTTTTCCTTGAGTTAAATATTGCATGCTTTTTATTTTGTGTAAATATAACCAAAGGTATTATGGAGTTGGGTTGTCACGATAGCTTTATCATCAGTTTGACAATTTGATACTAGTTATGTACTATTATTAATGTATGATTCAAGGAAGAAACCGAAATTATTGTTCTAAAAAGAGATAATCTTTACAAATAAATAATTTCACTTAATATTTTTAAAGTATGTGGACAAAAGATCTCTGCACAATTAACCTATGTATGAGGGTTTGGAGATAATTGTTCTAGATTTGTTCAAACCCTTACAAAACTGGTAGTGTCAGAAATGAAAGGAGCAATTCAAACAATATGGAAACTGAGAAAAAAATATGAGTTCGTTCAGTAACACTCACCTCCTCCTTTTTTTTTTTTTTTTTTTAAAGAAAATTATCACCTGGTTTAGATTTAAAAATAGCTTTTCAATTGCAGACTTCCAAGTTTATCTCAATGTTCTCAGCACTGTGGGGTCAACGTGGATGCACAGTGTGTGTTAACAGTGCTTTTGTAACCATCTCGGGATTTTTTTAATGTCTTGTTATTTCTGTGAAGTCACACAAAAAAGCGACTGCTGAAATATGCAAGAAATTAGAGCAAGGTGATAGGATCTGGAGCACCTTATAAAAGCCTGACCTTATGCTTTAATTTGTTTATCTCCCACACAATCTTTTCTTTTCGAAAATTTGATTGTGTTGTAGTTGGATTTTGTGGATTAGGACAATTATGCTGAATGACTTTAAAATCTCTTTGCATGCACTTTTAGCTTGGGCACGTCTTGTAATTCCTCCGAGAGAAACCAGAAAGTCCTTCCCAGAATTCCCAGAGTAGGGCTGTGCAAGAAAACCACCCAAGAAAGAGCAATATGAATTTAGGGAAGCAATTATCTTTGTTCTGCATGCATTTCTGCTATTCAGCACTGCAAAGGTTGGTTATCACATTGAAAGCTCCATGACAAGAAGGAGCCAGGACAATCTGAAACCAAGCAGAATATGCAACTGAAAGAACATGCGCCTTGAAATCAGACCAAACCTGGGTTTGAATTCTGGGCTTGAACCCTGGTGCTGACATTTTTAGCTGTATCACCTTGAGCTACTGTCTTTGAGACCCAGTTGTTTTTTGTTTGTTTGTTTGTTTTTGTTTCTTTTAATCATTGAGAATGTGGGCTAGGTTTACATGTAACTGCATAGCACAGTGGTGGAATCCTTTTTTTTTTCCAGCTTACTTAGGATAAAGGAACAGACATCCATTCACCTTTGACAAGTAATAAAGGATATTTGCATCATTCATTTTAATTGAATTTTCATTTTTTTATCATGAAAAAATGCCATGGCATGTCATTGACCATGAAAACTCAGTTTATAAACAATTTGGGGCATTTCTTTCTTGCTTTAAAGAACAAGTTATTTCAGGATATCTTTTATATTTAATATTGTGCAATAGAAGTGATGTGGCTGATGTCAAATCTAAATTGAGTTTCCAAGAAGAGTGTCTATTCATTGTGCGTTTGCTTCTAGCTGAATTTTGAAGTAAGTTTTCTCTCTTTCATATTTGTACTTCATTTTAATGGTGAAGGCAATTTATAAAAATAATGCATAATCAAACCTATCAAGGTAGAACAACCTTTAGCCCACTAATTTAAATTTCTTTGATAACAAACAAACAAAAACACCCTGTCCTTCCATGGCTAAACTACAAAGCATCCTTTACTCAGATTGTGAAATAATAAAATTACATAATTTATATATATAAATGTTAAAAAGCATTTCTAAATTGCTTCCAGGTCTAAATGTATAGGTTAGTTACAACCAGTTAGACTTTTACAGTATTTTTTAATGTTTCTTGATATGTAGTGATAATTAAGTGCATATCCTTTTGGAATCAGATGTAGTTTAGCTAAATAAATTAAATTGAAAAGTAAGTTAGCGATTAAATGTTGAGGTGAAAATGTAGCCTTACTTTGGTTTCAGGCATTACCTTTTAAATAAGGTATAATAAAGCTTTAATTTTAAGTCTTTTAGTTATTAAATCTGCTTCATGTTTTGGTATGATTCTAGGCTGAGACCTTCCATCTTCTCCCTTCTCAGTCCCAAGTCAGGATGTGGTGTGGATCATTAAATAGATGCTGTGTTTCATAATTACATCAATTTATGAATCCAGTTTTGGAAATATAAAAGCAATTGTGAATTTAATATTAGAGATCATGGTAACTAACTTTCCTGTTATTTTCTAAGTTTTTTTTTTAATTGACTGTATTGGGGTAAGGGATCTGTTTTCTGTGTGATTCCCTAATCTACTTAATTAATACCTGATACAGGAGTTGTATGAGTTTGTGCCCTGAAATTGCTTATTTTTCAAACATCAGGTTTCTCTAAGAAATATTTACTGAGGACTTTTTTTCCTTTTTATTCATGAGACAAGCCAGGAACTTTCTAGATTAAACCAGAACTGTTCTGATAAATATAACCTCATTTACACATTTTAAAAAAAAGTCATTGAAGGTCTATTCTGTCACAAGGGAAATCATTTTTCCTTTGACATACAAATGAGAGAGAAAAGTTAAATATAGTAGATAATATTAATGCAGTGACCATGCTGAGGACCCAAAAGCGTGACTATTTTCCAATTTCAGCTTGGTAAATGGGGGCAGTAAGCATAGAAACCTATGGTCAGCTGGAATGAATGAGAGAAAACAGCAGTGACCTTTGCATCAGGGGAAAGACATCATTCTGCTTCTGGCTTTTCACAGCTTATGTGTTTGTGTTTTTAATGTATGACTGAACCTGAAAGTTCATCTCTAATCTTGATCCACAGGGAAATGGCAGAACTCCTAACCAGCCAAATGATACAAATTTAAATTTCTTGTGGAGGAAAGGTCAGTCATATTCTGTTCACTGGGGACAATCTCAGCACAGCTAACAATCCTTCTGATTAAAATTCCTGTTGAGAGCTAGCGATTTGTCTGATTGGAAAACTAAATAAGTCCTTAATCACCTAGATAAGATGACATCACTGGGGCATCATAAACTGTCCAACAAACGAATAACCCCTCTCAAATATCCTCTTCATTTTAAAATTGAAAACCAAAAACATAGGGCTGCATTTAACAGCAACTATTTATAGTTTTGTGATGGAAGGCCTCCAGTTTCCTATAATCCCCATTGTTCTCTAAAAATAAAGACCCATTTAACCAAGGAGGATTGACAAGTGATCTTGTGATGTATTCGAGTTATTGTTCAATGTGTGAGACTAGGGAGGGTACCATAACATCATAGCAACACTTATGGGAACCTGGCTGGATGGGGCACTGCCTTGGCCCACTGTACATACCTGTTTGCACACTTACTGTTGAAAAGTAACACTCCTGTAGTTGATTTCTGCTTTTCCAGTGAAACACATAAGCCTTTTTATAAGATGAGAACACAGCCAGCATATTTAGTTTGTGACAAGTGATGGACCTAATGAATTAGACCAGCATGGAGATGATTCAGTTCCCCGCCTCCATCCCTAAGGCTCTTGTGTTTTTTAAACGTGGGAGCTTTGTATCTGTACCATCTCCGTCTAACTAAGACTAGCCTATGAAGTCTCAGGCTAGCTTTTATCCTGAATTTAAAACAACCTGAGATGCACCATTTTAATCATAGACCAAGAAAATGATGTAGAGGAGCAGCCTAACATCCTTGTTACTATATCTAATACCTATATTAGGTTTTACCTGAGAGTTTCCACTTACAGTTTACTTCTTTCTTGTTCACTTTTTATGTGAAAAAGCAGATACAACTGTAGTATCATATTTTTCTTATAAACCAGAAGAAAGTTATAAAAAAAAAAGTGAAGAAAAGATATACATGCAAGCTAGGTGCATTTCCAGTCCAACCTTGAAATTACACAGGGAAGTGGCTGTCTTCCCTGCCTCTGTCAGTTTGTGTGGGGAGCTCTGGAGAACCGGGGACAGTGACTGCATTCAGAAAGGCCCTGGGAGTCTTTATTTGAGGCTTCTCATCTCATCGCTGAAGGCCTGAAGGAGAATTTGGAGATTTCTCACAACTGGTAAACCCTGACATTTTGTTTTTAATCTCTTCCTCAATGTGAACTCTGTCAGATGCTCTGAGAAGACACCCAACAACAATTGCTATCCAGAGTCTAAAACTGCTCCAGAGAAGGACTTTCTTTTGAAGAGTATGATAGCGAATATATACTCTGAGCGTGTAGCTTTTCATATGAAATTATAATAAATTGTGCATGAAGGTGAAACACTGAGGAAGATGCAGCCTTATTAAATTGAATTTAGTGGATGGTTAATTCTGATGATGCTGAAATATTGCTCATTCTGAAAAAGGCACATTGGGGCCAGGAAAGTCCTTGATGTATTTGGCATGGAACTGTGACATTTAGCTGTTAGGCTGGCGTGAAGCATCTTGGATAGCACTGAAGGAGTGAGGGCCGAATACTTGAGTGGTTTCACTTTTAATGCATTTGTGCCTGATTATAATTAAGAACTTTATAGATAGTAAATATGTGATCTTTATTTAAATGGATTTAGAAGGCTTAATGGTCAGATAAGTAAATTTGGGATATATTTTTATTTTTATTTTTTATTTTTTATTTTTTTGAGATGGAGTCTCGCTCTGTTGCCCAGGCTGGAGTGCAGTGGCGCCATCTCTGCTCACTGCAAGCTCCGCCTCCCGGGTTCACGCCATTCTCCTGCCTCAGCCTCCCGAGTAGCTGGGACTCCAGGCGCCCACCACCACGCCCGGCTAATTTTTTGTATTTTTAGTAGAGACGGGGTTTCACTGTGTTAGCCAGGATGGTCTCGATCTCCTGACCTCGTGATCCGCCGTCTCGGCCTCCCAAAGTGCTGGGATTACAAGCATGAGCCACCGCACCCGGCCTGGGATATATTTTTAAATGTGTAAGTTGGACATTTTCAGTTATCAGAATGCAGCCATATATTGTGTGTGAAAATGAGTATATTGTGTCTTTCAGGTAAATAACTGAAATACGTGACAAAGGGGGTAGACATTGGCCCATGCTTAGCAGGTTTTAGAAAAGCAAAACAATTCCAAATATTTATTTATTTTTAAAAAGGATGCACGTTGTAGGAAGCAACGAACAAATGAAGACAAAGTCACGGACTGAAAGCTTGATAAAAGTTTGTGGAGAAATAAAATAACAAAAATTGAGAAAAAGAACCTTTAAACGTTTTTGCTGAGCCCAGTGTGCAATTTCATTGTACTTAGCACTGGTAAGGTTGGTGAACCTTGGGAAGGTGATTAGGGTTTTTTCTCATTTATATAGTATAAGCCCCAGATAGTTGTGTAGTGATAAACTGAATTTTAACCTCAATTCCATACTATCTACTTTCAAGGCCTTCATAGTGTGAAGTTATTCCTAAACTGTTTCACTAGTGAGTCTTCACATTTTAGAGAGAAAAAATATCAAAACTAATTTATCTTCTTGGTGGCCATAGTGCTTTGCATCATGATTTGCTTTGCTGACTCTGAGGACTGTTGTGTGTGAGTGACAGACCGTGTCATGCAGTCTCCACCTCAAATGCTACTCAGGCTGCATAGGGGTCAAGCAAGGACAACAGGAATCTGCAAGAGTATATTATTTTTAAGGAGGCTTCAGATGGAATTTCACTTATTTATTTAGAGTTCATTTGAAGATATATCCAGTTTTGAAATGGTAGCCCATTTGTCAGACATTGATATAGAAAAGCAAAACAATAGTGATCAAGAGCTGTCTTTAGTGATTTGTGAGACGTATTCTATTTTTCTATCATGCGTTGTGACTTTCTACAATTTATTCTGGTAGAGTTCAGAAAAATCACACATTGTTGGGTATTAAAAATACCCAACAATGGTTAACTGAATATATATTCCTGTACACATAGAAGAACTAAAATTTTGAATGTTTAATAGTGATGTTTACAAATGTTTGCCAAAGTCACCATTTTAAAAGCATGTCGAGGATGTCCTATTTTGCCACCTTATCTAACATTGCAAACCACCCCCAACTTTCCCTATAAACTTTCTTTGTTTTTTCTTAGTTTCTGGGACTACCTAATGTATTAAATATCTTGCTTACTGTGTTTATTTCCTGTTTCTTTTATCAGAATGTAAACTCCATGAGAGCAGGAATGTTTGTTCTGCTCACTGTGGTGTTGACCTAGAACAGTGCCAGGCACATAGTTGGCACTGAATAATAAATATTTGTTGAATGAATAAATTGAATTTAAAGAGACCCAGCTGTTATTCGTTCAACAGACATTTATTAAGCAGATACTGTGTGCCGTGCCTCATATAAATACATATCTTGGTTTGTTAACACTTACTTTGTTAAATATGCAATTCCAAGTACCCTAATGTCCAAAGAGTCTATGATTTTCAGTATCTGTTTGATAATCTATCAAACAATTCACTGTATTTAATAGGCCCTACTGATTTGTAAGAATTAATACATATTAAGGAGATTCTACTGGAATAGTTTAAACACTAAGAGTACAGTATCATGTGCTTTTGAAGAATGGGAAAGAACTGAAAAAAAAAAAGAGAGAAATCTTCAAATCCTACACGTGATGTACTTGGTCAAATTAGGCCATGCTTTCTGTCCCTTGCCAATTTCTAGAGGCTGTTACTAGCTTGTTGGGAGCACATGCCTGGGCTTGAATGCTGGCTGTGCCACTTACGAACTGTGTCACTTTAGGCATATTCCTTAGTATTTTTGTATCTCAGTGTCCACATCTGAAAACTTGAGTTGTTGTGAGAATGAAATGAAAAAACACATACAAAGTGCTTAGGACAGTGCCTGGAATGTGGAATGTACTCATCAGTTGCAGTGCTGGTGTGGGCACTACCTAGCCCAAAACAGTTTCTATGATTTACTTGTTTTTGGATTTGTTTGTATTTGAAAATAGTGTCTATATATTTTTTTTCACATGAGAAGCAAATGGCAAACTGAATAGAAACGACGTTTAATGTACTTGCATTCTTTTACAGATGCTCTCTCTCTGTTTTTTTTTTTAATTAAGTACTGTGTTATTCTTGTCTTATTAGAGAAAGAGAAACAGTGATTATTAAATGTTGTCTAATTACCTTAGCCTGGTGTTGTTTTCACTCAAGGGGAGCCAGGGATATGTACACTGTGTACACTGCGTTCCAGAAAGGAGAAAAAAAGGATGGGGTTGTGAATTCAGTAAAGAATTTGAGGGAACGGTTTTCAAGTGCATTGCACCCTGGGGACTTGTGTCTGGCATGGGGCTACCAGGGAAGAGACAGCAGAAAAGGTAACCAGACTTGTGAGCACTCAACGTTGCAATGGAATCTGGACTCTGCTTCCTGGCAATGCGACCTTCAATCAGTCCCCTGACTTCTTAGAGAAGTAGAAAACAGTGAAGAGCAAATGCTGTGTAAGCAGAGACTTCCCACGAAATCCTTCTGCTAATTAATTAGCTATAGATTTGGGGCCATATTCCTGAATTGCTATCAAAGTCTTAATTTTCTCATCTGTATATTGGCCATAAAAAAATTCCTGTTACAGCACTGGTAAGATAAGGCATGAGCTAAATTACTTTGTACTGTGCCTGGTACATAAAAATGCATGGTAAATTGTTGTTGTTATAACGATGGGGAATGCCAGCACTAAACAAAAGATTTAGGGACTAAATGAGATATATAAAGCACTTAGCGCATAGTACCTGTTTTAAAAATGTTCTTCCTTCTTTGTGGCATTCTCATACTTCTTTCAAGAGTAATTTCCACCTTCTGCTTCTTTTTCTCCTTTCCAACAACGTCTCCTCACTCAGTCTCTGTAAGTGATGCTCAAACAGTGCATCTGCCCACATCTCTTGCTTCGTGATCATGAAATGCAAGATTCAAAGGAGGATGGCAAGATGGGCCACTTAGCGAATGCCACACATTTCATCTTCTTGAGCCTTCCCACTGAAAACATACCCACCTACACCCCTCTCTTCTTCCCAAAGATGATTACTCAGTACTTAAAATCACAGAATCCTACTGCTAGAGTTTAGGCCCGAGGTAGGAAACTGGGAACCTGGGGGCCAGTCCAGCCAGAGACATTTTGTTTCACCTGCCCAGGGTTGGCACAAGTGGTGATTTTAAAATTTTGAATTAGTTTTTAATGGTTTCAAATGTCAGATATTTCAAATTAAAATATAAAACACAGACTCATACATATTTCTGGCTACAGTGAAAGTGGGGCAATCTGGCAACACAAAGCCCAGATCTCCCAGGTGACAATGGTCTGGAGTGGAGCAGCTGCCCCCTGGTGTCCTCTGGTTAGACCCAGCCCCCATCACTGTCTGCCTTTATTTATATTACTGGCACAGCTCCTGACCGTACGATATCCCAGTTCTTTCCATTTATAGATATGGGACTGGAAGCCCACCACGGCTTAGTGATGCATACAGAGGGCAAGGTAAGCTAATTACTGAGTGAAGATGTGAATTTGGGTTTTTGGACTCTTGGGCCTGTGCTCTTACTATCTCCTTAGCTGAAATGTTTAGAAGATCATAATTCAGTGGAAGATGGGTTTTTAAGTGCTTTATGGTTAATTTTCAAACATCTTAGCCCATTATCTTTCTTGGTTAGACGATGAGCAAATATAAACAACCCCCCAGGTTCAATTTTGCTCCTCAGTTCCATGTCCTTCCTTCTGTTTATGGCTCCTGGTCATACCCACTGTGCCCATTTCCAAGTTGTAAGGCACTGGCCCTGCTGGTAGACAATGTCCAGTGAAAACTAGGTAGCTTCATTTGATACTGTTTATCCAGGGATGCAAGCTCACATGCCTACGGGAGCCAGGCAGTTAATGTGTGTGACAGGCTGGGGTGACCTGGGCACTAGCAACCCTGAAGGAAGAGCACATTCCTACCTCGGCTCTGGTTGACAGATACCATGAGGGATTCCTGCTGCCGTCAGATCCTTTTATGTTTTTATTTTTAAGGAGAATCCTGAAGTTAGGATTTTATATGAAAACTTCTGGCTTTAAATTTGGCAATTAATTTACATCTTTAAAAAACTAATTTGGCTAAAGAGAACAAAGACTCAACAGTTTGTGAGTTCTGCCAAGGGAAAGTCCAGTTGAAAAAATGAACAGCTGACTACTACAACCCCTGCCATTGAAGGGACAGAGAGATACACAGAAAGCACACAGCTTTGATTTCAGACAGACTTTACTGCACCACTCCTATGTGATGCTAACTAAACCACTACTTCTCTGAGTTTCAAAACCCTCATTTGAAAAAGGCTTGTAATAATTTCTTAGGCAGTTGATGTGAGGACCAAAGAGAGAATATAGGTACAATGCACAGAACAAGACCTGGGAATGTCTTAGCTCCCTCTTCCTCTGCTAATATCATCTTGGTTTTTTCAAAATGGTGTATTTGAATTTAAATCTATATATTTGTTGCTTTGTTTCTTTTTCTTTTTCTTTTTCATTCCATAATACCATAAAAATGGTAGGCTGAAGACTGTTCCTACTGTCTTGGCTCTCTCATGCCTGCTGCTTGAGGTCCTGGACTGAAAATGATCCTTCAGGAAGAGATAAGCTGTATTGAATGATACCTGGTATAATTAAGAGACATCTCAAACAAGCTATTATTTATGGGATTAAGACAGAAGTCAGCAATGAAATAAGTTCAAATATGGTATTCCCAAGTAACCATTCACTAAGAAAAAATATGCTCTGTTCTCAAGCAGCATTTCAGTTAAAACAACACACACATATCAGAACAATCCAGAAATGCCAGCAAGTTCAGATGTTCCCCCTTATTTTTAGGCATATTTTAATACTCATGACTGAAATACATATTTTAGAGCTTTTTTATTTCCTGGGAAAATAAAGGTATTCCCCAAGGGGTTTGGATGAACTTTGAGAGAATTTTAAATGCCTGTCAGAATAATGAGAGCCTTCAGACAGAGGAATGGCAAGAGAAATGCCCACCTCCTCCCTTGATGTTACCCCTTGCAGCTAAGAGGCATGGGGAGTGAGATTAACTAACTGTAAGCAGAATTATGGGATTTAGAGTCTCTATCTATTGACTCTGTTATTATCCAATTGGGAATTCTTTCATTTGTAACAATTCTTCAGTTAAAGAAGGAAGTAAGAAAAGCCACAAAGAAAAGTTTGGAGTCAGGGGTGACCAAGCCAATCATATCCTATACTGAGATGGTGCCAGAGGTGGGTATCCCTTCCCCATTTATTTCTTTGTTTTTACATAGCATCTCTCTCCCTCTTTTTCCTCTCTCTTTTCCTCTCCCTTTGTCATCTGATGATATACAATGAATGGCTTTTTATCTCTTAGACATTGATTTGCCTTTACCAAAGGAGGAGTAATTTTAGATACATCCAATTTTCAGAAGTACAAGTGGGATGTGTGAGGCAAGTTTCAATTTCCCTAGGCATATCTCAGCTTTAAAGGAAATGTTCCCATGACAAAAATAAAAAATATTTGATAAAAATCTTTTTATATAACTCCCTATAATTTTTTTCATAGCTTGGAAGTGGTCTAAGAGTTGTGCGATGTAGCTGTTGCTAGGGAAACTTGCTTTTTAGTGAACAGCAATTTCCAAAGCAGATGCATTTCCTCTCTAACTAATGAGTGTGTAAATGCTACCTCTACTGCATTTTGCCTCAGTATTTTGGAAACAACTTGAACTATTTGCTTAGGACAGCAGATATCTGCTTTATAAAATTGAAGCAAATACACTCCTAGTATATCTTATTTACATGCAACTTGTGATGCATATTTCAAAAGCACATTTGTGGTTTTTCACTTTCTTGTTGGAAGACATTTTACACCTGTCAATGGCAGAAATAATTGCTAGGATTTTTTTTTTTAAATCCTCTCTGGAAGGTTTAACTATGTTTGGTTGCATGGTGCATTTCATTCCCACAAATCTAACTGCAGAGGGGGAACTCTACTGATTTGGACTGGGAAGCCAACTGGAAGTCGCGCTGCCTACTAGCAAATTGAATATTGTTATGCAAAGTTGGGTGGGAGCAAAGCTATTTCAGAGGCTATAACGTTTCCTTCCAGTTCACTGATCCACTAATTTCCATTCACTTTAAACTGCTTTTGTATTTTTTCAGAGAAAAAAAGCTATTTTCTACCATTTGCACTGTTCCTAATCTTTGGCTTTGAACAAAATCTGTCTGGATAACAAGGAGATATGGTCACCCTCCTGCTTTTATGGACAGCTGGCAATGGGTCCAAACACATGCAAATAAGGAATATAGCTATTTCCATAAAAGGTGGGGCCACATATGCCCTCTAATTATGCTCTGAGATCTTACAAGGAGGAGAAAGATAGATTTAAGGAATTACGAAAGGAAAGGCCCAGAAAATGGGAACAGCAGCTTGGACAACATAAAGGATTTTCTGAGCAAAAGACAATATACGAACTTTTTTTTTTTTTTTTTAGTATCTCCCTCCCTGAAATAGTCCTCTAAAAGTTTCTAAATTTGGAGGCTTTTTATAGTACCATGGAAATGAAAGAATATTGGCCTGCTTATTAGTGTAAATTTACAGAAGACCTCTCTTGATAGAATTGTGCAAGATTATATGCGACTTTTTCTTTTTTAAAAAAATCATTTACTCATTTTTGTCTTAGAAGTTTTGTACTTCTTGACTATGTCCTTTAGAGGGATTAAAGCTATGCTAATGTTGAGTATATTAGCTGAATGGTTTTAGATCTCAGTTAATTCAACTTGAAGCTTTAAGTTTTTTTTTAAGTAAATAATATAGTTTCTTAATATAATACAGCTTCAGACTGTACTGGCGTTCTGGTTGTGGCATGTATAAGGGAGAATGGCAAGGAATGCATTTTTTAAAATTGTATCTTACACAAGAACTATCAGGAGGATTCTAATGCACATAGCATAAGAGCTGAATTTTCCAACAAGTTACTTTGGATTGTAATAGGGACTGCCTGTGGGTTTGGTGAGGTTATTACCCCTTCTTCCCATTGGTATATTGAGCAGATAAATTACTTGATTCTAGGGAATTGTGAGTTTAAAAATTTTTTTGAGTTACACGTGGGAATAAAGTTTCTATTCTTGATGGACATTTTTTTCTTTTTTTAAGTGAACTCCAGACTTTATTTGAATTTCACCAGATTTCCATTAATGTCCTCTTTCTGTTCCAGGATCCAATACAGAGTATCACATTGAATTTAATTATCCTCTCTCACTAATCTTCTCTGGTCTGTGACAGTTCCTCAGTCTTTCCTTTTTTTTTTTTTTTTTTTTTCCTTTTCTAAGACTTTAACAGTCTTGAAGAATATTTGCCAGGTACCCAATAGAATGTCCCAAATCTGGGGTTGTCTGATTCTTTTTTCATGATTAGACTGGGATGATGGGTTTTTGTAAAGACCACCACTGAGGCAAAGTGCCTTCTTGTCACATCATATCAGGGATAGATGATATCCACATACCATCACTGGTTACATTAGTCTTCATCACTTGGTTAAGGTGGTGTCTGCCAGGCTTCCACTGCAAAATTGCTATCTTCCTTTTCTCTACTCTATTATTTGAAAAGGAGTCTCTTATATCTAGCCAATACTAAACAGGGGGTGGTGGAAATCAAACTCCACTTCCTAAAGGGAGAGGTATATCTACATACACTATTGAGAATTCTTCTATAAGGAAGATTTGTCTCTTCTACTCAGTTTATTTTTGCAACAATTTAGTTACATCAGTATGGATTCTCTTATATTTATTTTATACTTTGGGTTATAATCCAATACTGCTTTATTTTGTTGCTCAAATTGTTCCACCTTTGGCAATTGGGAGCTCCTTCAGGGCAGATTCGGTGCTCCTTTGCTGTAGCCCCATTTTTTTTAATTGCTGTTGTTTTAGCACTTCTTCACTTTCTGGTGCTACAAGATGATGTGAACTGGGTGGCTTAAACAATGCAGTTATTTCTCACAGTTTTTGAAGCTGGAAAGTCCAAGATCAAGGTGCTAGCAAACTCGTTTCCTGGCGAGGGCCCTCATTCTAGCTGGCAGATGGCTGCCTTCTTGCTGTGTCCTCACATAGTGGGAAGAGAGAAAGCTCTGATCTCTTCTTCTTGTAAAGACACTAATCCCATCTTGAGGGCCCTACCCTCATGACCTATATAAACCTAATCACCTCCCAAAGGCCCAACTTCTAAATACTATGACATTGGGCATTAGAGCTTCAACATGAATTCGGAGGAGACACAAACATTCAGTCCATAACAGCCCTAATACAATATGAATGGTGTCCTTATATGAAGAGGAGATTAAGACACAAACATACCTAGACTGAGAACCTTAGCAAGAAGCCAAGAAGAGAGGCTTTAGAAGAAGCTAAACCTGATGACATCTTGATCTTGGACTTCTAACCTCCAGAGCATTTCTGTTGTTTAAGCTATCCTGTCTATAACTTTGTATTAGTCTGTTAGAACTACCACACACACACACACACACACACACACACACACAAACCCCATCTATTGGATATTGGCAGTCTCATGTGAGAAAAAGCCATTAATGAAATAATGATGGTGATAAGTGGTGGGGGGAAAACTACAGAGAGTGTGAGGTCATCAAACAGGAGGACCTGATCCAGTCTGGGTTCGTGTGGTGGGGCTGGGAGAAGAGAAGGGGTGGGCAAGTCAGTTTTTACTGAGGAAATGTCATTTGAGCTGAGACCTGAAAAAAACCAGAAAGCCAGAGCATAGATATCAAGGGCAGAGTGGCGAAGATGAAGCCGGCAAAGCAGACGAATGTATTACAAAAATGGGATCTTGTGCTCTCAATAACCTGCTTTTTCAGTTGGTATTTTGATTCAGGTGTCATTAAGGATTCTCTTAACACAGGCTTTCAAATGGTGCTCTCAGAATCCTAGGTGTCCTGGAGTACAACATTGCCAGGGCTTGGCTCTGGGAAGCTAAACATACTTCAACCAGAGCATCCACCTGAAAGAATGCTTTTATTTATACTGGTTTTTATTAACTTTTTATTTAAACAAAAGTTTCTACCCAGAAAAAGTTTGAAAACCCACTGTTCTACAACATTACTGTTTTTTGTTTTTTAAGAGACAGGGCCTCACTCTGTTGCCCAGGCTGGAGTGCAGTGACACCATCATAGCTCACTGCAGCCTCGAAGTGCTGGGCTCCAGTAATCCTCCAGCCTCAGCTTCCCAAATAGCTAGGACTACAGACTGTCCTTGAACTCCTAGGCTCAAGCAATTCTCCTGCCTCAGCCTCCCAAAGTACTGGGATTACAGGCATGAGCCACCGCACCCTGCCATGATTTTTAGTGATACATGATTATCCATTATATTGATGTGTCTTACTGTATTTAAACAATCTTTCATAGCTAAATATTCAGGTTGCTTTTAATGTTTCGCTAAATAAACAACTATGATGAGCTTCTCTATTCAGAATTTTTGGTGCTTATATGTAATTGATTTGTGCAATATAACTGATTCTTTCCTCAGGATTCTTTCTATATGCAACTGACTGTTCTTTGCACTGGAATAGCTGAGTAAAAGAGTATATTAGTTGTAATGCTACATAGTAAATAATTTCAAAATTTAGTGGACTAAAAAATAATCCTTTCTTGTTGTGTCAGAGTTCAGGAGTGTCTAGGCAGGGTCTTTCATGAGGTTGCTGTCAGATGCTGGCTGGAGCTGTGTTTGTCAGAAGATCTGACTAAGACTGGAGGACCCACTCCATGGAGTCTCACGTACATGACTGGCAAGTTGGTGCTGTCTGTGGCAGAGAAGTCTTTGTTTTTCCCTGTATGGTCTCTCCACAGGGCTGCTTGAGCGTCCTCAAACTTGGCAGCTAACTTCCCCAGAACAAAACATTCCAGAAAGCAAAACAGAAGTTGCAATGCAAAGGAAATCACACATTGTTCCTTCTGCCATATTTTATCAGTCACTGTGGAAGGTAAAATGACCCCTTAAAGATGCCTATGTCCTAAAACATGGAACTTGTGAATTCATTATCTTATATGGCAAAAGGGAATTTGCAGGTATAATTACATTAGAATTTTGAGATGGAGAGATTATCCTCCATTATCCTGGTAGGTCCGATGTCATCACAGAGGTCCTTATACGTAAAAGATGGAGCAGAGGAATTTGAGTCAGAGATGAAGATGTGGCTACAGAACTGATAACAGAATGACTGCTTGCTGGAGGAGGCAGCCAGGCCAGGAATGCAAACAGCATCTAAAAGTTGGAATAGGGAAGAGAAACAGATTATTAGACAATCCAGAGAAAGCACACTCCTGTTGACACCTTGATTATAGCCCAGAGTGACCCATTTTGAATGTATGACCTCAGAACTCTAAGTGGATAAATTTGTGTTGTTTTAAGCCACTAAGTTTGTGATAGTTTGTTATAGCAGCAATAGGACACTAATGCAGTCACAGGTACATAATTCACTGTGGGAGAGAACAGTAAGAAGGGATGAATACCAAGAGGCAAGGATCATTTGGAGAAATCTTGGGTGTGCTGTCTAACACAAAGAGCGTGCCTACTTTTAAGATTTTGATATCTATATTTTCCAATTGCCACTTATGTATATTGTATGAATCTTTACAACTAAAAATTTAGATAAAACAGATTCAGTGAGACCAGAGAAGGTGTCTTTCCAATGACCAATATTTCCAGCCCATGCATCTTCCTGTGGAAGAAATAGAAAAGGGAAGTAGACTATTTAATTGTCTAGGTGTATTCCTTTCTGACATGGTGGGAGGGTAGGTAGAAAATGGGAGGACAATCATCAAAGGACCTATCCCCATGTTTCCTGAGGCCATTTTCTTTTCCCACCCCAGTTTATTCTGACCACCTTCAATAAAAGTAAATTCTCAGTTGCCTTTCCATAAATATATTTTTACCTAACAGAATTTAAGAATGATGTCAGATTTTAAAGCCAAGAGACATCTAAATATAGCTGAATTTTGTTTTCTTTATGTATTATTCTGAGATTTGTCTGTCAACCAGGTGAACATTGTTATGCTATTTCAAAATGAGGAGCGTGAAATAAAGACATAAGCGTATTTAAGAGGAAACAAGTGATTTCCATGGCAGTTAGAGTGAGCTTATTCTTGGAGAGGGCAAAGTTTCTGCTGGAGAAAATTTAAAAATGCTTATCTCTGGCTCTCTGTTGATCATGCCTAATATGTGAATGTGTTTTCGTAATGCTGATATTACAACCTTGGGCCACGGTGAATGAGGAAAGACTTACTTTTCCTACAGAGTATCTACTGTGCAACAGAGAAATACTGAGCAGGAGTCTTTCTCATTTTGGAAGTTATTTTCTTCCTGAAAGACGCAAAATGCTTTTAAAATTAATTAAAACAAAAACGAAGATAGGCTAGTAAGCAGGTGCTATTTCCAGCAAGAACGTCCAGATCCATCACTCTGGCTTTCTATACTAAACACATAATTTCCTGGTCAAAGGGGATTTAGAGACCACTTATTGCTCTTATTTTATAAATGAGGAATCTGAGGCCTAGAGGCTTGATCTGCCATGAGAACTCAAGATATATTAAGTATTAGATTAAGCATTAGACCAAGAAATATTTCATTTATCATTCAAGTGATGTTGGAGTTTCTAATTATGCTTTCCCCCCCTCCCCCTTCCCCTGTAGTCATACAGGAAACTTCCATTGAAAATCTTGGAAAATGTAATTCAAACTCATTTAAGCCAACAGGGTTTTTGTTGAGCAATATAACTAAAAATTCACGGGTAGGTTTGACTCCAGCAAGGTTTGACTCAGGTACTCAAGTACCTTCTGCAGGGCCTGATTTCTTTCTCCATCTGTTTGTTCTGCTTTCTCTATGTCAGGTTCATTTTTAAATACACTCTGCCCTTACAGTGACATTAGCCTCTCCTTCTCCAGGTTCACGTCTAATTGGAGAAAGTGCTTGCCTCCTTCCTATCTGCCCAGCAAGTCTCCCTGTATTGCATTGTTCTTTGATTGAATCATGTGTCCATTACTAAGCCAATTATGTTGGCTAGGATGTTGCCCTGCTCTTATTTATCAAACCTGAGCCATGTGCCATACTCCTGGAGCCAGGGATGGAGGCTGCCATTCTTGAATCACAGGGAAAGTTGAGGAAAATTCTCAGTATTATTATCAAAAGAAGGGGAATGGAAGCCAGCTGGCCCCCAAGTTGCAAATGGTTTTCTGTATTGCCTTTAATTTCCCTGTTCATTTGATTTATTAAGCACTTAATATGTGCCTATATGCAATCAGAGCAAAACAGACAATGTCTCTGTCTTAGTCTCTTTTGCACTGCTGTAACAGAATCCTAAGACTCGGTAATTCATAAAGACAGACATTTATTCTTTCACAGTTCTGGAGGCTGGGAAGTCCAAGATCAAGGCACCAGCAGGTTTGGTCTCTGGTTCCAAGATGGTGCCTCATTGCTGCATCTTCCAGAGAGAAGAAATATTATGTCCTCATATGGCAGAAGAGCAGAAGAAAGAATTCACTCGTACAACCCCTTTTTATAGTGGCTTTAATTCATTCATGAGGGTGGAGCCCTCATGACCTAAACACCTCCAGTTAGGCTCCACCTCCCAACACTGTTGCATTGGGGATTAAGTTACTAACACATGAATTTTGTGGGACACCTTCAAACTATAGCATTCTCTGACGCATAGTTTATAATCTCAGGGAAGAAGTGAGTGTGTGTAGAAATAATCATTAAAATAAAAAAGTGTCACAAATGGGTTAAGTAAAAAACTAAAAGAGGTGATTATCTATTAAAAATATATGCTTGAATATTTACATATAAAATAATGTGATGTCTGGGATTTTTTTTTTCAAAGTTGTTTGGGTTTGTAGAGGTGGGGTGGGGTAGAGATGAAATCAAATTGGGCACAGGTTGGTAACTGATAAAGCTGGTTGATGGATATGTGGGGGATTCATACTCTATTATCGACCTCTGTATATATTTGAAATTTTCTATGATAACAAGCTTAAGAAGGCAATTTTACAAACAAATATGTTATTGAATAAGTGCCATGAAGGAAAAATAAAAACCTATATAATGTATGGGAGGACCCAACCAAGTTTCTATGGTCAGGGAAGAGTTTCCAAGGAAATGATATATTTGTTATAATCCAAAGTATGACTCGTATTGAGATAATAGGAGTGAGATAAGGACTGGACTGGGCATGCTTACACTTTCTCGCAAACACTTCAATCAAATAAGATACTCCTTG
This sequence comes from Homo sapiens, assembly GCF_000001405.40. Lineage (NCBI taxonomy): Eukaryota > Metazoa > Chordata > Mammalia > Primates > Hominidae > Homo > Homo sapiens. The sequence goes on from NC_000005.10 coordinate 103,306,011, forward strand.
TCCTAGGACAGAGGAGTGAGTCAGAGTGGGACAAAAGGTGATAAATGTCACTATGGGAGTGCCTCGTGAACAGGGTAGGGAGACTGCTGTTTCCATCTTAACAAGTAGGAGTAAACTAGGTTAAGGGAAGTAGGTCATTGGAAAAATAGGAAGTGTTTGAGGGAGATGGAAGAGTATGCATGAAGACTTGCTCTACGCTCTGAATGAGGCACTGTGCCTAGTACTGGTGCTACATAGGGGTGAAGGAGGTTGGTCTTCAACCTCATATTGTCTTGGTCTATGTGGGAGACAAACAACAATAAACAAAGACACTTAAATACAGTCTTCGGCTTACAACGGTTCAACTTCTGATTTGTCAATTTTATGAAGTTGTGGAGGCAATACACATTCAGTAGAAACCATACTTTGAATTATGAATTTTGATCTTTTCCAGGGCTAGTCATATGTGGTAAGATACTCTCTAGTGATGCTGGACAGTGGTAGAGAGCCACAGCTCCCTGTCAACCATGTGACCATGAGGGTGACCAACCAGTACTCCACAGTATACTGTACTGCCTGATGATTATGCCCAGCTGTAGGCTAATGTAAGTGTTCTGAGTACATTTAAGGTAGGCTAGGCTAAGCTATGATGTTTGCGAGGTTAGGTGTATTAAATGCATATTCCACTTACAATATTTTCAACTTGCAATGTCTTTTTTTTTCCTGGTTGCCCAGGCTGGAGTGCAGTGGCACCATCTGGGCTCACTGTAGCCTTGACTTCTTGGGCTCAGGTGATTCTCCCACCTCAGCCTCCAGAGTAGCTGGGACTACAGGTGTGCACCACCATGCCTGGCTAATTTTTGTATTTTTAGTAGAGATGGGGTTTTACTATGTTGCCCAGGTTGGTCTTGAACTCCTAGACTCAAGCAATCTGCCTGTCTTGGCCTCCAAAAGTGCTAGGATTACAGGTATGAGCCACGGCGCCCGGCCTTGCAATGGTTTTATCAGACACATAGTAAGTCAGGAGCATCTGCACTGATGATGAGGAGTAACTGCAATATCAGTTGACATCACAGAGGAAGTCAAGATGAATTCTGAGCACCTGCTGGTGGAGAAGGAGAAGAAGAAGGGAGACAGATAGAAAAAGGTGGATTATGAAAGGATTCCTGGAGGAATATTTACTGAACTGATCCTTCAAGGCAGAAAGAATTCTCCTAAAGGGAGGGGCAGGGAAGAGCCCTCCAAGCAGAGAGAACTGCATGGTGCCCCTCCTGGCCTAATTTTGTCCAGCATTCCCACTTGTATAATTGTCTCTTCATTGTCATTGTTCCAGCTTCTAGGGGAAGGGATGCTTCTCCCATTACCTGTCTGGGGTTCAGTGAAGCCACAGAATGAAGACACCCTCCCCCCACCTCTGTTCAGCACCCTTCTCCTCTGTCCTCCCACTGTCCCACACAGTGATCTTACTACTTAAGGCTCCTTGACGCTGCTGTTTCTATGGCTTGTGTAGGAGGGAGGCTACAAACAAGCCAGGATGCAATCCCATAATTATGGTTTTATTAATAGCTTGAAGTCAAGATTGCAGAGATTCAGAATTTGTCTCAGTAGAATGAAATACACTTAAGTGAGTGACAGAGGAGTTTTCATTGTATGCTGCTGCTGTCACATGGAGTGACGTTGTCTTCCTTCTTTCTTCCTCCTACTTTCTAAAGCTTTTAAAGAGACATGCTTGAGAGAGTGCCTTTTTAGACGTGAGAACAGTAGTGGGAGAGAAGGTTTCTCTCTCTGGATCACATGTGACAAGTTTTTATCTGATGTCTTTTGCATAAATAGTGGTATTTCCACTTAAGACTCTGTTATTTTCAAATAAAACAATAGATTGAAAGCACATTTATCTTCAAAGATTCACGCTTATCTTCAAAGATTCATCAAAGTGCTATCTATACTTGAAGGAGTTATTTCTTGCCCTAAGATAATTTGTATAGAGTGAAAGCACAGGTGAGGTCTTGCCAGATTGAATATTTTTGAACCTTTTAGCATTATAGTTTCAGTGTATGAGCAGGCAGTTTTAAGGGATGCATACCTGCTAAGAAAAAGAAGATGTAGCCTTTCATCAGAACGCCAAAAAGGTTTATGGGCAGTCTGTAGTTGACCATAGGAGATAATTTGGAACGACCTTTCAGGTCTTCCATTACATCCCTTCAGGTTGATGGCCTCTCTAAAAATGTCTCCTTCCTCTTGGGGCAGGCAGCCCCAGGCCAATTGGGCACAGCTTGGTGAGCAGAGTACCTACTGCGTTTCAGTACTTTGTCCCTTGACCAGGGCCTTCCAGCAGTGGTTGGTCTGCGCATCGTTGGCTGTGTTCAGCAACAGGGTAATGATTTGTGAACTACCCTTGTCTGTATTGCCTAATTTTCTTATTTTCACCAAGCTTACATCTTTTTAAACTTGAGGGTTACTAATGATATCAAACTGAGTTCTCAAAAATACATTAAGAAGTTTTCTTGACCAAAAGATGTTCATTCTCATTAGAAGCATTTTTAAAAATCTAATTTTCCACATTACTTCTTTTGAGCTCACTGCATCACCAATCTTCGTATTCTTTTTGTTTCCAGCCACATTTCTGCAGTGCCCCTGCCTCCTCCTAAGGGCCTTTTTGAAAATTCTAGTTTATTCATATCTATCCTGGTAAGGATGTTCTCTGAGGAAGGGTCGAGGAGTGGCATATGTGACTTAATCACTTTAGAAATGGGTCATATTTCTGAAACTGTTAACTTGGGAACTCCTGCACGTTTTAAATTAAGAGGATTTGAGAATATTAAAAAGAGAATACAGATTCCATAAATACTTTATTTATATATTTGTTGATTTCTTCATCCATTTATCTTGTGCTAAGTACTGAGCTAGATGCTGTGGCGAAAGCAGAGATGAATAAGTTGTCCGTGTCCTTGAGGTTGTTACAGTTTGATGACACAGACAAAAATAAACATTTTATGGTACAGGGTACAGTGGGTTAAATAAGTTCCAAGTGCTACAGCAGTTCAGATAAGGGAGAGGTTCCTTTTGGTTAGTAGGATCTGTGAAACTTGTTAGCAGTGACTTTTTTTTTGTAGTTGTTTTTATTATTATTATACTTTAAGTTTTAGGGTACATGTGCACAATGTGCAGGTTTGTTACATATGTATACATGTGCCATGTTGGTGTGCTGCACCCATTAACTCATCATTTAGCATTAGGTATATCTCCTAATGCTATCCTTTCCCCCTCCCCCGACCCCACAACAGGCCCCGGTGTGTGATGTTCCCCTTCCTGTGTCCATGTGTTCTCATTGTTCAATTCCCACCTATGAGTGAGAACATATGGTGTTTGGTTTTTTGTCCTTGCGATAGTTTACTGAGAATGATGATTTCCAATTTCATCCATGTCCCTACAAAGGACATGAACTCATCAATTTTTATGGCTGCACAGTATTCCATGGTGTATATGTGCCACATTTTCTTAATCCAGTCTATCATTGTTGGACATTTGGGTTGGTTCCAAGTCTTTGCTATTGTGAATAGTGCTGCTATAAACATACATGTGCATGTGTCTTTATAGCAGCATGATTTATAATCCTTTGGGTATATACCCAGTAATGGGATGGCTGGGTCAAATTGTATTTCTAGTTCTAGATCCCTGAGGAATCGCCACACCGACTTCCACAATGGTTGAACTAGTTTACCGTCCCACCAACAGTGTAAAAGTGTTTCTATTTCTCCACATCCTCTCCAGCACCTGTTGTTTCCTGACTTTTAATGATCACCATTCTAACTGGTGTGAGATGCTATCTCATTGTGGTTTTGATTTGCATTTCTCTGATGGCCAGTGATGATGAGCATTTTTTCATATGTTTTTTGGCTGCATAAATGTCTTCTTTTGAGAAGTGTCTGTTCATATCCTTCACCCACTTTTTGATGGGGTTGTTTGTTTTTTTCTTGTAAATTTGTTTGAGTTCATTGTAGATTCTGGATATTAGCCCTTTGTCAGATGAGTAGGTTGCAAAAATTTTCTCCCATTCTGTAGGTTGCCTGTTCACTCTGATAGTAGTTTCTTTTGCTGTGCAGAAGCTCTTTAGTTTAATTAGATCCCATTTGTCCATTTTGGCTTTTGTTGCCATTGCTTTTGGTGTTTTAGTCATGAAGTCCTTGCCCATGCCTGTGTCCTGAATGGTATTGCCTAGGTTTTCTTCTAGGGTTTTTATAGTTTTAGGTCTAACGTTTAAGTCTTTAATCCATCTTGAATTAATTTTCATGTAAGGTGTAAGGAAGGGATCCAGTTTCAGCTTTCTACCTATGGCTAGCCAGTTTTCCCAGCACCATTTAGTAAATAGGGAATCCTTTCCCCATTTCTTGTTTTTGTCATGTTTTGTCAAAGATCAGATAGTTGTAGATATGCGGCATTATTTCTGAGGGCTCTGTTCTGTTCCATTGATCTATATCTCTGTTTTGGTACCAGTACCATGCTGTTTTGGTTACTGTAGCCTTGTAGCATAGCTTGAAGTCGGGTAGCATGATGCCTCCAGCTTTGTTCTTTTGACTTAGGATTGGCTTGGCGATGCGGGCTCTTTTTTGGTTCCATATGAACTTTAAAGTAGTTTTTTCCAATTCTGTGAAGAAAGTCATTGGTAGCTTGATGGGGATGGCATTGAATCTGTAAATTACCTCGGGCAATATGGCCATTTTCACGATATTGGTTCTTCCTACCCATGAGCATGGAATGTTCTTCCATTTGTTTGTATCCTCTTTTATTTCATTGAGCAGTGATTTGTAGTTCTCCTTGAAGAGGTCCTTCACGTCCCTTGTAAGTTGGATTCCTAGGTATTTTATTCTCTTTGAAGCAATTGTGAATGGGAGTTCACTCATGATTTGGCTCTCTGTCTGTTATTGGTGTATAAGAATGCTTGTGATTTTTGCACATTGATTTTGTATCCTGAGACTTTGCTGAAGTTGCTTATCAGCTTGAGGAGATTTTGGGCTGAGACTATGGGGTTTTCTAGATATACAATCATGTCATCTGCAAACAGGGGCAATTTGACTTCCTCTTTTCCTAATTGAATACCCTATATTTCCTTCTCCTGCCTGATTGCCCTGGCCAGAACTTCCAACACTACGTTGAATAGGAGTGGTGAGTGAGGGCATCCCTGTCTTGTGCTCGTTTTCAAAGGGAATGCTTCCAGTTTTTGCCCATTCAGTATGATATTGGCTGTGGGTTTGTCATAGATAGCTCTTATTATTTTGAGATACATCCCATCAATACCTAATTTATCGAGAGTTTTTAGCATGAAGGGTTGTTGAATTTTGTCAAAGGCCTTTTCTGCATCTACTGAGATAATCATGTGGTTTTTGTCTTTGGTTCTGTTTATATGCTGGATTACATTTATTGATTTGCGTATGTTGAACCAGTCTTGCATCCCAGGGATGAAGCCCACTTGAACATGGTGGATAAGCTTTTTGATGTGCTGCTGGATTCGGTTTGCCAGTATTTTATTGAGGATTTTTGCATTAATGTTCATCAAGGATATTGGTCTAGAATTCTCTTTTTTGGTTGTGTCTCTGCCAGGCTTTGGTATCAGGATGATGCTGGCCTCATAAAATGAGTTAGGGAGGAGTCCCTCTTTTTCTATTGATTGGAATAGTTTCAGAAGGATTGGTACCAGCTCCTCTTTGTACCTCCGGTAGAATTCGGCTGTGAATGGATCAGATGACAGTGGGATGGGAAGAGAATAATTACGGGCCGATAGTGTGGCAAGGCACAGATACTATCTGGGGGTAGAGGGGCATGTGGTCTGATTTGTCTGAAATGTAATTTAAAAGGATGATAATAACAAGGAGAGCAATTATTTACTGGTTACCTACTATGTGCATACATTATTTCTACTCTACACAACCTTATGAGATCAGCATTATTATTCCATTTACAGATAGAAAATCTTCATCTCAGAGTAGTCACGTAACTTGCCCATGGTTATTTAACTGATAAGTGGTGGTATTGAGAGTCAGATGCAGACCTGTCTGATTCAAAAGCCTCTGTTCCTTCTGCTGTATTACAGTCTTCAACTTGTGTATTTGGAGAAGAAAATGAGGAATGATATTTAGTGTGCAGATTAAAGAGCCTGAACTTCAGTAGATTATATAGGGCAAGAGACAGGAGGAAGTTCAGTCAAAGGGATATATTGTGAAGATGGTTTTACTCTTTCAATTGAATTATCTACCCTAAGTCCCATGTCTAAATGATGCACACAGGTGGGGAAACGAATATGCTTTGATTGCAAGAGACTTGTTAAATAAGGTATTTGTCTAGCAAAAGATTGCTCATAGCTAGATAACACTATAAAAAACAATGATGATGACAGTAAGTAGATGTCTTCACTGAATGCCAACAAAAAGACAAAAATGATATTATCTCTGATGCTCACAACTACTTGTAGCACAGTTGTATCATCTGTCACCTTGATGTAGTGGAAAGAGCAGAGGTGTAGAGCCAGAAAGAACTTGGTTTAAATTCTGCCTCCACCCTTTTCTAGTTATTGAGGTTATTTAATACTTGTGAAACTCAAAATTCTCATCTGTAAAATGTGTATACATGCATGTATATCATAAAGTTGTTGTGTATGTTAGAGAAAATGAACTTCTAATGCATTTTATAACCAAAAAGGAATAATTAGGTAATAAAAATAAAATTCTACTAGAGAGGCAAGGGTATTTCTGAGTATGCCTAAGCAGAAAACATGATAATGGCATGACAAAAATATGAATAGTTATAGTATCAAAATTTAGTCTACTTTGCTAAAGGTGGTTCTTTCCTTTACAAAAAAAAAACTACATACCAAAACAAGCAACTGAGTATATAATGTTGAATTTAAATACATTCTCAGAATTAAGTGCATTTATATCCATATATATAACATCAAAATATTGCTAAAAATTATTGGTTTTAGAGCCTCATGAAAAGGACAACTAATTCTTACTATGCTGAAATATGCTTTTACCTCCATTGTATTAATGCAGTTCTGTCTGACTTTTTAATAATAGCTTTTAATTCTTTCTGAGAAAAAAACTCAGTACATCAAAAGTAGGTCATGCTGTGCATAGATTTCTTTTCGTAGCTTGATGTGCGCTTACCTAGTAGATTGTGAATTCAGTTCTCGGAATGAAAAATGGATGATTCTGACATCTCTATTGAACATCAGAAATAGAAATGTGTTGAAAGTATTGCTGCAGTTGTTTTGAAGGTAATATTCTTGCAAAAAACAGTTGTCTAGAAGACTGTTTTTGTTAACAGATTCTTCTAATTGAGACCCTTGTGTGGAAATCTCCCAGAGGGAAATCCTATAATTGGTGAAAGCAGCAAGGAAATGTACAGCATGCCAGATAATTTCATCTTCCTGAAGCCCTTGCCCCTAATGCTTTAATTGATCTCATACCTTATCCCAGGACACAGAACCTCAATTAACTTATTCAAAGAATTATTTGGAACAACTTTTAAGCATATATAATTATCATTGACTTTAGGATGTGTTTATGCTCATCTTGGAACATATTCTTATTGAACAAGGTCCCTATTGAATTTCCATAGTGTTGCCTGACTTGTAAAGCAGGAAACAAAAATGAAAACAAAACAAAACAAAAAAAACAAAACAAAACAAAACAAAACAAAACACCTCCCAAACTGAGAAGCGATTTTCTTGAAAGAGTTTCTTTTTGGGAAATTATGATAAAGTGCTGAGAAATAAGTCCATCCTGTGAAATATTTTGTCAACTTTTCCCTGGAGTAGTCTATATACAAAATATAGTTTTAAAATATCAGTAAATTAAGGCAATAAATGAATTAGTTTATCCCTCCCTTGCAATCTAAATCTGAATCTTGTTTTAATCTAGACATGTATAAAATGCTACAGCATCATTCACTGCTCTTAGTATTCCTCAGCTTTAAAAATATATACATTTTATATACAGGTATTCCTCAGCTTTAAAAATATATACATTTTAACCCTAGGATTTATCCTATTTTAGGAATTTGTCTCTTATAACTAGTCATAAATTTGGATGCACAAATGATACAAAAATGGTCACTGTAACGTTATTTATAAAAGCAAAATATTGGAAAAATCTTAAATATTTAATAATAGGAGGGGACTTAAATGAATTAGACTAGACTCCTAGGTTAGAATATTATGTAGCTATTAAAATGAATTTTTTGAGGAATAGTTAACACTTCAGGAAATTCTCAGGGTTTGATATAAAGATTATAATAAAAATTACATGTACAGTGTCTATTCAAATTTTAAAAATCTCAAATTATGTTTGCATTAAAATTATTGGAAGGAAATACGTCAAAATATACTGCGTATTTTGGGGCAATGGAATTTTGGGTGATTTGTTTTCTTCCCTGTCTATTCTTTCATTCATTCTTTCAGCAAGTCTTTATTGAGAATCTAACATGTAATAGACACAATACTAGAGCTGCACATTCAATGTGGAACAAAAATTAAATGGCCTCTGTCATCATCATGCTACCAATTTAGGGGGGAAGATATATATTAATAAAAAATCACACAAATAAATGTAAAATTATACCCATGATAAGTGCTAAGAAGGAAGGTGACTATGAGAGAATACAGTAGGGAATCTAGCATAATATGGGGTTTAGTTCACTGAGGAACTGATGAATGAACTAAAATCTGATGTCTGGGTAAGAGATTTAAGCTGATGCCTGGGGGACAGGAATAGTATTGTAAATCCCCCATACTAGGATGGAGCATGGTATGTTTAAAGAATTGAAAGAAGCCGAGTGTTGTGATGTGGGAAGAGGGCTTGGGGAGAGTGATATAAGATTTTGTTTTTAACGTTTCATTCTTCTGCAACATGGAAAAGAAATTGGGAGGAAGAGAAGCAGAATCAGGGAACCATGCTGGGGGATTTTAGCAGTAGGACAGGTGAGTGGTGATGTTACATTGGATTAAGGTGATGAAGTTGGGGATGGAGAGTCGAGTGAAAGAATTCAAGATGTACTTAGGAGGTAACAATGAAATTGACTTGATGATGGGTTATACACAGGTGTAAAGGAGCAGGGGAAACTGAAGATGCCTTCTAGATTTAGCTTGAGCAGCTGGTTGGAACATGGTGCCAATCATTGATATAGGGATAGGGGAGAGGATCAGGCTTGAGAAGGGAGGTAATGTGTTTGGCTTAGGATTTGTTAATATGAGTTACCTTTAAGATATTCAAGTGGGGATAATAGAAGTCAGTTGGATATGTGGTTCTCAAACTCAGAAAAGTCAGAGTCTATTCATTATCTTATCCCTAGTGCCTGGCACATTTTGAGTGTCCAATACATATTTGTAGAATGAATGAATGAATGGACTGGATAAATAAATTTGGGGGTCATTGGCTATGATTGATAACTGATATCCTATTGGATAAAATTCCTAAGAGCAGAGGATAGAATGAGAAGATAAGATGACATTAAAAAGCCCCTTAGAAAATCCTCTATTTAATGACTTTGAAGGAGGTGAAGGACACAGAAAGTAGAGAAGTAGTAAGGAAACTGGTTAAAAGGTTACCATGCAAACCAGCAGAGAGAGGTCAACCATGTCAAAAGTGCTGGTAAGCCATGTAAAGTGACAACTGAAAATATTTTTTGGGTTTAGATACTGAAAGCCTTTGATGACTTTAACAGGAGCTATTTGGTAACGTGTGAGTGGGACGTAAGAGGAACAGCGAGTAAGGAAGATATCTAAATGGTGATGTGGGGGTAAAAGGAAGTTATTATTATTATTATTTTAATTGACAGTCATTGGGAAGGATGGATTAAGAGTGTGTGTGTGTGTGTGTGTGTGTGCGCGTGTGTGTGTGAGAAAGACAGAGAGAAATTTGAAAAACAAGAAAGAGAAGAAATAATCTATTATTTAAATTTCCTATGAAAGTCAGAGGAGATGAAATTCAATGCTATCATAAGTTCTAAAGGAATATTTTTAAGGATAATAAATAAAAGCTGTAGTAGTTAGGTGGTAAGAAGGTCTTTTCTATACTATTCTGTATTTTCCAATGTCCCTATAATATGTATGTCACTTTTCTTACCAGAAAGTAGGTTAAAAAAAGACATCCTCATTTTACTGTCATTTTAGCCAATATTCTGAACTGCTAAATGAATGGAAATCTAGAGAAAAATGAATATATAGCAAATAAAAGTATTGGGTAGATTAAAAAGTTTAGGTGAAACTAAACTAAACATAAACATTTTCTGAGTTTTGAAATTCATTTGAGATTTTATATCCCATTTCCCAGGACCACTGTCTCCAGGAACCTACTTTCAGCCTGGAAATTTTACTGGTTCAGGAACAAGAAGTTATTCTTCCAGACTGGTTTACCGTGGCCACTTCTGGGAAAAAAGGAAACATGTTCTGTTTTTGTCAGCATATTTAGAAAAAAAAGGTACATTATTGTTTTCAAAATATTTTTGAGGATAACAGCCAAATGGAGGAGATTTCTTAGCATCATCAAGTTATAGCACATTTGTGATATATTAATATTAGGGTCATAGATCCAAACATAATCTTCTTTTAGTAGGGACTTATAGATCATCTAGTTCAGCAAATGTATTTTCAGACCAAGAAATTGAGGCTTAGAGAGAGTGACTTAATTAATACTGTAGCTTCTTTCCCTCATCCCCATTCTGGTGAGGAGGTACAATTTGTTAAACAGAGAACATAAATATTTCATAATAAAATATAAAATATTGTGGGACTTGCTAATATCAGCTCTCATATTCAGAGCAAACTTGAATGCTCTCTCGACTCTTGTGTTTTTGGTCTGGTGGAATTCCCAATTAATGGCATAGTCTTACAGCAACATTTCCCAGACGGTTGTAACAAATGTTACTAGGTCTTCTATTAATGTTGCATAATATATTCCTCCTTTGAGGTTCACACCTCACCTTAGCATATGAAGAGTTGTCATAAGCCCTGAAGTGAATTATATTTTAAAACTGTTTAAGAGCCAGGCACATTTATTATACATTTTTAAGAGTTGTATTTTTTAAATAATAGAGCAGGAAAAAACTTTAGAGATTTATTTAGGGTAGCAGGAGTGGGGATACTCAGACATGCAATTGTATGGAGAAACCATCACCAGTGCTCATTGAACTTTGCCTACCTGCCTCCCCAAGGTGCTGATTCCACCAACATTTTCCAGAGTGCATGCACTAGATCACAGCAAAGGGCCTTAAAGAATTGTGGAAAGCATGTTAAGCAACTATAGGAACCAGCAGAGCTTCAGTCACAGTTACAGTGGTCGCCTATCAAGATGACAAAAGGCTTCACCTGATAAAAATCATCTCTTACAACAATGGAAAATTCCAATCATTAGAGTTCTATGGATGGTTAAAGCATTGATTCTAAAAGGCCCCTGTTAAAACTGTAGTTCTTCAAAATGGAAAGGGCAGTATATTAGAAGGGCAGGGTTGATGTACAAATGTGCAAAATGATATTGCTAAATTCCAATATTACTTTAACAATTATTTAATAAAAGTGTTTCAGTGAAGAATAGGCCATCCAAAGAGTTACATGAGTGTTTACCTCATTTAAGTGAAGAATACTGTAGAACCTGCATTTTTAAATTGACTTAAAAATTTCACATACCATAAAATACGTTCTCTTAAAACATACAATCCAGTGGTTTTTAGTACATTAACAAGGTTATGCCACCATTACCAAAATCTGATTCCAGATATTTTCATCTAAAAAGAAACCCCATACACATTAGCAATCACTTACACTTTCTCTCTATCCCCAGAATCTGGCAACCACTAATCTTTCTGTCTGTATGGATTTGCCTATTCTGGACATTTCATATAAATGGAATCATACCATATATGGCCTTTTGTGCCTGGCTTCTTCCACTAGCATAATGTTTTCAAAGTTCATCTATGCATGTATCAATACTTTTTCCTTTTAATGGCTGAATAATATTCCATTCTATATATATCCAACATTTTTTATGGGTTGCTTCCACTTGCTGACAGTTATGAATAATGCTGCTGTGAACATCTCTATACAAGTGTTTGTGTAGACATAAGTTTTCAGTTCTCTTGGGTATAAATCTAAGAGTGGAATTGCTAGATATGGTAATTCTATGCTTAACTTTTTGACAAACTTCCAAACTGCTTTCTAAAGTGGTTGCACACTTTTACCTTCTTATTAGTAATGTAAGTAGGTTCCAATTTCTACATATCCTGGACAACACTTGATTTTGTCTGTCTTTTTTATTTTAGCCAGCTACAGAGTGGGAAATGTTATCTCATTGTGGCATTTCCCTAATGGCTAATGATGTTGAGCATTTTTCCTGTGCTTATTGTCTATTTGCCTATTTTATTTTATTTTATTTTATTTATTTATTTTTTTGAGATGGAGTCTTGCTCTGTCACCCAGACTGGAGTTCAGTGGCGCAATCTTGGCTCACTGCAACCTCTGCCTCCCAGGTTCAAGGAATTCTCCTGCCTCAGCCTCCCAAGTAGCTGAGACTACAGGCACCTGCCACCACACCCGGCTAATTTTTGTATTTTTAGTAGAGATGGGGTTTCACTATGTTGGCTAGGCTGGTTTCGAGCTCCTGACCTCAGGTGATCTGCCCACCTTGGCCCCCCAAAGTTCTGGGATTACAGGCGTAAGCCAACATGCCTGGCTTATTTGCCTGTTTTCTTTCAATAAATGTTGATATGGTTTGTCTCTGTCCCCACCCAAGTCTCATCTTGAATTGTAGCTCCCATAATTCCTATGTGTTGTGGGAGGGACCCAGTGGGAGATAATTGAATCATGGGGGGTGGTTCCCCCATACTGTTCTTGTGGTAGTGAACCCCTATTGCCTGACTCTCATTCTCAATCTCTCGTCTGCTACCATGTAAGACATGTCTTGCTCCCCTTTGCCTTCCACTGTGATTGTGAGGCCTCCCCAAGCCATGTGGAACTGTGAGTCAATTAAGCCTCTTTCCTTTATAAATTACCCAGTCTTGGGTATGTCTTTATTAGCAGCGTGAGAACGGACTAATACAAATGTCTATTTAGGTTCCTTGCCCATTTTGAAGTTGGGTTATTTGTTTTTTAATGTTGAATTGTATGAGTTCTCCCTATGTTATGGATACTAGTACCTTATCAGAGATAATCTACCAATATTTTCTCCCATTCTGTGTATTTTTCCATTTTCATGATAGTGTCCTTTGAACCATAAATGCATTCACTTTTATATCAACTATCTTAGAACTAAAAATTTAGAGGCAGTGGCTAATAGTGAATGAAAATTTAACAGATCTAAATAAAATAAATGTTCAAGAACATTCTATTTTGTGGAAATTTTCAGTTTCTTTAAATTAAACTTAGAATTATTTGCTAAATATTTTACCGTTAAAACATTGAAATGAAGGATTTGCCTTTTAAATGGAACTCTTCATTTCACTGTAAAGAAAGAACAAGATGTCTTTGCCTTCATTCTTTCCTGACAAAACTGGCTCTTTATTGTACCCTTTGCTTAATCAGCATGAGAGACACTCTAGAGCAAGCTCATTCATGTTGAGGCACAAAGATATGTACTGATGAGTGAAAAAGCATCATCTTGTAATTTTCAGTGTCCTGAAACTCATAGGTGGCTTTCCTAACTCTTTCTTCTAAACCATGTCTCAAGGAGAATGCAAGAAAAAAAAAGATAAACAAAACCTTAACAAAAACAACAAACAGTATCAGGTATCACTTTCAGTTTGGAGATCAGCGTTCCCCTGATTATTTAGTGGGAACATCTTTGTAACGGTTATAATGATAATGGTAAAAACACTTGCTATCTTTTATGGGATGTATCCTATATATTAATTCAGCTAATGCTGTGAAATGAATATTTTAGGTATCTCTATTCTCAGATGAGAAAACTAATTTTAGAAAGGTTAACTAACTTGCCTTAGATTGCACAGCTAGTTAACGGTCAAACTATAGCATCACTTTCAGAGACATTTAAAGGAGAGAACCTTAATCCTATACTGAACAGGCTGAAAGGTGATATTCTACTACAGGCTTCCACTGATTATTTTATTTCTAAGGCAGTTTTCTTAACTTAAAGGTCTATCCACCTGTGACTAATTCCTCTGTTCAGGGTTGGGATGATGATGTCGATGGTAATAATGAGGATATCAACAACAACAATAGCTTCTTTGAGTGCTTCCCTTTGTTAACACAAATATCTGCAAGCAATACTCTAAAGTTATATTATATCCAGTTTACAGATGAGGAAGCTGAGGGGTACAGTGGGCTGCAGCTTGTCTAGGGTTATGTGGTGGCAGAACTGAGAATAAACCCAGTTTTATTTGACTTCGAAACACTGAGCACCATTACATGTAGACAGAAGTTTTTGACTGATTTGTCACCATCATTTAGTTATCAATGGCTTTCATAGATTTTAAACCCTGGGATTTAAACATTGTATATAAGACCAGAGATGATAAATAAATTTAGCTTAATATAATTAATTGTACAGTGAAAATTCTCACATGTATAGAAGAGAAAAACCAACAGTAAAACAAGTTACAGTAGTTATCTATTTGTTGCCTGCCAATTTCTCCCTTTGGCACCCACAGTAGCCTTGATTTCCATTTGGGAACCATGTAGATATGAAAAGGTAACACCATGGATGGCTCCAGGGGTTATAAGTCAGGTTTGATCTAATTCAATTAGGGAAGTCCATTTTCCCAGATGTAGTAACATGTTCCCAGGTGGCCTGAGCTGGTCCAATCGGAAAGAATTTAGGACTTTTCCCAGGAACGCTAGGAAGGACACAGATGCTCTTCTCCAGTGTGTAAGGGCCTATCCTCGAACTACTGCAGCCATTTTTTTTTTTTTTTTTTTTTTTTTTTTTTTGAGACGGAGTCTCGTTCTGTCGCCCAGGCTGGAGTGCGGTGGCCCGATCTCGGCTCCCTGCAAGCTCCGCCTCCTGGGTTCACGCCATTCTCCTGCCTCAGCCTCCCGAGTAGCTGGGACTACAGGCGCCCACCACCATGTCTGGCTAATTTTTTTTTTTGTGCTTTTAGTAGAGACGAGGTTTCACCATGTTAGGCAGGATGGTCTCGATCTCCTGACCACGTGATCCACCCGCCTCGGCCTCCCAAAGTGCTGGGATTACAGGCGTGAGCCACCGCGCCCAGCCTCATTTTTGTTTACATGGGGGAGTCATTCTGTGGACTGATAGGTAGAATGAAGAACTGAGAGCATTGCAGAGAATCGCATCTAGTCTTGATGTGATAGCAAATGATATTGCCTGAAGCTTGATCAGCCTCTGAGCCTTTGAGTCATGTGAATCATTCCCTTCACCTGTTTAGCCATTTTGAGATGTTTTCCTAACTTTTGCAACATATCTGTACTGATGCCATCTTCTCTGATTCCACTTGCTGTCTCCACTATTCACATTTTCTGTTGTTTATATGACATCTTGTCTTACTAGTCAGCTTTTCATGTGTCATCTGTTTTTTTACCTTCAAGATTATAAGCTATATTTGTTGCATTAGAAAGAAACAGGTGACACTTCCCAAATTATATTTCATATCAGGAAATGTATGCTTCTTACTTAAGACTTTTGAGGGGTAGAGCAAATAAATTTTAGAACAAGAAGTGCTTTTGGCCGGGTGCGGTGGCTCATGCCTATAATCCCAGCACTTTGGGAGGCCGAGGCGGGTGGATCACAAGGTCAGGAGTTCAAGACCAGCCTGGCCAACATGATGAAACCCCATCTCTACTAAAAATACAAAAATTAGCCAGGTGTGGTGCTCTGCACCTGTAGTTCCAGCTACTGGGGAGGCTGAGGCAGGAAAATTGCTTGAACCCCGGAGGCAGAGGTTGCAGAGAGCCAAGATTATGCCACTGCATTCCAGCCTGGGTGATAGTGCAAGACTCCATCTCAAAAAAAAAAAAAAAAGGTGCTTTTGTCTACATAATTTTTCTTAATAAGTAACAATAAAGCATTTAGCTGGGTAGCAAAGGAATTAAAAGCCTGTCAGTAGTGTTTGGTGTTATTAAGAAACTATCACATTGTCATTCAGTTTGCTACTCTGTGTAAAGCAAATTGATGTACACCGAAATTGAGCTATCTAGTGTGAAGAAAATGTGTGTGTGAATGTGGGTGTTAGCACTTTCACCCTGGCAAACACAATCAATAGTGTGACATAGCTAGACAATATCCAAGAAATAATAGTGTATCTTAAAATATTCAAAAATTCAACCCATCAGTCTATGCACTTCTTGATCAAAGGTGTTAACAATTTTTATTAGGAGGGGTTCTTTATACTGACAAAAATGTGAAGATTCCTCACCCCCACATTATGGTAATATGGTTTAGTGGCTATTGAAGAGAAGATACTTTTGAATGGTGTTGGAAAATATACAAATCTAATAGAAAGGTTAGATAGAAAATTTACAACAAACATAAGATTGAGAATATATGCAATTGAAGAGTATATACGTAGGTGGATACTAATTGATTAGGATTTGGGAAGAGTCGCTATTGAACTCAAATATTCTGGATGAAGAAGCTGAGACATAGCTTTCCAATAATCAATTTTGAATGGATTTATGGAAAAAATGACATTTCAGTCAATTTAAAATTAATGGCTTTATTAGGCTGTTTTTGCATTGCTATAAAGGAAAACCTGAGACTAGGTAATTTATAAAGAAAGGTGACTTAATTGGCTCACAGTTATAAAGAAAAGAGACTTACTTGGCTCACTGTACAAGCCTGGCACTAATATCGGCTGAGCTCTGGTGAGGGCCTCAAGAAGCTCACAATCATGGTGAAGGGCGAAGTGGGACTGGGCATGTTACATGGTGAGAATGGGAGCAAGAGAGCAAGGGGTCATGAGGTCCCAGACTTAAACGACCAGATCTCATGTGAACTAACTGAGTGAGAACTCACTTATCACTTAATCACCAAGGGATGGTACTAAACCATTCATGAGGAATCTGCCCCCATGATCCAACTTCCTCCCACCAGGCTTCACCTCTAACATTGTGAATCACATTTCAAAATGAGATTTGGAGGAGACAAACATACAAGCCTTATCAATGGCAAAGAATAGCTTAGTGGTTTTGAGGGAGAAGTGGGTTACAGATCCTTGGCATTTCTTGGAAAAATATTAAGTGGTGGGCATAAGATGATGAATAGACTGGGGTATGCAGAGGAATGTCTGAGATGAGGGTAGGGTGACATGAAACATCCAGAGGTAAAGAAAATAATACTATAAACTTCTTGACACCATCTTCATTTTTGTTTTCATGACTGAGTCGGCATCAGTTAACTTCAACTCCCAACTTGCTTTTGGCTTCTACAAGGAACTTCTTTCCTGTGCACCTTGATCCACCCAGTGGAAAATTTCCATCATTTCTGTCTGAATGTTCTGCCTCTGAACCACTTGTATTCAAGGCCAGTGATTTTACCTCTTAACTCTTTCTGCACTCCATCCATTCCATTCCGTTCCCTGCCATCGCCTTCTCTTTGTCTCTCATCCTTACTGTTTTAATAGCTTCCTGACTGGCCTCACTTGCTTCCAGTTTATTTCTACTCCATTTCATTATCTTCACTGTGGCCAAAGTGAATTCTGAAACCCAGAAATTGCCCACGTATTTTATTGTGTATCAGGTTAGATGCTGCTCCAGGACAAAGACAAATCTCTGAAGGAAGGATTTTAAGATGTTAAAATCCTTAGATGGCAAGATCTTACCATCTTGCCCAATCTTTTTTTCAGTCTGATCCCTGCCATTCTCTACCATCCATGCAATGTTCTAGGCTCGTGGAAAAGAGTTAGATGTTTCTTGAATATGGTATGCATGGATACATCTCTGAGGTGTTGTTTGTACCGTTTCTTTTCTTTCTTTTGAGACAGAGTCTTGCTCTGTCACCCAGGCTGGAGTGCAGTGGTGTGATCTCGGCTCACTGCAACCTCTGCCTCCCAGGTTCAAGCGATTCTCCTGCTTCAGCCTCACGAGTAGCTGGGATTACAGGTGCCCGCCCCCATGCCCAGCTAATTTTTGTATTTTTAGTAGAAATGGGGTATCACCATATTAGCCGGGCTGGTCTCGAACTCCTGACCTCAAGTGATACACCCATCTCAGCCTCCCAAAGCACTGGGATTACAGGCGTGAGCCACCGTGCCCAGCTTGTGTTGTTTCTTTGCTTGAAATGCCAACTCTGTGCCCCAGTACCCCTTTTTACCCTAATCAAATGAAGCCACCCCAATTGACTTCCAGAATCCCTCTTCCTTGACGGTAGACAATTTCTCCTTCCTCTGCATTTCCAAAAACACTCTGTAAATACCTCTCTTTAGCACTTATCAATGGAAATGTCAGAATTTGTTTTAACATTTCTAATCCCATATTGGGTTGTAAACCTCTGTGTATCCCTGACTCCAGCCAGGCCTAATATATGGTATCATTCAATACCCATTTGTTGAAGGACTATATCATTGACACCAAGAGGCAAATCTTTCTGAGCCTTTGTAGATGAGTGTACCGACTCAGAAACCTTTTGGTCCCTGGCCTCTGGGTAATGTGCTCTATCTAAGATAATAACTTCCTCTTGACTTTCTTCCACATATATCTGTGCATACACCAATACAAAGAACACATACTGGATGGCTAACAAATAGTCATTTAGTAGATTCCTTATTCTCTTTAAAGGAAAAGCTGTATCATAAGGACCTTGTGTATGCTGTTGTCTTCTAATTAATATTAGCAAGTAAAGAATTTGACTCTAGCTGTGATAAGATTAGGGAATTCAAAAGGAGGTTGCATATCCCCTGTGCTTTTTACATGTTGAAGAGTGGAGGAAAAGAAAACAGTTTAGTGGCATCATAGGACGTTGCTCTTTTGGAGCTAACCTCAAACAGATTCATGGCTGTGTAGAGATGTGATTTATAATTCAGTTTACAGGCTGTAAAACATACTAGTTTAAACCAGGAGATCTAGAGTGAGAATGCTTCAGTTTAGATCCATTCTCTGCCCTTTTAATGACTAACTGTATGACCTTGAACAAGTCACTCAACCTCTGTACATCTCAATTTCACAACATGGGTTTGTGAAGAATTGTTGGAGGATTCAATGACATAATCTATATAAAACACTTAGAATAGCATCAAGGACTTATAAAGGGCTCAAATAATGTTAGTTATTATTATTATTTGTTCTCATTAATGAGTTATTACCAGTGGTATTCTATATGCAAAATATGAATGTCTGCTTTTTGTTTGTCCAAAACTGCTTGCTCATTCACTAATGTTAATTTTTGATGACTCCAACCAGTGGCTGTTAATATACATTAAATCATAATTATAAGTAATTACAAATCTAACTTCAGACTTCTACCCAGTGCACAAAGTAAATCTATTAATTTAAAGCTGTCAAACTGCCTTGACCCAATTCTTTGCTAGAATTATCAGAATCGGAACATATTCTTAGAAAAAGTATGGGATAGCAAGTTCCCTTACACATATACCTAAACTCTGAACCTCCCAACCATTATGCATTTTGACTTCTAATGATCTCTAATAATAGAAAAAAATAGCTGTTTTTGCCATGCTAATTAGCGTGGAATCATTACACCACAAACAACAACAATTACTCACAACATAGTGGCCTTACAATATTAGGAAAATGATAACATTTTTGGTTTTTTAAAAACTGTAGGTTAATTAAGAGTCAATAGGCTTGGTCAAGCTTGAAAGGATTTCCAAAGTATTGCAATATAGAGTAGGCAAATATTGATTAAAACAACACAGCCTCAGGAAATTTCGTAGTGATTAGTTTGAATGCTTTATATTTGAACAATGGAATAAATATCATAGAAGTTAATTGGTAGTCAATACATTCTATGCAATATAGCCCAATTTATTATGCACCTAACAAAGAAATGTCTATCTACATAAGTGCAAAGTATCCTCAATTAATACTCTTTCTTATTGTCCATTTACAATTTATACAATGTGCAATATAGTACTAATTGCATTAATAATTGATTAATCATGAATCACTCTCAAAGAATGCAGTGTTAAGACTCTTCTTGAACATTTGGAAAAGCCCACATGTACAACTCACAATCCTGTCACTATGAAGTTAAGGGATGAATCTACTGTAGATGCATTTACTGAAGTTCGTAAAATTTAGGTAATTTTCGTTATGTCAAACAGAATTTATTAGTGGTCAGATATAACAAATTCTTTGTGCAACTATTGCATTACAGAGTCATCCAGGCAATTCAAATGCAATTCACTTATATGCCAAGAGATACTGAGCTTTGAGAACTTCAATACGGATGACCTAGAATTTGGTAAAAGAATGCTGTGCAGATCATAGTTTGGGTTAACAAGCTCTTTGGAGTGGCTTTTATTATTCACTTTCAAGTTGCTTGTTTGAGTATTTCTAGTATTGGGCCAAAGAAAAAGAAATAAAGCCACATTTATCTCATGCAAAGGTTTATATGACCAACTGTAAATTAACTGTACAAATTGGGGGAGAGGCAAAAAGCACAGAGCTAATTAAAATACCTAGGTGATCCTTAGGTCTCATATGTGTTTCAGCTTATTCTCCTTCCAACTCCTTTGCAGAGATACAAAAATAAAACAAAAGGGATTGACTTATATATCACCATGACCTTTCTCTCTACATACTGATGAAGATAATGAGCAGTGAAACGGAAAGCATAGGCAGAAGAAGGGAAAAGAAGGGCTCAAGATGATCTGCTACCATGTTAGGCTTAGCATAATCGTAAATTGACTGCATTTGAATAATCCCTTTCCAAATTAAATGAGGATTCAGTGTCCAAATTTTACTTTGGAAAAAACTAAACACCCCCATCAAGCCCCACAATATGCAATCCCTACGCTTCCAAAACTGCCTGATTTCTTACACTAAATTATTCCATTAGCAATGAGGTTTTCATTGCCTTTGAGCAGGAAGGCAGAGAAGATTAGAGAATGTGGTCTGGTACTTATATACAACGCAGCTATGACTTTGCCTCTTGAGTACACAGTAGGAAAGAGTACTGCAATGGACTGTTTTCTTCAAACTGGTTTATACTCAGATGACACCAAGCCATATAAACAGGAAAAGAAATGTACTAGACATGTATGGGAAATGTACTAGACATTCCCCATCAAAAGTAAATGTAAAATCAGGGTTCATTGTAAATCAGAGACAGGGATTCTGAAATAAGGAGAAGGATAGAAAATAAAGATGATTTGTTGATGAGTCTTGTTTTTCTGTTCACATTCCTTTCAACTCATTTATGAGGGCTGCATTTTTGTAAAGGTCTTTTGTAATGTGCCTATTCTGAAATGGTGTGTGTGTGTGTGTGTGTGTGTGTGTGTGTTTGTTTGTGTCTGGTTGGTGTTGTATGTGCATGCTGTTTATTGTTGGTATATGTTATGAACTGCATATTTGCATCGCCCCAAGATTCCTGTGTTGAAACTCTAACCCTGATGAATGGTATTAGGTGGTGGGGCCTTTGGGAGGTAATTAGGTTTAGATAAAGTCATGAGGGTAGGGCCATTATGATGGCATTAGTGTCCTTAAAAGGAGAGAAAGAGACTAGAGCTCTCACTCTGGGCTGTCTGCAAAACAGGAAGAGGGTCCTCACCAGACACTGGATCTGCTGGTACCCTCACCTTGGACTTATCAGGCTTCAGAACTACATTTTTATTGTTTAAGCCACCCAGTCTGTGGTATCTTTCTCTAGCTTCCAGGACTAAGTATGTATGTTTGTGAATAGCAGTTGGTGGGGTGTTTGTGTATGTGTGGTGGTTGGTGATGTGTGTGGTTGTTGGTAAATATGTGTGTGTGAATGGTGGCTGGTTGTGTGTGTGGTAGCTGATGGTGTGTATACTTGGTGGTGTGTATGTGTGTGTGTGTGTGTGTGGTTGATAGGGAGTGTGGGTTTAACTTCTGCCAGGTAGGCCACTGAATTAATATCTGGCCATTTGAACAAATGAATCTTTAGCATCCTTAGTTTATGGGGAAGCACAGATCAATGCTGAGATACTGGCTATTTGCTTTACAGTCTTTATTGCTGGCCAGTGTTTGTTCTAGTGAGATTTTATAGCAGTCCTTGATGAAGTCCTGAACCTTCTCTAAAAGCAGCTGCCCTTGAGCTTAGCCTTCTTTAAAAGAAGCTGCCCTTTCAACTAGGGGAGATCCTCCTAGTTGAAAATCTTTTCAACCTTCTTTAGGAGGAGAAAGTGAATGATGAGAATGGAGTGAGAATGAGAAAAAATGGGAGGGAGAGGAAAAGAGGATTACGGAGAGACAGAGAACAAGAGAGACATCCTCTCTATGGAACTCTGTGCAACACTGACAACCCTAGCATGATCTTGGCTTTTTCCAAATGAGGTTCTCTTTTACCATCAGAGTCGGCTGGGTTCCCAAGGCTAACAAGAATATCTCTAGTGGTGCCTCTCTGATTATTTGCAACTTCTATAAATTAGCTGAGGACTAATGTCCTGGGTGATATCACAAACCAGCAAAAGACAGCCATCCCACCAACTTTATCTGGGACAAAATTAATCTTTTCAACTCTTTGACTAAAAAGACTTGATTCATACTAAGCCCTAATATCCCCTTTTGGACACATAATAGCCTCCCTTCCTTAGCTCTTATAACTTTTAAAAGAATCAAATGGAAAAGGGGAGAGTATCTTCACTACTCATTATCTGTTGTATATACAAGGTGACTCTACTTCAATAATTGCAATGGCCAGAGAAGAATTATTGCTTCCTTGATTCTGTGACTCTGTTTTGTCCTCAGAAGGTGTATCCAAAAAAAAATCAATGTCAGCTGGCTTTAGAATAAATGTTTTTAATGGGTCTGCTGCTGCCAAGTCTGCTCAGGATGCTTGATCAATGTCTCTGCACCAGTGATAGAGGCACTGCGACTTCAGCAGCCTTGTTCTGAGCAGACCTTCTCAGGGGCTCTTGATTTAAAATGCTTACAGGGGTCAGACAGGTATTATAAATAAGTGGAGCAATTAGGCATATGACAATAGGAAATATGAGAGACTGTGTGAAATTGGAGAGTGTATCTCTTATGTAAAGGAGGCAGCTGCCAGTCTCCCTTGTCAGTTACCATGAGGCAGTGAGGGCCCTGTGTTGCAGGAACATCTGATTTTTAAGATAAAATTTCTCATATGGTTTCTTTCTATATCTAGCATAATAAACAGACTAAGTTGGGCTCACATATGGTTAAACTTGTGAAGGGGTCATCTTGAATAAAAGAATTAGGGAAACTTCTAATATTAAAACTCCTTGTAGAAGCACATTTTTGTTTCCTAGGGCTGTCATAATAAAATACCACAAACTGGGTAGCTTACAATGACAGAAATTTACTTTCTCACGGTTCTGGAGGCTAAAAGTCTACTATCAAGTTGTCGGCAGGTTTGGTTTCTCCTGAGACCTCTCTCTTTGGCTGGCAGACGGCCACCTTCTCACTGTGTCCTCACATGGTCTTTTCTTGTACTCATGCATCCCTGGAGTCCCTTTGTGTGTCCAAATGTCCTCTACTCAGGACACCAGTCAGACTGGATTAGGCTCTACTCTAATGGTTTATCTTAATAACTCTCTTTAAAGGTTCTGTCTCCAAGTATAGTCATGTTGTGAGGTGCTGGGGGGTTAGGGCTTCAACATATGAATATGGAGGAGGGACACAATTCAGCTTGTAATGAGGCAACACTTCACTGTCTGGGTTCTGCAGAGGCAGGCAGCTCGGGCATCTGCACCCATTCTCCTCATTTGGACCAGTAGACAAGTACGTATTACAAACAAGGAGGGAACAACTCCAGCATCACATAGACAGTGACTTAATTAATGGTTTACACCTATCCCTAGACAAGAATCCCGAAAGAAACTTGTGATTAATGCAGATTATAAAGGCTTGCTAGAGAGAGTGTGGAAGTACTCAACTCCTGCAACAGAATCAACTTGTTTCATCAGTGCAAGGCATATTCCATTCTGGAGATGGCATTGTCCTTAAATAGTTAGTAATTGGTACTTCAGTGCATTCCAGCATTTGTTATCAAGCACAGATCCTATTCTGTAAGACAAAGCATCTGTGGAGAGAAGTGGTGGTTTATGCTCTCCATCTGTGTGTTGCCACAGTCTTAGAAGTCAATAACTGCTTAGCCTTCCAGATAGAGGCTCCCACATTAGTGATGAGAATAACTCCACAAACTGTTTTTTTCTGGTCAAGATGAGTTTACCTATTTTGGACAACAATAAAAAAAAAAGCACACTAGAAATTGAATATCCTAAGGAAGTGCTTGAAGCTCTTCACTTTACACAAAAGTTTATGTTCTTTTCGTTGGGTGGGAAGAAAACCAACAAAATAAATCTGGTAACTTAAGAATTTGATACTGACTTATACAACTCCATAGCATGAAAAAAAAACCCAATTGAAAAAAACAAGCAAAATACTTGAATAGAGATTTTTCCAAAGAAGACATACAAATGGCCAACAGTTATATGAAAAGGTGCTCAACATCACCAATCAGCAGAGAAATGCATATTAAAACAGCAATGAGATATCAAATTACACCTGTTAGGGAGGGCTACTGTCAAAAGGACAAGAGGCAAGTGTTGGCAAATGTCTGGGGGAAAGGGAACATTCGTAAATTGTTGTTGGGAATGTAAATTTGTACAGCCATTATAGAAGAGTGTATGGAGGTTCCTCAAAAAAATTAAAAACAGACCTACCATATAGCCCAGCAATTCCACTGCTGGGTATACAACCAAAGGACATGAAATCAGTGTCTCTAAGAGATATCTGCACCCCCATGTTCACTGCAGCCTTATTCACAATAGCCACGATATGAAAACAATCCAAGTGTCAACAGATGAATGAATTAAAAAAATGTAGTGCACACACACGAATATTATTTGGCCATAAAAAAGAAGAAAATCTACCATTTTTGAGAACATGAATGAACCTGGAAGACATTGTTAAGTGAAACAACTCAGTCACAGAAACACAGATACAGGATGATGTCACTTATTTGTGAAATCTAAAAACATCAAACTCATAGAAACAGAATAGAACAGTCATGACCAGGGATTAGGGATGGAGGAAATAGGGAGATGTTGATCAAATGGCCCAACTTCTAGTTACAAGATGAACAAATTCTGGGAATCTAAGGTATAGCATGAGTGGTGATGAATGTGTTAATTAATTAGATTGTGACAATTATTACATAATGTATACGTATATCAAATCATCACCTTGTATAATTTGAATATATGCAATCTTCAATTGTCAATTCAGTATTTTTTAAAAGAATTTGACTCAATGTTCTCATTTCACATGTCTATATCTCACTTGGTTACTGGCTGAATCAAAATGGTGTTGTAAGTGCTGCAGCATTTTTGCAATCCGATGAGTAGAGCATCAACATATGGTATTATATTTGGAGTCCTAGGAAGTAGGGTTTTCTGGAAAATTTCTAGGCATCAAACGGCTGTGAGTAGATTCTTGACTTCAGCTTTCTGAGTCAGTTTTTTCACTTAAGAGTTTGGATTTAGGTCTCAGAGGCTCTAGTTCATCCCCGTGAAGTGTGAGGGGATAGAAAAACAGGGTTGGGGTGAGAGTTGTCATATGTAGGCCATGTGTACCCCAAGACAGAGAAAGCTCATCTGCAGAGAAGGATACAAATAAAACAGACAAATCAAGAGAAGTAGAAAAGGGAGCCTCTTCACTCCTAAGGTAGTGATAAGTTAACCACCGCCCCTAATTCCCAATTCCTTGCTTCAATCTCTGGTGCAGTCCAGGTATATTTTCTGCCCTTGGGTTACATGGAATATCCATATATCTTTCTAGTAAATACCACTATTCACTTAAGATACATTGAAAGTTTCTGTTTATTGCAATCAAAATACATCCTAGATCAAATCAAGCAATCAATTAATCTTGAGAATCATTCAATTCTGAATAATCATCCCAGATCTTTTCATTTCTTCATTTCTAGATTGTCTTTGTAGTCAATTGTAGATTTTCCCACCAGTTTACACTCTTCCCAAGTTTTGAAGAAGCAAATGCGACATTTTTATTTCCCAGTTTATATTACTTCTGATCAGATTTTCTATAGTTTGAAAGTTTTACTTCTGAAATTCTTCTGAAATATGGAAGCCAAATATGCTAATTTTAACAATACAGTACTGGTCCACAATTAGCTTTCACTAAATAGCAAAAATTGATTCATTTTTACTTCTTTTCCCGTCTTTCATGTGGCACAAACCTTGTATTGTTGGGTAATACATTTCTGGTTTCTAGGTGGGTATTGATCTGGTCTGTGCTTCTAAATGCCTGTTAGAATTGGTGCAATAAATCTATCAATTACCTGAATTCAGATACCATCAGTATATATCAAATTTCTTATCTCTTTTTTTACTCATCTTCTGTGGAGAAGTGCAAAATAATCTAGTGCAGAAAAACGTAGGGCTAGATGAAGATTCATTTTAATGGGGAAGATGTGGGATGTGCTGTTTAATTAAAGGTATAGTTTAGATCTCCATTGCTCCTCTAAATTAAATGCCCTACAGTCACTTGGTATAAAAAGTCAATTGGATAAACAGGGCCAGACCTAAAGTAGACTGGCTGTCTCTGTCAGCTGTAAAGCCCATGGGGTTAACACTTCCTTTGGAAGAAAGCACCCTCCTGTTACTATGATTTGATAGCTCTGCCTTCAGCTCTAGAAGCTGTGGCCAGGTAATTAGTGGTACATCCTTAGGGTAGCCCCTGCATAGCTGTTACATGTAATTTAGGCAAGAATATGGCCTCCTTAAGTTAGAGCTTTCCTAATGCCTTTACGTGTTCTTTTTATTAAAAAAAAGACATAACACTAGTTTATACAATTAGAAGTGACTTATGTACAACAATGTGAATATACTTAACACTATTGAACTGTACACTTAAAATGCTTCAGGTGGTAAATTTTATGCTATGTGCATTTTACCATAATTCTTTTTAAAAATAATAAAAGTGGCTTGTGATCTTTTTCTTACCTGTGGTTTTCCTGAAGCCACAGGCAAGTGCCTATGTAGGCTAAAATTGTTCATTTGGTTTTAAATTTATATTAAAGGTTGTCTTAAATTAACTGCATTCTACCACTCACGTTAATGTTGAAGAGTCTCAAACATCTAGTAAATATCCCTGCCTTCCTCCTGTTCAATTTCTTTCTATGAACATTTATCAAGCATTGGTGTATCTGAGACTAGACAGAGGAATGAGAAGCAGGCTTTGCTCTCTGCCCTCAAGGACATGCAGACTGGTTGGGATAAGTGACAAGCAAATACTGGGCAACAATTCTGAGAAAGATGTCTGCACATGATGTTTAGGAAATCCAGGAAAGGATATCCAGCCAATTCTGGAGTTGGGGTAGAGAGCAGACATGCAGGGCTCACCAGACGTATTGTCTGAAGGAAGAGTTTGTAAGGAATAGCTAGATGAAGAAAGGAGAGCAGGGCATTGCAGACAGAAGGAGCAACATCTAAAAAAAATGCAAAGCATCTGGAGAGGGGGCATAAAATACTGCAAATAATTTCGTATCTTTGGTAAGTAGTATTTGTATGAGAAGGAACTGGGCAGAGGATAGGAAAGTGGGGGAAGTGGCAAGAAATGAGGCCTGACAAATAGTCAGGGTCTGATCTTGTATGCCATGTTCAAAAGATTGAACTGTGTCCTAAACCTTCCCCAAAATGTTTGAAGAAGAACCTTAGAAAGAATGTAAACAAGAAATTCCATCAGATTACGGTTTAGAAATATCACTTTGACAGTGCTGTTGAAATGAATTAAAATGAAAAAGCTGGATGACTTTCCAGTAATTCAGGAGAGAAGTGACAAAAGTCTGAACCAGAGCTGTGGGGCTGAAGGAGAGGAGAGGGAGTTGAGCAATACAGGGGTGATTAGATATGAGAGGAGTGAGGAGGGAGAAGGAAGGGTCAAGAAGAAGTAGCATTTTAAATGCTACACTGAAGATTTGTGCATTTTACTCTATGTAAATTCCCTTCACCCAAATAACTGTAGTTAATAATAGCTATGCTCAGTGTTGAGAGGTGAAGTGAACTGATGACTACAAACTACTTTGAAATAAGATGGATTAATAGAAGGCTAGATGGATTGATATGTGATAAAGCAAGCACAGCACAAATGATAGATGTAGAATCTATGTGGTGGGTTTATGGGTATTCACTATATAATTCTTTCAATTTTTCTATAAGACTGATAATTTTCAGAATAAAATATGAGGTAAAATGTTGCTCCTATTGTTCTTTATGCAGTGTAGAGGAGTTATAATATGCCTTATTTTGCAAAACAGTTATAATTTGAATAACATGAAAACCTCATCACATGCACTGCTTCAATAATATATAGCATTTCCATACTGTGGTCATATTGATAAACTAATGGATATTTTATTTCAATCTGTTGGATTTGTGAGCCATATTTTTTTCTTCTCCAAATTAGCTAGTATATTTGCAGGTAAATGACCAGAAAAACCATATATTGCTGTAAACATCAACAAATAAAATATATGCCCTACTGCTTACTCCAGAGTATGTTATTTCATTTAGAAACTGGTGTAGTTGACTTTGGGTACTATGTGTGGGGAATGGGGAGAGGGTGCTAATTATATCTGAGAAACAGATAAATAAACAAAGATTTCCTGATTTTTTTGTGTAAGCAGGCCAATGATTGTGTCCTTAAACAAAGTAGACAATCCAGGAAAAAAGAGTAGATAGGGAATGGGCGGGGGGAGGCAGAAAGGATTATTTTAGGTTTTACATGCTGAGCCTGAAGTGTTGCAGACAGTTGGACATATGGTTTTGGAACTCAAGAGAAGGTTCTGTGCTGGAGATGGGGAGTCATTAAAATATACCAGTGAGTCATTGGAATATATCCAGATGGTGATGTAGATGAGACCCTGGGAGAGCGGGGCAGAGTGTAAGAAAAGACGACACAGTTAGGACTCTGAGGAACATTTCAAAAAAACAGAGAAGTGGAACCTCACTTTGAGACTAGGAAGATATGTCCAGATAGGTAGGTAGGTAGGGAGAGAGAAAGAGAGAAAGAGAGAGCGAGAGAGAGAGAGAGAGAGAGAGAGAGAGAGAGAGAGAGAGAGAGAGAGAGAGATCATGGATCTGAGAGGAAAGAGCCAATCAGAAGGAGGGAGTAGGTAAGTGATTCGTAGTGTTAGGTGCTCCCCAGAGTTCAAGTGAGGTTAAGGCTAAGTAGTTACTACTGGGTTTGGTGGTTGTAAGTATTCAGAAATCATGGTGAGAACAGTTTTGGTGAAGAGATGAATTACAGCGTAATGAGGAGTTTACATGCAAATAGGACGTTAAGATGTGGATACAGCAACTATAGATTATTCTTTAAAGAAGTATGGCTATGACAGGTTAAGCAGCTTTTTTGTTATGATCAGAAGGACTCAAGTATGTCTGAGGGACAAGCTCCTTGGAAATAGATTAAATAAACAGAGGAGAAGGGGTAATAACTGGAATGGCTGTGAAGGGAAGGGACTCTGAGGCCAGGTGGAGGGTCTGGGGTTGGATGGGTTTAGGGAGACCTTCCTGCTCCTTCCACTGAGATGGGGGAAAGAAGGTGAGGATGGGTGTGACTAAGTTCCTTTTCCGGGTAGGGAGAGAGGATGGGCAGGAAGGTGAAGAAGCTCAGTTACGGCATCTTATTTGTTCCGTGAGGTACATTATGAGGTCACCAGGCAAAAGTGATAGGGAGAGTGGTGGGGTAAGGGACTTATGAAGAGAATAATATATGGAATTGTGAGCAGGAGCAGAATAGAACATGGAAGGAAATGCAGGCCATCAGAAGGCACAAGTTGCGTAGTGTTTTCCAAGAGCTCTCAGTTACCTAAATATAGAAGATGTCTACCTAGCCTTTTCCATTCTGATAAGCTTGTGAGCTCTCAGCTGCCTTCTGCTCTGGATTTAAGCCTCATCATAGGCAGAATGTACCTGGGGCTGATATCTTTTATTTTGTAAAGAAATTTTCCACCTGTACAAATTACAAGAAATAAACAACAACAACAACAAATGTGTTTAAACATGTTATTACTGGAAATCCCATTTGAAATACTGCCCATTTTAATGTTTTGATATTAGCATCATAGTCAGATTGACCCCCACACTAGTATGACCACCAAAGCTGGGCATGACCTAGTATGTATATTACATTTTATAGCTTGTCTCCTTGGGCAGGTTGTGTATTCTGCTTCTAGAAGGCTGAATGTTCCCTTATGGCAAGACAGAAGTTGCCAAGTCTAACCCTACCCCCTCGCTCCTATCTACTCAAGTGAGAGGCAAGATGTCACAGCTTTAAATCAAGATCACATTATTGACCTTTTTGTTTCCCACTGTCCAACTGTCATCTCAGTATTCTGCTTTCAGGATTGGAAAAATTGCCTCCAATCCTGATCTCTACTATTTCAAATGTGGTTCAAGTTAGGAATCAACCTATGGTCAGCCCCTCGTATGGGTCTTTCTGTGTGCAGCTCTAAGATGCCACATTTTGATATCATGTTTCTCATTCTGAATTGATCTCAACCTCAATTTCAGCAGCAAGTCTCTTTCTACAATCCCCAGCTTGTAGAGATCCTACAGGTAAGCAATTTCTTGTCTTCTTCAATGTTCATGTCACCCACTGCTCCTCGCTGGCATCAAAAAATCCTATCACTACATTTTTCCTGAGTCACTGCACTCACATGACAGAACTCCTTGGAAGCTAAACCAGACCTCACTCAGTTTCCCTCAGAGTAAGATAAGCAAATGTTTTCAGAAACAGTTTGTGAAGTATTGAGTCAATTCAGAATCAAGTTCCCATATTATTTCTAACATTTCCTCTCAACTTTGAAAATGGCATTTTTAATTTAATCCCGTTCTTTAGATTCAACTAAGTCATTCAGACTGAATGGCTTCACTTCTCTGTCTTCTGTTTATGTAATGGTGCTCCCCAGGGTCTTAGTCAACACATATTTATTGAGGACCAACTTGAGCTTGTCATTGGTGATAAGGAGGTGAATAAATTATAGTACCTGTCATCAGACACACTCATAGTTTGGCAAGAGACAAGATAACAGTTAATATATAGCAGCAATTCTCAAAATATAGCAAAGACATTAATCAACTGGAAGGCTAAATTCTTTAGCCCATCCTTAGATGTGGGGGAGTTGAGGATGTGCCAGAGAACGGTGGTGAGTTGATGCAAAAGATGTGAGAACTACACTTTGAGAACACTGAAAGACAACATGTAAGGGTTGCAATAAAGCTATTGACTCTGGGTGCTCTGGGAGCCACAGAGGAGCTGACTGTCTTGTCAAGGTAGGTGGTAGAGGTGGGGGAGGCTGAGGAGAGGTTTTATGGAATAACTTCACCATCTCCCCTCACATGGCCTGTGAGGATGAAGTGCCCCCTTTTGGCCCTTCGTCTCTAAAACCTCTTCTAAAGTATGTTCTACTTGATCTGTATTGTGCACCCTTCTGTCTTAACGTGTTTTTTTGTATTCTTGTTATTAAACAGTTATACTGTCGGCAACTTTGTGGGGTTTGTGTGTCTCTTCCCATTTCTAGATATGTTGTAATTAAGTGGCGGTTTCCTTCAAGACTGAGTTTCCCATACTAAGCTCCTTATTTCCAAATTTCAGTTGCTCCAAGTGCTTTTTGCCTTTAGCAAAGTTCTTTTTCTTAACCCCAAACTGAAAATCCCATTCTTACTTTTCCAGTCATTGAATGCATTGTTTGCTTCGGTCAGTTTGAAAGAAAGAGATGGGATATCATCTTGTGGAAGTGGACTGCAAAGGAAGTGTCCAACTAAGAGCAAAATATTTTCTTTCTAGGAATCTATTAGCTTTCATGGGCATGAGTTTGTAGTTTTTACTCTTGGAAATTTTGCTGAGAGAAGACTACACAAGCAGACCTGTTAGAGCAGTTGATGATAAATGTGTATGAAAGGTTATCAATAGACAACTTAGCACTTTAACATTTATGTCTTTGAATTTGCACTTTGATGTGGAGAAAGTGCAAAATGTATCACATGCAAATCTTTATGTAGCTAGTCTCTTATATAAGTCATCACTGAGAAATAAGAAACAATGTCAAGCTTTGAATTCTTTTTCTTTTCCTTTATCCAGTGTATTATTTCCCTCAAATTGAAATGTTGACGTATAGGAACAAGACTTGTGTTATGTTGTCAGGGGGGAGAGACATGAAAAAATTGTCATGCATTTTACAAAAGAAGATGCCATGAGCTTAATTGTGTCCCCAACAAAATTCATACGTTCAAGCCCTGACCCCCATTGTGACAGCATTTGGAGATCTGGCTTTCAGGAAGTATAATAATTGATGTTAAATGAGATCATAAGGGTATGGACATATCTGATAAGGTTGGTGGCCTTATAAGAAGATCTTTCTTTCCTTGAGCACATGCAGAAAAAAAGCCAAGTGAGCACACTGTGAGAAGGCTGCTGACTGCAAGCCAGAAAGGGAGCCCTCACCAGAACCTGACCATGCCAAAACACAGATCTTGGACTCTTAGCCTCCAGATCTGTAAGAAAATAAATTTCTGTTGCTTAAGTTACACAGTCTAATGGTATTTTGTTATGGCAGCCCGAACAGACTAAGACAAGACATGCTTATGAGCATCTGTGGATTCGGTCTCTAGTTCTGATTCTACCACCTTTAGCTCTTGTGGCTCTAAAAGTTTCAAGAGACCCCACTTGCCTTTCTGCAGAATGAGAGGGTCAGACTGGCTAACTCCTAAGATCTTTTCAAATTTTCGAAATCTTTGATTCTAGTTATATCAAATGAAGTTCTTTGTTGAAGATCATATAATACCAAGTCCGAAGCAGGCTTCAAGGCCTTTTTGCCTAACTCTGTCATTCAGTGGAAGAGGAAATTAAGGCCTCAATAGATTAAATGATATGGCTTTCCCAGTGTCACACAGATACTCCTGGCAATGCCTGGAAGTGTAGTTTTGTTTGTTCCTCTGCCTATTACACTGTTCAGTGGGTTGTCAGCTGTTAAATAAGAATAATATTTTCTATAATGGACCTATTTCACTGGGGAAATGTTAATGAGCTGGAAAATACTGAGCTTTTCAGAATAAAGATATTTTTATTATTGTGTTTGATTTATGATAAAAATATTCTGTAAATGTTTTCTTTTGAAGTTACGTATTATTACATCTAAATATTTTTCTCTAAATATTTATTAATAGTAGTGCCAATATAGATACATAGTAATATTTTGTTATAAATTCTGTATTTGAGAGTAACATATGAATATGGTAATCAAATAATACAGATGAGATGAAAAATTTCTTACCCACTCTTCTCCATTCCGAATTATGTTTTCCAAAGAAAACATCTTTAAGCTGTTACTTTAAAATTGTTTTTGAAGATTACCTTGATAATTTAGATAATGTGCTTATTCCTGTACTCCTCCATAAATCAATAGATTATACCCATAGACTTCCTATTAAGAAAGTCAAGACTTTTAACTCATTTACCTTACTCTTATATCTCTATCTTCCATGTCTAAGTTAGATACGTATATTTAGTTTTTCTAAATCTTTGTAACTTTAAATAATATAAAATTCTATTTTTTTTGTTGTTGCTGTTTGTTTTTGGAGATGGAGTCTCACTCTGTCGCCTAGGCTGGAGTGCAGTGGCGCAATTTTGGCTCACTGCAACCTCCGCCTCCTGGGTTCAAGCGATTCTCCTGTCTCAGCCTCCCACGTAGCTGGGACTACAGGTGCATGCCACCACACCCGGCTAATTTTTGTATTTTTAGTAGAGATGGGGTTTCACCATATTAGTCAGGCTGTTCTTGAACTCCTGACCTCAGGTGATCCACCCACCTTGGCCTCCCAAAGTGCTGGGATTACAGGCGTGAGCCACTGCTCCTGGCCAAAACTCCATTGTTTTGACAGAATTTCTTGATCTCTTTCTTTGTAAAATGAGTACGTCTATGTAAAAGTACAACCCCTACTCTTTTCTCATTTTTCCTTTCCTGCTTCTACATCCGCCTATCAGCTATACTTTTGCTATTACATTATCAAGGTTAGCATTTACGTTCCTTTCTGTAACCACATATGTTTCTCCTATGCTTGTTTTAGATTTTAAAAACCAATGAAACAATGCTTAACATTTTCTCTTTAAAGAATGCTTTGGGACCCCAGATATTCTGTGCAAATAGATGTTTTGTAAAAACAGAAGTTGGAAACTTGCCAGCTAGGCAATTTTGGATTAAAAATTGCGTTTATTTGAATTATGATGGGAGATAAATGCACTATTCTGCACTTTCTTTTTTTAAATGACAATATAATTAAATTGCCAGAAAGTATCATGAATATTTTTAATTTTTTAAAAAACCATGTTAATTTTTATTAAATCAGAATTTCTGGTTTGGTTCAAAAGATCTGATTTGACATTGCATTAAATTGTATTTCTTTAGGAGTCTTGATATTGACTCTTTAACTGTTTCACTCACTGCATTTGGTAAAATTCTACTTTTAATATGTTTCTGCTGTGCGATGCTTAAAATTATTCCATGTAATTAATCAGAACCTTATTGTAAATCATGCTAGTGTCACACCAAAAATATTTTATTATTGTTAAAAGCGTTAAGTATGGTAGTTGGTTTGTGATGAAGGGGAAATCTTAATCCTAGTATTCTCCCTTGTACTGAATTATGCTATGTCCAGTGAAGCTTGTTGGAGGTTTCTGTGGGTTTTGGGTCAAGTGTGTCAATATTTTAAAATTATTATAACACCTCTAATACATTGTGTGTTTTTTTGTGGTCATATTTTTCAGTATGGTTGCTAGGAAGTGTTTGTATAGCAGTGACTACAAGTCTCTATGCCTTTTTGATGAAAATATATTCTTGACCTTCCTTACCTATTTAGCATTTTATATCTCACAGACATAAATCTCGGAGCTAAGCTTAGCTCACATAGCTCTGTATATTTTCACTTTCCCAAGGGTAGCTATATCATGTCTGAGGTAAGAAGATCAATACAAAATAGGATTCTCTAAGTAAGGGCTAAACCAGCAGCAAATATAGCCCTGACAAAGCATTTAGTGGCTTCCTGTTTGTGATATTCGTCGACGCTAGAATGCTGACTAATACCAGGATTTGAGCTCCGCAGAGAACTATATGGGAGCAACATATCTGAGACAGTCTTTATACTTGTCATGGTGTCTGGAGGTTTTTATTTTTACAATAGATTGCAGTGGAATTCCCCTTTAAGGCTCTTAACTCCTGATTTAATCACATTTCTCATTATGACAAAATTTATTATGAACTAGTATCACTATAGTTTCATGGTCTCTCCTAGATTATGAACTCCTGAAGAATATTGATTATTTTCTTTATATCTTTAAGAATGTACTGCAGGATGTTTCTTATAAATGAGATATTTGGCAAATGCTTATTTTCTGTCTGATACTGTGCTAAACTCTTTATATGCATTATTATTATTATTCTTATTTTAATTCTCAGAATAACTCCATGAGGTTTAGTCCTATTTCACAGATGAGTAACTTAAGGAAAAGAGAGCTTAGGTCACTTGCCCAAAGGCATACAGCTAGTTAAATGATGCAGCTAGGATTGGTCTGTGTGCCTGAATTCTTCCAGATTGTCATGTAGTTGGACTCATACAGTATGTAGCCTTTTAAGATAGTTTCCTCCAGTTAGTAATATGCATTTAAGTTTTTGCCATGTGTTTTCATGGCTTCATAACTTATTTCTATCTAGTGTTAAATAATATTTCATTGCCTCGACGTACTACAGTTCATTTATTCACTTACCTACTGAAGGACATCTTGGATGCATCCAAGTCTTGATAATTATGAACAAAGCTGCTATAAACACCCAGGTACAAGATTTGTGTGGACATACATTTTTATGTTTTCTGGGTAAATACCAAGAGGTGAGATTGCTGGATCATATGGTCAGAGTTATATTTAGTTCTATAACAAACTGCTAAACTGTTCTATTTTGCATTGCCATCAGCAATGAATGAGAGTTCCTGTTGCTCCACATCCTTGTCAGCATTTGGTGTTGTCAGTGTTTTAGATTTTGGCCATTCTTAGATGTGTGTAATGGTATCTTGTTTTAACCTGTGGATCCCTAATGACATGATGTTGAACATCTTTTCATATGTTTATTAGTCATTTGTATATCTTCTGTGGTATCTATTCAGGTCTTTGGCCTATTTTTTAACCAGGTTGTTCATTTTTTTATTGTTGAGTTTTAAGAGATTTTTGCATATTTTGGATAAGATTCCTTTATCAGATGTGTCTTTTGCAAATATCTTCTCCCAGTCTGAGGCTTGTCTTCTTATTCTCTTGACATTGTATTTTGCAGAGCAGAACTTTTAAAATTTAATGAAACACAACTTATTAATTCTTTCTTCATAGATTATGCCTTTGGTGTCGTATCTAAAATGTTATTGCCATGTCCAAGGTCATCTAGATTTTGTCCTATGTTATCTTTCAGGAGTTTTATAGTTTTGTGTTTTACACTTAGGTCTATTATTTATTTTGAGTTAATTTCTTTGAAGGGTATAAGGTCTATGTCTCGATTGATTTTTTCATGTTTGGATGTCCAGTTTTCAACCACTTGTTGAAAAGACTATCTTTGCTCCATTGTATTGTCTTTGCTCCTTTGTCAAAGGTTCTTTGACTATATTTATTCAGGTCTATTTCTGGGCTATCTATTCTGTTCCATTAATCCATGTGTTTTATTCTTTCACCAATACAACACTGTCTTGATTACTGTAGCTTTATAGTAAGCCTGGAGGTTGGGTAGTCTCAGACTTCCAACTCTGTTCTCCTCCTTCAATATTATGTTGGCTACTCTGGGTCTTTTGCCTCTGGAACAAACTTTAGAATCAATTTATTGATATTCACAATATAACTTGCAGTGATTTTGATTAGAATTGCATCGAATCTATATATCAATTTGGGAAGAACTGACATCTTGACAATATTGAATCTTCCTATTTATAAACATGGGATAGCTCTATTTATTTAGTTATTTGATTTCTTTCATCAGAGTTTTGTAGTCTTTCTCACATAGACCTTGTACATACTCTGTTAAATTTAGATCTAAATATTTAAATTTGGGGAGGAGTTAATGTAAATGATAATGTGTTGTAAATTTCAAATTTTACTTGTTCCTTGTTAGTGTATATGGAAAAGTGATTGACTTTTGTGTGTTAATCTTGTGTTCTGCAAACTTGCTATACTTGTTTTTCAGTTTCAGAAGGATTTTTGTTGTTCTTTTGAAATTTTTCTATAGATGATGAAGTCGTCTGTGAACAAAGACAGTTTTATTTCTTTCTTCTTAATCTGTATACCTTTTATTTCCTTTACTTTTTTTGCATTTGCTAGAACTTCCAGTATGATTTTGAAAATAAGGTGAAAGGGACATACTTGCCTTGTTCTGATCTTACTAGGAAAGCTTAAGAGTCTCTCACCATTAAGTGATGTTAGCTGTAGGTTGTTTTTTGGTAATGTTCTTTACCAAATTGAGGAAATTCCCCTGCATTTTTAGTGTGCTGAGAGGTTTTGTCATGACTGGGTATTAGATTTACCAAACATTTTTCTGCACCTATTGATATGATCATGTGATTTTTCTTCTTCAGCCTGTTGATATGATGTGTTATATTAATTGATGATTGAATGTTGCCTTGCATGTCTGGGTTAAATGTCACTTGGTCATGATGTATAATCCTTTTCATACATTGTTGAATTCAATGTGCTAATATTTTGCTGAGGATGTTTGCATCTATGTTCATGAGAGATATTTGTCTGTAGTTTTCTTTTCTTGTAATGTCTTTGTCTGATTTCAGTATTAGGGGAATGTCTGCCTTATGGGATGAATTAGAAAGTATTCTCTTTGCTTGTATTTTCTGGAAGAGATGGTAGAAAACTGGTATACTTTCTTCCATAAATGTTTGGTAGAATTTACTGGTGAAGTCTTATGAGCCTCATGCTTTCTATTTTGGGAGGTTATTAATAATTATTCATTCAATTTCATTAAAAATATAGGTCTATTCAAATTGTTGATTTCTTCTTGTGTGAGTGTTGATGTATTGTGTCTTTTAGAAACTGGTTCATTTCATCTAGGTTGTCAAATTTGTGGGCATAGAGTTGTTCGTACTATTCCTTAATTGTCCTGTTAGCGTCCTTTGGACTCTTCAGTGATGTATCCTCTTTCATTTCTGATATTAGCAATTTGTGTCTTCTCTCTTTTTTTCTTAGTTAGCCTAGCTAGAGATTATTAATTTTATTAATCTTTAAAAAAAGAGCTTTTGGTTTTGTTGATTTTTATTATTAATGTCTTGTTTTACATTCCATCAATTTCTGCTCTAATTTTTATTACTTCTTTTTTTTGCTTACTTCAGATTTAGCTTGTTCTTTTTTTAGTTTCATAAGGTGGAAACTTAGGTTACTGGTTTTTGGATCTTTCTTATTTTCTAATATATACATTAGATGCTATATATTTCCTTCTTAGCACTTCTTTCACTGCATCACACAAATTTTGATAAGTTGTGTTCTCATTTAGTTCAAAATATTTTAAAATTTCCTTTTTGATTCATGTGTTCTTTAGAAGTGTGTTGTTTCTTAGTATTTTGAGATTTTCCATTTATCTTTCTGTTATTGATTTCTAATTTAATTCTATGATGATCTGAGACCATACATTACATAATTTCTATTTTTTACATTAATTAAATTAAACATTAAATTCTTTTCCTTTTAATTGTGTTTTATGGTCTAGAATGTGGTCTATCTTGGTGAATGCTCCATGTGAGCTTGAGAAGAATGCTGTATTCTTCACTTGTTGGATGAAGTAGTCTATAGAGGTAGATTATATCTAGTCAATTAGTACAGAATTCCAAGTTGATGTTTTTTTTCTCTCAACATTCCAAATATTTCACTCTGCTCCCTTCTTGCTTGCATGGTATGTGAAGAGAAGTCTGATGTAGCTCTCATCTTTGCTATTCTATATGTAAGGTGTTTTATTTTATCTCTGGTTTCTTTCAAGATTTGGTCTTTATTTTTGTCTTTTTTAAAGCTTCAATATAATATGCTGCAATAGACGGAATGTGTCCCTCCAAAATTCATATTCTGAAACCCTAATCTCAATATATTAGGTATTTGGATGTGGGAAGGTTGGGGTAATTTGATCATAAGGTTTGAATGCTCGCAAATAATATTGGTGTCCTCATAAGAAGAGGCCAGGGAACTAGCTAGCAGCTAGCTTTCTTCCGCTATGTGAGGATATAATGAGAAGATGGCAGTCTGCAATCTGGAGAGGGCCTTCGCTGGAATCTGCCCATGCTGTCACCCTTATCTCACTTTCAACAACCAGAACTATAAAAAATAAATGTTTGTTCTTTAAACTACCTGGTTTGTGGCATTTTATTATAGCAAGTTAAACTAAGATATATGCCTAAGTGTAGTTTTGTTTTTGTTTTTTGCACTTGTCCTGCTTGCTATTCTCTTTGCTTCCTACATCGATGGTTTGGTGTCTTTTATTAGTTGGGCGACATTCTGAGTCATTACTGCTTCAAATATTGCTTCTGTTCCTTTTTCTTTTTCTTCCTCTTCTGGTATTCTAGTTATGGGTATATCATACCTTTTGTAGTTTTTCCACCGTTTGAGTTTTTTCAGTCTTTTTTTCTCTTTGTTTTTCAGTTTTGGAAGTTTCTATTGCCATATTCTTAAGCTCAGAGATTCTTTCCTCAGCCTTGTATAGTCTACTAATGAGCTCATCAAAGATTCTTTATTTTTATTATAGTGTTTCCCATCACTAACCTTTCCTTTTTATTCTTTCTTAGAATTTCCATCTCTCTGCTTCCATTATCCATCTGTTTTTGCATGTTGTCTGTTTTTTCCATTAATACGCCCTTAGCATATTCATCATATTTTTCTTAAATTCCGGATCTGATAATTGCAACATTTCTGCCATATCTGACTCGAATGCTTATTCAGTCTCTTCAAACAGTGTTTTTTGCCTTTTAGTGTATCTTGTAATTTTTTGTTGAAAGGTGGACATAATGTAATGAAAAAAAAGAACTGTGGTAAGTAGGCCTTCAATGGTATGGTGTTAAGGTATGGAGTAGGGGAAGCATTCTATATCCTGTGATTCGTTTCAGTCTTTTGATGAACCTGTGTCCCTAAATTTTACCTGTACTTGTCAGTTATTTTTCCTCCATTAAGTGGGACAGGATGGCTAAAGGGGGCTAGGTTCGGGTATTTCCCTTCCTCTAGATAAGTTAGGCTCTGCTGAAACTCTTGCCGGTGAGGCTCTAGTAAACTAGTTTCACCTGAGAGAGGCCTCATTAAGAACGGAATGCTCCGGTATGTTTTAAGAAGTTTCCTTTTCCCCGCCCCCGGCCAGAAGCAAGGGATTTTCCTCTAATACCTACTGTGAGAACCTGCTCAAGCTCCTGGAGGTAAAACTCACAAAAATGTGGAGGGCCCCCTATGGCTGATTCCCCCTGGAATTTTTAACGCTCAGAGTTGTCTGCCCTGAGCCTCTGGTAATTTGTCAATTACAGTTTGTCATGGAGGTTCCTGCTCTAGTAAGTCACGATTCTCTATACTCGATTGTCTGTCTTTCCAATTTTTGGGGCAGCGGTTTGCCCTGTGACCTCAATTCTCTGAGGGATCTAAGAAGAGTTGTTTATTTTTCAGTATGTTCAGCTTTTTATTTGTTATGATGGAGTTGTGACTTCTAATCTCTTTACTTGCTGGGGAAACAGAAGTCTGTCTAAACTCTTGATAACCATTATGCCTCATGTCTTCCCACTGGTTATTTATCAAATTGAATTCTGTGCTGTGTGGTGTCTTAGCCTGGGTTCTTCAAGAAGGAAAGTCTGAGTTAAAGCTTTATGTGCTATTATTTTAGCAGGAAGTTCAATTCCAGCAAGCAAGAAGGAGAAAAAAAGGGAATGAGATAAGGAAAGGAGAGCCAATATTGTGTGCTATGAAACTGGCCACTTCCTGGTATTGAATTCAATTGACTGTTCATTTTCAAGAAGACTTTGAAAAGATTATATAAACAATTATTTTTCAGAATAGTCTGTGGGGTGGAGGTGGGACTTAAGACTATCTGATGTCTCAGTCTTCCATTCATCAAAATTTCACTCCATGGTTTATCTCCCTTCCCCTACATTTCTGGGTTGCACACATGTTGTTTAAAAAAAAAGGTCTTATGGTGTCTTAGTTTTGGTTTGCCTGGAAGCAGGGCATGAATAAGGGTTTGGTGCAGGTGCAGATAGTTTATTAAAATGGTGATCCAGGAAGCAGGAGTAAGGGAGTTGGGAGGAAGAGTGAAAGAGAAAAATACAATGTAAAAGTGCATTATTGAGGTTCCTACAGTAAGCAATAGGGGCTTCATTCCAGTACAGAATTCTTCTCAGAATTGTACATTCATAGGATGGGAGGCTGGGGCATTAATCCACTATCTCCCATCCCCCACTTATTGAGAGTTGCCTGTAGGGGCTATAAGTCTTTTCCCTTTCTGGGAAGTGCTTAAATATGCATTCACATGCTTACATGGACATCTGGGATTTTGGAGAAGGCTCCTAGCTTGAAAAGCAGAGACATTGAGATATCAGCATGAGTCTGTGCTTGTGTGCAACTGCCCACAACAGAGGTGGGCCAGAGAGATGTGACATACATTATCTGATGCCTCGGGGAACAGGGAAGCTGTGGGGTGGATTGTCAGAGCAGTATTTCTTTTGTGGGATGGTGTGAGATTATGTCTCCAGAATGGCACTGACATGCTGATTTCAGGTGACTCATATTGTTTGTATAGTCAGGGACCCTGTTAAAATATTTGCCTGCGACTTCACATACCCTAGGGAAACCCTGCCTGTGTGAGGTAGGCTGGAGTCATTCAAAGTTCACTGCAGTAGCTGCAGCTAGAACAACAGAAAAGTAAGACTCAGAGGACATATAGTGGCATATAGGAGGTAACTGATATCCTTGGCTAAGTGCTTCTTCAGAAGTTTTACAGAGGATTTTTAGAGTCTTTACTTTCTATATGAATAGAATAATGTTTGCAAAAATTTTACGAGTGAGTCCACATGTAGAGAGGATTGCACAATGTGGCTGCTGCAAATTCATGTTATTCTGATGTATATACTCCTCCTATTCAGAAGGTGGGGGTCTGTTTCTTCAGTCCACCCTTTTGAACCTGGACCAGCAGATAACTAGCTTATGAGTGTCTGTATAAGAGAAGGTGCACCACTGGAGCTAGCCTTGTGACTTCCTTTGACTAACAGAACAAGGCAGAAGTGATGTTTTGCGAATTCTGGGACCTGAGCCTTAAGTGGTTGTGCAGCTTCTGCCTTTATTGTCCACACTGAGGCCAACATTGAGGGAGGTCGTTCTAGCCTATTGTAGGATGAGAGGCCATATGGAGGAGAACTGGGGAACCCCCACTGATGGCCAGCACCCACTCCCAGCATGTCAATAAGGCTATGGTGAATCCACCATTCTGGCAGCCCCTCTCTCTCAATGCAGTCATAGAAGAAAGTCGAGGCAAAACTAGAGGTCACTGCACAGCCAAGCCACAGAATCGTGAGAAATACTAAATCGTTGTTTCAAGACACTATGTTTAGGTGGTTTGTTATACAGCAACAGGTAACTAATCTAACATGAGCAAAATCCTGATAGTCTTTGGAACCATTTTTATGCCTTAATGAGATAGATGACTAAATTAAATGATGTGTTAATAAGTTAGCAAATACTAATAAGGTTTCATGTTGAGTTTTGGAGAGTTCCTCTTCAGTATTTAGCCAATGAAGAAACCACAAACAAGGAGTTGCTGTTCTATGCAAAAAAGTAAACTTATGAAAATTACACTCAGTGAAATAAAATGGCAAATAGTGCTTTAAGTAGTTTGTGTAACTATAACTAAAAAGAACATTTTATATGTATGAACCCGTGGCTTATGGGAAAAGAAGTGACAGTCATAATGT
Organism: Homo sapiens; assembly: GCF_000001405.40. Classification (NCBI taxonomy): domain Eukaryota; kingdom Metazoa; phylum Chordata; class Mammalia; order Primates; family Hominidae; genus Homo; species Homo sapiens. The sequence continues at coordinate 103,349,094 of NC_000005.10, forward strand.
CCTTGTGTAAATGGTGCAAGTTTGTACTCGAATTCTAAATTATTTTGTGGATCATAGAAGTTACTAACACTTACTGAAAGGGTTTGAGGGAAGGGGGCTCTGTTTTCTGAGTAGGAACTGAGTTTAGCCTGTGGTGTTGTGAAGGGGTTCAGAAACTGTCAATAATAGGAAAGGGGAGGAGAAGCCCAAGACAATAGATTCCTTATCTTTATCCCTTTGCTTGTGTCTGTAATGTCAAAAGAGCGAGAGATACCAAATTTCCTAATAATAATATAGAGGAAATCTCATAACCTGCCCTTTTAGCAGTAGAAATTTGAGTTTGATTATACAATGTAAAAAGAGATGTAGAACATTTTCATAGGATCCCTGATTGAAAGAAATCTTTCCTGTATAGTGTTTGGTACAGTAAGGCTGGTTCTTTGACCAACTGATAAACTATTTCTAGATTACACAAATTGGTAACTCATCTATCTAACTTTTCTTTAGCCTGCATTGTGTATGAACATTGTGTTTTACAACAATTGAGCTGCAATTGAAAAATTCAAGAGTTTTCACACAAAAATCTGTACTTTTAGCATCTCTTGAAATTTGGATGCTCTGACCATGGGTCTAGAGTGGGGCACAGCAACCGCTTTAGACAGATCCCACATTCTCCAATCAGTAGACTCCACTTACTACCCTATCAGTCTGGCTGCTGTAGGCATGTGCCAATTGTTATAGAATTATTTCAAAGGGGTCAAGAGTCCTGGTAATCTGGACTTGACTACTTAAACAACAATAAATAGCTTCATTTCTCATAGGTGGCAAATGACCAGAAAAAGTGATCTATTCATGAAATATCCATTTTAAAATCATTTCTCCTATTAAAAAACCTCAGTTCAGGCAGAAGATTAATGTGTTTAGATAAAAGGTCTTGTGTGTGTTCACAGCTGATAAAGAGATGCACTCAGTCTGAGGAGAAGAAGAGACAATGACAGTGAAAAAACACCCATGTTTCACTTTTGGTATCCTCTGGGAATAAAGATTTCTGTTGGGTCTGAGCAGAGAGAATCAGAGTCAGCCCTTTAAAAGAAGCAGCAAAGACAACTGGCTTGAAAAGACTTGTTGAAAACACTTGTGTATGTGTTCTCATCATTCAGCTCCTACTTAAAAGTGAGAACATGTGGTATTTGGCTTTCTGTTCCTGTGTTAGTTTGCTAAGGATAATGGCCTCCAGCTCCATCCATGTCCCTGCAAAGGACATAATCTCATTCTTTGTTATGGCTGCATAGTATTCTGTGGTGTATATGTACCACATTTTCTTTATCCAGCCTATCATTGATGGGCATTTAGATTGGTTCCATGTCTTTGTTATTGTGAATATTGATGCAATGAACATACGTGTGCATGTATCACATAGAAGGGAATGACACACACTAGGGTCTTTTGGAGGGTGGAGGGTGGGAGGAGGAAGAGGATCAGGAAAAATAATGAATGGGTACAAGGCTTAATACCTGGGTGATGAACTAATCTGTACAATAAACCCCCGTGACATAAGTTTGCCTATGTAACAAACTTGCACTAGTACCCCTGAACTTAAAAGTAAAAAGAAAAGGAGGATATACCTCAAAGACAACCTTTATGAATGATGACTAAAAAGAGGATACTCTACTCTCTACCCTCTCTCACTATACCTTAGCTTAATAGAACATCCTAGAACTTTAACAGAACCCTATTAAAGAAAGCGGGGAACCCCAAGAGAGCTAATATTAAGTTTTCCACCATCTCAGTGAAATGGTGCTTTAAGTTTGAAGCCACTATAGACAATAGACTTTAAAAAAATATACCTAGAATTTTGGACTGAGATTTATGTCCATTATGTTGTCAAATAATGTACTTATTTTAGGGAGTTAAATATATTCCAATAAGTACAGTTGGTTTATGTGTTAAAACTATTTTTTGTCCTCTAATACTATTAAGTTTATAAAATATGCCATGTGATTCTGAACTTGATTATTACACTGAATATTAGAGTCATGATCCCAAGACTTAATTGCCTTCACATGTGTTCAGTCATTTGCTGCCAACTCAGTGTCTTTCTTTTAAGAGCATCCTTATGTCCCTCCTCAGCAGCCAGAAATGTTTCCAGTGCTGTGCGCAGGTAATGACTCTTTAAATTACTGCCATTCAGTCATCTTCTGGACAGGTTTTCTTTAAGAGTCAGCAAATGAGCAGGACCTTCAAGGACTGCTCTTCAAACTAGTGGGTCTCCTACTTTGTATGGACATAGTTTCCATTGGGAAATGTTTCCTTTGGTTCCAGGTTTCTATTTCAGGGCACTGAAATAGAGACACATTGTTATTCTTTCTTAAAGCTTAGTTGAGAATTCCAATGGAAATTTTATTAATACGATAAACCACATTCATTCATTCATTTAGAAAATATATGTCAAATGGAAACTACGTGCCCAGGATATTAAATAAAATCCTCTAGCTTTTCTCTGGGAGTGCACAGTTTCCTGCATGAGAGATCAATAAATGCATGCTTATAAAAGCGTGTGAAAGTACTATAGTAAAGGTAGGAACTGTGTAACATAGGATAAAAACTGGAGGGAGTTGGGAAGTCAGATTATGAAGTGGGTCAGAAAGCATTCTGAGTGAAGTGACATCCAAAGTGTGTTTTGAAGTAACGAGCAGGAATTATTCAAGAGAATAAAGAAAGTGACCTGAATGCCATGTTAGGAAATTTGGACTTTACGTAGAACTGGGTGTAGTTCCATGTAACACCATTAAAGGATTCTAAACAAGAAAGAAGTTTGATATGAGTTCCCTTTTAGAATGAACACTTTGGTGACACATGTGGAGGATGAATTAGGACCAGTGCAAAGGCAGGAGAAAGGACATCTAGTAAGAAGTAGTTAAAATAACTTAGATGATACAGTATGAGAGCCAGAACTCAAGCACTAGAAATAAGAATATCTACATATGTCTATCTATATATCTCTGTGTCTATATCTACACATAAAGGAATAGACTCAAAAGATACTAAGAATGAAGAGGACTCATGCTCTGAGAACTGATTGTATGTGTGGGGTGAGGAAAAGAAAGGAGTCAAGGATGATTTCAGTTTTTCTGCTTGGGTGGCTGATTGTACAACTGGATTATCCACAATATTGATGAATAAGGTGGAGGGGCAGATCTTAGGAGACTGATGACGAATGAATCTTTGGACTTTTTGACTTTGAAGGGCCAGTGGAACACTCAGAGATTCAATTATCATTTGGATATTTGGGTCTGCCGAATAGGGAAATAGCGGGGCTGGAAATAAATGTTTTAGAGTCTTCAGCACATGGAAAATAGCTAAAACCTTGAGAATATATGAGATCATTCAGGGAGTGTTTATAGAAAGGAAGGAGAAGATTACCAATTACAAATGTATGGGGCACACTGACTTTTAAAGGATGATCATTTGAAGAGGAGTATGTAAAACCTTTTTCTAAAAACAACTACAAGGGCAAGAAGAAAACTAAGAAATGATGTGATCTGGGAGTACCAGTCTATAACAATCACAAAACCACTCTTCTTAAAAATTTTAATTTCTGTTTATTGACTGAAAAATAAGTTCTCTAATATCATCATGTTTTCCATTCAATTTTGTTTCAAAATGCACATATTTTATCATAGGCATATTTTTATTAATAAAATTATGGGCCAGGTGCAGTGGCTCATATCTGTAATCCTAGCACTTTGGGGGACTGAGGCAGGCAGATTGCTTGAGCTCAGGAGTTTGAGACCAACCTGGGCAACATGCCAAAACCCCGTCTCTACAAAAAATGATTTAAAATTAGCAAGGAGTGGTGCTGCGCAACTGTAGTCCCAGCTACTTGGGAGGCTGAGACGGGAGGATCACCTGAGTGAGCTTGGGGAGGTCAAGGCTACAGTGAACCGTGATCACGCCACTGCATCCCAGCCTGGGCAGCAGAGTTAGAGTGAGACCCTGTCTCTAAATAAGTAAGTAAATAAAGTTATGTAACTACATATGCCAAAAGAGGCATATTTCACTGATTTACTAGCGGGTACTGTCTAGTTGTTTTTTAAACTATGGAAATGATTATATAGGAGAGTAAAGACACCCCCAAATTCTTTGACACTCTTCCCATTGAGAGGTGGGAGTATGATATCAATGTCCCCCTTTTTTGAATCTGGGAGGGCTTTCTGTGTGCTTTGACCAAAAGAGTATGGCAGAAGTGAGGCTGTCCTCGATATTGGTAACTTCCACTTTCTATCTCTTGGAATAGTCTATAGGACCTCTGAGCTGTTATGTGAGAAGTCTACTACCCTGAGACTGCCATGCTGGAGAGGCTATTTGTAGGTGATTTGGTTAACAGTCCCCTTTCAGCCATCCTTGTTAAGGCACCGGACATGTGACTAAACCCATTTGGGATCTTTCATCTGCCACCTTAACACCACCAAGGGATCTTTGCTGATCCCAAGTGGAAGGTGATACTTATAGAAACATTTTCTAGATTTGATCTCTTGCAAATAAAAGCTATCAGTAATTTCAATGCAAAGAACTGCCTGAATGCATCTATACTCAAAATGAGAATGCTCTGTGTGAACCAACAAACTAGACCTCATTTTGGTTGTCACAGTTGTCATGGAATAATTGCATCTTAATCTAAGGGCAAAGATTATCTTTTATGCTTACAGTCATCCTATCCTCTAGTGTAAGAAAGAGGAAGCCAGTCTGTGGCAGATGGAAAATACAGGCACCCATGACACAGAGGCATCGCTAGATTTCTTGAATTGGGACCAGTATGCTTAGAGATTCTTATGTTTAAAGAGCCAATATTTACTCTTTTGCCTGTAACTTTTATTAATTAATTTATTAAGGATAAATGTCCCAATTGGATATCATAAAATATAGTTTTATTTTAGACTGTACATTTTTATTTCTCAACACCTGAAAAGAAGAGACAAAAACTGAAATTACCATTTTTACAACTATCCTTCCATTTATACAATGGTGGGCTCATAAGGGTGGAGTTTGACAATGATGTTTGACAACTGTAACAGTTCTGGTTCCTGTGATAAGAGCCTATATCTTCTGATGTCACATGCATATTCGCATTGATGCTTCACATGGGAAGCAGGAGAACACTGCAAAGGTATGCTGCATGCATTGCTGCTTTTTTGCAAAGTGGTGAGAAACAAATTGGCACTAGGAATGTTTTGCTGTGAATTTGGTGAATGAGAAAGAGAAGTAGAAATAGAAATGCGTGAAAAATATGTGAGGGAGTCAGTAAATAAAGGACTAAACAAATGCAATTTTAAAAGTGATAATCTTAGATACTTATGCATGTTTTGAAGAAAATAAGTGATATAACAAAAATGACAGGAGCTACTTGAGATAGGATGGTTGGGTCAGGCCCTCAGAGGATATGTAGCTGGGTAGGTAGGACCTGGAACTCAGCAGTTTGCGATGCTTTTCAAATATTTTTCTTCCCCTAGCAAGCTACCAACTTCTCCGTTTCCTAGGCACATGCATGGACATCTAGTTTACCAACTCTTGACTGGCTGCATTCCGTGGTTAGATTAACGAGACACATTCTAGGAGTAATGTAATTAATTGCACTGTTGGCTGACTCACTTTCTTTATTAATCATTTTTCAAAAAATAATGAATTTCCAAAAGATCAAATCAGAATAATGCAACAATTATTTTAGAAATGTAAAAAATAAGTTAATATTTAGCAAGCATTTACTGGATGTTTAGCACTGGCCTGAACACTCTATGTGTATTAATTTACTTTTTACAATAGTCCACAAGATTGGCGCTAACAATATGTTTATGTTCGAGACGAAACCAGTTAGGCCAAGAGAAGAAAATAATTTACCTCTTGTCATGCAGCTAGGAAGTAGAGGAACTGGGATACAAATGTCATAGTCAGACTGCTTTCCATCACACTGTGGATACTGTCTTCATAGAATAGCCATTTCATGTAGTTGAGACTTTGGTGGGATCATATCAGTTGAGGAATTTTTTGTATATGATGTGATTTTTTGAGGATGGCACTTTTTTTAGGGCAACTGATAATCCTTAACTTGACCTTGGGGATTCAAAAGAAAATACAGATGTGTTTTATTTATTTATTTTTTTCAGAAAAACTACACTGAGGAAAATGTGTTATATCCAAGCAATATTCTGTGTAAACAGCTAATCAGAAAAAAAAAGTTAACAGTAATTTAGCAACAAATGTGGTATTTGACCTGCAGCTCCCAGATGAATTCCCAAATGACATGAATAATTTATTTTAGGAAGATGAAATGATATGGGTTATGTAATGCTTGATGAGAAATTGCAGTCATAATTGGGGAAATTGCTTCTACTTACCAGGGTCACCAGTGGAGGAAGGAGCTGGTCCCTGGATGTCATTTTCCACCTTGAGAATCTTGGCAGAAGCAGTAAGTGCTTGCTGCCCAGCTGTGATCCAACTAGAGTAGCTCAAGTTAGTTCCATTATCCAGAGGCCTCAAAAGCCGTTTGAATATCTAGCACCCAAATGGCCTCTGTGCTATTTTCTAAGAGGTTTTGCTCCAATCACATCTCCTCATCTCAGAGCTGCAGTTACATTTCCTAGATTTGCACAGATCCAAGGCTCTCTTGGAACTAGGATAAGCTGTCAAGTTGTAAGGCAGCTCAGTTGCTTCTTGGAATTTATGTCCTAAGGGACAAACACTATATAGAGCATTTTGAAAGCTGACAGCTTAGTGTTGGCAGCTGAATTTTGACATTCATGCTATTATCAAAACTCTCTCAAACAGCTGAAACTGTAGGTATGTGACAGTTAAGCCTTCTGTGAGGCACGTTTATCTGGCAGGAAGAATGCTATCAGTTCCCTTATTATTATCCTGTGCATTTCAGTTGCGTTTTTGTTAATGAATTTAAATTAATGCATTGTTGAGATATCTAAAATGACAAGGCAAATGAAGGGTCACTGTTAAAATTTTAACCTCAATACTATCTACACTCGATTTAAAGATATGGCTTTCCTGCTTCAAAATATTTATCGGGAAAATTTACCATTGAGTTTCTGAAAAATGTAAAAAGCTATACAAGAATTCACACAATTGGTAGTCTCTATAAAAGCTTATACTTAGTCCTTCCCCTGTGGACTTACATGGAGGTAATGAAAAACAATATTTCTTCCCAGGCTAGAGCTGACATAATTGCTAATGTTGAAGTCTGAAAACATATTTTATCAAAATAAGGAGCTGAAAGTGGAGATTTTTTAAAAAAATACTACATGACCCTCTTAATTTTCATTCCATTAAATGCTGAAAAAAATCAATGTTTAACAAATGAGAAAGGACAGAGTTAGACCTATTTAGAGGAGGGCGTGTTAGAGTTGAGGGTTTTTTTTTTTTTTTGAGGAAAGAATGAATAGCACTCCTGTTGCTGTGCTTACTTCCTATGCCTATTTTCATTAGTAAAAACAAAAATGAAATTAGATTACTCATGATAAAAAAAATGGCTCTTTGGTTTCTAGAAAAATGGCTAAAAACACAATCCTTCTAGTTTTTGAAAAACCACACCTGTTAGCCTCAGCCTCTGAAGAAGCTTCACCAAAAAATGCAGCAAAGAATCCTCTCTTATGCTTAAATACTAGATGAGCACAAATTAAAATGTGTCATTAAAGTAATTAACCCAACCAAATCCCCCTGACTGGCACAAATAGAATGTGAAATTGTGAAAATTTTTGATGTCGTTTGATTTGTGGCTGGAACTGACTTTGATAGAACAGCTTCAAGGTGAGTCATGGTCATATTTCCCATGTGTGCACTCAACACCAAACAGTCCATTCAGTACATTAAACTTCCTCAAAACAATCCTCAGTGCAAAAAAATGAAATGTTCTTAATTGGGCTTTTCTCATAAGTTTTCCATAGACACAGATTTTGAATTAATCAGTGCCCCAGTCTGTTCCGTAGGCTAAGTTGTATGGTAGCTTTGTAATAATATTAATAATAAATAACAGTAACAACAGTATCTAACACTTAAAGAATGTGTATGATATGCTAGGTACCGTTCTAAGCCATTCATATACGTATATACATGCAGACACAAACATGCACATTATATATCCATATCTACATATATCCACACACATATGCGTATAGTCTTTAACCCTTGATGTTGGTAGATGCTATAGTTACCCCCATTTTGCAAAGAAGGAAATAGAGGATCAAAGATATTAAATTATTTGTCCAAGGTCACAAAGTGATGGGAGTGTTATTTAAGTCGGGACTATCTCTCACTGTAGTGCCTGTGTTATTTATTTTCTCATTATATTTCCCTTTGTTGGAGTCAACAGACCTTTTACATGTTGAAATATATTCATTTGAAGTTACCTGCACCACAAGAATTTCAAAATTCCATATGAGTTCCTTCAAAAATGTGGTCAATATAGTGAAGAGAAATAACCACAATAGAAGTGATATTTTCAAAGGTTCCATACAAAAATGTCTGGAGGCAGCCCCTCAATAATGGAAAAATATTGAGAGTTTAAAAGGTGATGAAATCAGGACCAACAGCAGCCAAATTTATATCCCTAAAGTTTCCCTCTCATATTTTCAAATTCCCCTTTCTACATTTGAAAAGCAAATTTTTAGAAGTGATGACAGAAGTATTACAGAGTCAGCCCTAATAGCAGCTGTCAGCTCAGATTAGCGCAAGTAAAAATTTCTGTTTCTTCTGCACATCTGTTGTAGCTTTGTTTTTTTTTTTTAAATCTGTGGATAGTGGGCTATAGCATGGTGTACGGTTTTTTTTCCCTATATTTAACGTATTTTCTGTATTTCCTTTTCATTCATTCATTACTTTCATTTCCTTTGCCTCATTTCCTGAAAGTTTTTCTATTAATGCATACTAAGTGATTGGCTCCAAGCAGGCACCAAAGAGTAAATAAAAGTATGAATGCTTGGCTTAAATAAAGGTTTATTGGGACTTAAAATATCTTGCCCTTATGATTTTTGTATATAAAAATTATTTTTTCTATATCATGCACCTCTGAGTTTTAGAGTGATTTATGAGAGCTATTAATTGCAATATTAAGATAAGCTAGTTTCGAGATGTAAATTTTGCTCTCTTTTTGTTAAGACATCTGTGTTTTTGGTCAGAAAACCATATCATCCTGTGTCATTTCCTTTATTAGTAGTTCGAAACAAATAAACAAAAACCAAGAACAATGAGCAAGCTAGTTGGGTGACAAAAGTTAAGATTTTTAGATTGCTTAATTTTGTCTTTGCCAAAGGGCTTTCAGTAAATGCTTTGAAGTGTGCGCACACTCGCACACACGCGCGCACACACACACACACTCAGTTCCTTATTTACATTTCTCACTATTGAGATAGAATGGAGCTTTATTTGGAATTTCTGCTAAAGGAGGTGACTGAATATTATCACCATCAGTTTCCTCTTAATTTCCTACTGGGATAGCTCTCTTAGGGCCAGCTGCAGCCATCATTCCACCACATGTGAGCTGCCTTGGGTCATGTGTGGTCAATATAGAGGAGGAATCACTTTAACAGAGGTGATATTTTCAATGTTTCAGATACAAAAATGTGTGGAGACAGAGCTGGTAATGGGAAAATATTGATTTGTGAGTTGAAGCTCATCAGGACTGATAACAGCCACCTTTACACCCCACGAAGCTTTCACAGAGTTTGGCTTCTGGCCAACTCTAGCTCTGTCTGGAAGGCAATCATAAGGAATGGAAAATAGAGGGGTTTATACTCAGACTTTAAAAGTTCTCAAATTCCATTCCAGATGGCACCAGTGATTTGAAACTTGTTTCTACAACATCTGAGCCTCAGTCTCCTTATCATTAAATTTGGAGTAAAGCTATGTATTTTTACTTTTTTCCAAGGACTAAAATGAGAAGATGAAAGCCTGTGAAATTTTCTGGGCCTCTCAGCAAATGTTTCTGAGCCTCTCAATAAATATGTCTGTTTCCAGTTTTCTAGTAGTCTGACAACAATTTCCATTTTTAGAATGACAATAAAAATAGAAGGGTAGATACCGATAAAAATATATCTTTCTTGGGTCAAGACATTTACGTTAGGACTCTTCCTTTTGGAATTTGTGATGCTTTACATCAGCAGTTTTCAAAGTGTGGCCCACAGATGGCCTATATCCGAACCACTTGGGGTGTTTGGTAATAAAGTCAAATCACCTGTCTCTATCCTGGACCTAGTGAATAAAGAGTCTCTCTGAGGAAAGCACCTGGGTGAATATGTGTTTAGCAACTTCCCCAGGAGAAATTTTCCCTACACTAAAGTTTGAGAAGGATTGCCTTACCTTATATACAGTGCTTAATACTTTATAAATGATAAATCACTTACACACTTATGCTGTCATTTGACTCTCACAGCAAAATTGTTAGATACAAAGAGCAGACACATTTCCTTTTTATAGATGGGGAATCTGAGACTCAGAGAAGTTTCCCCCACAAGGTTACAAAGACATTAAGAAGCAGGACTGTATTCAGGGTTTCCACCCCAGTTCTCTTTCTACCTCATCTCACCCATTCTTTTTCTACATAAGAAGATGCTAGCTGCAGATAATTTGGGGCATGCAGGTGAGTCTATACAATACTTTATTCTATAGGCAATAGAGATAGAACAAAGATTTTCAAGTAGTACAATGACTTAATCAGATCTATGAGGCAGCCTAGGGGATGGCTTGGAGAGAGGACAAACAGGAGCTAGGGAGTGAACTGGGAGACCGATGTCCTTTCTTCCACATCAGTAATGTTGACTAGGTTATTCATGCCAAAAGTTTTCAAATAGCAGTCTGAAAGGCACCAGAAATGAAATACTTTTCATGAACAATACATAGTTATGAAACCTCAGAAAATGGTTCTTTATGGTGCTTATTAAATTTTAATCACATTAACATGGCTCAATACTTTAACGGGTTGTGAACTCCCTGAAAATAGAACCATGTTTCATTCATCTTTGTATTCCCAGAATCTAATTTTGTGTTGGCTGTATAGTATCATTAAACATGTTCATTCTTTATTTAATGAACTTTAGTGAATAATAAAAACATTTGTTTTATATTGACAAATGATAATTATTTTGAATATACATAGTTCATATTTTTACATGCTTAATATATATCATCATATAGCCTTAGGCATGTTTACTCCTTTGACCATCGCAACCACTTGCTCTATTATTAATAATCTCTGTTTTGCACGTGAGAAGCACAGAGTGGCTAGGTAACTCCTCTAAGGTCGGTCACTTGGCCAAGTTCTAATCTTACCGGAATTTGAATTTGAATTTTGTAGCCTGCTTCCAAAGCCTTGCTATGCTACATTTTGTTCACAAATTTATCTGTATGTTTCAATTGCTTATCACTGAAACATTATTTCATGTTTGTATAAAGTTTAATAGGTATACCATATGCCATGCTAACTAACAACCCTAAAATATCAGTGGGTTGGCCCAATAAAAGTTTATTTCATAATTAAAGTTTGATGTGGCTCAAATGACTTTGCTGTGTGGCTCTCATCCAAGGCATGACTCTGAAACCTGGGCTTCTTTCAGCTTTTCCTATTCCAGATGGAAGAGGTGTCCTCCAGGGTTGAGCAGGCAGAAGAGAAATGATGGAGGCACTCCAGCTCTTAAATTGCCTTGGGCCATAAGGTCACATGTCACATATGCTCACATTTCATTGGGCAGCACTATTCACATGGCTCAATTTAACTACAAAGAAGGCTTGGAAATGTAGAGGAGCATATGGATCTTTGATGAGGATTACTAATTTCTGTCACAATAAAAAGGATAATAATAAATATATAAAAATAAAACATTGGGAGCAATGTATTTGCTTTCAGGCTCTGGCTCTATACTTAGTTCAACAAACTTGATAATGTAATTTCCCTGTTTTGAATCAGTTTCATCATGTATAAAATGGGTATAGTGAGTGAAATACAACTCATATGTTGTTGTATTAAGTGAGATGGTAGAAGTAATGATTATAACACAGTAGTGGGCACACAATAAGTACTCAATATAGGATAGCTATCACATTAGTCAGGGTTCTTGAGATAAACAGAATTAATAGGATCTATCTATCTATCTATGGAATTGGCTCACACAATTATGGAAGCTAGAAAGTCCAAAATCTGTAGTTTTGCGTCTGAAGGCCAGGAGCTGCTGTAGAATCAGGAAGAGATGATATTTTAGTTTAAGGGCACCCAGGTAGGAGGATTTTCCTGTGGGAGGGCCAGCCTTTTATTCTGTTCAGGCCTTCATCTGATTGAACGAGGCCTACCTACATTTTGGAGGCCAATCTGCTTTAATCAGTCTACTGATTTAAATGTTAATCTCATCCCACAGTCTCAGAAACACCCAGAGTAATGTCTGACCAAATATCTGGGTACCTCATGGCCCAGTCAAGGTGGCACATAAAATTAACCAACATAATAATTTTCATGATCATCACCATCATTAGATATAGTCAATAGAGTTTTCTCAATGAAGTTTATTTTTTCCTCAATGAATAATTGGATGTCTGTGAATACAGATAAGATTGTGGTGCCTAGAGTGGGCCGGTAAAGTTGGTAGCCCTTTTACTGGACTACCACCTTAACAGTCAAACAGCCACCCATGAGAAGTGAGCACAGTTAGATAATTTTAAAAGATGTTACATGGAAGACTAGACACAAAATAGTCTCATCGATATGGTTTTTCTCCTTTTTAGTACACTTTCTATAGTAATCATTTTGGTGTTATGTTTATTCAAATACTGTTTGTAATGTTTAGTTCAGTTTTAGCTAGACTTTCACAATCATATTAAAGCTAATCACATCTATAATTCTTAATTTTGCATTTCGTGAAGTCTTTACTGAAACAGTCTCCAAACAATCAGCAAGGCAAGGAGGAAGAAAAATCTGCCCAAATCACTCAGGTTGTTTAAATAAAACAATCAGCTGATTGACTTAATGTCTTACTTCAGCTGTTGTCATCATGGAGACACAGATGAAGAGACATTCCAGAGCCATGTTCATCCCTGAATCACATTGGACAGACACAGACGCATGGAAAGATACTGTATTCTTGTTGCCCAGAAGTCTAGCAGATATAGGCTTTGTTGAAATGGTGGAGAAAATAAACTCCAGACACATGGTTCTCTCCAGAAAAATGCCTTAAATTTTTGGAAAATCCAACAGGGAAACTTCCTTTGGGAGAGTTCATGCGGCCAGCTGTGCATGCTCAAGCTAGTCAATTTGTTGGACTTAAGTATTGGTCAATTAATAATTATTACTAACCAGTTGTTTGAACTCACGGAATGTCTTCCCAGTGAGTCACAGAGGCCAGATGAGTAGTGTAGACAAGAAGGAAGGATTAATTCCTACAAAGTCTTATTTCTTGGAGTATCTCCCAAAGTATATAGAATAATGACCCTAGATTGCTCAACTGATGTGGGCCTCGAAGTGCACATCTAGGATGTTAAAAAAGAAGCATCTATAATGAACTAGGCCAGAAGAATCTTATTTTTATTTTTATTTTTTATTTATAAATACGTTAAGTTCTGGGTTACATGTGCAGAACGTGCAGTTTTGTTACATAGGTATACATGTGCCCTGGTAGTTTGCTGCACCCATCAACCCGTCACCTACATTAGGTATTTCTCCTAATGTTATCTCTCCCCTAGCTCCCCACCCCCGCAACAGGCCCCGGTGTGTGATGTTCCCCTCCCTGTGTCCATGTGTTCTCATTGTTCAACTCCCACTTATGAGTAAGAACATGTGGTGATTGGTTTTCTGATCTTGTGATAGTTTGCTGAGAATGATGGTTTCCACCTTCATCTGTGTCCCTGCAAAGGACATGAACTCATCCTTTTTTATGCCTCCAGTGTAACTGTGGAATCAGGAAGAGATGCTCAGTAGCTCACCATTATAGGATATTCCCATCATAATAATAGATATAAACAACCCTGAAAGCATAAATAATAGTAAAATGTAATCAAATCTTAAGGAAGTGATGAGTTTTACATAGTTTCACTATGTTTAACCTTGATTGATTGATTTGAAGTTTAAATAACTTAATTTTTATGGTTGTGTTTAATTGGCTTTTATGAGCTAAGCCAGCTCTAGTGTACCAGTAGATGTGGGGATAACTTTCACCACCTCTCATTTTCCCATAATTGCATTTCTTTGACTTTTGAAGGCTTTAAAATCTCCAACAGTACTTTTTTGACATTGTAAATGAGATTGTAAATTTCATCAGGAAGCATGTACATTATTCTAATATTGGTAGCTAAGACAGCTCTTAGAACAATCATATAATATATATATACTAGGCACTTAGCAAATCCTTACTGAATACAAATAAAGATGCAGAGATATCTAAACTGAATTATACCTTAAACCTACCAATTAACAACTTAATTATTTTAGCAGGGGGTTCAGTGACAGCTGAAAGCAATGCCTATTGAGTGGAAATGGGGTGGGTGGGGAGGCGCAAAGTGTGGGACCCTTAAGGAAGAAAGCATTGACTTTCGCCATAAGCTGTTGCTTAAGTGGTGATCATAATAGGAATATTCACACAAACTTAGGATTCAGTGGCCCAATTCTGGTTGCTGAACTCTGGTTCATTCATTTATTCAACAATATTTTATTAAGCACATACTGTGGTTTAGACTATTCTAGGTACCATAACCATAGTACCAAAAAACCCCAAGCCTGTGCCCTCACAGAGCTTACCTTCTATTGAGGAGAGACAATTAACAAACAAGTACATACATAGTATGTTAGATGGCAAGAAGCGCAATGGAGAAATATAAAGCAGGAAAGGAGTTTAGGATGAGCCAGGGTAGGGGTGGGGACTTGCTAATTATATAGAATAGTCCAGGAAGACCTCTCTAATAATGGGACATTTGCGCAGAGGCCTGAAGGAAATGAGGGAAACAGCCATTTACATCATATCACTTATATCATGTATTTCCTATGCTTGGAAGGCTCTTGCCCCATATAAGATATATTTCCTGTACTTATGGGAGATAAGTACAGGAGTCTGAAGGTGGGAGCACGGTTGATGTATTTGAAGACAAGCATGAAGTCTACTATGTCTATAGTGGAGTCAGCAGAGAGGGAGTGGTAGGACATGGAGTCAGAGAGTAAGCAATGAGGCAAGACAAAGAGGGCAGATGTGTAAGCTGATCTGTGAGTCACCTTGCTATCAATCCAATCTCGGTCTCAGGCCCCTTCTAGGCTACTCCTCAGGGCCCTTGTAGGTTCCAGGATCCTGCCTTCTAATTTACCTTCACAACTCTTCTGCACACTAGATTTGGCTGAATCCTCACACCTGGACTTCTGCCTTTGCACTCATTTGGTCACACTCAAGTCTTGACAATCTTGGTCCAGTGCCTCTCAGGAGCATCTGCCACATTAGCGTGTTAAATGTCTCCCTTCATAACTGTGCACAGACTTTGCTTCCAGAAATGCCCATTCTCATAATATTTCATATATCTTGTTCTGCTTTATCTATTCACATGGTTGCTAACATGTCATAATAAAACATTTGAAAAATGTAAGTGATTTAAATGAAAGGAAACTTTAATTGGTTCACAGAGCAACACAAGTTTCAGGTATGTTTGATCCAGGGCTCAAATGATAACAACATGATCTGCTAATTTTCTAATTCCTGGCTTACCATAAAATTGGCTTTGGTTTTAGGCTTCACATGGTGGCAAGGCAGCAGCTCCAGACCTGTCTTTTCAGATAAAATCTAACAGAAAAACAGTATTTCTGTCTCTCTCTAGTGTCTCAGAAAAAGTATCATTATCTCTTTTCATCCTGATTACCCATCTCTGAACCAATCGCTATGGCTAAGATAATGTGAAGCCCTGATTATCTAGGCCTGAGTCACAGCCACTCCATGGAGGCAGATGTGGGTCATCAAACCCTTCCAAAGCATATGGACTAAAAGTGAGGGAGCAAGGTGTTTCCCAGAGGAATACTGGGGTATAGTAGCCAGAAGAATGAATTGATTTGGGTGGTAAAACAACTACATGTTCCCTAAACATGCTGCATATTCTTCTAGTGTGCTCACTGTCCCCATTCATCTAGAAGTAGTTTCGGTACTTAGGGCTATGATCTAAATTCCCAACTGGCTTTAATTACATTTATCCACTATAAGCTCCACATATTAGGGCAGTCAGTGGCTCATACATTGTAGTGTGGACTAGCACCATCAATATTACCTGGGAACTCATTAGAAATACTAATTCTTGGGCCCTATACCAGATCTGCTGGATAAGAAACTCTGGGGGTGGGACCAGCGATCTGTGAACGAGCCCTCCAGGTTTTCCTGATTCATGCTAAAGTTTGAGCACTTCAGCTTGGATCTATGTCTCTAGGTTCCTCTTTGTTATACTCTGTTTTAGGGCTCTTCTGGACAAATGACAGGGCTAAGGCTAGACCAGCACTCCATTCATCCACTAGGCAAGCAGGGCTGGTACATGTGTGCACATGAGTCCTCTTTCCTTCCTGCCTATTCCATACTGCCCCCAGGTCTGAATTTTTGCTCATTTCACTGCACCTGGTGGTAACAATTTTTGTCAAAGGGATGATGCCCAGTAGCTCAATTGATTCCGAAGGTAACTCTGTGATCTCATACTAGATTTGTAACATTTTAATCTCTTTAATGTTTTTCCATACATATACATGGAAATATATATATATTCTTAATATACATATTTATTCTTTTTATATATATTCTTAATGTTTTAGGGTTTACTTTATGACCCAATTCAGGCTGCCATATCTAAAATACCATAGACTAGATGGTTTAAACAATAAATGTTTATTTCTTTCTCGTGATTTCTGGAGGCTGAGGGTTCCAATACCAAGGTGCCGGTGACAGCCCACTTCCTGGTTCATAGATGGTCATCTCCTTGCTGTGTCCTCACTGGACAGAAGGGTCCAGGGAGCTCTCCGGGGTCTCTTTAATAAAGCCTCTAATTCCATCTTAAGGGATTATGATCTAATCACCTCCCCAAAGCTCAGCCTCCTAATATGATCACATTGGTGGTTAGGCTCTCAACATTTGCTAGGGAGTAAGGGAGACCAAAATATTCAGTCCATAACACTCTATATGTTTTAATTTATCAGAATCAGCTTTATATTTATACTAGTTTAATTCCAATGACATATAGAAACATTAGTCCTATATATCTCTATCCCCTTTCCCCACTTTTGGTGGTATTGTTATACATATTATATCTATTTATGTTAAAGACCCAAAATATATTGTTATAATTATTACTTTATAATCTGTAGTAATTTCCTAAGACCAATACAACTTTGTTTCAACTCCTTTCTGCTGTTATTGACATATATATATACATATTAAATATTCATTTTATTTTATTTTATTTTTTGAGGCAGAGCCTGACTCTGCCACCCAGGCTGGAATGCAGTGGCAGGATCTCGGCTCACTGCAACCTCTGCCTCCCGGGTTCAAACGATTCTCCTGTTTCAGCCTCCTGAGTAGCTGGGATTGCAGGTGCCCGCCACCATGCCCAGCTAATTTTTCTATTTTTAATAGAGACGAGGTTTTGCCATGTCGACCAGCTGGTCTTGAACTCCTGACCTCAGGTGATCCACCCACCTCGACCTCCCAAAGTGCTGGGATTACAGGTGTGAGCCACTACGCCCGGCCGATAAATATACATATATTTTATTTCTATGTCATAGAACATAATATAGCATTATATTATTAACAGGTCCAGGGCCATGACTACACCAAATGTCACACTCAGGGTCAGGTTCGGGGCCATGCTGAGGTCCGAGGGGAGTGGGTGGATGGGTGATAGCTGAAAGAACACTACGGATGGAGGAGCATAGGCAGGTGAAATGTAGTTTTATTCAGCAGCTCTCTCATTAGCAGCTCTCTCAACACTGTCTGCCTTTATCTTGGCTGTCTGCTGCGGCTCTGCGGATCCTCTCAGCAACCGGCTCACTGGCTCCAGCTGCTCCCACACACAGCTGCACCACCAGCCTGAGCAAGGCCACCTCTCCCTTGCCTTCAGGGTCAGCAGCTTAACTCTTTCTCTGAGCACGAGCATGAGCCTTGTCCAGCCGTGCTGTGCCCTGGCTCCCCTCTGTCCATCTGCAAGATGGACAGCTCTGGTACTCCCTCTCTTTCTCTGGGCACGAGTGCAAGAACCAAGTCGAGCCATACCCAAGAGCTGAGCTGAGCCATGTTCCCCATGCACAGTGTCAGCAGGGCAGTTATACCTTTTACAGACAATAGTGGCTCAGAGCCAAGTATGAACTTACACAAACAGATTATATAACAAGTGGTGTATGCGCCTGCACCCTCAACTTACTGACTCACTCTGGCCTGGATGTCCACCTTGGCCTATTCCTTGACCAAAGCACATCCATGTACCTTACAATTATATGTGCATTATTTTATACAATGCTTTTTAAAATCAGTTATTATATATATAAGGAGAAAGATATGCACTTACACTGCTTTTCATAAACTACCTTTACTAGTTCTCTTTGTTTTTTTGTGTATGGATTTTAATTACTGCCTGAGATTACACGCTTTCAGTCTAAAGAGCTTCCTTTAGTATTTCTTATAAAGGGGGTATGTTAACAACAAATTCTCTCAGTTTTGGTTTGTCTGGGAAAGTATATGATTTGGTTAGGTTTTGTGTCCCCACCTAAATCTCATCTTGAATTGTAATCCCTATAATTCCCATCCATCAAGGAAGAGACCAGGTGGAGGTAATTGAATCACGTGGGTGGTTACACCCAGGCTGTTCTCATGATAGTGAGTGAGTTCTCAGAGTTCTGATGGTTTTATGAGAGGGCTCTTCCCCCTTTGCTTGGAAGTTCTTCTTGCTGCCTTGTGAAGGTGCCTGCTTCTCCTTCACCTTCTGCCACGATTGTAAGTTTCCTGAGACCTCCTCAGCCATGCTGAACTGTGAGTGAATTAAACATCTTTCCTTTATAAAGTATCCTGTCTCAGGCAGTTATTTACAGCAATATGTAAACAGACTAATACAGTATTTCACCTTCAGTTTTAAAAAATAGTTTTGCTGGCCATAGGGTTTTTGGTTGAAAGTTTCCCTTCTTTGAGCATGAATATGTTGTCCCACTACCTCCTGGCCTCCATTGTTTCTTCTGAGAAATCACTGTTAATGTTATTGGGGTCTCTTGTAAAGAGCAGTCATTTTTCTCTTGCCGCTTTCAAGATTTTCTCCTTGTCTTTGACTTTCAGTACTTTTACTATCATGTGTCTGTTTGTAAATATCTTTGCTTGTATTCTACTTAGAGGTTATTGAGCTTCCTGATGTGCAGGTTTTTGCTTTCAACAAATTTGGGAAGTTTGTAGCTATTGTTTCTTTGAATATTTTTTCTGCTTCCTTTTCTCTCCCCTCTCCTCCTGGTTATCCCACTTATGCATGTATTCGTGCTCTTGATGGTGACATATATTTCTCGGAGTTTTTGTTCATTTTTCTTCATTCTTTTTTTCTCTCTGTCCCTTGATTTGCATATTTATCTGTCCTCAAGTTCACCAATCTTTCTTCTGCCTGGTAACATATATTTTTGAGTCCTTCTAGTAATTTTTTATTTCAGTTATTATGCTTTTCAATTCCAGAATTCTCAGGTGTGTTTTTAAAATAAGTTCTGTCTCTTTACTGATAGTTGCTTTGATGTAAATTTTCTTTACTTTGTTCATGATGCCTTCCTTTAGTTCTGTGAACACATTTATAAGTTTATAATGGCTATTTTGGAGTCTTTTTCTGTTAAGTCAACCTCTGTTGCCTGCTATTTTTTGTGTATGGGTTATGCTTGTTTCTTTGCATGTTTTACAATTTTTTTTTTTGAAACCTGGGCATTTTAGATAATATACCAACTCTGGGCTGTTTCCTCCCACCCTGAAGTTTGTTATTGTTACTTGCTGCTTTTAAAAATTTTTTTGCCACTGGCTGATTCTTTTAGGAAAGTGTATTTTCTACCTATAGTGTTAAGCCTCTGCTGTTGTGCCCCAAGGAGGTGTAGTTTTGGGTCTGCCTACAGTCACCCTGAGATAACAGTAGTATTAGTAGGGCTTTCAAGAAAGTCTATTTCTCTGAACTCATTTAGCACTGAAGCTACACTAATTGCCTGCTGGTTTCTCTATTGTTATCCAACAATACTCTGGAATTTAAATTGCTCCACAAACTAATCCAATCAAACTGTGGCTCTTTTGATGGAATATTTTCTGAAGTCCATGGCTGATATTTGTTCTGACCCCAGGAGAGCTCCTCTCTGTTATCCTATCCCCCTGGTTCCCTCCTGTAAACTAGCTGACCTACAGTCTAGGCTGTATCTTTATTAGGTCCACAAATCTCCAAATTGCCTTTCACCATAACCTTCACTGTTCTTGAGAGAGCACTTAAACTTGAACTTCTCCATGCTCTATTGCAAATGAAATTAATTCCTTTGGGGAAGCTATTCAACACTATCTGCTTTAAAGCCTGCTTCTCCCCTCAAGCAAAATCTCTAAATCAAGGCTGTAAAACTGGGGGTGGGAAAAATAGCAAGCTTTCCTTTGTGTGACAACCCTGCTCCAGGAGCTTAGTACTCAGTAAAGGAGAGAGATAGAGATCTGAGGTCCTCTCAGCTTGCCTCTTCTGAAGTGGAGCCACTGCCTCAAAAGCCAGGGGATGGCAATCAGGGTCCCAGTATTCTTAGTCTGTTGCACTCATTCCATAAGTGGGCACTTTGCAGAAGGTAGCCTCATTGCTCAACTGCTCTCACCTGGGACTTAGCCATGGCAACAGGTAGCTGGGGTAGGATGAGAAATACTGAAGTCCTGTTCTTCGTGGGAAGAAAACCCTCTGACTAGGTAGGAGCAGGGGTGGTGGCGGAGGGAACTCTGGGTTTGTGGCTGTAGCAGCCTGGAGTGGAGTCTCTGCCTCAGTGAACTGGGAGCAGGAAGGGAGGGAATGGTCTTGGCTTATATTCCACAGATTCTCATTTTTCTTACTAATTTTTTATAGTTTTTGTTCTCTCTCTCTCTCTCTCTCTCTCTCTCTATATATATATATATATACACATATACATATATATACACATATATATACATATACATATATATACACATATATATACATATACATATATACACATATATATACATATACATATATACACATATACATATATATACACATATACATATATACACATATACATATATATACACACACATATATACACATATACATATATACACACACATATATACATATACATATATATATATATATATATATATATATATATATACACACACATACATATATTTGTTTTCATTTGCTGTTTGTGCCTAGGAAAACATTCTAAGACTTTAAGTGGTTGTTTTTCTAAAAATAATTTTCTCCAGTATTACTGGGGAGCAGATCAGCAGAGCTCCTCACTCTGCTATGCCAGAAGTCTATGTCCTCTACAATAGATTTTAATCAATGCCAGTTGTTGTCTAAATGATGCCTAAAATTAATTGTGCACTTTGGACACCATGGGATCTGACTGCACACATCTAGAACATTACCTCTAGTCCCAGATCCAGATGCTTGGTCTCATGCCACATGTGACATGACCTGACAGTTCTGACCTCCCAAAAAGTTACATATTGCTATGAATGTCTTCCCATGTCATGAGCCCTTGGCAGGAACTGTGGTTTTAATTTTAATTACTGCCTGTAGGGATGATGCCAGTAGGGAAGAGAGAGGGATAAGAGTAGACTGCCTTTTACAGTTTTGTCCAACATCAACTCAGTCCTTGTCACTTGAAGTCAGCATGGATGCTACTTCTCAAATGTGTGTTGACTTCTTTTTACAGAATATGCATGTTTCTTTATTCTTGTTTTTCAGTAGTTGTGCAGAATTTTCTGTTCTTTGATAATTTTTTTAAACATCTATTATTCAAGGACACCAGCCTAGGATCACAACTCCCCTGAAAGGATAAATATTTGCTTCAAAGCCTGGGTGTTCTCAAGTGCAGTACAGGTGCAGCCTGTAGGTCATGGATATCTCAGAGGTACAGCCCTCAGAATGCCTGGGGCATGCCTTAACTGAATGGCCATTTGCTCATGCAGTTGGGAACAGGGACTATTTATTTATTCAGCCAACATAAATGGAATAACCACAGACTCTCAGATACTCTGATAGAACTGAGGACATTGGGGAAACATTCACAGTCTCTTCAGAGAGTTTATAGTCTAAGGGGAAGCAGAAAAGTAAGCAGCAGTTTTAATGTCATGTGACACTGTGACAGAAGGGGAGAAAGCACAGGCTGCCTGCCTCAGATACCACCCCCTCATGCTGGTATCCAGAAAGCAATGCCGAGATTTCATAGTAGGGAATGGGAAGGGTGGCAATGTGTATCCCTGTTTTGTTTTTTTATTTTTATTTTTTTATTTTTTTGTCGTCTTGAAAGCTGAGAAGTGAGAAGAGAGCTGAAAATGTATAAGAGTGTGCCCAGGCAACTGTTTTCTCTTTGCTTTTCTAATAAAAGCAGAAAAGGAAAGGTTTTATCATCAGCAGTGGAAAGCAGAGGTGCTGGCAGTGTGACAGTGGCTGTGACTTAGGAAGGGAGAGTCTCCAATCCAGGAAGACCTTCTCCTCAGCAATGTCCAGTTCAGGAATTGACAGCATTGGCACAGGCTCCTCTTGGCAGGATGGGGGTTAATTGTGGACCATGTCAGTTTTGCTGCTTGAAAATTTTGAGTGACAATACCTCTCAGGTGTGAAGAGAGGATGAGTCTTTCTCTTGGAAGGACTAAAAGGAGCCTGGATGTTATCTTACTGGAAAGAAGGAAACAGTGCATACCTTTGGGAATGGATCTACAATTTACTGTTTACCCCATCAAGCATGATATTACATTGAATCTGAGTAGCTGCAATGCTGAGCTGGTGTGCAGGAGGCCAACTCTGCAGGTTTACTTAGAAAGTGGGCAGAAATGACAGTAATCATAAAACAGATAACAGGCAAGCCCTCAGAAGTGGGCAGAGGCAGGAAAAATGAGCAATGGACATAGCGTGGCAGAGCCACCCAAGGCCAGAGAAGCAAGCTGGTTCCAGAGCATAGCCAGATATGGGTTGGTCTGGGCATTCAGAAAGTGTTTTCAGGAAGCACACTTAGGCAATTGGGGAGGCAATGGGCAGAGGGTGGGGGATGGATGGAACTTCCGAGCTTTTTCTCTTCTAGCTTCCATCTGCTTTAGGGGGACATTCCAAGGTTAGGTCTGGCACATTTTGCAATACTACATGGTGAATTCATTACAGTGGGTTAAAGGTTGATTGTGCACTATGCACAAATGGAGATGCTGGGGTTTCCAGACTGGATGGTCAACTATCTGAGGGCGCAGAAACAGGCCCTCATCATTATTTACCTTGCTTTTGAAATATACTTCTGTTTTCCCTCCCTTTAGTCTGGGTCCCATGAGCCCGCTCTCCCACACTGTTGCCAGAGTGGAAATTGATTGTCTCTCTCTTGCTCAGAGCTTTCAATCGCCCTCCCGTGTTTGCAGAATAACGCTCCTTAGCAGAGGTCATAGAGCCTTCCTTGACCTGGCCTCTGCCTGGCTCCCTGCTGTCTGGTTGCCATTACTGTGATGCACACACATTTTATGTTCCAGCACTAGCAAGCCACGCACACACATAGCATTTTACTTCATGATTTTACCTTTGCTTATATTTTTCCTTTTGCTTGAAATGCTCTTCCATTTATCACCCCCTTTTCTTTCCCAGGCATCACTTCCTTGAAGTATTTTTACCCATTTCATTCTGTCTCTCAAGACCCTGTACTCATCTCTAATCGTGCACTCACCATATTGTGTTATATGCATACTTCTCTCCCTTCCTTACTTACCTGTGAGTTCCTCCAGGCTATGTTTTATTTATATTTGTATCAGGCAGAGCTAGGTATAATGCCTGGGACATAGCTGGTACTCTAAAATATTTGGTTGTATAAATGAATGAAATGATATATATATATATATATATATACACGTGTGTGTGTGTATATATATATATACACATGCGTATATACGTGTATATATATATATATTTTTTTTTTGAGATGAAGTTTCACTCTTGTTGCCCAGGCTGAAATGCAGTGGCACAATCTTGGCTCACTGTAACCTCCACCTCCCAGGTTCAAGCGATTCTCCTGCCTCAGCCTCCTTAGTAGCTGGGATTACAGGTGCCCGCCACCACACCTGGGTAATTTTTGTATTTTTTTTTAGTAGAGATGGGGTTTCACCATGTTGGCCGGGCTGGTCTTGAACTCCTGACTTCAGATGATCCACCTGCCTTGGCCTCCCAAAGTGCTGGGATTACAGGCGTGAGCCACCGCGCTTGGCCCATGAAATGATCTTTAATTGTCTCCTAAGTGACTAATACTAGATAGCATCTGTTTGGTTTCCTACTAGAGTCTGGAAGCAATAGGTGCCTTCATTTAACCATTGGACCTAGAAAGGTAGCAACCCATAGCCTGCCAGGCTGAATGCACCTGAAAGCCTCAAGAAATCTTGTCACTGTGCATTCTATTATGTGACTACAACTTGAGCCGAATAGGGATAAATGAATCCTGGCTAGCACTGAGCATCGTGCCAGGAACAGAACAGTGGGGCCATTGCAGTCAGTAGAATGAAAGGTTACCATGGCGTTGTCAGGGAGTTTTCTTGAACTATGGCTGGACCATATTTCTCTTTCCACCTCAGCCACTGCTTCATGCTACTGAATGGAGAAGCCTTTGGCTTTCTGTACCCATGGAGGAATGCAGCATGCCTCTTATCTCCTAAACCTGTCCCTGCAGAAAGCTGCCTGCCCTTGGAGTTTCTCAGTAGAACAGTAAATGTGATCTCAGTCTCTCCCAGCGGCTCAGTAAATATCACGTGATACAGAGTGCCTCAGCCAGGTGACACAATGAGAGCTGAAAACACCTCGGGTCGTCTGTACTGTTGCATTCCTTATGCACAGCACATCCTAGTTGTCCCACTTAGAGCATCTCTCATTGTGATTTCCTTTTCTTTCTCTAAACGTAAGCTAGGTTGACCTCACTTAGTGGAAAGTCAAAGGTGTCAAGTGAATAATAAACTCTTTTCCTGTTCAGGTACAGTGTGGGCTGTTAGGTTTTCCACCCAAAGGGAGGATGGGGGCTGAGTAGGGCTGCAACAGAGGAGAGAGAATGCAGTGCACCTCGAAGATGTGAGTGACATGCTGCTTAGATGGAAAGTACACCATTTCCTTTCCTGTTCAGAGTGAGATATTTTTTACCTTCATACAAATGAGGTTGTTGAAAACCATGATATTTTAAAATACCCACATAAACAAAACCTTTGTTTTGAATGTAAACCTATGGAAATGAATACTCACAATCTGCAGTAAAAAGGACCATCTCTTGATCTTGGATGTTTCCTAGCAAAGCACATTCAGGGTGTCGTTGCTGGCAATGGAAAGCCCAGAGTGCCAGCAGCCTCCACACTGTGATTTAGGGAAGGGAGTGACTGAGATTATTTTAGTCAGAGGAACTGGTTCTCTGCTTAGCCTCGATATTTCATAAAAAGCTCATTGCAGCAAAATTTTCATTTGGCAGCATCTGCGGTGCTATCATCTTGATATCTTCACATTAAGTAACAATGGCACTTCAAGGTCAAATGAAAGTCAAATTGGCACGATAAATATTCATTGTCAGCCTCTGTTAATCCTATGTATTTTCTGTAAAGATACAGGCAAAGCATGTAATCAGTAGTGTTTGTAGGAAAATAAAAAGTTATAGAAATCCTGGGGTCATAGAGCAAATAAAACAGTTCAAATGTTAAGATATATATGGTATAGTGAGAAAATCAGTAGAATGAATACTGCACTCAATTCTGACATTGTCAGTTTCTGACAAATCATTTAAATGATATACCTCAATTTTCCCAACTGTAAAATTAGAATGAATTACATAATTATCTTTTATTCTTATTCCTATTCTAAGTGATAGCTTTTCTAGATGCAATTAGAAAGAACTTTCAAAGTGTTGCAAAACACTGAAACATATTAGGAAAAAAAAAATAATGTGTGTTTTTTTTTTCTTCTGAGCACTTAAATAATAGAATAGGTATCAGTTTCTTAAACAAATGGAATGAAAATCACAAATAGACTTTTAAGGTTAGGAAAGAAGCCTGCAATGTGAAGGGACTAGATTAAAAGAAAATTGACCTGTTTACATTTCTACTGTAGAGTATTGGATGCTGTAGCAATAATGGACCTTTATTGGAATTATTTTAGAGGTTATGAGATTACATAATGGCCTGTGTCACCTAGCGGCCAGAGGCTGGGATGTCAAGTGTGTGTACCTTTATCAATAGCCAAGCTTAAAATGACTGAGAAACAGCTACTTCTGAGAAGACTTGGAAAGTAAGGTATTCTATTTGAGGATAATGTAAGCATTTGTTTCTGGAATTCTGCCCAGTAACCCAGAGCACACAAAAAGGTCTTAGAGTAATTTGATCAGTGTTTCTGTAAAAGAACACCAAAGCCACAGATTCTGTTACTGGCAAGACAGAAAATGCATTATAAGGGAAGACAACATGTTTCATAGGATGATGGCTTGGCCTGGAGAGGGCTTGGGAGAGTTAACTGACAGCAGTTAGGAACAACGATTAATGCTAACCTGAACTTCTGGGACCCCTGCCTGAACATGCTTGTCAGGGTGTGTTGGTGTTTGCAACATTGCCTTTTGTTTTGTCTCTGGAGCCTGATGCAGTTTTGCTTGCAGTCCTTGTTACTGTCTATTGGCCCTGTTTTGAGCACTAACATGAGAAGATGAAAAGAAATCCCCAGAAACACCCTTTTTCTCACCTGGTCATCTTAGTATCCACAATTGCATTCCTAGAGGAATATTCATCTTCCTGGCATTATTGTTTTGATGTATTCACAGAAGTCTGTGGCCGTAATCCTTCCGTAAGCTGATCTGTTATTTAGCTCCTTGGATGAAATATTGGTAATCATTGTAAAAATGATGAGCCTATGTTGATATGTACATGGACCTTTCCCTGTTTGACTGGGGGATGGGGGGTAATGTGAGGGCTGGGGAGATTAAAAACAGATTCTAGATCCCTCCAGTGAGCTCCTTGGTTAAATATTTTGTTTACATTGGTTATATTGAGCAACTTTAGTAGAGGATATTGTTGAAGAGGTGGAGAGCAGTTTTCTGATTGGCGAGACCTGTAGTCATTAGGCTGCATTTATCAGTAGGCTTGCCTTGCAGTTCAAGGTTCATTGAGATAGATAGACTAGCAGCTTCTCAATGCTGGTTTCTCAGGCTACACTGGGTTGCTCAGGTTGAGTGGGCAATGAGGAACTTGGGGAGGTAGTAGAAGACAACCACTTGACTTCAGGACTAAACCTTTTTCTTTGGCTGCCTTTGTTGCTGTTGAAAAGTTGGGGTTATTTTGTAGTTCATGGGTTGGCAAACTATGACTTGAGCAAAAAAATCTGTCTTGCTGCTTGTTTCTGTAAATAAAGTTTTATCAGAACACAAACATGGTTATTTGTCTGCATATTGTCTGTGGATTCTTCTGCATGAAAACAGCAGAGTTGAATAGCTGCAAAAGCGAACCCTAAGACCTGCAAAACATAAAATATTTACTATTTGGTCCTGTATGGGAAAAAGTTTCCTGATCCCTGCTGTAGTTCATTGTAGGTAATCTGTTGCTAAGATCTTCTCTTGGTCTTTGGTGTTCTTTAATGTTGCTCAAATAAATTTAGATGTGAATTTCTTTTTATTTTTCCTGCTTGAGATTTGTTGTTCTTTCATCAATTATTAGCCATAAACTCTGAATATTGTCTCTCCCCATATCTTCTCTGCTCTTGAAACTCTGGTTGAATTTCTTAGAATCTCTCATTCTAGTCTCCATTTTTCTTAACTCTATTTTTCGTCACATAGGATCTCTGTGCTGCATCCTGGGTATTTCTACAGATCTGTTTTCTGATTCAATTTCCTTACTTATTATCAGTTAAGATTTTCTATTTCTTCGTGATTCAATCTTGGTAGATGTGTAAGTTTCTAGGGCTTTATTCATTTCTTCTAGGTTATCCAATTTGTGTACAATTGTTCATAGTAGTCTGTTTAGACTCTGTGTATTTCTGTGGTATCAGTTGGCTTTTTTATTTCTGATTTTATTTGGGTCTTCCCTCTTTTTTTTCTTAGTGTAACTAAAGGTTTGTCAATTTTGTTTTCCAAAAACCAATGTTTAGTGTTGTTGGTCTTTTCTGTGGCTTTTCTAGTCTCAATTTCATTTATTTCATCTCTTATCTTTGTCATTTTCTTCCTTTTTTTTTTTTTTTTTTTTTTTTTTGACAGTCTTGCTCTGTTGCCCAGGCTGGAGTGCAGTGGCGTGATCTTGTCTCACTTGCTGCAACCTCTGCCTCCCAGGTTCAAGCAATTCTCCTGCCTCAGCCTTCCGAGTAGCTGGGACTACAGGCGCCTGCCACCACACCCGGCTAATTTTTATATTTTTAGTAGAGATGGGGTTTCACTGTGTTAACCAGGATGGTCTCAATCTCCTGACCTCGTGATCTGCCTGCCTAGGCCTCCCAAAGTGCTGGGATTACAAGCGTAAGCCACCATGCCCGGCTATTTCCTTCCTTTTTTCCAGATCTAGAAGTCCTATTTAGCTTTTTTTCAAATCTGCCTAGTCATCTTATTTGTATTTTCATATCTCCTCTTTTGCTTCTTTAAACATATCAAGGATATTTACTTTAAATTCTATGCAATTAATTCTAGTATATGAAGCTATTGTAGGTTTGATTCTGCTGTTTTATCCTCATTGAATTACAAGGTACTGGTGTACTTGTGAGCTTTGTATTGTTTCTAGTGGTGAACTCAGGTTCCTTGGGTATTTTCTGTGGAAATTCTTTGAGTATTTTTATGTGGTGTTCAGGGTACATAGTGTACCATACAGCTAGAGAGTTGTTCTAAATCATGTTTGCCATACCATCTATACCCAGAGATCCTTCAATGTTAGAGGTTATTGAAAATTTGCCTGGACTATTAATAAAACTAATGCTTTGATGTTAAATTGTCTGTAACTTTCTGGAATCTCTTCTTACTTTTTATTTCTTGCTTATTGAAGGAAGAAAAGTGAATCTTACAGTCTCCCTGGGATCCACAGAGACATGATGAAAGCCAAGAATCATTTCATATCTAGAAATCTTATTTGGTTGTTTTCTAAATATAACTTATCACAATTGTCCTACTTCCAACATTCCTCAAAATTGGATGTAAAATCTGCATCACCTTATCCCTTCAAGCTATTCTAGATGATTATTCTTGCCCCTTCATGCAAATTCCTCTTGTCTTGAGGCAGATGACATTGGTATACCTTCTCTGTTACCTTGTCCCTGAAATCTACCCTTGGAATAATCATTCCCATTCAGTCTCTAAAGGCTCTGGGTCTGCCATGGTCTTTTGTTCTACTTTTAGTTCTGACCTCATCTTGGGTGACTTCAAAATCTCAGATTTCTGGCTTTTTCATCTTCAAAATAACCTTGTCAACCATTGTATAGTTCCATAGACACAAAAAACTTCTCCATCTTGAAAATCAAAAAACTAGATTTTCTTCCTTTTGACCACAACTTCCTGTCCATTTAGGTTACTTACTAAGCTGTTGCTGATATACCAATCCTTTGACCTCACTGAAACCTCCATTCTCTTTACCCTCTATTTTCAATGTTTCAAACATTTCTCATACTTTTATTCTCTTCTTATCCTTCTCATGTTTTATAATTCAAGACTTCAAACACTGCTGTACTAATACCCTAAGCTGACTTGCCACATCCTCTTTCTACTATTCTAACTTGGCAAAACCTCAGTCCTCGATGAAACAAAATGCCTATTTTTTTCTACTTCCATATCTGTGCTGATGAGAGAGTTCCTGAAGAAATATCATGATTTCCACTTTGCTAATGGTCGACTAGATTATTTGGACGCATTCCTCCTGCTGAAAATGACAAGAAATGCTGAATATAATATAAAAATGTCTCTTTTAAAACATTGAGGAATTAAAAATACATTAAGGAATTACCAAACCAAAATTTAGGGAAAAATAACTCAAAAAAGAATCTGAGCACTGAAGCCATGTGCTCCAGAGGTATTTTATAACATGGTAAAAATTACACTTTGGTTTTGGTAGCCTCATTGGGTAAGGGATCATAATTTAAGGTCCAGAGCCAACTCAAGTAGAAAAATTTAATAAGAGACTAACCCTGTTCCATACACACACACACACACACACACACACACACACACACACATACACACACATATACATACATATGTGCTTTATATCAATAATGAAGCTAGTCATGGGCTAGTTCTACTTCTAAGGGAGTGCAACTTAATCTATTCTGATTGGTAAAACAATATTCTTGGGAACAGAATTTACAAAATGCTTAGAAATAGTTGCATTAATTATTCCACATCATAAGCCCATCAAGTGGGTTATTAACTCAACTCCCTTGCTTCATCCCTTTGTCATACTTACCTGGTAAAACCCCACTTAAGTTCAACCCAACTCCTTGCCTACTACTATGCACAGGTTGAATGTGGTTTGAGAAGCACACATACCCAGGCTGACTGGCCACACTTCCCATCACTGCCAAGAGACCTTTACGCAATTCTTAAATATATATATATATGTATATATGATACTTTAAGTTCTGGGATACATGTGCAGAACATGCAGGTTTGTTACATAGGTATACATGTGCCATGGTGGTTTGCTGTACCCATCAACTCGTCATCTATATTGGGTATTTCTCCTAATGCTCTCCTTCTCCCTGCCCCCCAACCCCTGACAGGCCTCAGTGTGTGATGTTCCCCTCCCTGTATCCATGTGTTCTCATTATTCAACTCCCACTTATGAGTGACAACGTGCAGTGTTTGGTTTTCTGTTCCTGTGTTAGTTTGCTGAGAATGATGGTTTCCAGCTTCATCCATGTCCCTGCAAAGGACATGAACTCATTATTTTTTATGGCTGCATAGTATTCCATGGTGTATATGTGCCACATTTTCTTTATCCAGTCTATTATTGACGGACATTTGGGTTGGTTCCAAGCTTTGCTATTGTAAGTAGTCCTGCAGTAAACATACTTGTGCATATGTCTTTATAGTAGAATGATTTATAATCCTTTGGGTATATAGCCAGTAATAAGATTGCAGAGTCAAAGGTGTTTCTGGTTCTAGATCCTTGAGGAATAGCCACACTGTCTTCCATAATGGTTGATCTAATTTACATTCCCACTAACAGTGTAAAAGTGTTCCTGTTTCTCCACATCCTCTCCAGCATCTGTTTTTTCCTGACTTTTTAGTGATCACCATTCTAACTGGCATGAGTTCATAGCTCATTGTGGTTTTGATTCGCATTTCTCTAATGATCAGTGATGATGAGCTTTTTTTCATGTTTGCTGGCCACATAAATGTCTTCTTTTGGGAAGTGTCTATTCATTTCCTTCACCTGCTTTTTGATGGGGTTGGTTTTATTTTTTCCTTGTAAATTTGTTTAACTTCCTTGTAGATTCTGGATATTAGCCCTTTGTCAGATGGACAGATTGCAAAAATTTCCTCCCATTCTGTAGGTTGCCTGTTCACTCTGATGATAGTGTCTTTTGCTGTGCAGAAGTTTTTTTACTTTAATTAGATCCCATTTTCAATTTTGGCTTTTGTTGCAATTGCTTTTTGTGTTTTAGTCATGAAGTCTTTGCCCTACCTACGTCCTGAATGGCATTGCCTAGGTTTTCTTCTAGGGTTTTTATGGTTTTAGGTCTTACATTTAAATAGTTAATCCATCTTGAGTTAACTTTTGTATAAGGTGTAAGGAAGGGGTCCAGTTTCAGTTTTCTGCATATGGCTAGCCAGTTTTCCCAGCATCATTTATTAAAGAGGGAATCCTTTCCCCATTGCTTATTTTTGTCAGGTTTGTCAAAGATCAGATGGTTGTAGATATGTGGTGTTATTTCTGAGGCCTCTGTTCTGTTCCATTGGTCTATATCTCTGTTTTGGTACCGGTACCGTGCTATTTTGGTTACAGTAGCCTTGCAGTATAGTCTGGTCAGGTAGCGTGATCCCTCTGGCTTTGTTCTTTTTGCTTAGGATTGTCCTGGCTATACAGGCTCTTTTTTGGTTCCATACGAAATTTAAAGTAGTTTTTTTTTTTTTTTCCAATTCTGTGAAGAAAGTCAATGGTAACTTGATGGGAATAGCATTGAATCTATAATTTACTTTTGGCAGTATGGCCATTTTCATGATATTGATTCTTCCTATCCATGAGCTTGGAAGGTTTTTCCATTTGTCTGTGTCCTCTCTTATTTCCTTGAGCAGTAGTTTGTAGTTCTCCTTGGAGAGGTCCTTTACATCCCTTGTAAGTTGTATACCTAGTTATTTTATTCTCTTTGTAGCAATTGTGGGAGTTGCTCATGAGTGGGAGTTCACTCATGATTTGATTCTGTTTGTCTATTATTGGTGTATAGGAATGCTTGTGATTTTTGCACATTGATTTTGTATCCTGAGACTTTGCTGAAGTTACTTATCAGCTTAAGGAGATTTGGGGCTGAGATTATGGGGCTTTCTAAATATACAATCATGTCATCTGCAAACAGACAATTTGACTTCCTCTTTTCCAATTTGAATACCCCTTATTTCTTTCTCTTGCCTGACTGCCCTGGTCAGAACTTCCAATACTGTGTTGAATAGGAGTGGTGAGAGAGGGCATCCTTGTCTTGTACCGGTTTTCAAAGGGAATGATTCCACCTTTTTCCCGTTCAGTATGATATTGGCTGTGGGTTTGTCATAAATAGCTCTCATTATTTTGAGATACGTTCCATCAATACCGAGTTTATTGAGTGTTTTTAGCATGAAGGGCTGTTGAATTTTATCACAGGCCTTTTCTGCATCTATTGAGATAATCATGTGGTTTTTGTCCTTGGTTCTGTTTATGTGATGGATTATGTTTATTGATTTGTGTATGTTGAACCAGCCTTGCATGGCAAGGATGAAGCCAACTTGATCATGGTGGGTAAGTTTTTGATGTGCTGCTGGATTTGGTTTGCCAGTATTTTATTGAGGATTTTTAGATTGATGTTCATCAGGGATATTGGCCTGAGATTTTCCTTTTTTTTTATTATTATTTTTGTTTTGTTGTATCTTTGCCAGGTTTTGGTATTGGGATGATGCTGGCCTCATAAAATGAGTTAGGGAGGATTCCCTCTTTTTCTATAGTTTGAAATAGTTTCAGAAGGAATGGTACCAGCTCCTCTTTGTACCTCTGGTAGAAGTCGGCTGTGTATCAGTCTGGTCCTGGGCTTTTTTAGTTGGTAGGCTAGCTATTAATTACTGCCTCAATTTCAGAAGTTGATATTGGTCTATTCATGGGATTCAGCTTCTTCCTGGTTTGGTCTTGAGAGGGTGTATGTGTCCAGGAATTTATCTATTTCTTCTAGATTTTCTAGTTTATTTGCATAGAGGTGTTTATAGTATTCTTTGATGGTAGTTTGTATTTCTGTGGGATCCATAGTGATATCCCCTTTATCTTTTTTTGTTTGTTTGTTTGTTTGTTTTTGAGATGGAGTATTGCTCTGTTGCCCAGGCTGGAGTGCAGTGGTGCAATCTCAGCTCAATGCATGCAACCTCTGCCTGCCAGGTTCAAGCGATTCTCCTGCCTCAGTCTCCTAAGTAGCTGGGATTATAGGCATGCACTACCATGCCTGGCTAATTTTTGTATTTTTAATAGAGATGAGGTTTCACCATATTGGTCAGGCTGGTGTTGAACTCCTGACCTCGTGATCCACCCGCCTAGGCCTCCCAAAGTGCTGGGGTTACAGGACTGAGTGACAACACCTGGCCCCCTTTACCATTTTTTATTGTGTCTATTTGATTCTTCTCTCTTTCCTTCTTTATTAGTCTGGCTAGTGGTCTATTTTGTTCAACTTTTCAAAAAACCAGCTCTTGGATTCATGGATTTTTTTTTTGTTGTTTTTTTAAGGGTTTTAGTGTTTGTCTCCTTCAGTTCTGCTCTGATCTTAGTTATTTCTTGTCTTCCGCTAACTCTTGAATTTGTTTGCTCTTGCTTCTCTAGTTCTTTTAATTGTGATGTTAGGGTGTCAATTTTAGATCTTTCCCACTTTCTGTTGTGGGCATTTAGTGCTATAAATTTCCCTCTAAACACTGCTTTAGCTGTGTCCCAGAGATTCTGGTACGTTGTGTCTTTGTTCTCATTGGTTTCAAATAATTTTATTTCTGTCTTAATTTTGTTATTTACCCAGTAGTCATTCAGGAGTAGGTTATTCAGTTTCCATGTAGTTGTGCAGTTTTGAGTGAGTTTCTTAATTCTGAGTTCTAAATGATTGCACTGTGATCCGAGAGACTGTTATTATTTCCATTCTTTTGCATTTGCTGAGGAGTGTTTCACTTCCAATTAGGTTGTCAATTTTAGAGTAAGTGCTATGTGGTGCTGAGAAGAATGTATGTTCTGTTGATTTTTGGGGTGGAGAGTTCTGTAGATGTCTGTTGGGTCTGCTTGGTCCAGAGCTGAGTTCAAGTCCTGAATATCCTTGTTCATTTTCTGTCTCATTGATCTGATTAATATTGGCAGTGGGGTGTTAAAGTCTCCCATTATTGTTTTGTGGGAGCCTAAGTCTCTCTGTAGGTCTCTAAGAACTTGCTTTAAGAATCTGGGTGCTCCTGTATTGGGTGCATATATATTTAAGATAGTTAGGTCTTCTTGTTGCATTGATTCCTTTACCATTATGTAATGCCCTTCTTTCTCTTTTTTGATCTTTGTTGGTTTAAAGGTTTAAAGTCTGTTTTATCAGAGACTAGGATTGCAACCCCTGCTTTTTTTTTTTTTGCTTTCCATTTGCTTGATAAATATTCCTCCTATGTGTGTCTTTGCATATGAGATGGGTCTCCTGAATACAGCATGCTGATGGTTCTTGACTCTTTATCTAATGTGCCAGTCTGTGTCTTTTAATTGGGGCATTTAGCCCATTTACATTTAAGGTTAATATTGTTATGTGTACATTTGATCCTGTTATCATGATGCTAGCTGGTTATCTTGCACATCAGTTGATAGAGTTTCTTCATAATGTCATTGGCCTTTATATTTTGGTATGTTTTTTTCAGTGGCTGGTATCAGTTTTTCCTTTTCATATTTAGTGCTTCCTTCAGGAGCTCTTGCAAGGCAGGCCTGGTGTTGACAGAATCTTTCAGCATTTGCTTGTCTGTAAAGGATTTTATTTCTCCTTCACTTAGGAAGCTTAGTTTGGCTGGATATGAAATTCTGGGTTGAAAATTCTTTTCTTTGAGAAAGTTGAATATTGGTCCCCACTCTTTTCTGGCTTGTAGAGTTTCTGCAGAGAGATCTGCTGTTAGTTTGATGGACATCCCTTTGTGGGTAACCTGACCTTTCTCTCTGGCTGCCCTTAACAATTTTTCCTTCATTTCAACCTTTGTGAATCTGACAATTATGTGTCTTGGGATTGCTCTTCTCAAGGAGTATCTTAGTAGTGTTCTCTGTATATCCTGAATTTGAATGTTGGCCTGCCTTGCTACGTTGGGGAAGTTCTCCTGGATAATGTCCTTAAGGGTGTTTTCCAACTTGGTTCCATTCTCCCTGTCACTTTCAGGTACACCAATCAATCGTAGATTTGGTCTTTTCACATAGTCCCATATTTCTTGGAGGCTTCGTTGGTTCCTTTTCATTCTTTTTTCTCTAATTTTGTCTTCATGCTTTATTTCATTAAGTTGATCTTCAGTGTCTGATATCCTTTCTTCTGCTTGATCGATTTAGCTATTGATACTCGCGTATGCATCACAAAGTTCTCGTGCTGTGTTTTTCAGCTACATCAGGTCATTGATGTTCTTCTCTAAACTGGTTCTTCTAGTTAGCAGTTCCTGTAACCTTTTATCAAGGTTCTTAGCTTCCTTGCATTGGGTTGGAACATGCTCCTTTAGCTCAGAGGAGTTTGTTATTACCCACCTTCTGCAGCCTACTTCTGTCAAACTCATTCTCCATCCAGTTTTGTTCCCTTGCTGGTGAGGAATTGTGATCCTTTGAAGGAGAAGAGGCATTCTGGTTTTTGAAATTTTCAGCATTTTTGTGCTGGTTTTTCCTCATCTTCATGGATTTGTCTACCTTTGTTCTTTGATGCTGATGACCTTTGAATGGGGTTTTTGCTTGGATATCCTTTTTTGTTGATGTTGATGTTATTGCTTTCTGTTTGTTAGTTTTCCTTCTAACAGTCAGGGCCCTCTTCTGCAGGTCTGCTGGAGTTTGCTGGAGGTCCACTCCAGACTCTCTTTGTCTGGGTATCACCAGCAGAGGCTGCAGAACAGCAAAGATTGCTTCCTGCTCCTTCCTCTGGAAGCTTTGTCTCAGGGGGGCACCTGCCTGTATGAGGTGTCTGTCAACCCCTGCTGGGAGATGTCTCCCAGTCAGGAGGCACGGGAGTCAGGGACCCACTTGAGGAGGCAGTCTGTCCCTTAGCAGAGCTTGAGCACTGTTCTGGGAAATCTACTGCTGTCTTCAGAGCTGGCAGTCAGGAACATTTAAGTCTGCTGAAGCTGCACCCACAGCCACCCCTTCCCCCAGGTGCTCTGTCCCAGGGAGATGGGAGTTTTATGTATAATCCCCAGACTGGGGCTGCTGCCTTTCTTTCAGAGATGCCCTGCCCAGAGAGGAGTAATCTAGAGAGAGGCAGTCTGGCTACAGCTGCTTTGCTGCACTCAACACTGCCCCCATGTTAAGCCATAACCTCAAAAGGCTAGGCTGTCAAGGAAAAGGGGAATCAGAAAGAAACTGCTGGAAAGTTTGCTTTGGAACTATACAGTGGAGAAGAAATAAAGGAAAGGAAAAATTACTCTTTGAAAGTTTTGGACACAGGCTAAATTTTGTGCAGATTTGCAGACTGAGTTCATATATTTTGGGTGGTCCAGGGAAATCTCAAGCCATGAATTTGTTTCAGGGTGGTTCTAACCTGGCATTGCCTTTGGTTTCCAGACAGAAGTAAATTCACATTCTCTTAGGAGGAAGGTAACTATATTCTAGACCTCAGGGAATCCCCATAAATATTTTTCTGGACAAATGAAAATTATATTGTCAAAAATAAAGGCAAGTACATACGGCAATAGAAAATCATAAGTAGAAAACATTAGGACTAACAGAAACAATTGGTCTACAAAGATTTAACATATCGAAATAATTGGGTATAAATTGTAAACATCTATGCTTACTCTATTTGAAGAAATAAGCAGCAAACACAAAACTATAAAACTTGACCTACTAGACATGAAAAAGAGCCTAGTAATATTTCTAGACATAAAAAAAAGGTAACCCAAATTAAACCCAATGTCTGGATCTACAACTAGAGGGAAAGTGAATGGAAATATAGATGAAAAGAAAAGAAAATACATAAAATAAGTAATGGGGAGACAAAAAGGAGAAAGGTACAAAAGGAGAGGTTAAAATTCATGGAAGAAGGTATAAGGAGAGGGAAAATGAGGACAAAGGCAATTTTTGAGGAAATGATTGAGAGTTTTACACAACCGAAATAAACTAACCCAATTATTCAAAAATCAATCAGATTCAAAAACCAAGTAGATTAAATATGAATGTCATACCTGGTTATTTTACAATAAAACCTCACAACACCAAAGAGAATCATTTCAAAGTGGCTAGAGAATTATGTCAGTACTTTCAAAGGAGCAATATTTAGCCCTATTGCTGACTTCCACAATCAGCAATGAAAACCAGAAGTCATTGGAATGATATTACCAAATATTTGGGGGAAAAAAAACCCTGCCAAGTTAAAGTTCTATACCCAGAGAAAAATCTGTAAAAAATAAAGATGAAATAAGATCATTTTTAGACAAATAAAAATAGGGCACATTACCCCTAGCATACCATCACTAAAGGAAATTCACACTAGGAAAGGGTGAGCCCAAGTGAAAAACCTAAAATGAAAGAAGAAATGAAGAATAAAGAAAGTAATAAATACAGGGTAAATATAAATGAACACTTACTGTAGATAATAATGTAGAGTTAAAGCATAGTATAAAAATACATGATTAATAATGACATGTTAAATGAGAAAACTCAGTGAAAGCATTCTATGGTCCTTCATTATCTGGCACGAGTGTAAATGTATTGATAAACTTTAAAATATACATATTTATCGTTAAATAGTTATAACTTTTGGTTTCGGGGTACATGCGCAGGTTTGTTCTATAGATAAATTACATGTTGTGGGTGTTTGGCATACATATTGTTTTGTCACACTGGTAATAAGCATAGCACCCAATAGGTAGTTTTTTGATCCTTTCCCTCCTCCCAGCCTCCATCCTCAAGTAGGCCCCAGTGTCTGTTTTTCCCTTCTTTGTGTTTTCGTGTACTCAATATTTAGCTCCCACTTACAAGTAAGAACTTGTGGTGTTTGGTTTTCTGTTTCTGTGTTAGTTTGCTTAGGATAAAGGCCTCCAGCTCCATCCATGTTGCTGCAAAGAACATTATCTCATTCTTTTTTATGGTTGCATAGTATTCTATGGTGTATATGTATCACATTTTTCTTTACTCAGTCTACTGTTAATGGACATTTAGGTTGATTCCATGTCTTTGCTATTGTGAATAATGCTGTGATGAACATAAGCCTGTATGTGTTTTTATGGTAGAATGATCTATATTACTTTGTGTATATA
This sequence comes from Homo sapiens, assembly GCF_000001405.40. Taxonomy (NCBI): domain Eukaryota; kingdom Metazoa; phylum Chordata; class Mammalia; order Primates; family Hominidae; genus Homo; species Homo sapiens. The sequence continues at coordinate 103,387,888 of NC_000005.10, forward strand.
CTCAGTAATAGGATTTCTGAGTCAAATGGTAGTTCTGTTTTAAGTTCTTTGAGAAATCTCCGAACTACTTTCCACAGTGGCTGAACTAATTTACACTCCCAACAGCAGTGTATAAGCATTCTCTTTTCTCCATAGCCTCACCAGCATGTTATTTTTTGACTTTTAAGTAATAGTTGTTTTGACTGGTGTGAGATGGTATCTCATTATGGTTTTGATTTTCATTTCTCTGATGATAGTGATGTTGAGAATTTTTTCACATTCGCTGCATATATGTCTTCTTTTGAAAAGTGTTTGTTCATGTCCTTTGCCCCCTTTTTATTGGGGTTGTTTTATGCCTGTTAATCATAAATATATATGTACATACATTTTAATATGTATATTACATTTCATAATAAAGTTAATAAAATGTTTAATCCAGTGATTTGGTTCACTATAAATTGATGGTCTTCAACTTGAGTTAGCAGTACTCTCGATGCTACCTAGCAGTTCTGCCTGTTCTCAGTCGTCATATCCCTCACATTCCCCTTAGGAACTAACTCAAATATTCCCCACATTTCTCCAATCTCCTACTCTTCCCCTGCTCCCAGCATCTCCTCATCTTCAGCACCTTACCTTACCTCTCTGTTTCCTTTCTTCTCAATCTGCTAAAACAGTGGTTTTCAAACATTTTGATCTCAGGACCCCTTTAAACTCAAGAAAATTGACCTAAAAGAACCCTTGTTTAGGTGGATACTCACAAGGCATTACCTATTCTGAAATGCTGAACATTTTCAAAATGGATAGTCTGTCCTATTTATTTTCACTGAAGAGAAAACATCACAAGAGCAGAATTTATGTGTTACTAACCTTGAACTCCCTGGAACCTGACTCAGAACTTGATACTTTTTTTTTTTTGGTTATTATTAATTCTATAGGGTCATTTTTCTGTCCTCTCTAATTATTTTGGTAAATGTGAGAGTTAGCTGGTATTTCAGCTGAGTTTCTTCTAAGATTCTCCTTTAGGTGATTTGAGTATATTTAAAACAAAATGAAAGAATAGTTTATGAAACAAGTACAAAACCAATTCACTCCATCCTTAGGAATACTCAAAAAAGAAAAAAGATCCAATTTCACACTCCAGCTGAAGTCTGTCCTATATCTGAGAAAATTGCCCCAGGTGTCCACAATGGAACTTCTGCTTGAGATTCTAATATGATAAAGATGATTTCTCAGGAGATGTTATTTCTCTGAGAAGTGACTGAGAAAAAAGCTTTGTCAACAGCAAATTAAAATAAAGCTGTGGTACAATATTATTATTCTGGCCAAATGTAGTGATTTTATTCCATCTCTAGGAAAAGGAAGAGATCTGTAAGTATGCCCAGGAGGAAAGCAGGGCTGATCAGGGATGCACATGACCTGAAAGTGAGTGTGTGATGGCTTTGCTGCAAGACTGTCTGCCCCTTGCCTCTATTGAATGGAGATTTGTATTTTAGAATTTTAATCTCTCAAAGCCCTTAAAAAGACTACGTAAGACAATGACTTGCAGCAAATTTCATTATATGTGTGAATAGTGCTGTAGCCAGATTCTGGTGTCATTTCACACATTATATTTGTACTATTGCTAGGTAGGCTGCTGCCGGCCCTAAGGCAATGTGTGTGTGTTTCTGTGTGTGTGTGGGCAGGGGGCTGGGTTTGGGGAAGTCTTTAACAGGGAGGATGGGTGAAAGGCAGTGGGGAGGAAGAGGCAGGTAGGGGCAAAGCTGGGAAGAGGTATATGTGACTTGTCCTTGCAGATTTAATATCTAGGCCATCCTGGGAGACAATTGCCCACATTGAATTTAGATGTTACAAATGGGATGGCATAAAATGGGTTGGTATGTAGCTGGTGATGTCTTAGTAAATAAAAAATTGGTGCTTAATGCCACCCAAGAACTTACTTGCTTTAAAAAGTAAAGTTAAAGGGACGATTTCATTCTTCATAAGTACCCCTAGTAGAAACAAACAAAAAATAGAACATGTTTCACACCTGAGTCTACCATTAAATCTGAAATATGGTTTGAGAGGCAGAGAGAACCAGCTTCCCTGCAAAGCCTTAAGCGAGCCCTTTGTGCTCTCTAGCTTTCATTGAGTACACGGGTTGCCCTAGTGATGAATGTCCTGCTTTGTGTGGTCTCAGCATTTTTTTCTAGAGAGGCTGTTTTTAATGAGAAGGTGAATAGAGGGGGCTTCTTTTGAAACTAGGATAAGAGGAGGGCCACTTCTGAAAATGCAAGCATAATGGTGCCATTCCTTCTCACAGAGATCTGACAATCGCCCCCTCTCTTTCTGTCTGTCTTTCTCTCTCTCTCTCTTTCTCTCTCTCTTTTCTCTTTTTATTACTAAGTAGCTTTCAGTAGCCTGCTTCGGCTAAGTACTGTTTTGGATTGGCCTATGGTCTCAATACCCTGGGATCTTCTTTTAGAAGTAAAGAGTAACCAATTAGATCTCATTTTGTCACTCTGGCCTCATCTTCTTTCCTCTAAAAAGGGACTATTCTTGATGTTTTAGGGTAGGACACACCCCTGCTCCTTTCTCCTACCTATTTTAAAATGCTGTACTTTTTCAGATTTACCCACGCACTAAGAATTATGCTTCAGCCTGTTTGAAGCTTTCTTCTCCTTCAGGATCCATTGTGCAAGGCAGGAGTGGGAGAAAACCATGTAATTGCTATATTTTAGGACTCGCTTGAGGCTAGCTTTGATTGAACACACACAGTAAACTCTTGATTATCCATGCTAATGGAAGGAATAGTAATTCAGACCAGACACATTGTTTCTATCTGACTTTGAAATGTGTTGAGTGATTTTTTTTTGAAAGCAGTAGCAGGTGGTTTACTTAGACTGTATTAATAGTGAAATTTCTTTTGTGATGCCACTGTTTTGGTAGACAAAATTGTGAGAGACACCACTCTCCTCCTTCCTCTTTCTACTCCACAATCTTACCTGGCACAGACTCCCAGTGCCTTCACCTTACATATTCCTTTTTATGTCCCCCTTCTCTTATCAAAATGAACTCTTAGGAAACTGGTAAATTGGTAAGGCCAAGTAATTAATTAAAGGAGCGTAGTGTCATTTAAATAGGAGTGAAATCCCAAAACTAAGAAAACAAAAATGACTAATATTTGTATCATATTCAATATTTGCATTAAAAGGGTATCCAGTTTCATGATGGTAAGGTATTTGCTGTTTTGATGTTACATATTTTTATTTGTTTTGCTTATTGCTGCATCCCCAGTGCCTAGAATAGTGCCAGGCATGTAATATGCACATAATAATTTTTTGTGGTATAAATGAATGAAAAATAATTTTCTTATTTATTGAGACAGGGTCTCCCTGTGTCACCCAAGGTGGAGTGCAGTGTGTGATCATGGCTTACTGCATCTTTAACCTCCTGGGCTGAAGCAATCCTCCCATTTAGGCCTCCTGAGTAGCTGGGACCACAGGCATACCCGATGGCACCTGGCTAATTTTTAAAAAATTTCTGTAGAGATGGGGGTCTCTGTATGTTGCCTAGGCTGGTCTTGAACTCAAATAATCTGCCTTCCCTGGCCTCTCAAAGTTCTGGGATTACAGGCATGAGCCACCGTACCCAGCCATAATTCTCAAAATGCTTCTTCATGTACTTATTTTTTTTTCCTATTCCTGCAACTCTCCTAGAATATAGACGTCACAGCTATTATTAAAATAATTATTGATTTATCTTCCCTTTTGTTTATCGGTAACTAATTTACATGTAAACATATGTAATGTTCCTTATAAATTCTAATTCCCTATAAATAGAATATATAATAATGGAAGTTTTTTTTAATGGACAGTCTTTTTGAGCTTATGCTATTTTGCATTTTGCATTTTGCACTTTGCTGATTTGTCAGACAAAGTACATCATCACTTTGGAGACATCATCTTTGTGGAGACAGCTTTTCTTTGGCGATAAGTGACAAAGTGGTATGCTGCTCGCGGGCCATTTCTATCACCGGAACTAATCTGTCACGGTGTGGTTGTGTGTGATAAACCACTTACTGCACAGAGTAATAGGAATCCCACCCAAGCTATGCTCACTCCAGTCTATTTTTTCTTAATAAATAGAGTTAAGCAAAAGATCTTCCAGATTGTGCCATTTTAGTTGAGAGAAAATAAAACAGAAAAGTCAAAATGGAATGGCACTCCTTTTCCTTTGTGATCCTCTGTAAGGAATGTAAGATGGCAATGGAATATTAAGGTACATGGCTTCTGATTTATCCTGAGGTGGTGGGAATTGGCTTGGATTCAGGAACTCCCCGCATACGCATGTTGTGCTAGTGGAGTGAGTTAATTGCTTGGCTTTGGAGCCAGATTTGGGTTGAGTACCAACTCTTTTACCAACTTTACCAATGGAGCAATTTACTTAGGGCCTCTCAGCTTCTGTTTCTTCATCTTTAAGATGGTGATAACAATAGCATCTATTTCATTGGGAGAGTTAAATTTTAGTTAAATTTTTAGAAGTCTGCAAATAATTTCATACCTGGTGCACACACACAGTTGTTATGGCTTTGATGAACACTCCTTGAGTATCTACTGTGAGCCCAGAATCATGCCAGGTAATTTTCATATGCTCTGCAACTTCATACCTACATCAACCTACTTTTTCCCAGTGAGAAAACTGAGGCTTATAGAAGTTAAATAATACACTCAACGTGACACAGCCATTGGGGTGCTGGGAATTTGGATCTCTCTCTCTTTGCATTATACCATGTGGCCTTTCCGGGGTTTTGGTGCCCAAACAAGTTGAATCCATTCCACAGCTGTGTCCTCAATCATAAATACCTCACCTTAAGATATTGGGGAGATAAGACACAAGAGCATTTATCAAAGCACAGGTTTATCGAACTCTCTGGACATTTCTCCTCTTTCATGTTCTTTGGGGAGTATTTTTGGTGCCGAGGCTTGGCAGGGCTCAGCTGAAGTGACACTTCCTCAGAGAAGCTTTCCCCGACCACCTCTCTGGGGTTGTTATTAAACCATGCCACAGCTGCTATCGTGACATTTGTCATGGCCTGAAACTATATGTGTATTTGCTTGGGTCCTCGCCTGTTTAACCCCAATGCACTGTAAGGTCTCTGAGAAAAGGAGCTTTGCTTTGTTTACTGCTATATTTTCAGTGCATGGCACAGTGCTCAGACACTGGGAGGGACTCAATAAATATGCGATCAACTTACAAATGAAGAAGTGCAACTGCTGTGAAAAGGCTGCAGTCCTGGGAGGCAAGCTTTGTGTTGGAGCAATCACACTGCCAGGCTTTCAGTAATAGATAAAAAGGTGGGGGTGGGGTGAGTAAGAGTTGCCTGAATTCTCTGCCTGTAGGTCTGCTTCATGCCCTTTTGATGGCAGGAGGGAGCTGTCCTGATTTTTTTTTTTTTTTTTTTTTTTTTTTGGCCAGGGAATGAGGCCTTGAGGTGCAGCCTGTGGCTAAATATGTCACAGCTCAGCCTCTGCTTCATCCTCATTAACTCCACTTCATAGCTGGCCAGAGGCAAAGATTAATTTAGTGACCAAGCTTAATAAATAGTTGCTTCTGGTCTTACATTTCAGGCATTGCTTTCAGAGGCTGAGAGCTCATTGAAGTGCCAGTTTCAAGATGTCAAGGGCAAGCAGCTGGGCTTGAGGGAAGTGCAGAGATATTTCTGCTGAGCCTTTGTTCCCCAGCCCATCTTGAAATCATCAAAACTGCAGCGACGACAGGAAAAGCCTTCAACATCCATTTCCTGTGTAGCCTAAAAACCATGTTTCTCAAACCGATTGCCTTTGTAAGACATTGCTACATACATGATTCTCCACGCATGTCAAGCAACTCTTGCCTACAATGTAGTGTGGGAAAATTTTAATATTTGTCACCACATATACATTTTTATTTTATCACCACATGGCATCTGACACAGAAATCTCTAACCTCTTCCCTCTGGAAGGCCTTGGTGGAGTTTCTACTTTGAAGGGAGCTTGGCTCTGGGCAGCCATCTCTAGTGTAAATCAAGTCTGAGGTACTAGACAGTAAACAATATTGTACCCCACAGGGTCTGAGGTGACCTGAATAAGTTCCGCGGTGCGTCCACCATAGCGATGACATCATTACAGCATATGTGTATGCCCATATCTATGTGTAATTGTAATGTATAATTAATACGGAGCTAAAATTAAACTCCTGGGTGAAAAGAGATGGGCAGGCTGAAGAGGCTGAGGAATATTAACCTCTAAGATGCCGCTTGGTTGCAGCAGCTGTAGGATGGCAGTGCTCTTAGCATCAATGTGCGTGTGTGTGTGTGTGTGTGTGTGTGTGTGTGTGTGTATGTGTCTGTGTTCCTTTTTGTTGTTAATGTTTCAGCCTTGAGGAATGAGAATTTTGCAGTTTATCCACACTTCATCCCCTCCAAGCTCCCTAAGAAGCCTTTGTTTCATTTAATCTTGTCCTCGGGCCTCTCACTTACGTACTTTCATTTTTCTAGATAGTGTAATTAATTTCTCTCAAGTGGGGAGACTGACAAAGCAGGCAGAAATAGGACATAAGCATCGCTTTCCTGTGGCGGCAGTTCCTTCACTCTCTTTTGGCATTGACTTTGGACAAGAAAGTATGTGACCTGGAAAAAGTTCCTGACTCTTGTTTACAAATAGTGCTCACAGCACCCTTCACATTCTTTGACCTTGAAAAGAGGCGACCACGGAGCACAGTTGTTACCCTTGATTATGAATGAAGTTTGACTCTTGGAGAAGGTATTCTTTGAAACAGTTATCTAGGTAACGAAGTTTATTTTTGTTTATCAAACCCATACATCACTTCAGCCTCTGTATTATGAGTTGTGCTAAATGTACATTACTAAGAATATAGAGAAAGGTTATTTTCACTTCTTTTCTTCCCTAATGACTATGTTAAACTCGTGGGCAGGCATGGACTAAACAACCATCTGGCAAGACATGGCTCCTTAACTCCCACTTCCTGTTGTCTAAACATTGACTTCTATTTAGCCAAAGGCACTACCACGTTCTACCAGAAGTTATAGTTGTTTAAGTTCTGCATCTCTTGTCTACTCCTTGATCCTGCTTCTCTCCACTTGGACAATGATCTTATTTCTTATTAGTTTTAATAACCTCTGGTTTCAAAGGAAGTTTTCTAGTCCACTACTAGAGCACTTTCTAACAAGGCATACTACCTGCTTATCACAACATCTTACGATTCACCAATTCCAATGAGGGGTGTGTGTGAGAGAGAGAGATTTAACAAAATCATTCATTGACACTTGCTTGTCTGCAGCAGCAACTGTTACATGATTTTCAAGTTTCTCTGTGTTCTGCCTTTGTCACTTCGATCTCAAACAAGCTATTGAACAACTTTGAACCTTGGCCTCCTTATTAGTAAATGGGAATAGAGAAGCAAAGTTTAATTCTCACTGGGTGTTGGGGATTGGCAAAGCATCCAACATAGATGAAAATCTTCAGTATATTTTTTGTCTTTGCTGAAGTAGAAAAACCAATGCTGAAGTTGCAAAAATATGCATCTTGGAATAGATCAGAATGTATATTTAACTGACTGGAAAGTCCACTTGACAAAATTGGTTTGAATCCTACATCAAATCTGTTGCTATTAAATTGTTATTTTGACAATATAATTTTTGAACTATTTTAATTGCCTGTAATCCCAGTACTTTGGGAGGCTGAGGCAGGTGGATCACTTAAATAAGCCCAGGAGTTCAAGACTAACCTGGGCAACAGGGCAGAAATCCCATCTCTACTAAATATACAAAAATTAGCTGGGTGTGGTGGCACACACCCGTAGTCCCAGCTACTCAGGAGGCTGAGGTGGGAGAATCATCTGAGTCCTGGAAGTCAAAGCTGCAGTGAGCCGTGATCATGCATGGCACTGTACTCCAGCCTGGGCGATGGAGTGAGACCCTGTCTCACATACAAAAAAAAATTTAAATTAAAGTGACTCTTCTGAAAGATTCAAATAGAAAATAAAGCACTAAAAATAATACCACAAAATATATCACTGGCCAAGTATGGTTATTTTTATGATTCTTATATTATTGTTACATTATGATTATGGTGACAAAACTTATTTATATTTACTTATATATGGTTATTTAGAAAATTTAGAGAATTAAATGATAAATGGTAGTAGACCCAGAGTATCTATAAAAACAGGCTTAGAAGAACAATCTGATTGAAAGAGCTAGAGTTGGTATTAATGTTATGTTTGCATGGCAGGCCCACTGTTTTTGTGCAGTTTTCATGCTTATAGGGATGACTTTGATGCTGATGAAAATATGGCACTTGTGTTAAAGCTGCATTTGCATAGCAAGTCCAATGTTATTACTTAACTGGTATGCTTATTGGGGGCTTTGAGTACATTGATGAGCCAGTAGTGGGGCTGCAATTTGTTTTTGCCACCACTGTAGAGAGATTCTGTCCCAGATATATTTAGAATTTCTGTTTTAAGTAGAATTTGTTTAAAATATAGTGTGAAGAATAGACATGTAAAGAATTCAAATGTTGCCAATTTCACTCACCACTAATTCCTTGACTTGGAAAGATTTTTCTTTTCACAGAAACAAGGTGTTTGAGAAAAGTAGTTGAGAATTGCAAATGTGATATTGGAGTTATACACGTGCTGTGATTTTTTTTTTTTTCCTAAGACACAATATGTTTGCAGGATCTGTGATGTTTGCTCACTTTAAGTCTGGATGCTTGGATAAGCCGAGGGTTCTCTAACTCTATGTTGAAGAGACAGTAAGATTATAGTTTTTTTATATTTTCTAAAAGGCCACTTATTTTTTTTCATATTTTATGTTGGTATTTTAAAGGGACAGTAGTGTACATCAGGAATAAGGTAGATCTTGCATCTTGCACAGAAGATACACACTTTAGAAGTCATCAGACCAAGGTCTCAAAGCACTTATGTGATTTGACTTGAGGTCACTCTGTCCCCAAATATTTCATTTGTTACACATTCTACCCAAAACCCTAAGATATCTCATATTTTTCGACAAAATTGCTAAAATGATTAATCACTAAAAAAAAATCTGGAGAAATTGCAGTATCTATACTAACTTTGCAGACTCAAATTTATAAGACTTGTACATATGTGACTACCCCGGGAACTACATTTAACTTTGTAAATCAAGGAACTAATCTTTGCAAAGGCAAAAGAATGATTGACAGCACAGACTATACTACAGCACTTGTTACATCGTTTCTTATTTTATTCATTTCATCAATAATATTAATCAGTACTGTCTGTAAAAGTGGAAGATCTAAACACCAAGACTAGAGTAAAATTTGCATTTTTTACACCAAACATCAGCCATTGCAACTTCTATTGACCACTACTTTTGATCACTATGTAAATATAGTTACTCACTAAGAGTCTTGTTTTTAGAATAAGAACCCTTCTGGGACATTTACACAGAAGATACACAATCTAGAATTTATCAAAATCCATTCACAGATCTTACAACGACCAACATAATAACACAGTGTTTGTTCTTTTAACAGTCTTAGTTACAATTCTGAGAACACTGTCTATCAAGTCTGAGTTCTTATAACCACTCTTCCTTTTGATAAGCAAGAACAGAAGAAAAAATGAGAGATATTGTGACCATGACATGCTCACAGTCACAAAACAAGTATAATTAACTTGCAGTTGAAGCTTATCTCCCACTTGTCATATTTTTTCTGCCTAGATCCCTAAACACTGAATTTAGAATCACTATGTGAACATATTATGTATATTTCCCAGTCCATCATTATTCATTTCTGAAGTTTTCAGTTCATTTCCCAAATTTTTCCACATATTAAAAATGGCCACTGCTTTCTATTTGGGATTTGATGTGCCTAATAACACTATTCCCTCCCATCTAAGTTAGAACACACACACAACACACCATGTGAGATGTGCCACATGCCCACGCACCCCACACACGTACACGTAGAGAGGAGGGGACAGGAGAAAGAGACGGCGGGTCACAGGAGACGTGAAGAGAAAAGACTCAGATTTATTATGCAGATACAAAGTGGAGAGGAATGCTAAACTCATGGAAGCCACATGTGCTTGGTAACACTAAATTGAAGGGATTAAAAACACTGGTAGAGCTAAGACAAACCTAGGTCTCTCTTCAGCAGTACTTACTGCAGATTGTCTGGCTCTGAAGGAGAGAGGGACCCAGAAGCTCTGAGATGGGCATGTCAGTTCCTTCTCCCAGAATCACCAGGCAGATCGTTTACTTCATCAGGAGGATTGAGTGAGAGAGTGGAGAAATACCAGGGGTATTACTCTAGGGAAGTTTCCCATACTTTTACTGGAATGGGAACATGATTTCTAGTAATAGAATTTTATCAGTTAACAATCTTTATTTATAAAAAAGGAAAACTGACTCAGCAACTGAAGCCAATAAAAGGGAGAATTTAAAAACTGGATCCTATATAGGTGATTCATGGAGCTGGAAAGGGTGAACACTTAGGCACTGGGATGTGTAGACACAGGGAAGCTTCTAGAATGATGGCAGGAGGAGCATGGGAGCTGTCTCTATGGGTCTAGTACGGCTCTCCAAAGGATTCAGCCACAATTTCCTTCAGCTCTGTGTGTTTCTGCTTAAAATTCAAATTGTAGGAGTTTAAGCCTCATTACTCTAGTTTGGTTTAGATACCCACCTCTATTGTCAAGGAGTTTAATTATTGATAGTATAATTATTGATAATTTCATTAATTTCTCATTGTGTGGGGAGGAGTCATTCACTAAGGGAATTTATGCTGGAAAGTTTTTTTTTAAAGTAGTGTAAGCATTACATATTCTGATTAGGTTCTATTCTGAAAAAAGGATAATCTGTACATTTTATTAACATGGGATTATACCTATTTTCATTTAAAAAACAAAAATAGTATAATTTTTCCTTAAATTGTCATCAATATCACTTTGGAACGATAATTAAACTTATGCTCTAAGCCTTTTTGAAGGTTGATATAAAAAGGCTACATGAAGGACACCTTTATAGGAAATGTAAACATGTGAAGACAAAATCTTATTGTGTGGTTCAGAACACAAAACTGTTTATCATTCTAGATTAAGCATTTCAAAATTTGATAATGAAGGTTATCTAATCCATCATTTCTCTTTTTTGCCTTGGCTACAGGAAACTTGCAGCTTAAGTCTTTTGTTCAATTATTAAAGGTCTTAGCCTGGGTCTTTCTATCACGTGTCTCATGTGCTTTTATCCTTGATTAAATAGTATTTAGGCCTCTTACGTTATAGCTAATTTAAATTCCTTTTGGATGTAGGATGAATAGAGTAACTACAACTAGTTGATTAGCTGTATGACTAAAGTGGTTTAATGTATACACAGCTGAAACTTCACTGGAAAATGATATGGGACACTAAATGTGGATTGGTAGCTCTCTTGGCTGGATTGATACTTCACAATGCACTCAGTTGCTTTCCCAGAGTCCTATGAATTGAGTGAACTTCATTAACTTCTTCAGCTTAAGGAGGTGTGTGTGTGGTGGGGGAGGAGGAGCTGAGATCTGACACACAGAAAAGCTTTCCTGATAAGCCTAATGTTGTCAATAAGGAGCATTTCCCCAGCCCAGACCGTACTGTAGCTTCAGAACATAGGCCCGTGTATTCAGTAGTAAGGCTGTTCTTGGGTGAAAGAATGAAGTAAAGAGTTTCCATCCTCTGTTCTTTAGTGGTCCCACGTCTGCCCTAAGAGGTACTTTCTGCTATTGAGATGGTTAATTTTAGTGTCAACTTGACTGGATTAATGCATGTCTAGAGAGCTGGTAAAGCATTATTTCTGAGTGTGTCTGTAAGGGTGTTTCCAGAGGAGATGTATTTGTGAGTCAGTGGACTGAGTGGGGAAGATCTGCCTTGACTGGGGGAGAAGTGGGGGGTGGGCACCATTCAATCAGCTGGAAGCCAAGACAGAACAAAAACGGCAGAGGAAAAGCAATTTCCTCTCTCTATCCTGGAGCTGGGACACTCTTCTCCTGTGCTTGGACATCAGAACTCCAGTTTCTTTGGTCTTTGGACTCTGGGACTTGAATCAGTGTAGTATCCTGCCTCCTACCTCGACTCTCAAGCCTTCAGCCTTATACTGAGAGTTTCACCACTAGCTTCCTTGGTTCTGAACCTTTCTGACCTGGACTGAGCCACAGTACCTGCATCCTGAGGGTCTCCACCTTGCAGATGACCTGTTGTGGGACTTCTCAGCCACCAGAATCATGTCATCCGATTCCCCTAATAAATCCCCTCTCATGTATCCATATCTATCTGTATACCTATATTCTATGGATTCTGTCTCTCTGGAGAACACTGATTTATGCAATTATGAACTCTATCCAAACTCTGGCCTTTCTTCTGTCTGCCTCTTCAGTTTCTTTTTTGGGTGGCAGGAAAACAATGGCTCCTTCTTAGGAATACAATTGGATTTTTATGAAGGTGCCTTAGTGCCGATAAAGGATTATTGGTGTGGGACCTTTGAAAAGAATGAAACTGGTGGGAGTAGCTTAGAGGCCAATGTCTTTGATTGGGTCCCCACACAGCCTCTAGAGGAAGCAATGCAGGAAGGATTGAAATTAACCAAAAAAGAGGGACTGCTTTAGCATTTGCTATGATCTAGCACTATGTTCAGTGCTTGCCCCTTTGTTATTTTATTCAGTGGTGGAATATGTGATACAATATGTTCTCATGTACGTTTCCTGAGCCTGTCATGTCTTACATCATTTAGGTCCTTGGACATTCTTCTCAACTTGACAGTCTCATATTATGACACATTGGGTTTCCATGAAAGTAAAGTCTGAGACAAGGACCTGGGTGCAGGCAGTTTGTTTGGGAGATAATCCCAGGAAGTAGCATGCAGGAATGAGAAGAGTGAAAGCCAGCCTAAGGTTGTGGTATCAAGGGCATTGCTGTAGACAGTAGGGGCTCAATTCTGCTGGGATTGATGCTCAGAATGCTCCTGAGATTTGTTTGCCTGGAAGACAGGCAGGAAGCTGGGGCATCCATCCACTAGCCCTTGCCCCTTCTTGGCTGAGGATTTCTCTGAGAAGGTAACTCCCCTGCACTTGTGGACTATACCCAAGCAGACAAAATAGGCTCCTGCAGTATCAGAGAGGCTCTAAGCAGAAAAACACAGATTATGTTTGAGGTGGGGTGAGGAGAGATGGTTTCATCTAAGCTTTCATATATTATATACCACAGCTGTCCTAAAATCAGAGGTGGTTTGTGATACAAGGTACTTGAGGTGTCTGTCAATGAAATAATAGGAAATATATCTTGGTCTCTGCCCCCAGTTCCTGGCACAGAGCTCCTAAAACCCTTAGAGTTTCCTAAGCAGTAAGGGTGCTAGAAGTATCTTTTGTTCTAATATTTAATCTCTGCTCTGGTTACTGACACAGAGCTCAGAATTTCCTGAGTTATAGGAGCATCTTTTGCTCTAATGCAGAGACTCTTGGTGCGCTCCTAGATGGAAGCTTCTCATGAGAAAGGCGAAGCCATTACTATAAGTTTGGAGATTTCAGCCCCACCCCTATTCTCTGGAGAAGAGAGAAGGGCTGGAAATGGTTGATAACCCATCATGCCTATGTGATTAAACTGCTATAAAGATTCCTGAACTATGGTATTCAGAGAGCTTCCAGGTTAGTGAACACTTCTGAGTGCCAGGAAGGTGCTGCACCTCACTCAGTGGGGACAGAAGCTTCCACACTCAGGATCCTTCAAGATCTTGCCCTATGTATCTTCTCATCTGGCTGTTAACCTGGGTTTTTATTATATTCTTTATTAATAAACTAAGTATGAATAAAGTATTTCCCTGAGTTCTCTGAGCCACTCTAGCAAATTAGTCTAATCCAGGAAAGGGTTATGGGAATCCTGGATTTATAGCCCATCATAGGTCACAACCTGGGACTTGTGACTGGCATCTGAAGTGGAGGCAGCCTTGTAGGACTGAGGCCATAACCTGTGGGATCTGATGCTATCTCTAAGTAGGTAGTGTCGTAATCAGATTGAATTAGAGGACAACCTACTGGTGTCTGCTGAAGAATTGCTTAGTTGGTGTACGTGGAAATACTTCCACACATCTGATGTCAGAAGTGTTTTGTTAAGTGGTGTGTGAGTAGAGGGAAAACAGTTTGGTTTTTCCTCTTGCTGCTATCTTGCTTACTCTGATTCATTTACTACTCCTTTTATCCATCCATCCATTCAACCAAATGCACTTATTTAGCACCCATTCTATCCCAGGAAATGTGCTAAGCCCTAGGAACATAATGGAAAAGCAAGATATGATCCTCATATTTAAGGGGCTTATATGTTATTGAGGAAACAAATGAGTTCCTCAATAAAAAGTAGCAAGAGTCAATTTCCATTAAAAATATATCATGGACATTTGGTCTTGGAAGAGTCAGAGCAGGTTCTTCTTTCTGGAAGAAGCAAAATGTAAGGTGATGGAAAAGCTAGGTCAGGTATTACCATTAAGCCTCTTATGACTGGTCTTACGCTGTTGAATAAAAGTTAGCTGGATTGGTTGGAACTCTGATAGCTTTACCTATTAAAATTCAGCCTTTAGCAATTTCTGCCAAATAACTCATTAAGTATTAGAATTAGTTTTTTGCCATAGTTTGAATATTTGGCTGGGTAATTGTTGGTTAAGATAACATTTCCATTCTATGGCCATTTTTTCTCGATTACCATTTTATTTTTTTGGCTCTACATACACCTTTGCTGAAAAACCAAAAGCTCACCTCTGTGAATAAAGTGACCTGAGTGTTGCTGATTGTTAAACTTTTTGGCAACTTTGAAGTAAGCAAATGCCAGAGAGAACCCTTTAAGGAGGCGTGGAGTAATTAGGGGCTGCAAACTGTCAGCTACTAACAAGGTCCAAGAAGTTTCTTGCTGTGTGAGTGGATTTCCTAAGTTTGCCTGCATTGGAGTTTAAATAAAAAGCTGTTTTGGCTGCTGATGTCATGTTCCAGAATGCCCAGGTGTACTCTCCCACAGTGCAGTCACAAATGGAGACTGTTTAGCATCACTTGCTGCTGAGAGCAGCTTAAGCTTGCATCTGAGGTGTCACTTTCTGCCTACTGTGGGAAATTCTTCCCAAATGGTCCTTGGCTGGCATCTTGCCCCAGCTAAAATCGATGTAATATATAATCCTTTGAATCTGGGCATGGGGCCAGCATAGCAGGCACATAATTCTCATGCGACAGGGAAAGATGGACATGAGGGAGCTGTACAACAGTATTTCTACAGTCACTTACACACTCTAAAATGGCAGGATCGTACTATAGAATGGACATTCGTGTTAATGATCTTTCTTCTTACCTTCATGTGGAGAGAAGATTTCCTGGGCATATCGGGAGAAATTCATTCATTACTCAGTTCAACTATTCAAAAATATTTATTGAGTTCCCACAACCTGGTAGGCACTGCTGAGACCTGAACATATGGTAGTTAACAAGATTGAGAACATCCCTGCTCTCATGGAGATTATATTCCCATGGTAGAGGCAGGGAAGAGACATAAAACTATATAAACAAGAAAATGATCAGATTGATAAATGGCTATCTGTTAATAGAGAAGCAGGGTGATGTGATAGGTAGGGCATGGGTGGATTTTCTGAACGCTGGCAGGTGTGAAATGTTGGAGCCCATTAGTGGAGCTAGAGCACTGTGGGGCATAAAAGGCTGGGTGATGGTGGATGACCTGCATTGGTGACAATGATGTGACTGTGAGGAGTTAGGGGGAGGATCATCTGTTGGGAGAATGTGAGTAATCAACCTAATCTGGATGGGATGATCAATGGGTATGAAAGGCAAAGGGGATAAGTAAAAGTTACCTTTGAGCTGGGAGCACAAGCCTCTTAGTGGCCTGTGGTGTTGCACCTGTGAGGGCAGTCCCACTTGCTGTGAAGAGGCCAGGATGACCCTCCTCTCCTCTTATGCAGTGTTGTATGGACTGGGACACAAGATGCAGATGCTTATTCTCACTGTGAACTGGGTGACAGAACTGAGGGCTTCTCCAGTTTTCAGGACAAGAAATCCCTTCACACACTCTGTCATCATCCTTTCCTTCAGGGATCTATTCTCCTAACACTTACAGCATCTATGACTTTATCCCTTAGGGAGGATGCATGAGCCAGGAGATGATTTTTCCACTCTATATATATGCACCTGCTATGAATGGCAGGCTGGCAAGAAAATTTTCTGTCCCCTTCTATGGCACAGCAGAAGGCAAATGTGCATATAATTGATTATCAAAGATATGTTATAAATATCTTAAATTTTTCCTTCTTGCAAGTTTCTGTCCAAATGTCATCTCCTTAGAGAAGCTATTTCTCAACATCCTGTCTAAAATACCCACTTCATACCACCTATTTAGCCTCTTTTCTCTGTTATATACTTTTACTTCATTTGGGTTTACTTTTTAAATTTTATACTGACTTCTTGAGTTGAATGCTTAACTCATTATTTTCAATCCCTCTACCCTCTCTATATGTGAATTTAAGATTGTGAATTCTTCTGAAGTATGACACCAGCTGTATCTAATTCTGATATATCGTATTTTAAAAGTTGCCATTCAACTCCAATTTTTTTTTCAAATTTTCATTGTGCTTTAATATTTGAATAACATATTTAAAACTTTTAAGATTTTCAAATGCATGGAATTTGGGGGTTATTTTTTGCTGATTTCTAATTTAATTTTATTTTGCTCAGAGAATGAGGTCTGTATTATGTCAGTGTTTGGTGTTTGTTAAGTTTTGCTGAGTTGTGTTTTATTTGATTAGTTTTTGTAAATTTTCCACGTCTAGTTAGAAAGAATAGATGTTCTCTAATAGTACTGGATATTATATAAATCTATTGTGATATTTAAATCTTCTGTCTTCAAATTTTTTATACATTTGATTTCTCACTTTCTGAGAGAGTTGTATAAAATTCTCTCATTATGATTATTTTATTTCTCTTGAACATTTTTTTCTCATGTTTTTGTTTATGTATTTTCAAGCTGTCTCATTAGGTGCTTACAGGTTCAGCATTTACAGTGAATTCCTTTTATCATTTTCAAATGCCCCTCCTTTTCCCTGTAATACTTTTAAACAATCTTAAAGCTTTTTTTCCTAATATTAAAAATGTAACTCCATTTTTTTTTTTTTTTTAAAGATAGGGTCTGGTCCTGTTGCTGAGACTGGAGTGCAGTGGTGCCGTGATCTTGGCTCACTGCAACCTCCGTCTCACAAGTTCAAGTGATTCATTCTCCCACCTCAGTCTTCCAGGTAGCTGGGACTACAGGTGCGTGTCACCATGCCCAGCTAAATTTTATGTTTTTAGTAGAGACGGGGATTCACCATGTTGGTCAAGCTGGTCTGGAATTCCTGACCTCACATGATCTGCCTGCCTTGGCCTCCCAGAGTGCTAGGATTACAGGCATGAGCCACCATACCCAGCCAAAAATGTAATCCCACTTCTAGCAAGTATTTTCTTAGAATAACTTTCTACATAATTTTAGTTTCTATTCTGGGGGGGACCTTAGGGTTGAGTGTTTTCCTTGTTACCATATATAGGTGGATTTCTAATAAGCTATGTAATAGCCTCAGTTTAAATTACAGTTTTATTCTGGTTACTACTTTACTTGGATTTCTCTGCCATCTGAAATTGTGCTTTTTAATTTAGTTATCCTATCTTCTTCTTGTTTTACTTTGTCTTCTTTTATGCTTCCATTAAATTAAAAAACTTTATCCTTTTCTTCTGGGTTTCTAATTATACACTTTATTATAATCTTTAAGGATTTTGCCTTAAAATTTTAACACGCATTCTTAAGAAAATATAAATGTAATCAAACTCTCTGGCAAACTTTTTGCCATCATCAATAAAAGGGCTATTAGATGTTCTAATGTTGATTGCTCTCATATTCAATAATTACATTGCTTGGTTGTGTCAGTTCTATTTTTGTGTGTTTGGTTTCTCTAAGAAGCAGAAGCCATGACATGATTAGATATGCAAGAGATTTATTAGAGGAAATAAAGGTGGGGGGGAGCAGGAGTAGATAGGGTGAGCCTTGAGGCCATCATGCAGGATTGACAGTGGTGAAAGAAGAAATGGAAGGAAATTGAGCAGGAAGAACCTTGGACTTCAGTGCAGTTCTGAGAAGGTTTTGGTTAGGATAATGAGGAGTTCTGAGCAAACGTTACCCACCAGAAGAATTTCATATTGGACAAGAATGATCTGGCTCTGGTACCCCTGAGACTAGACCTGAGAGTAAAGGAAATAGTCCAAAGATTCAGTAGCTGGGGCTGTCAGTTAAATATTCTCTTCTCAACAAATTATCTTGAAAGGATATGTGAGTGGCACACCTCCATGGCTTCCACAGTCTTAGAAAAATATCTCAGACCCATATTCAAGCTAATTCTTTCCTCAGTTCTGTTTAACCTAACCATCAAATTTTTACTTTCAATGATTACATTTTTCAGTTTTAGAGGTTATATTTGTTTTTCAAATCTGTATAATACTCTTTTTCAGTATCTTAATCTCTTCTTATGTTTTCTATACTCTTTTTTAACCATTTTAATTGTTTATTTTATAATTTGTATACCTCTCACTCATCTTGGAAAGTTTTCTAACATGTCATAACTTTGTGAACTTATATTCCACTGGTATTTTTTTCTAAGGCAATACAGGGAAGATTTATTTGCTGCTGCCTGATTCTCTAGAGATACTTTTGGCTCAGAATGTACTTTCCTTAATTCTTAGCTTATAAATTATTATACCACTCAACTGGAACCCAAAACTCATGTGTAGTACAATCTTGAGCATATGGGATATTTATTTTTCCTACCCATGACAGAACCAAGCTTCCCTATAGTTTTCATTGGCAGATGGCTTAAGTTTTTCCAATCTTCCTTCCACTGAGGATGCAGCTCTTTTAGGATTTCAGGTTTATGCAGAGTCTCAGATTCAAGTTCTACTTCATATGGGCCTATCCTCTTTTCTCCTGTCCCTCTGTGTGTATTAAACCCAAAGCCCCTAGCTATCAAGTCCTATATCCAGGTCCAACTACCCTTATCTTGTTCCATGTCAGCTTGCACTGTTACTATTTTAGTTTTCAATTTCACCTTTGTTTCTTCAGTTTTGGGGTATCTCTTACTTTTTACAAGCTTAGCCATACTTTTAAAAGTAGTTTGTCTTTTTTTTTTTTTTTAATATGGCTTTTCTGAGTCTTTGCAGCATGAGGAATTTTTCATATTGTATCTCCTCTGGGTTGATATTCCAGACACTCTCTCTTTAACCTGCCTTATTTTCCTATTAGTACTTATTACTTTATCGTTTAGTGAGTTCTCCAGAAGCAGATGCTGAGATGGAGTTTATTAGGATTAACCTATGAAAGAAAGTGGGAAGCAGGATTGGGCAGAGGAAGAAGTCAAACTGCAATGTGGGCCTGCTGTAGCTTTTATCAACCCTTTGGGGAGCTCTGGAGCAAATACTGCCTGTCAGAGTGTCTTCTGGTGAGCTAAAATGACTGAGTCTCTACATCTCCTCTTCCCCACTCAGTTACCAGGTACAGACTTCCTTGAGAAAGGTACGACCTTGAGAAAGGTGGCTCTTTGCAGCTGGAGTGGATCCTGAAAGAGATAATAGCTGGAGCTGTCTGCTGACCACATTCCCTGCAGCTGGGAAGCAAGTCCTTCCTTGAAGAAGGATCTGGACAGCACCTCTCTGTGTTGACCGCACACTTTACAATTTATACTGTTTAGTCATTACTCACTTTTTTTCTTTTTCAAAGAATGTAAGCCCTCTGTACAAAGCAAAACCTGGCCTGGAAGAAATAGAAAGCCTCTGTTTCTATTTCTAGAGGGAAACTAGGTGGGATTGGTTGAGTAGACCTAGATTCTGATGGGTCTTGAATAGTAGAAGGAGAGTTTGGATTGATTCATTGGTGCAATCGTTTTCTATTGTTGTCATAACAAATTACCATACACATATCTGCTTAAAACAGCACATAGGTGTATCTCACAGCTCTGTAGCTCCAAAGTCTGAGTCCTCTGGATCTCACAAGATTGAAATCAAGGTGTTGGCGGGGATGGGCTCTTAGCTGGAGGCCTTAAGGGAGAATCCACTTCTAAAATCTTTTGGATTGTTGGCAGAATTCAGTTCTTTGCAGTCATAAGGCTGAGGTTTGTTTTCTTGCTGGCTGTCACCTGGTACCCTCTTTGAGCTCCTTCAGGTCCTCTGAGCGGAGCAGCAGTAGATAGGGAGAGCCTTCAGGCCATCATGCAGGATTGACAGTGGTGAAAGGAGAAATGTATTCCTTGTCACCTTGCCTTCCATCATTGAACTAGCAATGGTGAGTTGAGCCCTTGTCATGTTTTGAATCTCTCTGACTTTCTCTTCTGCTGTATTTCTTCTGCTTCCAGCTGGAGAAAGTTCTCTGTTTTCAAGGGCTCATGTGTTCCAACTGGATCTACCAGGATAATCCAGGATAATCTCCCCATTTAAAAATCTGTAGTTTTAATTACACATGCAAAATTTCTTTGTCATATGATATGACATGTCACACTATCTGGCATGGACATCTTTGGGAGCCCTTATGCTGCCTACCACTGCTGGAGAGCAGAGGCTTCAGAAGAACCTGACATGAAACACATGGCATTTTAAATGGAAGATTTATAAGCAGTCAGGCAGAGAATGGACTGTGAGAGGCTGCTAATCTAATAGAAACTGAAACCGTAAGGGTCTAGATGAGAGCAATGACAGTAAGAAGAAGAAGGATGTGGCCTTCAATTAAAACATCCCGAAATATCTACCCAGACTTGCTGGCAGATTTCCAGTGGTTGGGATTGGGAGTGGGTTACATGAGATACTGTGTTTGAAAGGTGACAAGTTTGGTGTTAAGCAAGTTCAGTATTCTCATCCTAGTGTTAGGCTATCCAGACATCAGAGATTTACCACAATTTACTCTCCTTGACACAAGGACAGCATTACATGGAACAAGACTTGATGTACATACGTCCATTTTTATTCTTGACACTAAGAACACTCATTCTAGAAAATGAGGGATGAGCAATAACATCCAATTATCTATCCAGATAGACAGTAATAAAAGTAAACATGATCCAAAGTAACTTTTTAAGGCCTAATTTATGTATCTTTGACTAGAGAATACAATCTGTAATTCTAAGCTACACACTTATCTTCTCCAGTGGATTTTACTTAGGTTGATGTTAAATAAGTTTGTATTCTCTTAGTATGAACTAATTGACTTGGGAATTTCCTTTGGATGCATGTTTAAAGAAAATCTGCTTACATAACAGTTTTTCAGGAGAATATACATAAATACAGACAATTAAGAATGTGCTATTTTAAAATCTTATTGTACAGTTGGTAGAAACAAAGATAAATCCTCCATGGGCTTAAGGTGAGTCTGACCAGGTATTATCTCAGATGTCATCTGCTTTCATCAATGAATTCCTGGCAGAACTGGAAAAAGTAGGTAGAATGAGTGATGTCCCAAAACAGAAAGGTCATGTTGCTTTGTTTCCAGTGCTAAATTCTCCAGAGTATCTGGATGAGCTGGCTTTTGGCAGCTTGCATGACTGGCAATTCTTCTTCTAATACCTGCAGGCTTTAACCTTCAGGTCACTCAAGTTAATGTTGTAGAAGGGTTAGAGAAAAGTATTCTGAAGTAGAAAACAGATGGAAAAAGGGCAGAAAACATTTGAGGGAAATGGACCAACCAGAGTGTCTAATTGTATGGAAATGGTATACTTTTCAATAGTTGATGAATTTGCTTTTTCATTCACTGTGCTTCTTTATCTCTCATCAATAAGTGCCAATTTTTATTCTGCTAATAGAGAAAAGCAGCATTACTTTCCAATGGGGTAGCCAGGTTAGGTTTTATGGTTCCTAAATTGACACCATGCAGCAAACTTACCTGCATTTATGGATAGAAATACTTTGTTTCATGGCTGAGACTGAATTTGGGCCAGTGGGAAGAAAGAAGGAGGAGGCAGTGTTGGATGTGTCAGGTGAGAAGTGTCAAACAGTAGCAGAGGAGAATAATTGATCGGCAAAGGCTGGGTGTAAGGCAGGGACCTGAACCTGGGGCCGAGGTGGGTATCAAGAGATCCACCATCCTTCTGATACACGTAAGCTGTCATCTTTGAGCACACAGATGCCTTTCCTGGAAGCTTTCATTAAAATTCTAGGTAGTACAGTGGGTCCAGAAGGAGCATTTAAAGAAGCAAAACAAATAGAAAACTAGGTCGATAGTAGGAAAACAATTCCTGAAGCACAGTGGTAGGACAAGGATGAGGGATGAAAGGAAAGAACTTCTTAAAGGCAACTTTCCTTTTCTGAAAGGATAAAAAAAGAGACAGGCGTTAGGGCAGTGGGGAGGAGTGTTAGCTATTGCACATCAGTGGAGTAAAAGGCTTTAGAAGATGAGCCTTATTTGCATATTTTCTGGAAATGTGTCAAGAAGAGTGAGAGCATCTCTATGCAAAACTTCACCCACAATAGATAATCTGAGTGAAGGAAATATTATCAAGGGAGCTAGCCTGCCTATTGACACTTATTTAACTCTTTCAGAAGAAAATACACTTTGGCAAGAGCTTTTTTGGGGAAAAAAGAATGTATCTAATTTCCAAACACAAGAAAAGGCAACAGATTCAAAGCCAAGGAGTATTCTTAGATTGAACTTTCATAGTGCCTTAATTTAGTCAGCTGGAAAAATGCTCTTTAAAGTATACAATTATTTAAATTTTCTAAAAGCTTTTCATTTTGGTTTTAAATCTGGAATTTATTGTAAAATTGCCCGTCTATTAATTAGTGATGGTGAATATATTACTGAGGGGACTTACTGTTGGATAGAGTAGTGAACTTGTCCCTATATACTTAGCAAGTAGCGCTATTCCCTTAGCAAGTCATGGCGCCAAAGATGTGGGGGCATTTTTGACAAAAGTATGAATGACAGTGCCCCAGATCTATATAAATCACTAGGGACACAGCTCAAAACTTATTGTTGAATAAAAAAGCAAGTGGCAGAAGGATATGTACAGTGTGCTATTTCTGGATACATATAAGTATAAAAAATTTGAAAGAAAATTATGTATATTGTGCTACTGTTTGCCTGGTGTGGGGGAGTTGCCTGTGGGACAGAAAATAAAGAGGAGAAATGAGAAACGAGGTTAGTGGTTGTTAAAGAAAATTTCAATTCCTTCCTTCCCTTTCCTTCTCCCTTCCTTCCTTAAAAGAATGCATGCATGAATTTCTTATGCAGTTTTATTTAAAATTATATGTGTCTGTGTTCTAGGGAAAAAGATCATTAACTGAAACTGTATTTGTATGTGTGTGTGTGTATGTGTATATATTCTGTCTGTATATAATATATATTAAAGTTCAGTGTATTAAAATGCCAGTATTATAACTCTGAGATGGCACTACTAATCTTCTATTTCTCAGCCATTCCTTAGAAGAAAATCATGATGAAAAAAAAGAAACCCAACCCATATTTCAGCAATCAAGGAAACACTTTGGGCAGAGAATTAAAAAAAAAAAAACCACATAAAGGGACAAATGGTGTAGGAGAAGACTGAGTGGAGAGAATATAGGCAAAGACAGCCATGTGGGACAGTCAAAAGCATATACATATACCTCCAGGCACACCAACTGCAGTATAAAGTAAGTCGACCCAGTTGGTCAGTATCTGGTAGGAAAACAAATCATTTGAAACTTGTGGATTTAAAAAAAAAATTAATTTGAACCATGTAAGTGTCATAAAAATTCATTAGGCTAAAGTGTGAGAAAATGAATCTGTAACATTGGGTAGATGTGAAGCATGTATATCATAAATTTGACTAAAACATTCTCCTGTGTGTCTGTGTTTTGTTTTAAAAGAGGGGCCAGAGAAGACAGTGACTCTAAGAGAGGGTGGGAACATGATCCACTAAGAGAGGCTTTGATCTGTGAACACAGACTTCAGCATTACAGGGACAGATACTCCTTTCTGGTTAAAAGACAGCTTTTGTCTGAAAAGTTCCCCTCTAGCAATACACAGACCAAAGCAAAAGATATTAATAGGACTGGTGTGGGCATGAATCTATCTCTCTTATAACTGATTGGTCTGTAATCTCATGCTATCCTGGGTCTTATAAATGAAGCTATGTAAGTGAGGCCATACGAGTAGAAAGTTGGTGTGGCAGGGAACACACATGTTGGATCACATTTCTTTCTTTGGTTTTGCATTTCCATGCTCTTCCTATTTCTTTTGGAACCTTTTCATCTAATCTTAAAGCTTCAAATGAAAATAGGCAGGTTAGCATTTGTAAATTGTCTTGGAGGCCTCTCCTTATCCACTTTGCACTTTAACTGGCCATTTAATTTCAGTGACTAATAAATAAATTGATATTGGATGTAGAACTGGGGGAGTTAGGGATAAGAAAAGACATACTCCAAAGAAAGGGAAGGAACTAACAGGTTTTGGTGAGAAAATTACCTTTGGTGCTTCAGTGCGTCCTACAGGAGGCATCCACCTCAGGTGGGTTTTGCATTGGTGACCTTGAGCCCCTCCTTCACTGTAGAAGCTGAGCAGGTATTCTGCTGAATAGAGCAGAAATAGAACTCCTCATGGAGAGTAGTAACCAAGCTGAATAAATCATGGTTTCAGAGCCTGACCTGACTTTTTTTTTTTTTTTTAGTAGAAATTTGTGCTCCTCTAATGGAAGGGTTTTGGAATACAAGGGCATATATAATTTTCTGAAAACAATTAGATCTCTGTAATACAGGCATGTCTAACAATAAATATAAATTCTTTGGCAAAAACAAATATGAAGTTTTATTGATAAATTGATGATTGCACAGGAACTCTAGGCCATATTGACTTTAATAAAACATTAAGTGGTTTAATTAAATCATTAATTCCACCCTAAGTTCCATTTTACAAAAGGCACTCAATATAAAAATAAAATGGTTTCTTTTTTTATCTGCTTCTCTTTCCTCTATAATTCATTAAGATGAGTCTATAGATTGGCTTATTGCTATTCTGTTATGAAGCAGTTGCTGCCATTTCAAGAATATCGCACTTTAAGCAGGATACAAGGAGGTATTGATCTGAAGGTGACATCTTCCTTCACTTTTCATAAAAGGGTTTTTTATTCCAGAAAAATCTATAAAATGTGTATGAATGCAGACGTTTATGTCACAACATTATTATAATACTAAAATAATTGTTAGTTTATTCCTCCAATCTGTGGGGAAAACTTATTGAAAGGTATGTGAGCAATCTAAAATGCATATAATGGTAGTTACAATATATTAGCTTTTAAATTTTTATTTAATGAAAGTAATATATGGCAATAATTTTTAAAATCGGGCTTACAATGGAAAGTAATAATCTACCTCACCTTCCCTATACTTCAGTTTCACTCACCAGAGCAGCCATTTCTTTGAGTATATATCTTTATATTTTAAAAT
This sequence comes from Homo sapiens, assembly GCF_000001405.40. Classification (NCBI taxonomy): domain Eukaryota; kingdom Metazoa; phylum Chordata; class Mammalia; order Primates; family Hominidae; genus Homo; species Homo sapiens. The sequence goes on from NC_000005.10 coordinate 103,413,381, forward strand.
AATCTGTCTTAGCTTAGATCCTCCAAAAACAGATACACTCAAGAATCAGCGTTTTGATACTTGTGTGGCATAAGCCCAGGAAGGTGAAGGTGAGGAAAAAGGGAAGTCGGCAACAAAAGCACAAAGCAATACCGTGTAATGTGTCACCATTGGAGATCAGCCATCACATCACCTCCGCATGTGAACTTCTCCACATGGCCTGTGATGAGGAACCCTGTCCCAAAATACTGTGGGGATGGGAAAAAGGAAGGATAATTGATCTGTTTGGCTTCCTCCTGTCTCCTTTTTCCCTTGAGTCAGAGTTCACTCCATGGGACATTCACTCTTTCATACGTGGGTATCATGTCATCTGGCCCCTGGTGGTCACTGGGGAAGACCTACCCCACTCCCTGTGATGTGGCATTCCACTGAAGTCCAGGAGTGGAAAGGTGACCCAGTATGAATGTGCTTCACATGTGGGGGGTGTGGGCCATACAGGTGTTGGACTTCATCATAACTCCAGTCATTTGGGGAACTTGACAAAATGGTGGAGGTGAGGATGGTGGTTCAGCCTGTGGGGAGACAATACCTTCAGAAAAGAGATGGTGGGGTAATAGGGATTGTACAATATACATACTATGTTTTATTTCCCGATTTACCAATTTATGACATTAAATATTAAAGTCTTGATATTGGCCAATGAGTATTTAACTCTCTTATACTTTCTTTCTTTTCATTCCTACTCCATTATAGTTATATAACAATTTTGTTTCACGTAACAGTCAGTGTTTGCATTATTATGACTACATAAATCGTTATTGCTAAGACAAGTGCTGAATATAATTATAATTTCTTTCTTATACAACTTTCACTTGAATATAACTATAATTTCTTTCTTATACAACTTTCATTTTTTGCTAACTACCACATTTTTATTTGCATTGTTTTCTAAGTACTTGTTCTATTTTTCATTACAACTGGAAATGAACTTTTTTTTCCTTAATCTTTACACATTTCAGACAGTCTATAAATTCCATTTTTTTTTTTTTTCTCCAGACCTCTTACTCGGAGCCCTCAGTCCTACTGCTTTAATATGGGCAGAATGTTTTTTTAGACCCAACGATGTGGAATCCTTGTTTCTGGATCTCATGTTTTACTTTTTCTTGGTTAACTTCCTTGTTTTGCTTGATCGAGTCCAGTCCACAGTGGTTACCTAAGCTAAATGTGGTAGACCCTTCCAGTGCCCCTCCCTAATCAGTTTTCCTCTTGCCCTGGAAAAATGGAGGGTGACAATTCACTGACTCCTTGCAGTCATGTAGGGTCATTGACCAGTTCTAGCTAATGGGCCCTGAGTAGAAGAGACCTGTGCCTGCCATAGGCCACAGCAATCTCTTTCCCAATGAAGGAAGCCTTGTGTTGAGAAGGTCACAGATCAAAAGCAAGCCTAGATTGCCAGATTGCCATGGGAGACATTTGCCCTGGGGCGTCTCCTGGATTCACACAAATTCTGAGCATGTGAGAGAGAAACTTGTGCAACAGTAAGCATTTGGCATAGTTTGTAACCTGGCCTCTCCTGACTGATACAAAAAGGCTTCACGGGAAATACAATTTTGAGTTCTTTCAGTCTGAAAACATTGTTATTCTGTCCTTACAGAACAGAATAACATTGACTGGATATAGAATTCTAGATTATAAAGAGATCCAATGTTATTCTAATTCTTATTCTCTTTTTGTATATAGCCTAGCTTTTCTTACTGGAAGCTTTTACGGTTCTGTTCTTTTTCTTCTTTTTTGAGATGGATTCTTGCTCTGTTGCCCAGGCTGGAGTGCAGTGGGGTGATCTCAGCTCACTGCAACCTCCGCCTCCTGGGTTTAAGCGATTCTCCTGCCTCAGCCTCCTGAGTAGCTGGGGTTACAGGCACCCGCCACCCCGCCCAGCTAATTTTTTGTATTTTTAGTAGAGACGGGGTTTTGCCATGTTGGCCAGGCTGGTCTCAAACTCCTGACCTGTAGTGATCTGCCCACTTTGGCCTCTCAAAGAGCTGGGATTACAGCGGTGAACCACCACGCCTGGCCAAGGGTTCTTTTCTTATCTCTTGTGTTCAAAAAGTTCACCATGTTGCGTCACGGTGCAGATCCTTTTTTCCTTTTTTTTTTTTTGTCTTTTACTTCACTGTGTTGGACACTATGAGGGTCAATTTAGAGATCTATATCATTTGTCATCTCTGCTAACATTTGTATTATATCTTTGATTTTCCTTATTTTTTTCTTTTTGTAATTTTTATTAGTTGGATATTATGTAGTCTGGAATTACTCTCCTTTTTCATCGTATTTTCTCTTATTTTTATTTCCTTTTCCTTTTTGTTCTACTTTGTAGAAGAAATCCTCATTTTGTCTTTCAATTCTTCTGCTGGATTTTAAAATTTAATTCATTCCATTTTTACTCATGAGTCTTTTGATTATATTTTATAGAATCCTATGTTTAATATAATAATACATTTAAATATATTTGAATTGTTCCTCCCTGTATTTCCTCTTTTTTTTCTGAGTTCTTTTGTCTTTCTGTTTTTTGTTTTTAAACCTTTCATTTTGGAAGTTTTCCTAAATATCTGGTACTTTGCTGTCCAATCATTCAAGTATTATGCACTAAGGTGCCAATTAGAACCTATGTGCCTGGGAGGTACTTTTTGACTAGCCTTTTTGGTGAAAGAGTGCTTCCAAATATCTGTAGATCTGTGAGACCATTCACTTGCCCCTGGGAAGATTCCCCTAATCACCTACCTCCTTAAGTACAAGCCTGATTGCCAACCTTTTTTGAAAAGAGTGGAACGAGGAACTCCCACTTATGAGTATGAAGACCTTCCCTCAGTTCTCCAGATGTGCAAATCTGGAGACTCCCCGGTTCAGTTTCTCAGATAATAAATGTCTGGCTTTCTATTGTGGGAAGAGAAGGTGGTTACTTAGTTGTAAACAGTGGGAGAAAGATGTGCCCATGGAAGGGTGGAATGAAATGTGTTTTGGGGCAAAAGAAGGGGGAAGAAGATGTCTGCAGAGAAGGGTGGTTCACAGGTGTGTGTGGAGGGGGAGTTGGAACCTAGATGGGGTGAGAAGAGCATCCATACAGAGCATGGCCCTGCATGAAAACAGTCTCCGCATGACAAGGAGGTTGTTCTCTAGAGGGCTTTGTACCTCAGGATGTTGGAACCCAGTGAGTGAGGGGGGCTTCACATTGGGTTGGGAAGGATCATTGTCTGATGTGGGATATTAGAGTCTGGGTTGGGTGAGGAAGGTTTCCATGTGGTAAAAGATGTTGAATTAGTTTCCTAGGGCTGCTGTAACAAATTACCACAAACTTGACTAAAACAATAGAAATTAATTTTTTCACAGGTCTAGAGACCAGAAGTTAAAAATTAGTTTCACTGAGTTAAACATCTAGGTGTCTTCAGGGCTTTGTTCCTTCTGGAAGCTCTGGGGAAGGATCAATTTCCACGATTTTTTCATTTTCTAGAGGCTGACGGCAGTCCTTGGCTTGTGGCTCTGCATCATTCTTCTATTTTTCTTGTCACATCTCCTTTTCTGATGCTGGTGCTCCTGCCTGTTTCTCATAAGGTCCCTTGTGATGATATTGGGCCAGCCTAGATAGTCCAGGATAATTTCTTCATCCAAAAAGCCTTAACTACATCTGCAAGGCTGTGCCTCTTCTTCTTTAAAAGCAAAACAAAACGTAAGGTGGTATTCACAGGTTCCAGAGATTAGAATGTGAATAACCTTTAGGGGGACATTTAAAGCCTACCACTGATATATACAGAAATATAAATGTTCATGTACACACACAGGCACACGTTAAGTAGTTCTGCCTGCTGAGAAGGCCTGGGAGGAGCAACACCCCAAAACCAACGAATACAACTAGTGACTAGGTCTTAGCTTCCACTGTATTTTGGGTTTTGCAGGAGGCATATTCAGGGCCATACTTTTACACCTGCCTTAATCGGGCTGCACAGGGTAGAGTGTAACCTTGAGCAAGGTGGCTATGTGTAGCTGGGGCACTCCCTGAAGTGTCTGACAGCTGACAGTACTCTTAGTTTCAACCAAAAGGAATCAGGGTTTTTTTGAAAAATGGCTGATTCCAGGACTGGGGAGGGAAAGTAGAGTGAATCTGGAACATCTTTTTATTCCAGAAAGTAAAGAAGCTCTCGAGGAATGATAAGACCATATCAAATAGGCACAGAAGACAGTTTAAAGGAACTCCCATTGACCAAATCTGAGATAATTTGAGCATCAAAATAAGTAATGATAAAGATAGATTATAATCTATTGAATAAAACCAGAAACCACTAATCCATACTGATATACATAGCAAATTGAAAATTTGAACTATTTACATAGTTCAAAAGTACCTCTGCACAAACTATTAGTTACAGGGGAATAAAGAATAACTTTGCATGGAGAAGCCTGGCAGACTTTAACTTAATCAGGTGATCAAAGTGTACATAAGTAATAAATAATAGAGAACATATGCCACCTGATGGGAAGCACAGAGAAGAATACAGCCCCACATCTGTGATATTTTTAATCTAATTATCAGTAAAATCAGAATAACCCAAATTGAGGATATTGTGATGCAATAACTGACCTGTAAGCCTCAAAAGTTCCCAGTTAATGAAAGTCAAGGAACTGTTCCAGACAGAAGACTAAAGAGACAACAACTAAATGCAATGTGTGGTTCTGAGGTGCATCCTATAAAGGACATTAATGGGACAATTGGTGAATGGGATCTGAGGATTAGTTGATGGTAATATATCAGTGTTAACTTCTTGATTTTGATGGTTGCATTGTGATTGTATAGTAAAGCATTCTTGTTTTTGGAAATACATATTAATGTATTTAAGTGTGATGAGCGTCATCCCGGCAACTTAAATTATCCAGAAATAAATTTCTTTTTTATAGGACTTGTAACTTTTATGTAAATTTGAGATTGTTTTAAAAAATTATAGTTGCCTCCCTGGTTTTTGCCAACCAGCTCATAGCATTGTTTCTAGATTGACTATTGATCCTCTCTAGGGGAAGGGAAGTATCTAAGAAGGCTAAAGTGCAAAATTAAAGAATAAAAAAATTTATGGGGAATATCTCATTGCCTCCTACCCACCCTGACAAGTGTCTCCCCAAGGTTGACATTTTTTCTAATCAGTCTTTCTTTCTCATTTCAGCTCCTCTAAATTCTCAGCATTAAAACTATAAGCTACTGATTTGCTTTCTGATATTTTATCCCCAGTCCCAGCCTAGTGCCAGGCACATAGGATGCTCAATGGACATTTAAAGAATTAATTAGTGGTGTCCTCAGGAAATGAAGTTAGCAACAACAAAGTCCTAGAAAATAACTTTTTTCAACCATCAATTAACTTTTTCATTAATATGAGAACTCAGCAGCAAAAGAAGTTTTTGTTTGTTTTGCTTGGTGTTATTTTTAATGAGATGATTCTATTTATGGCTCCTCCATCTGCACACATTTTCCTGAACAATCTCAGGCAATTAGCTTCCTGGAATATTGCTGTGTGGGAAGTTCCTCTATTCCATATTCTCTTACTCTTACCTGCTATAGTTACCATCTCTCGAATTTATGGAAGAAGATAACTCTTCAATTTCTTTTCAACATGTGACTCCAGATTAAGGGACTTTTCTTGGGTCTTCATAAGAAGAAAACTTAGTTTTATCACTGACCAAACAAACCTCCTCAATGATTAACTCTGGATTCAAATCCTAGTAGCCAATATTAAAATTCTAATAACAGCTAACACCTGATTCCTAGATTCCAGTCATTGTGCCAAGCCTTTTAATGTACCAGTTTAATCCTTACCACAAGTTTATAAGATAGACACCATTTTTTATGTACCTTTTGTAGCTGAAGAGACAGATATCAGTCTGAGCTTCTAGCAACAACTCCCAAATCTTCATGGCAAAACTGGGCTGCCAAGGAGCTGCAGTTCTGGCCACCATCAGAGAGCTGCCTGTCCAATTCAAGCTGCTTTCTACCTATCAGCTTGAGAATCAATCTTTCAACAGGAATACTCCTGCTCTGCTACCTTCCCACTTACTCAGTTCCAAACCAAGTCTTGTATTTGTGTATCTGATTGACAGAAAAATCATATCTGGAACCCAAGCTGCTAGGAATTCTGGGAAATAACTTCTTTAGTGTAGCTCTGTGGTATGGGAAGCAATACAAAAAGGACTTTGGAATAGATATAGAACAGGCTAATCCTCAGTATGTCACAGAGTGAACTTCACTTTTGGGATTGCTTTATTTTGATGTATGCCTACAGCAAATTTGCAAATGCATCCTGGAGTACGAATCACTTTAGTTTAAGCATCTGAGTTCACACAGCCCTCACACTGATTGCTTTTAGTATGCCTATCTGAATGAGATGTGTTTCAACAATTTTATGAGGCCACTTTTTCTTGTTCTCTTAAGAGTTCTGGTAGTTTCTAACATGAATAGTATGTTTCATTGATTTTTGGTTTAGTTTTTATAGAGTCACAGATTTCCTAATATCTCAGTCACCTGGAAAGTGTAGCCTTCCATCTCTCAGCTTCTTAGTGATACAAAGACTGTGAGGCACTCAATCTCCAGCCAAGACTTCTTGGAGAAGAAAACTCATGTTTCCATTGCTGTTTGTTTTTTCTCAGTACTGTATGCAAGTTATAGCTCAGCACTTTCCAGTAGAAACATGCTGTGATCCATGTACGAAAATTAAAATTTTCTAGTAGCTACATTAAAAAACTAAAAAGGAACAAGTAAGCTTATTTTTAATATATTTAATCCAATATATTCAGTATCTTATCATTTTAACATGTACCCAATAAAAGTTATTACTGAAATATTTTACATTTTTGTGGGACTAAGTCTTCTAAATCTAGTGTATATTTTACACTACCAACACTTCACAAACCACATTTCAAGTGCCTGATAGCCACATGTGTCTAGAGCCTACCTTATTGGACAGTGCTGCTATAACTAGAGAGAGAACTGCTGACTTTGGTTCAGAATGTGATGGCCACATATGTTTAGGTATTCATTGTCTTATTTCCCTGTAATGCAGAGATCTGTGAAAGGGGAATGAATCTATTAACATCCCTTCTTTTGGTGATGTAGAAATGTGGCAGGAGGCTGGTGGCACCACTGTGCCTTTATTCTGCCCTAAGTGTTTTTGGCCTTTTAACCATACATGGCTGAAATGTTCTAGTTAAGGATAAATTTATGACCTATATGATCTAGCCTCCACTTCTTTGTACCAGCTACCCTGGGAACCTTATTTCTTTCAAAGACATCCTTAGTTGGGCTGGATTTTGATGCAGTAACTATAAAGTGGAAAGTACTTCTTTTCCATTGCTCTATGGTGGTGAAATGGTGAAACTTTCAGACCCTTGGTATGGTGGGCCTGAATTTTCTTTCTTCCTAGGTAAAATAGTCCTTCATGATCTTTTGCTCCTCTTTTGTGGAACAGAAGGTCAGTGTTCACTAGAAATAGACATGTACTATTTGTCACATTCCTCGGCTGTATTGTCTTAACCTGTCATATCTCCTGTCACTAATGTCGTATGCAGGCACAACATACTTGCCATTTGGGGCCAGGAGAATCTATTCTACCCAAAATTTCTCGTGTTTTCTTGCTCTTACTTATTAGTGTCATTATGGGAAGCTCTCGATACAATGGTCAGTGGTCTTTAGGTTTTAGGAAAATTAATATTTGAATATCTTATGTGAAGGGATACAGCCATTCCTGTGGCATAATTCTTACCTCTGGAATTATGAGACCTGGTTATGAGACCAGAATTAGGTGACCTGGTTATTATGCCTTTGGGGATACATTTTCTTTAAACACATCAGGAACTCACCATCTTATGACTGAGCTCTCAGTCTGCCAAGGTTCAACCTACGGTTCTGTGTCAATGAACTGACTTCAATTTTTCAGGAGAGACTAGAAGGGAACCTAATACTTTTCTATGGGTCCCCATTGTTTCTATTCTCTATTTTCTACTTTCACTGAAGTTCCTTGCCATGGTACTGGCTTCTGAAAGTAAATCTTTGCCAGTCAGCTCACTTTCTATGCTATACAGGAGCTGTTGTCTCAAATTCCATTTTTCTTAGGTAACCTCCAGACAACAAGATCTTTCAGGTTGCAACAGACCAGTTTGTTTATCTTGAAAATGAGAGTAAAAATAATCACCAATTTCACTCCTTTTGAAAAAGAGGATGAAAACTTCAAATGAGTTGGTTACTTTGAACCTTTTCCTTCTTGTTCTATCACATTCACCTGTAAATGGACAGGCAGTTTCTTTCTGGGTCATGTTGGTAATCATTTCACAGGATTTATTTTTAAGGTAATTTTAAGGCAGTTTTAAGATAAAGCTCTTTACAGTCAGGGCTGGGTATTTATTTTCTTTTTATCACTTTTTTATGATCTCAGGAGTCATTTACTTTTTAAATTCTTGTTTTAGTACAAACCAAGAGTTTTACTATATGACAAGAGTATTGAATGTTCTTTGCATATGACACCATTGACTTATAATTTTGGGACTTATGCTTTGTGTTATTCTTGTATTGGCAGATGATTTTTTTAAAAGGCACCAAAACATGATTTTTTTTTTGAGAAAAACCAGCAGAGTTTTAGGGGTACAAGTTTAAGCCTTTGGAAAAGGGCAAAACTAACAATCATGAAGATGTTTAACCTATTAAAAGACCCATTACCACTGGCAATAATCAACTGAGCCAAATAATTGCAGAGTAAAAAAAAAAAAGATTTAGCATAAAGCACTTTACTATCTTAAAACTATTCCATGACTGTAGTTCAACTGTTCCATGACTGTAGTCCAAGGAGTGGTAGAGAATCAGATCCTTTAGCACCCTGTTCTACTCTCTCTCACTGAATGTTGACACAACAAATAGTTGTAGGGCTTTGGTAGTGTCAAGAATATGTCATGCAAATTTGCCATATTCATTTTTAAGCTGTTATAATTAGTTGAAAATAATGATGCAAATTTGAGTAGTGATGCTTTAATACCTAGTCAGTTTATTTAGGAATTGTCCTATCTCTTAGCAAAATGCTTGACTTCAATGCCAGAACAATGATTACTTTATGAGTCTATAACAATTAATTCAACCATGCCTCTCTTCCCAGTTCACCCCAGTGATGATATGAAGCCCAACCTTCTCAGGTATCCATAATTAGCTCATCTTCATACTGGGCTCAGTATGTTTGTTGATCTGGCTCAATCTCCTTTGCCCTTGGTGCCCTGGAGCTCCTGTAAACTCCTTTGCATCTTCAACCTCTTTTCTGAATTGTTCATTTGTTTTTATTGCTGCCACAGAAATCCAGCTGTTCCCAAAGAGGCTTCTCCTCTTCTGGGTCTTAATTTAATAGAACTTCCCTGCCTATCCTATATGACTAACATTATTTTTCTCCTCAGAATAAAGTGGTTATTTTCCTCCTTGTGTTCATCACTTTTTGTACTTATTTAATTAATTTTTTTACTGTATCATGAGTTTATTCCTAGACTCCTCTGACTAGGGAGAGATCCTCTTGGTCAGCTCCTCTATAAGGACAGACCTTGTTTACAAGGCAGCTGTTCTCCAGCACCTGGCACATGTTGAGAATGAATGAATCAGTAAATCATCCATGAGGCTAAAGATTTTAATACATTCTTAAAATCAATTTTATCATTTGGCTAAAAATATTAATGCTGTGGTCCTAACTTTTTCTCTGGTAAATTTAGTATTTATCAATTGTATTATGACCTATTGCTGTTTTTACCAATGTGCATGAGAAAAAATAAATCCTGCATAGTTTTATCAGGTGGCTACATTTATTTTATTTGGTTTCCGAAGCATTCTGAGTTTGAAGCAGGATATGATGGAACAATAATCTTAAATAAGTCATGACATGTTTGTTTATTCTCAGGGAAAAACCAGAAATGTTACCACTCTAGCAATCCATTGATTAGCACCTATATCTTCTTTAGCTGAACTGACACACACATAATTCTAAGCCACTCCTTTATTTGCAACCAAGTATAAGCAGTTCCTGAAGTAAAATGCTACAGTTGTGAACAGAAAAATGGATGTTGTCAGGGAAAAGAGAAACTTCCAATTGTTAATGATACTTATCTTTTCAGGACTGTAGTAGAAGGGGGACCTCCATTATTGCCAGTGCATTTCAAGGGTTTTTTGTCCAATTAAAACTCTGTCATGGAATTTTAAAATGTATTATCTCAGGACTTGAAAATGCCTAAGAAAGTTTTTTTTAAAAGATGATAAATACATACGTGCACACAAATTCCTCTAAAAAAATCAAGATGTTCTCATGAGAATAAGGAAAAAAAATAGCTGAAAACAATATAAGTATATTTTTGTGGAAACCTATAAATCACAATAAATGTTGAAAAAACTAGGGCTGTATGTAAGTATATTGGTCCAATTACTATCTGATTTCACATGCAATTAACATTCCAGAGAAAGATGAGAGAAGCTAGAACAAAAAGTCCATGTGAAAGTAGAGCAAAACTATTGGGTGACATTACCTCACCTTGCTGCAAAAGCTAGAGTGAAATTCCCAACAAATACATCCTAAATTATTTTACAGCATAGAAAAATATAACATGGATCATTTAAAGATAAAGTCATAATTACAGTGACTACAATTGAATGAATTCACTGAGCAAAACATTTTATTTATGTCTACAAGTTGAGAAACTGATGAAGCATAAAGGACAAATATGTATAATCAGTTGGAAAAATCTGAGAGGGCGATTTTAAAAAAATAAAGGATTTGGTGTGGTTCACTGGCATTTACCCAAGAGGGTTCCTGTTTCAAACTCACATTCACAATGTAACACTTCATTGCTTTTCTGCTGAATCAACACAGTAACGGGACTCTACAAAAGGTCAAGTTTTGAATCCAGTGTTATTTGAACAATGCCCACTTTATCTTGTTTTCTATTTATAACTTTAATTACAGATAACTTTTAATTACAGATACCTTCTTTATAATCTCAAACTAAATTGTAGTTTATTGTGTAACATAGTAACCTTTTAAATATGTGGGGTAATTGATTCTACTCTTATGAGCCCAGTAAAAATAATAGTTTCTCAAGAACTGTTGCTTAAAATAGTTTTGAAATCTATTTTGGGCCGTGTCTACCTAGTGCAAAAATAAAGGTGAGGACTAAATATCTGAAAAGCCAAATGACTTGTTGCAGATAATACAGCCAGTTGGTGTCAGAGCTGGAAACAGTGTTATGGGCTACAGCTTAGTAGTGGTGGGTAGTGACTGCTTTTGCTATGAGTAATAAAATTCTTTGTCTCTGACATAGGAACCTTGTGTCTTCTTCAAGCATCCATAGAATTGTGGCAAGCTAGCTCATTAAATTGTATAGTTACTTTGATGGGAATTCTTTGGCTTCTAGGTCTTCTCTACACCTATGTATTTAAACCTATGTAAGCAGGATAAAATCCCAACAGCTGGCTTCCTAAAAACTTATTTATTTATTTTTTTTTTTGGAACTGTAACCCTTCCTTCCCCACGCTATACTCCAAAAAACAAATACACACGGTGTTAGGGCTGCAGAGTTCCCAGGGTTTATTTATATATGTGTGTATAATATGACCTCATCTCCTTGGTCACAAGTAATTGGTCTTTTGGTTTGTTGGAATTGGGATTGAAAGAGAGAAATTATTGTCTCACAAGGACCTGGACCCGAGAACATACAAACTCGAAGCTATCAACTAAAATCATGTTACTCCATGTGGATGTGGAAACAGAGAATACCAGTTTGTGAATTATTCATAAAGTGACATATGTCCCACTTTGCCTGGGACATTCTCTGCTTACATCTGTTGTCCCAGTATAATTATTAATAGTGTCTTCTCTCAAAGTGTTCTGATTTAGAAGCAAAATTATATGGTCACCCTAATCACTCAAGATTCTTTGATGGCAAATGATAGTATTCAACTTGAAGAGCAGCTGCATAGGTATCAATCTGGGTCTCACCATCCAAGCCAAGAAACTCAACTTGTAAGAATTAGGAAAGAGTGGATTGACAGCATCTACTTCCATGAGGGAGAAAGTCCCTTGGAACTATGAAGGCTTCTATTTCTCATGTTTGGTAAAGGAGAGTCTCCCTTTTTGAGATTGGTTCTCCTATAAGCGTTACTGGGTAGGCCCTTGCTGTTGTTACTGGTCTTATGCAGAGTAACTGACCCTAACATGTTGATCCTAGATATGATTGCTACAAAGGTTTTGCTACCCCATTCTCTGGCCATAGGTTTTATGAATATGTGTGGGTGCTGATAAGAGGTTGTGACTGTCACTAGGATTTAACCCATTTATGCCTAGTGTTCCATTATTAGAACGCTAAGCTTGTGGGAGTTATTTATATCCTGCTCAAGGTCATCGTTAAGGTCTGATTTTTCACACAAAAATTTGCAACTTCCAGCATAAATGGCTCAAGACTCATGATTCATGTACTCATGCTCTGTATCAACTAAAGTCAACTTGCAGGGAGAAAGAATGAAGCAGATGCACAAAGAGTAATAGAGCAGAGAGAGAAGATATTGTGAGTTTCTTCTCATGCTCCAGTCACTGCTCAGGCTGCCCCTGCTGTGTATGCCACCATTTCTTCATAATTATAATATATTTAGGCTCAAGTTCTCCCTAAAAGCTTTCTGTAATTTTTCATCCTTAAAGTCCTGTTACAATTAGAATATAAACTCAAAGTTAGCAGATTCAAATTCCATCTGTGATCATATCAGTAACTATAACTGGAATTCATTTGTTTATGTTTTTACTAGATAAATATTTAAAGCTTAGTGTATGTTGTACATTGTGCTAGCTTCAGGGCATAGAGTAAGCAGGATCGACACATTCCTACCTCCCTGAAGATATTAAACCAATAATTACAAATGCCAAGATCCTTCCTAGTCTGCTTCAAAAGGTTGATCAAATAACCCACTAGCATATTTTAAACTAGTATGTTCAAAACTTTGTGCATCCTGAGTATTCCTCTGCTTTAGGCTAATATCCTGTGAAGAGTCACTGACATAAAAATTCTCTTAAGAATGGATTCCATTTTTAAAAGACAGATTTGGAGACACATGAAAGGATATTCATTCAACCAAATATATGTACATAAAATGGCATATATAAGATGTAAGTTTATTGTTATAATGAATGATTACTTTAAAAAATTGCTTGACATGTTGCTGAAATGAGTTTTACATGGTTCTTGGGCAAACTTGGATGGAAAACACAATTCTACTATGTTAGCTAAATCTCTCTGGAGAAAGTGGGGTTTTTTCCCTCAAAAATTGAGGGGATAAAAATTGTTCCAAACCCAGGAATAAGTTGGGAAGTGATTTGGAGACAAGGAGTCATTGAGAAAATTTTCTCAGGCTGAGTAGGTGAGACAAAAAACAAAATAGATGGATTGCTTTTAGCGTTCCCTTCTTAAGGAAAGAAATAATTGTGTTGTTTGATATTTATTCATTTATCCTCATAGAACATAATTCTACTGAGAAACCCAAACACCAAACAGTTGAGGGATTTTCCTTCTAATCTGCACGTTAAGTCAATAGATGAGGCAGAACAAGAATTAGAGTTACACCAGTACTACTTAGGCCCTGCAGGGACCTTCTGAGAACATTTTGGATTTAGGATAGGGCTTCTAGGAATACTGATGGAAAATCTTCCAAGTTTACCAAGGAGTTGGGCTAGCAGAATTTTGACAACCATAGGCTGTGGATTCTAAATGGCAAGATTATGTGGCATTTGACCCAGAAAGTCTGAAACTACACTTGGCCCTCTCTATTAGGTCCTCTTAAGACAGAAACCCTGATGGATCTCTCTTCCATCCTTTCTACCAGCAGACAGTGACATGAAAGAGACGAGATGTATTCCTTCCAAAGCTGTACACAGTGATGTGAGGTCTGTATATGGACTGACAAATCCTTGCTAATGATATTGAAAATAGAGTTCAGTGGGGCCACACACTCTCTCAGAGCTTTTCATACACCATTCATTTAATTCGTATAAGCATATGAGGCAGGTACTATAATTAACCTCACCGATGCATGAGGAAACTAAAGCAAGGAAAGTTAAAGTACCCTGCCCAAGGTCACAGCCGGGAAGTGGCAGAGCTAAAATCTGAACTTGGATGCTCTGGCTACTGAGTGTATGATTGGAATTTTTTTTCCTGACTCTCCTTAATGGTAGTAGGCTGGTAGCAGCCAGTAACTGTGGCCCACAGTAGTTGTTCAGTGAACAGTTATTGGCTAACTGATTATTGGGCTCATCAGGAGATCTCCTTGATTTAACAAAAGGCTAGCCCTAAAAGTGCAGTCAGATGCTGCCTATGTAGAAGACTGGTCTTGCACTTTTACCTTCCTATTGCATCTGTAGGAGATGGGAAACTTGTGGATTTTGGGAAATGTTCTTAAATTAGAACTAAAATTATTTTGGGGTCACATGTCTCTTTGAGAATCATATAAAAGCTAAGAATCCTCTTAACATAAAAATGCTCAATAACAAAATTTTTGCATAATGTCCGAGACTATTTCAATCTCTAGAACTGTCCAGGAACAGAAACAGTAGTTTTGGGTCAGTGACTCTGAACTTTGAATGTTGATACCTTTCACTTTTTTTTTTTTTTTTTTTTTTGAGACAGAGTCTCACTCTGTCACCTAGGCCGGAGTGCAGTGGTGCGATCTTGGCTCACTGCAACCTCCGCCTCCTGGGTTCAAGTGATTCTCCTGCCTCAGCCTCCCAAATAGCTGGGACTCCAGGCATGCGCAAGAACGCCTGGCTAATTTTTGTATTTTTTAGTAGAGATGGGATTTCACTATATTGAACAGGCTGGTCTCAAACTCCTGACCTCATGATCCGCCCACCTTGGCCTCCCAAAGTGTGCTGGGATTATGGGTGTGAGCCATTGCACCTGACCGATACCTTTCAATTTCAAGTGATTTATATGGATGCTTGATTCAGAGAAAACTGTATTCACATTTTCTGAGGTAGTTGCTTTGTTTTTCTCCTTCAAGGGAAAGCTCTGCTAATGTTACAGTTAGCTGTGGCCACTAACTGGCTGCCTGGTAACGGCACAGTTTGTGCATTCCATGGCCAGGGTCCAGAAAGGCAGAGCGCACCGCTGGGGAGCGGATGTGTGAGCCCCAGGTTTCTGACATGAACGTTACTGATGCTGCCTCTGCTGAAAGACCTCATTATTATCATGGCAAATACTGGGAGAACAAAGGGACCATTTTCAGAACAGAGGGCTATCTGTTGTTGTTAATTGAATATTTTCTGATTATGATATTAAGTTGGTCAGAGCATGACAGCATGCCTTTTTTGGCATCAGTTCATTTCAGCAGCTTCTCTTAATACATGAACTGAGTAGCACATCCTTACACACGCACAAGCCTCCTTTATCTGAGTTGTGGTGAACAACAGCTGCAAGCTGTAGCCATCTTTTTGAGGACTTCAGTCTTTTTGGTGGGGCAGAGGTGCAAAGTATAGGGAAAATAACATGCATTTCCATATCTTTTGCACATTTAATACTCTGGAAAAGTATATAATATGAATTAACATGAAGTCCTTCCATGAGATTGTAGAAATACAAGCAAGATTTATTGCTAGAATCGAGACGTGTCAGTTCTTACCTAAAGACTGAAAGTATTTGACAACTTTGGGTAGTGAGTGGTTTCATGATCTCTGTGAAACCATACCACATTGTTTTGGGTGCAATAAGGAGTAGAATGAGTATGAAAACACTGGAGGGAGTGATGAAGACCTGTTCAGTTTTGATTCTGCCATTAACAACTTTTTTCATCTTCAATAGACAAATTACCTCCTTGAGCCTCTTCTGCAAAGAAGAG
Organism: Homo sapiens; assembly: GCF_000001405.40. Taxonomy (NCBI): domain Eukaryota; kingdom Metazoa; phylum Chordata; class Mammalia; order Primates; family Hominidae; genus Homo; species Homo sapiens. The sequence continues at coordinate 103,429,279 of NC_000005.10, forward strand.
GGGTTGAGCTATGAGGTCCTTGTGAGGTTTGAAACACAGTACTATTATTTTATAAAAAGACAAGTTTTCAGTTTTGTGAGTTTCTCCAGAGCATATGAATCTTACAGCTGAACTTCTTGAAATCTGTGATTCATGTTTCATTAGTTAGGCCATGGGACTTCTGAGTACATCACAATATTTTGGATACACATAGAGATTGTTCCACTGAGAAATGAAATCAATGGTTAGGGTTTCTTTTGAATTTCTCTGTATTTTACTTTCAGGATCAAGAGAAGAGTATTCTTCTTTTATATTTAGTTTGCACCGTGATAGAAATTCAGGTAGTACATAAGACCCATGTCTTTGAGTTTTCTTCTCTAAATTCAGCCTAATTCTTTATTTTATTATTTTTAGCAATAGCTATTATTTTCTTTCATCTGGGAAGTCTTGGGAGGAACTTGGGCCAGTTGATTGTAAATGGCTTGAGAGAGGAACGGCAAGGCATGGTGGCTCACGCCTGCAATCCCAGCACTTTGGGTGGCAGAGGCGGATGGATCACGAGGTCAGGAGATCAAGACCATCCTGGCTAACATGGTGAAACCCCATCTCTACTAAAAATATAAAAAATTAGCCGGGTGTGGTGGTGGGTGCCTGTAGTCCCAGCTACTCGGGAGGCTGAGGCAGGAGAATCGCATGAACCTGGGAAGTGGAGCTTGCAGTGAGCCAAGATAGTGCCACTGCACTCCAACCTGGGCAACACAGTGAGACTCCATCTCAAAAAAAGGGGGGGGGGGTGGCGGAAAGACGACCTTGTTTGGATGAATTATTTATCTTTTAAGCCACTTTATTTTCATGATCTTAATTTTCCCAAATATCAGCTTCCTGCATCATGGCCTAAAGACATTCTAGGAAGCAAAGAGCCTAAGCACAAAATGGAACATTTAGCAAGGAATGTAAAAGATAAAATTAGATAAGCTTTACTGTACTTATGCTCTCAAAAGAGAGAGTACAGTGCATACAATATTTTACTGCTAACATATGCAGCCTGAGGGGGAAAATATGAGGGTATTAGTGATGTTGATATAAGTTGTATACCTCAATGTCACATTCGATATTGCTGCGGTGCTTTGGTTCAAAAACAAAATTATAATCTCATCACACAGTTTTAATACATTGGAAGAACATTCATTTGAAAAGTTATATAATGATAGACATTTTGTTTGTTTCTACAAGTTGGTGATGAGTTTGTAGATCCTTTTAAGAGTTAGGGTCTCTTTCGCATTTTGGCTTGTCCGAGAGGTCAATTCATAAAGCCTTGAATAGCCTAATGCAAAGGAAGCCATTTTTTTTGATAAATGCTTTCAGAGCTGTAATCCAGCTGCAGAAAAAAATAGACACAGGACTGGTCATTACACAATTTGTTGGACTCTGGGGAGAAGAAATATTACAAAATCTTTTTATTTATTTTCTAATTGTTTCTCTTGGTTATTTAGTTTGAAATTAATAGGATAAACCATGCTCCTTAGATTGTTAGATTTAATAAAAATATAAAATACCAAATGTAGAATATGTTGTGGTAGTAATGAAATATGCTAATATAAAAGGATCAGAAGAGGGTATAATGTTTATAAATAGTGATTGAGCTATAGGGTTTTAAAAATTGTTATTAGTATTTTATTATTTCTATTTAACTTTAAAGCTTAATTGATCAAACACATAGTAAACAAATATTGCCATAAAGGCAAAATAGTTCTTTGTTAAACTCTTGACACTTCAGCAAACATGGGATGATGTTTTATGAAACATGCCTATATAACATTTACTCTAAGGGATGTTAATAGATGTTATTAAAAACACACACAAACACCAAAACAGTTTACCAGTATTCTTTCCGGAAGTCTGTCTCAGATTTCCTGGTTAATGTGCTTTGTTTCTCTGACAGGATATATGATTTGTGTCATTTCTTAAACTTACTTTAGGTGTAAGTGGGCTACTTTGTGGAACCAGAGTTTCATGTACTATGTGACACTCAGCTTTTATGCTTAGAAATATTTCTGTAATGACTCTTGTTTCTTATAAAATCCCCTATGGATTTGGCAGTGAGATCCAACTATTCAACCTCATCTCTTAGAGAACCCAGTGGATTTTATCAGATGGAAGTTAACTGTGTTTCATTGACCTTTTCTCTGATCTGCTGGCTGGATGGAGCCTCACCCTCAAGGGAACTATCATAATCTGTCACCCAGATTGTATAGCACAAGCTCTGGAAAGAAGATCCTGGCCACATATCTAGCAGTTTTATTCTCAAGATCCTCCTGCTGTAGCTCATCTTGAGAAATGAGTGGAACAGGCAAGGTTTATGCAATGGGAGAAGGCCCAGAGAGATCCTTTCTCCATCCCCCAAATGATCACCTGATGGAAATTCCTGAAATTCCACTTTTAGAGTGTTATTTCTTTGGGTTAGTATCTGGTTCTCACAAATATCTCTGGAGGTTTTACCATGTCATGTGTTTTAACAAATTACTGTGAATTTCTTTATTAGATCCTTTTTACTGGATGGGGTGAGGGATGGTCATGAAGCAGTTGCAGGTACGGATGGGAGATGGAGGACGCTGGATGTCTCGGGGATTAGAGTTAGGTCAGGGAGACTTGAGGGATGGAGATCCTCTAGGTACCAAAGAACACTTGCTTGGCCTCATGGCTTTGTCTCTGTGAACTTTACTGCCCTTTTTTATTTCAGTATCATTATGAACTAAGTGCCCATTTGTACATGACAAGCTTGATACTGAACATATCATGAATTAGACAGGTAAGTCCTGTGTCCTTCAATGGCTTATAACAAAACCAAATAACTGACCAAATTCAGATAGACATTTTAGTAAGAGTTGTGTGAAAAGAGGTGAAACAGCAAATCTGTGAATTAATAAATTATAATATTTACAGATTATGGCAACAGTGGATTTTTTATGTTGAAGCCTGAGTCAGCCAGTGCCTTGGGAAGAATTGTGGACTATTTTTCCATTTGAAAAAAAAAAAAAAACACTTCTAGAAGAGTTATCTAAGGATGCATTGACAAAAATCCTGGAGAGTATTAGCTATGAAGACTGCAAAGGAAGAGGGAGAATTGAACTGAAGATGTGAAGTTGGAGCTGGAAAGTAAGGATGAGAGTTTGCTAAGAAGGCCTTCTCAGGACTGGTAAAGGAGAAGAAATACAAAGATCTTGACTTACCGTCGGTTTTCTGTTTCATTTTCCGCACAGAAATAGAAAGTCTTGAACTCTTCGGATGGAGGCTAGAGTTCAATTACTAATTGTTTGGAACTAAGGGTCTGTTCACTCACCCTATATCCTTGCAGATATAGACCACCTAAAAAGGAAAAAAAAATGAGAAGAGGGAAAGAATAAGAAGGAGAAAAGATGTCTGAAAGGATGTCAAGAAAATTTTGTGTCTGAAGGAAATGCTAGTCCAGCTGTCTCATTTTACAGATGAAGAATCTCAGACTCCAAAAGAATATGTAATTTAAGGTCACATGCTAATGATTAATGGCAAGACTGGTAATGGAATTTAGATTTCCTGGTTTCCATTTTTGCAATCTTCTTATTTCATTTTCAGTGTTTAGCTTTGGGTTACTGTGTGCCCAAACTAGCTTCTTTACCTGAAGGACACATTTTGAAATACAATTTTCTGTATCAAAGAATGATACCTGCAATATCATATTAAAAGGAAAATTAAATAGTATTTGCTTGGGCAGAACCACTAAAGCATCCTTTATAATCCATGAAGAATTATAAAGATTTCTGGCCATTTCTGCAACATACATGATTTCTCGCCTTACTTGTGCATATGCAAAGCACATTTAAAATATGAACCCATAGAGTGATATGAGAGAGCCAACTGAATTAACAATGAAAAGAAATGACTGGCTTTAAAAGATAAGTTCTCCCTGGTGATCCTTTGAATCCATGTTAGTGGTTATAAATTGCTTGGCCTGAATCTTGTTTCCATTGTTTGGGGGTCAGGAGACAGATCTCAATCTAGGAGAAGATTCTGAAAAAATCAAAACCCTTGTTTGCTTTTCATAGTGTCTTCATGCTCTGAGGCCAGCCTGAATCTCATGCACAGGCTGTAGACAATATGAGTAATGGCGATGATTAGATGTTTAAAGCCCTCTTGCTCACTCCTATTCTCATCCCCCACATCCTCCCAAGAGCCACTTCAGTGCACTACTAACAGACAAAATATGAAAATGCCATTTGGATTTTTACCACTTTACCTGATAACTATTCTATGCTAATGCATTAATAGACTATGCAGGGAAAATGTAGTCCCTTTGAATATGGCTGGCTTTTGTTTTCCTTTTACTTACACTTGGTAACAAAGTACACTGTCAGAAAGACAGCAATTTTTCTTTTTAAACAGAATGAATGGCTTTTTGACTTTAAAAATTAGAAAAAATTGCTTGCTTTATTGGCAGGGGTGGGTGTTAGATGCAATATTAAATTTCTTTACTATTTTCATTTTTTAAAAGTCCATTTTAGAACCAACTTCAGAAAAAGCATTCATTTTAGAAATGAGATTTTTTAAAAAAACTTTAGTAGGCTCCAGTAATATGGTGTTTACCAAAACAGGGAGTGATTTGTTTCTTTGAGCTAGATGTCTGTATCTGTCTATATCTGTATCTATATTTGTATTTATATCTATATAATAGCTTTATTGAGATATAATTTACATACCATAAAATTCATCCATTTAGAGTGTACAACTCAATGATTTTAGTTTATTTATGGAATTGTGAAACCATGACCATAATCTAATTTTAGAACATTCTCATCACTTCAAAAAGAAACTCCATACCCACTGATGGAAGTGTCTGCTGCCCTCATGCCGGCTGCAGCAGGGAAGCACGGCAGGGGCTGCACACTTCATGGAGCCAGTGGGAGCCCTGCCCCTTCTGAGATGGAACAGGAGCTCCCTGTGCGGCTGCAGCCACCCAAGCTGTAGCTGCAGACCCAGGCCTCGGCCTCTATGGAATAAGCAGGAGCCCCACCCTCCTGGGCGGGGCTATAGCCGCCCAACCTTAGCTGTGAATGGAGCCTCCCTGTGCTCTTGGGGAACCCGGGAACAGGCAGGACCTGTCTTCCTGGGTGCAGCTGCAGCCTCCGCATTGGTGGCTGCAGACCTGGGCCTCCTGCTCCAGGAAGAAGGCAGGAGCCAGGGACAAGCGGGAGACCTGCCCCTTCCCATGGCGGGGGCGGGAGCTCTGGGGTGCAGCTGCAGCACTTAATATAAATGAAATCATGTAATATGCGGTCTTTTGTGGCTGGCTTCTTTCACTTACTATGATATTTTCAAAGTTCATTTACGTTGTATTATATATCAGTAACTTCATTCCTTTTTATTGCTAAATGATATTCCATTGTATGAATATACCACATTTTATTTATTCATTAATGATAGACATTTTAGTTTTCTCCTTTTTTGGCTATTATGAATAATATTGTCATGAATTTTTGTGTACATGTCTTTATGTAGATGTATATTTTCCTTTTAGTATATACTAGAAGTAGAATAAGCAGTAGGCTAGATATTTTAGGACTATAGGATACCTAAAGATGTATCAGAAGGTTATTTTGATATCATTTAAAGCTTTTTTATTTATTATTTTTTAGATACAGGGTCTCACTATGTTGCTCAGGTTGGAGTCAGACTCTTGAGCTCGTGTGATCCTCCCACCTCAGCCTCCTGAGTAGTTGGGACTACAGGCACACTTTATCATACCTGGCTGGTTTTGCTATCTTAATTTTCTACTCCAGACTATAGAATACACAACATTAAATGTTGCTGCACTAGTTTGTGGCTTCTTCCTACTTCTGAGATTTTTTTCTCATGTGTCTGAGGAGATATAAATACCCTCATCTATCATTATTCTTTTTAAGAACAGATAGGTTTGTCCAAGAAGTGTTTGCTACAAGGATTTTCTGACCATTTTTCTAACCAGTTCTAGGGAAGAAATGATTGGCAGTAAAGATATCCAATTATAGCTCCATTACCTCATTTGAGGTGACCTCATTGAGCTGATCTCTCTCTGTTATGAGATAGCAGCAGTAATTAGCAAGCTAATTTGGATAGAGATTTCTTACAAGAACTGTGCAAGTATTACATGTTCCATTTATTTTAATAATGTAAAATATATCTTTCTGAGACATGCACACAGACCTTGATGTGATTTATTCAAGAACGGTAGTCAACAGTCACAATTGGTTACTTCTAGTTTTATTCTGGAGAGAGGGAAAAGGAAAAAAAAAACCTCATCAAGTGTATAGTGAATGAAAAGGGGCTTCATGCTTAAATAGAAGACTAAGGGGCTTCTGGCATACTCATGCTGTGGCTTTTTCATTAGCAGGCACAGGCGAGCCAGCAATGCATGTTGTTAAAGTACGAACCCTCTCCTTGACAGTAAGGAAATCCTCTAGGGAACTGACGAGGCTATTTCTCCAACTCCCTCATTACACATCAGAGGTATATTTATCTAGCTGAAAGTAAAATGTGGGGTTAGTGTCTAATATAGTTTTTACAGGAAACCTGCTGTGTTGCTTCTTACATCTTGCTTTTTCCCCTTATATTACTTTTATCTTTTCCCTGCCTTACTTTGCTGTCCTCGGTATTCTCTCAGCATCTCAGGTGACTGTTACAAGACATAAGTCATGCCAACAATACTACAGATACCTCCAAAAATAGTAACTGTCATATAAGATCTCCCAGATCTCTAATGAAGAATATAAGGAAATAGACTAAAATACAAAATAAAATAAAAATAAAACAGTAAAGCATCTGAGATACTGCAGTCAAGGATCCAGGTCTCTATGTAGCAATGACCACAGAAGCCAGGATCTCAAGAACAAAGCAACTAGTAGCAGACACATTACAAATATAATTAAAAGGAAGTAACCATCTAAATACTGTTTCTAAGATTTTGAACATAAAACTGACCACTTGAACAAATACATATGCAGAGACTGTTTTTGAATAGTTTTTCAAATTTTTTGGCTGTGATCCAAAAATTTAATATGTACAGACCTTGACATATTTTCATATTAGAGCAAAAGCTTTGTGAAACATCATGGTGTACCATGACATTTTCGATTCAAACTCTATTCTGTTGTCATTAAAATCCTGGCCACAATGTACTATGTTCATTGCTGGACTTACTAGTGGGGGTCAAAACCTGTAGTTTGATAAATATTGATATAAGTGGTAATTAAGGCCTGCTTCAAGATTATGACCTCTGTAGGGCAGGAGATCAAAGAACCAGGCCAAAGTGGAATGTACAAGAGTTAAGCAGAGATTGAGCAATATAAGTAAAGGAATTATGGATCAGACCAGCATAAAGGTCGTTAGTTACTTAGCATCAGCTAGAAGAATTGAAAATTAGCATTAGAACTGCATAATCTTTGTGAATATAACAATGATTAGTATTCCTTGTATATCAATATGATTAAGTTAAACTGAGTATTTTAGTGCCTGTAGTGTTCATGGCATAGCATGGGTTCAGCCATTCTCAACAAATTCTTCGGCTGTCCTCATGACTCCTGTGGTTGTTATGACAACTAGCTGGACTGAGTAGACCCTGTCTATTGCAGTGAGTGTGCTGATATCCAGGCTGCAGAGATCAGACAAACAGTATTACTGACCAAGTGCTACTTTAAGAAGACAAATTTCTGCCAGGGGGTACTATACGTAACATTGTGGGTAAGAGTTTGGGCACAGGATTTAGGCATCATTTGTTTACATTTTGTCTCTAATCATTTAATTGCTGGGTTACCATCAGCATGTTAGGTAACTTCTGTAAACCTTAGTTTCTCACCTATGATAATATAATAACAGTGGATGTTTTGTTTAGATTAGACTTAGATAACAAACCTAAGTGCTTATCCTAATCCTTGACACATAGGAAACACTCAGTACATGCTAACTTTCCCACTCCCACCCTGCCTAAGCAGGATGATCCAGCCCTTTAAAAGATGTGGCTTATCAGGGAGTGATTCTTAGTGGAGGATGGAGAGGGCATATTTATTCTGAGAATTTCCCGCAGGAGATTTGAATATGCCTCCATGAGCCTCAGGTTGTAATTCAAGTGAAGAATGTACAGGAAGGTTGATCAGAACACTTAGAAAAATGATATAAACCTCAATTTATTCAAATCAAAAGAATGGTAAAGGGCTTCAGAAGAGCTCTTGCACAGACACCTTAACCCTAAAGAAGGGTTAGCAGCTGATCAGCCTTGGGAGAGCTTCCATCTGGACCAGTAGCAGTCAGAGTGGGAGTGGGGAGGGGGTGTGGTAAAGTTCACCTTCTGGAACAAGGTACATCCTCAGGCAAATGGTATTTTTTATTCAAGAGTAGAATCAGGTAAAAACAAAAATCACAGGCTTCTATTTTAGAACATGGCCTAGATATAAATTTTCTGTTGGAATTTTAGTAAAGGAAATGTTTTTTTAATCTGTATTTGAGATAATTTGGGCTAGAAAGTGAGGACCTGTGGAGATAGAAATATTCAAGAAGTAGGACTGGGAAAGAATGGATGAGTTTGGATTAAATATTTTTATTAACCACAAAATAATATATTTTCAAGAGAGGAGCTGAAAAAAAAGAGGGAAGGTCTTCAACATGTCAACAACAGGCATCTGGTACTCACCTTCTCTGCAAAGAGGAACCAAAATAGTAGATAATTACACTTCGAATAGATAACCCAAGAAGAAACAGTGGAAGTCAACAGAGAAGTGAAAGGAAACACCTAAGGCAAGGACGGAGCAGAAAAACGAGGCAACTTTCTCAGCCCAGAGCACTATTTCTTTCTGATTTAGGGTTTGGTTTATTCTTGCTTTTCTAGTTTTTGAGGTGCATAATTGTGTATTTGTTCCACTTTTCGATGTAGGTGTTTGTTGCTATAAACTCTACTCTTATCAGAGCTTTTGCTGTGTCCTCTAGATTTTGGTATGTTATGTTCCCATTTTCATTTAAGACACTTTTTGACTTCCTGCTTAATAAAGAGTTAATAGTTGCTCCAGAGCATGTTATGTAATTTCCATGAATTTGTACAGCTTCCAAAGTTCTTTTTGGTATTAAATTTTTAGTATTAATTTGGTATTGGTATTCTGTTGTGTTCTGAGAAGATATTTGATTTGATTTTAATTTCTTAAAATTTGTTGGATTTGTTTTGTGGCCTAACATATGCTCTATTTTAAAGAATGCTTTATTTTAAAGAATATTTCCTGTTCTGATGAGAAGAATGTGCTGTAGCTGTTGGATGAAATGTTCTATAAATATCTGTTTAGTCCATTTGGTTTAAAATGCAGATTAAGTCTAATGTTTCTTTGTTTTCTGCCTAGATGTTCTATCCAATGCTTAAAGTGGGATGTTGAATTTTTCAACTATTATTGTATTGGAGTCTTTTTCTTTCTTTAGCTCTCATAATATTTACTTTATCTTCTGTGTGCTCAGTGTTGGGTGGTGTATATTTCTATTTGCCATATCCTCTTGCTGAACTGACCCCTTTATCGGTATATAATGAGCTTCCTTGTCTCTTCTCACATTTTCTTTCCTTAAAGTCAATTTTATCTGATATAAATAGAGCTATTCCTGCATGCTTTTGGTTTCTATTTGTGTGGAATATTTTTTTAATCCCTTTACTTTTACTTTATATGTCTTTACAGGTCAAGTGAGTTTCTTGAAAGGAGCATATAGTTGGGTGTTTCTTTTTTATTTTAGAATATCTTTTGTTCTTTTATCTCTCTTTTATGGTTTACCTTTATGACTTTGTGGTCTTAAAAACTGATACAACTTTATATCTTTCTCTCATTTGTTATCTGTTCTACTAGTGACTTTTATACTTCTGTATCTTTTTATGATAGCTATTCTTTCACTTCCAGATTAGGGCTCCCTAATGCTTAACAGCTTGAGCATTTCACGTAGGGTCAGTCAAGTGGTGATGAATTCTCTCACCTTTTGTTTATCTAGGAAAGATGTTATTTCTCTTTCATTTCTGAAGAATAGCTTTGCCAAGTATAGTATTGTTGGCTAGCAGTTTTCTTTCTTTCGGCACATTGAATATATCATCCCATTCTCTCCTGGCCTGTAAGGTTTTCTACTGAGAAAACTGCTGTTAATCTGATAGACATTCCCTCATATGTGACTTGAAGTTTTTTCTCTTGCTGGCTTTAGAATTCTCTCTTTGTCTTTTACTTTGGACACTTTCACTATTATGTGCCTTGCATAAGACTTTTTTGGATTGAATTTATTTTGGAATCTTTAAGCTTCCTGTCACCTGAATTTTTATATCTCTTGATGTAGACGTAAAAAGTTTTCAGCTGTTGTTTAACTAAATAGGTTTTTGTCTGCCTTTGTTCATTTCTTCTTCTTTGGAACTTCCAAATTTTAAAAATTTGTTCACTTTTTGGTATCCCCCAAGTCAAACGTAGGTTTTCTGCAATCTTTTTAATTAGTTTTTATTCTTTGTCTGACTGGATTATTTCAAATGGCCTGTTTTGAAGTTCAGAAACTATTTCTTCTGCTTGATCTATCTGTTGTTGAAGCACTCAATTGTATTTTTTATTTTATTCATTGAATTCTTTTGTTCTAGAATTTGTTTGGTTCTTTTTTATATCTATGTCTTTATTGAATTCTCATTCATATCCTGAATTGTTTTTCTGACTTCTTTGTTTTATGTGTGTTCTCATGTGTTTCACTGAGTTTCCTTAAGATCATTGTTTTACATTATTTTTCATGCATTTCACAGACTTCTTTTTCTTTGGGATCTATTTGTGGATCCCAAAGATGTTTCTTTGGAGATGTCATGTTTCCCTACTTTTTCATGTTTTTTGTGCATCTGATATAACACTTTCCAATTCTATGGATTGGCTGTCATAAGGAAATACATTTTTCTGTAGGTCTACATATTATGTTGATTAGGTATGATGCTTTGGCTTTGATTCTGAGTGGGTCCAATAGCATAGTCTTTGTACAATTTCTTCAGCCCTGATAATATCATTGGTGTCTGTGAACTCTTCAGTGACTTAGGCTGAGGTTGTTCATAGAGGCTGTGGTGCAGCTTTGCTGGGAATGGGAACACCAAGTGGGATAGTCCTTTGGTCCCTGGATGGTATATGCTAGTGCTGGCAGTTGCAATGGGGTAGGATATATTTGCAGGACTGCAGGTGGCATGCATGGGCTCTGGAAGCAGGCAGCATGCCAATTCTTAGTCCTTTGGATGGTGCATCTGTCTTCAGGTCCCCAGATGCTGTGTATTGATTCCCACACCTGGGTGGGTGAGTGTCAGTAGTGGTGGTGGGGTGGGATGACCATAACCTTAGAGCTCTGGATGGTGCTTGAAGAAATTAGATAACTGTTTATATCTGGAAAGAGTGTCATATGGAAGAAAGGCCAGGCATGTGGTGAACTGAGTTCTAGTTTTGCCTTTGAACTGGCTTTTCAATTTCCTAATCTCCATTATTAAATGAGGGGATGACAAATTACTCACAATTCATAGCAATCATGGTCAGTTAAGTTAATTTGAATATTCTTTCATTAAGTACACATAATGTGTCATTTTTGGAGCATATAATACCTTAGAAAAGATAACCATTAGAAAATAAAACACAAGGTAAAGGATGATAATTGTCAAACGACAGTTAAGTTCAGAAAAGAGAGAAGGTTTATTTATCTAGGACCATCTGAGATTGCTTAATAGTAGAGATGGACAGCCCTTGAATAGATGTTTGAAGGACAGCTAGAATCTGGACAATTTATATTGGGTGATCAGTAGGTAGGAGACAGTTCAGGGGAGGGAACTAGCACAAATAAAATCATTGGGTCAGAAAAATATTAACAAGGTGGGGTGTGGTAAAGAAATAGAATGCAGCCCTGTTTGGGTGGAATGTAGGGTACTTTAGCAGAAACAGCGGAAGATAAGGCCAGAAACAGGAGCTTCTGGACAAAATATAAGGCCCTGGCGTGCTCTAGAGGCAACAAAGAATGATAGACATCTCTAGAAAGAGTTATGCAACGATAAGAGCTGAATATAAACAGGAATTTCATTTTCTTCTTCTTCATCAATTTTTTTCTTTTTATTGATAAGTTAGGCTACCTGGGTTCAAATTCTGTCTTCACCATTTACTATTTAGGAGAACTTAGGCAAATTATTTAACCTTGCTAAGCATCAGTTTCTAAACCTGTAGGTGGGATAATAACCTATAACCTACCTTATAGGGTTGTTGTAGAAATTAAATGAAATAATAAGTAAAAGCACTCAACAGAGTGCCTAGTACAAGAGCTGCTCTCACTGAATGACAGCTGCTGCTTTTGCTGTTATTATATTTAAGCTATTTAATAGACCAGTTTTTGCAGCTCTTTAATTAGGACTTTTCTGTTCAAGTAGGGCCTCTGACCTTTTGGGATAAGAAAAGCCACCTAGTGGCTGTCATTACTATTTTTAACCTCTTGTAATCAGTGGCAGTCTCTGGGCCCCAGGGGTTTAAAAGCACTTTGCTAACAGTTCTGAATTTGGAGTAATCTGTGGATTCGATCCCAAGCATTTTCTTTCTGTCTATGAAAACAGTCCCTTGAAAATTAGCTTAATTGATTTGGTAATTAAAGGAGTTCAGACGTTTATAGTGATATTTTATACTAAAAGTCCCAGTCAGTGACTACTTTGGAGGTTTAATTGTTTTGTTTACCTTAATTCCCATCCTGCTATCAGCTGTTTAAAACTAAGAATTTGGGGTTGAATAGAAACAGCCTGTTTTGTAAGGGCTTAGAAAGACTATCTCTTCATAGTGGAATGATGTTAGGGTCATGTTTTAAAATGGAAGGGAGGGTGGAGAAGACTCATTTCATTGTTCATCTTGAGTGATGAAAAACGGGCCATGGTGTGTTGCTCACTTTGTACCTCTTGTACACTTCCAAGGTCAAAATGGTCACTGGATGCCTCCTTCCAATTTGGCATGTCTACCTATCTAAACATAAGCATTAATCCTAAAAGAAGAAATTAAATGACTGAGATTCCAGGATGTTCACAATTGCTAATTACTGCTAATTATTTAAAGATTATTCATATGGGAAAAATTTAACTGCAAATAGAACACCAATGATATATTTTGTCAAAAATTATAAGAAAGTTAAGTAATTTATTTTGTGGAAATCAGGTGCAATTATTTTATTAAATTATATTATTTGTATGATCATTTGTACATATAACTTTAAACTATTATATATAATTTAATAAGTATAATACATAATAAAATACATACAGTAAAACATAAAATATATCTAATAATATATGTAAGAAAACTTTGTATAGAGCTTTCTTAAATCACTTTAATAGCAATGACTCATTTGATCTTCACAACAGTTTTGTGGAAGATTGATAGCTGTTATTCCCATTTTATTAATGAGGAAACTAAGTTTTAGGAAGTTAAGCAATTTGCCCAAAGAAAATAGTTAATATGTGTTTTTTTGTTGTTGTTGTTACTCACTTGTCCAAATTAGGACTACTATGTGCTATAATTTGAATATTTGACCACTTTAAACCTCATGTTGAAATTTGATCCCAATGTTGGAGGAGCGGGGCTAATGGGAGGTATTTGGGTCACGGGGGTGGCAAGGGATGATCGTATTTTGCAATATGAGAAGAACATGAATTATGGGATGTCAGGGGTGGAATGCTATGGTTGGATATTTGACCCCTCCAAACTGGAAAGATCCCCAGTGTTGGAGAAAGGGCCTAATGAGAAGTGCTTGGGTCATGTGAGAAGATCCCTCATGAATGGCTTGGTGCCGTTTTCGTGTTAATGAGTGAGTTTTGCTCTGTTAGTTCCTGCAAGAGTTGGTTGTTAAAAGAGCCTAGCACCTCCCTGTTCTCTCACTTTCTCTCTTGCCGTGTGATCTTTGCATATGCTGACTTGCTTTCCCTTTCCACCATGAGTGGAAGCAGTCTGAGGCCCTGACCAGAAACAAATGCTGGCACCATGCTTCTTGTACAGCCTGCAGAACTGTGAGCTAAATAAACCTCTTCTCTTTATAAATTACACAATAACAATGACTTAGGCATTATGAGAAAAGAGAGAAGTCACTACCTAAGAAAACTATTGGTATTGACTCTGAATGCATCAATGACAAAAAGAATAAAGGAATTTACTTTTCACTTTTCCAGGCAATAGAATGTGAGGTGAAGGGTACATTGGAGTTAGCCTGGCTGTCTTCAGATCCCACCTTCATTACTTACTACATGTGATCTTGTCAAGTTATGTACACTTTGCAGCCACTTTCCCATTCTAATTTGTAAAATGGGAACAGTAATAATACCTCTTCTCTGGAGGACTGATGGAAGAATTTAGGTAAAGCACATGGCACAGGGCCAGGTAGAAGATCAATAAAACTAATATGTTGCTACTATTATTATTGTAATTACTATTATTTCAAGTGAAATTTGAGTCCATACCTGAGGCTTGGGTAGAGCGATTGTTATCATAGAAATACAAGCCAACCATCCTTTCAAGATGCAATAGTGCAGGACCCACATGTCCGTGTTTATATCCAGCTGGTGCAGAAGACCCAGACACCCTGGGTTCTTGATAGCCAGAGGTGGGAGGCTACTGTTGTGCAGAGTAACATCTTCCCAGACATGGCTCTGCAGGTGTAACATAAAAGGGTCAGCTGAGTGGTCATCCTGTGCCAAAAGTCTTCAACTCCCAGACCAAGTCTGTCTGACACTAGGGAAGCCACTGCCCTACGTGGTTCTTGCTAAGACAATCTGAATACCCGAGCAACTAGCCAGAAAACCTAAACTTATCCATTGTCTATAGGGAAGTACTCTTTTTCCTTCTCGTGTCCATAGACATCCCTTCTTTTTGGCTTCTATTTTATTCTGAGGAAATCAAAAGTATATCAGTCAAAGAACAGGGAATCATGTATAGAAAGGCAATGGAAACAAGCACCTTAGCAAAGACTGTTTTTAATGCCCCTGTCTATAAGCGCTGAGCCTGATAAGTTAGGTAACATGTCTGGGAAGATGTTACCTCACTCACCATTGGGATTGTCTTCCTAGCCCTGTTCCTGGTATGTCCACTGTGACGAATAGCAATCCTTGGTTCGTGCTTTTCCTTACCTGTAACTCTCCTTTGTGCAATGGAACTAGTTAAATGCCCCAGGCCAACTCAGGTCTTAGGCTTTCACAGTCAGTGACATGAAGGCCAAAGATAAATTAAAATTCTCTTCTCTGGAGGGCAGCCCTTCCTCCACAGGCCTGGGAACTGGGAGGGAACTCTGGGAACTGTGACCTGAGGCTGGGAGCACTGTGCTTTATCTCTTTATCAGAATGCCCTGCCTGTACTTGCCAGTTCCTCTTCTTTGTTTGGTTTCATTTTTGCTCTTTAGTTTTAACATGGCAGGGCAAATGATTTCAGAAGGCAGAGTTTGCTGTGTTCTTTGCTGCGAAATGGGAGCCTGCTGGGAGTTTGGGTGTTCATTTTTTCCACTTTGCTTCAGACTCTGAGTGCATTAGCAGAATAAATGCCTCTTAAAAATATTGAGGCTCATTAGGATGACACATTGGAGAGATGAATGTGTGTGCTCAACGTTGTGTTCCAGGTAAAATGAAACACAAGTCCTGTTGTTTGTCAATGATGATGCTTGTTATTGTTCTGAAAGGACAGTTACAGGGTACCTGGCAGTACATTTAAGCTCAAACAATCCAAATTTTCCCAAAGGCACAGAGCCAAAATATGTAGAGAAGACAATTGATAATTACTTTTGCTTGTATACCATTTTGTGAGGAAATGAGCATATTTAAAGGAAATCTATAATCTCATTAGAAATCATATCTATATCATAAAAATGAAACAATTGGTATTAAAGCAATTTTTCCCCTAACAGTTTGTAGAACAAGTTCAGAAAGAGAAATATCAAATGCCTTAGACATTGAGGTGATGACTCGCCTGTTGATGTTATAAAGTTATCTATCAGTTTGTAGGTGAAATTTAAATTAAAAACCATCTTGCTCCAAAGCTTGGAATCATGAATGGGCAGGAATTGTGAAAATTGGCCTTATATGTCTACAGAACAAGGATGCTAACATAAAGCACTGTATTTCTGAATTATAACACACTCATTTTCTAGTAAGCTGCTCAATCAATAGCACCATCCTGAGATATCCCTGAGATCTTATATTTGGAGAGTAAAAAGAAAACAGCAGCAGTGGTTTGTCATCCATGGGGAACTACTGGACTTCTTCATGTGAAACAGAAATTCCACCCCAGTTTGTGACTCCCCACTGAGTCTTACTGAGAAGGATGGCATACAAACTCCTGAAAATGAAAAGAGCAGCAGGAATGCAAGCTCCCCCATAGGAACTGAGCAAAAAACCCTGTTGTCTTAAGATCCTCTTTCCCAGCTTTTAGAACACATCTGAGACGTCCCGGGGTAGACTGCATGACATCTAACATGTTCCTTTCTCCCTCTGAGAAGAAATGCAAAATGAAAGAAGAGATAAATATCAAGGAAATTTTACCTGGCGGACAAGACGGGCCGCTTTGTCCATTGCCTCAAGCCACCTGAAAGACAGTAAAGTGAGAGGAGATGTCCTTGGGGAACTGGATAAATATCACTTGGAGGAGCTTGTTGTTTCTACTGAACCCATTGTTGAGGCAGAACAGTCTTGAGGCTCAGATATATTTCATTGCTCTAAGTTTATAGTTGAAGGGTGACACATTTGCAAAATTGGTGTTACTAGGTGGCAAAATCGCACTTCCATTTGGCATATTTGAAATATTCTTATCCTTCTCCTTTACTATAGTTTACTTAATGCCTGAGAATAAATGTAGTCAGTCTTTACAAAGATATATGAATTTATTAACACCAACAAAGTTAATAACAATTGGTATATTAACTGTAAGGTACTGACTATTAAAATATGGAAAGACTGGTAAATAATCATTGTCCTGAGTCTTTCCCTAAGTGTTCCTTGGACATAGAGGCCTCCTTTAGCACACCATTAACGCCCCTCCCTGAGGACTGAATTTTCTTAGTTTTGCCTCCTTAGCTAGGCACCAGCCTATTCAGCCCACCCTATCTTGCTAATCTTTTTAAATTTTCTTTTAATCCCCTAACTTCCAATCAAATTATACTGCCTGCTACTCTCCCCAAAGCTTGATTTATTCCATTTGCCATCCTATGTTCTACTTCTCTGTTATATGCTTATCCAATCCTATACCATACCCTTTATAAACAACTCTTTCATACCCCCATCTAGAAAACCTCTCTTCCTACTCTCAATTCTTATGCCACTTTGTCTTTTCCTATTGCACTTCTCAATTTTTATTTTGGATTCAATATATTGAAATAAATGCCCTATCTTCTTAGTTAAGAGGGTTTTTTTGAGGGCAAGGATTGGCTCTTCACTATACTAATAATCTTTAGAGATCTTAAGACAGTGTCTTTGGACATACTAGATGGCCAATAAATATTTTGTGCATTAATTGAAGTACAATCAAATTGTTATCATGTTTTCTTGTTTGTCTTTTAGAGTGCCATGCTTTTGAATATTACAATGTTCCACAAATAGAGATGGTGTATTGTTTGCCTAATATGTTTCAGCCTAGGACTACCTTGAAGATTGGAGCTGGGCCCAAACGTTCTTCAGGAAATGTGTCATTGATACTAAACACTGTTGACCTGTGGCCTTTTTGTCATTTACTTTTTGTCCGCCACTATATCTCACCCCTCACTCTAGCATTACTTTCAATAGTTTTCAGTCGACTCATTGGATTGACCTATGATCTCCATTCCCTCAGGGACTGAGTAATGATTATGGTGGCTAAATGATCAGAGCTCATAGGCTACCCTCTTAGATTGTAAGCACAATCCTCCTCCATTTTGGTTGTATGTGAAGATATCAACTAGTTTCATTCCTCTGCAAAGCTACATTATTATGAGTATTTTGCTTTTCTCACTATATTTTATTAAGTTGTGATCCTGATAAATTATTTTTATACCTACAACTATTTATTCATCCAATTAGCTTAAAATACATACACTTGGCAAGTTTTGGAAATGCTAGATGAGATCTGCAGTAATAATTACATTTTTCAAGAAAAAATGGAGACCTAAGGTGAGTTAGCGTATGATCCTTACGTTCTTTGGAAATAGTTAGAACAAATCTGGAGGGAAAATGAAGAATCAAACTTTTCCTACCTAAGGGGGGTGGGTGGGAAAAAAGATATTTATTGACTCATACTGTGAATCTGTTGTTTCCTGCTTCCGATCTTAAGAATCTGTAAGTTTGCTGTGGAAGAAGCATTTCCCTCATTCAAAGTGAAACTATGTAAGATAAAAGATTAGTGAATTACCTTTTCATTTCTTGGTTTGAGGTTGCATAGAGGCAAAAAGTCCTATTTCCAGACTGAGGCACACAGTTAAACACAAATGGTTTTCCCAAGCTGCTATCAATGCTAACTTCTGCACCTTCTAATTTTATTACTTCTAGAGGTGGCCATTTTCCTTCATCCTGTAATTGATAAGAAAGATGTTCAATATGGGCACTGTCAGCAGATAAGGGAGAAAAAGAGAGAGGAAAGGAGGACTAAAATGATGGTTTTGATTGATTGTTTTTTGGATCTGAAATGAAAATAAAACCAATAAGATTTTTTTATGGATTATGTTCCATGAAACTCCAAATTTTCTAGCTATGATATTTTCCCACATCCGTTTTAAGTAGTCTATTTATGTGAAATTTTTTTTGTTTTGTTTTGTTTTGTTTTGTTTTGTTTTGTTTTGAGACCGAGTCTCGCTATGTCACCCAGGCTGAAGTGCATTGGCGCGATCTTGGCTCACTGCAAACTCCACCTCCTGGGTTCATAATTCTTCTGTCTCAGCCTCCTGAGTAGCTGGGACTACAGGTGCATGCCACCATGCCTGGCTAATTTTTGTATTTTTAGTAGAGACGGCATATCACCATATTGGCCAGGCTGGTCTCGAACTCCTGACCTCATGATCCGCCTGCCTCGGCCTTTATGCCAACTTTGGAGAGTATTATTCATTATTAATGTCCATTTTTTTCCCATCAGAAAAAAAAATCAAAAGAAATCAATATCACAAAATATATGTGGTTGGTAGTGACATACATCTCTAGTTAGTACCTATAATAAAACATATATTTCATGCTTATTGTATATCAGGCCCTCTTCCAAGTTCTTTACATCTATTAATTGATTTTTCTTCACTAATGCTCATGAGGTAGTTACTCTTATCTCCATCTACAGATTAAGAAACTGCCACATGCAGAGAATAAAAAGTATTTTTCTTTAAAGGACAGTAGTTTAAAATATCATACTATGTATGAAAAACTAAATCATTTTATAGGTAAATATTTTATTTGGATTTATTTTACAACAGTATGTCAAAACATCCTGTCCATTTTTCATGTCCTAAGAACATCTGCACTGAGACTTAGCTTACCGCAAAGTCACTCATTTTACATGTATAATTTAATGACATTTTAATAAATTTATAGAATTAGGAAACTATTATCATAAACTAGTTTCAGAACTTTTCCAATATTCCCCAAATTTCCTTTGAGTCTGTTTGTAAGTCAGTTGCTACTGCCTCACACCTCCCAATCACAGGCAACCAAAAATACGTTTTCTGTCATTACATATTTGCCATTTCCGGACATTTGATGTAAGTGGAATCATACAATATGTGGTCTTTTGTGACTGGCTTCCTTTACTTGTTATAATGCTTTCAAGTTTCATCCATGTTGTATCACTTATCAGTACTTCATTACTTTTCATTGCTGAATTATATTCTATTGTACGAATATGACACATTTTGTTTATCCATTTGCAAATTTATGGACATTTACTTTCCAGTTTGAGCTGTCTTGAATAATGTCTCTATGAACATTTGTGTACGGGTCTCAGTGTGGACATATGCTTTTATTTCTCTTTGGTAGATTACTTTGGTGAAATTGTTGGGTCAAATGGTAAATTTAACTTTAACTTTATAAAAAACTGACCAACCATTTGCCAAATTGGCCGTGCCATTTTAAAGCCCCATGGGCAGTATATGAGTTTTTCAGATTCTCCACACCCTCACTAATACTTGGTAATGTTTGTCTTTTTGATAGTAGACATCCTAGTGGGAGTTATCTCATTATGGTTTTTATTTGCATTTTTCAAAACACTCACTATGTGGAGTACCATGTAATGTGCTTATTAACCACTGATATGTCTTCACTAATGACATATCTCTACTTTGGTGAAATGTCTTTAAAATATTTATTCTATGAGAAATAATTTTCTGGGCAATCAAATGATATATGAAAAGGGTACAAGTTGGCAAAAAAACACCTTTTTTGGGTTTCTTATTAGTGTTATACCAATAATTGGGCACTAAATAAATACTTGTTGAATAATAAATATGTTCCTTTGAATCTAAGTGTCTTAGATTATATATCTTAGATTACATAGATATTGTAGACATCTCTGCATATGTGTATCACAAAGAGATGAGTCCTAACTTAAGTTCTTAACCAATTTTAGGTAATAAACTCCTTTAAGATGCTGATGAAAGCTATGAACCCTTTCCCTCAAAATACACATATATGTATATATGCCTGTACATAGACACATATGAAAAAATTTCTTGCAAGTCACAAGTACAGGTAGATGGATAGAAGAATATTATTCAACTAAAAATAGTATCTCATAGTAGTATGGTATTTTCATGGGCTCTTTTTTATTTTTCATAACAACTCTATGAAGCAGAAGCTAATATATCCATTTTCTAGAGGAAGAAACAGATTTGATGAGATGGTCCAAGGTTTAATGGACAGAAACACAGAGATAGAACTTATGCCCTGGTCTCCTAGCTCTGTCTTCCCACACTGTTTCTGTTGAATGTCTGGCTTCTTGGGCCACTGGAATTTGGAGAACTGCTGGATTTTAAAGTCAGCATTTGAAGGCTGTGATATTCAACATTTCAGTAGACAGAGTATTTCCAGACATCATCAACTTTCCTGGAATAGAGACAGAGATCTAGAACTTTGATCTGTTTAAATAAATATCCAGATGGGAGCACATCTTATAAAAATTGTATATAGCCAATAATATGACATTAGAAACCAGAATAATATATTTTCATTTGCTTTAATAAGGCTATAGATGTTGTATGCCTGCACAGAGTGGCTAATTATATGTAATTTTCCCAGAAGCATCTTAAACGATAAAAAGAAATGAGATAACATAAACAAGGCCTGGAGATTTTATTCTGTTGGTAAGTGGCAGGTATACTTATTTACTAAAAGCAAATACTCACTGGGCCTGCTTTCCTGTGGATCCATTATACTGATAAGATGACATAATATGTTGATCTCCCAGTAGCAATGCTGTTAGGTTACTCTGGGACTACCAGTGTTCTCCCACATCCTTTGCTGTAGGGAATGCAAAGGAGTTCTTTCATATGGCACAGACATACCAAAAATAGTATGAGGATCTTTCCCTTATGAGTCACTTATGAGGATCTTTCCCTTCTGCTAAAGTTGAAACTATGTGAGAAGAATGAATAATTACTGAATGGACTGAATTTAAAAACGAGGCCTATGATCTCCTACGTGGTCTACATCATGGCCCAGATTCCATTTTTACCAATCTCAGCTGCTGCCCCTGCTTATAAGCCTGCTATGGCCCTGGGAGCAGCTGCAATAAACCCATGGAGACAGATCCTGTGTAGCACGTGTGGGTGCTCTTACAGCTGTGCTTACCCGTCTTACTGTTCTTTCTGTTTCCCTCTCCCAAGCACCTCTAACCTCCACTCCTATGGATATACAGGTGTTGGAAAAGATTCCCCATTTAGTCTAATCCTAATGCTGCTTGGACTATGGTGCCATATTCCCCACTCAAATGTTTTCTGAGGATAAAGGACAATTAGAATCCTTCTATCTTACTGCCATGTCCTTGGGGTTTTTAACTCCTCCCTTAAACAAGCCCAATCCCTCAGTTTGGCAATAATTTTTAAATTGCTTCTGATTGATTCCTTCCCTCCAGTTCTGCCAAAAGTCTCTCTTATGTTGTTGCTGGAAACAGTGAAGATTTTTAAGACTGGTTTCTCTACAACTTTAAATTATCCTTTCTAAGGCACAGAAAAGCTCCAGCTCCATTTTTCTAGTCCTGAGCCAAATTGTAGAACCAGCTGTGTGCAGGATTGATTAAAATAACAGAGATGCTGAAAGGATTTACCAAGGAATTGTTTAGTGATGTCCAGAAGCAATAGACTGAGAATAAAGGAACCTGGGTTGTTTGTGCCAGACAGCCTTGGATAATGTTGACATTGTTTGTTATGGAAATAATACTTTCACAGAAATCATCCCAAAGGTCACACAGCTCAGAAAAAGGAAAATAGTAAACAATAATAATGAGAAAAACTCAACCCAGAGTGAATACACTTAATTAAATTATGTATATAAAGAAAAACACAGATAAAGGCATTTGTGACTCTCTGTAACGGGTTCTCTGCTAAAATAAAATCACCTACAAATGTTTTAAAATTATTGGCTGTGGTTAAAGTTTTGTTTTGAACCTGCTAGGAAGTTTTTATTGTTGTTGGTAGGGCTTCCTGTTTAAGAAAAGGGAAAAGTCTGGGACCCTCTACCAATATGTTTCATTTTATCTGGAGGCACAGCCATGAAAATCCATATACTAAAGAGGAGCGAAAAGGCATCTTTAGCCATGAGAAAGAACTAATTTTCAGTGGGGAAAACAGAGCCAGGATAAAATTTAGAGGGAAAGAAAGCATGTCCTAAAGCAAAACACCACATGAAAAGGTGCATGAAATACACATCTAGAGAGCTATATTTAAAGCTGGGAGTTTGAAGCAAAATTGAGGAATGGCTGTCCCTCAGAGGTTTATTAATGATGCTGAGAGCTTTATCTCTAGGTGGCAGTTTGGAAGCACCGCCTCCCTGTCAGTGACTGGAAACCATCACTCCTCAATAGCTATGAGAATGATGGCCTCTGTCCATGTCATAGCTGATAGGATCAGGGAAGGAAAGATACAAGAGAGCTTTCACTGGAGTGATCTTTGTTCTTTGTCCTGTGAATAAATAGAAGTCTCGACGTCCTAGGGATTGTAAGCCCCTCACTATACCACTCAAGAGTATTTATGTATGC
The DNA here is from genome assembly GCF_000001405.40 of Homo sapiens. NCBI lineage: Eukaryota > Metazoa > Chordata > Mammalia > Primates > Hominidae > Homo > Homo sapiens. The sequence continues at coordinate 103,452,474 of NC_000005.10, forward strand.
GTGCATTTCCATAGGTATGTATATATGTATTTGTTTATTTATGCATGCGTTCCCTTTTTCCCTCCAGGTAGGAAAGAAAGAATGGACAAAGGACAATGAACAGAAAGTAAAATGAGCATGCAAGTCAGACCCTTGTTCATGGGTGGTACTGGGTTCCTTGTGTAAGCTTTGAGAATTTGACATTTCTCATATTGCTTTTATCAGGAAATTGAGACAATCTCATTGCTCCCAAACTTGCAGTGACTCTCTAAATAGAAGCACCTGAATAAGACACTTCATCTTTAAATATGGTCATGGCTCTTTCTTTGCTTTTATAAGGATGCCTGGCTGCAAACTCAGAATTTTGTGCATTTCTTTTAAGTTTGTCTGGAATGAGGAATCATTTTTTAGCAGTGATAAATTCATGCTGGCTGCACCGTGTCATTTCCTGGCACCAGGGAGACTCTAGGTTCCAGGAAACACAGGCAGCTCTTGGGGCTGAAGGAGTTCATGGGTATCAGACCAGCATATTACACTGTGCCCAGACAGGCTTCCTGCTGGAAAGGTAGCCAAGGGGGAAGGATGCTGATGGTATTGGAGTCTGAGTTGCCTAGGCTCTATAGCTTTGAAGAGACATTTCTGGCCTCAGTCACGTGGCTCAATTGTCACCTTTTTCCTTGGCTCCTAAATGATCCCTTAATAACTACCACCCAATACTTTCATCATGACAGAAAGACTATGAAATAATAAAACAATAACAGTAATGATCTTGTTAGAAGTTGTCAGAAAGTTACCAAGTGAACCTTAAAATCAAGACATTCTGCATCTTAAGCTCTGCAATTAGATGTTTGTCCCCCCTCCTCTGTCCCCAGAACTCATCATGTTGTTCATTTGTAGGTAGACTCTACAGCTAGATGATCTGGGTTGGAATTCTCACTGTACTGTTATTAGGTCACCTTTGTGACCTTAGGCTTGTGACTCTCTGTGCCTCAGTTTCCTTACTCGTAAAGAAGAGTTGTTATAAGGATTGAGTTAATATATGCATAAGGTGTTCAGAACACTGCCTGGCATGTCATACAGGATGTATAAATACTAGCTTCCATTATTATATAGAAATTTGATGAAAGTGAAGAGTGAGAACCTAGAGAAGAAGTTAACAGAGAAGCTTTAATAGGGGTGCCAAGGGTAAATTTATTAAAAGTAAATTTCTACATCTGCATTTTTTTCTCCAAGAATTAGACTATATGAAGAGTGTGAGGGCTTTCTCTCTGAATTTCAGTGACTTCATTTATAATGGAGGAAACAGCACCTTCCTTTGTGAGGATGAGATGAGATTACTTACGTAGTGTTTGGCCCATAATGACTGTTCAAGGAAGGTTTTTTCTTTCCCACATCTGGGGTCTGCTTTCAGTTTAAGCACAAATGAAGCATCACTACAATATCCCTAGGAATCAAAAAAGCTATGGGAGAAAAGATCCTCCAGAACCAGTGATGATCATTATTGGGAGGGCGGCTGGGCTGGAGGCAGGGCCAGGGCTAAGGTTGGGGTGGGATGGACAGAGAAGGCAGAGAGGTGAACTAGGCTGTGCATCATTTTTCTATTTGGAAAGGAGTTGCGATGCTCTGATTGGTTGGCTCCTGCGCCTGAATTTCTGTAATTCAGGTGGCAGAGCCCATTTAATGCTTAATCCTACACTATACTCAGAGATTTGGGGATTTAGTACTTGTCTCTGGTTAAACTTGGACTTAGAATCTCCCATAACCCACAGATAAAGGCTGACTTTCCTGCAGACTGAGTCTTCCTTCCTCTGTGATCACATTCTGAGAGGCTGCCTTTGGGCCTTGACCAAACTCTGCCCCTCCCACACCTGAAATAGCACCCTGGGCTCTAAACCTTCTCTCCTTTCCTTTCACCAGAGCTTCCTAAATATGTCTGTACCTTCTTGCCAGACACTGTACTAGGCACTCAGGTTCTACCTGGCCTTAAGTCTTAGATTGATTTCCTACATTTAGTTCTCTCTCATTCTTGACAAAATTCCTCAGTCCTCTTTCCTTGGATGCTCTTAGATCCCTGGATTTTTCTAAATCCAATGTGTCCATTATTACTTGTGGCCCTTTCCTTGCCCATTCTGCCCCTCATTTTGAAAGGAGTGACCTGGTTTTCCTGAGAGGAAGTGTTCTGGTTCTCAATGGACCCAGATGTTTATCTATCCGCATGATGGCTTACTCAGTGCTTCTGAGTACAGGAAGAGTGGTTCTCTTTCTCTCATTTGTTTTTGGATCCCTCTACTTTTTAGATTTTTAAAATTGAGGTAATAAACTGGAAGAAAAATTCTGTTTTTCCTTTGAAATATCACCCTTCTTTTTAATTCTACTGATACCACTTTGGTGCACAGCCTTAACATCATGCCTGTGTCAACACGGCAAACTCCTAGCTGAGTTTCTTCGATGTCAGACTCAGCAATTTAATCTAAACAGTCTGATAGTGCCCACCCAAAGTCTACTTCCATTGCACTGTCCATGGTCCTGGTTGCCACTTCTCAGCTCCAAATTCACTCTTTGTGGCTTGATTTGTAAAAATAGATCTGAACCCTTCAAATATTTTTCCTTCACCAGCAACATTCATCATCTAGTGGGCTGTAACTAAACTTTTCTAATGAGGTCTGAACCCTCACTTACAAATTTGTCCTGCCTTGGGTACTCTCTCTTTTTAAAGACACCTTTTAGAGTTCTCTTTTTATGATTATTCTCCTATCATCGGTTAATACTTCTTTATATTAAACTTCCTTCCTCTGTTTACATTAGTCTGCGTATGTTAACTTGGCTACACTGTGGTGTACAGATATTTGGTCAAACACCATTCTAGGTGTTGCTGTGAAGGGTTTGTTCCCACCCCCCACCCCCGAAAGGAGAGATTATAGTTTATTAGGATTTTCTTCACTTCCTGGGTTTGTCATTAATTTGTGTGAAGTAAGTATTTGGTTATTTTTTCCTTTTATTGATACATAATATTTTACATATTTATGAGGTATATGTGAGTGTTTGTTACCTGCATAGAATGTATAATAATCAAGGTAGAGTATTTGGGGTATGAATTACCTTGCATATTTATCATTTCTATGTGTTGGTATCATTTCAAGTCTTCTAGTTATTTTGAAATATACAAAATATTGTTGCTAAGTATAGTCACCTTGTTTTGCTAGCACACATTAGAATTTATTTCTTGTAACTGTATGCTGTGAAGGTATTTTTAGATGTGATTAACACTTAAGTCAATAGATTATGAATAAACCAGATTACCCTTCATAATTTGGAAGGGTCATTCAATCAGCTCATTCAATCAGCTGAGGTACTTAAGAGAAAAAGACTGAGGTCTTCCGGAGGAAGACAGAATTATGCCTCCAGGAATTCCCTTAATCTTTCCCTCTCCCTCTCTGTATATATATTTATTTATGTATGTGTGTGTATATATACAGATGACCCTTGAACATCACAGGTTTGAACTGCACAAGTCCACTTATATGCTAATGGTGTTGCTACTGTGGCAAGCTCAAGTGTCGTGAACATACTTATCAGTAAGCCTTTTGGTTTATGGTAGGTTATTAATACAAGTTGACTCTTGAACAACACTGGGCTTAGGGGTCATTGATCCCCTACACAGTCAAAAGTCTTCATATAACTTTTGATTCCCCCAAAACTTAACTACTAATAGCCTACTGTTGATAGAAACCTTGCCAATAATCACATACTTGGCAACACTTGAGCTTACCACAATAGCAAAAGAAAAATCCAGGTAGAAATGGACCCACACTGTTCACACCCAAGTTGTTCAAGGGTCAACTTGTAGTTAAGTTTTTGGGGAGTCAAAATTTATATTCGGGTTTTCAACTGTGAAGGCAGGTTGGCACCTCCAACCCCCAGGTCAATCGTATACAGACTCAGACACACACACACATACACACACGTACACACACACACACACACACACACACACACACACACTATTGACTCTGTTTTCTCTGGGAGAACCCTGTGTTATTTCTATCTCCTGAATGGACCCACACTGACAAACTAATGAATTCTTTAAAAATATCCAGTCAAGGCTCTTCTGTTGATTCTCAATGTCCTTTATAATCCGGCTCCACCTTAACTATTGAATTTGAGTAACAATCATCAGTGTCCCAGAACATTCCACAATCCCACACTCATTTCTCCTTGGCCTGTGCCCAAGTTTCCCTCACCACTCATGCCCTCCCATCACTCCTCCTTCCATCCACACCCTAACTATCCTTCAAGGTGCAGCCCAAACTCCTCTTCCTTCCTGAAGTCTTCTTTGCCTCCTGTAGTCAACACCAATCTCTCTCTTCCTATAAAGCGTGCCTGTGTCACACAATTCAGTGCACAATTATATAATACCTTGTGTGGTTCTTTCTTTCAGTATTCATTGAGATTAAATTCTTATGTACCAGGCACTGTGCTCTGCACTTTTTCCCCCCAAGAGGACTTTTGGGTGGGAAACCTGATGAATGATGATGCTGATGATAGTTTCTGTTTCCTTAGTGTCAATGACTTTCTAGACATTTTTAATGTTAATTCTCATGATTTTGTAAGATAAATTAGTCTCCACATTTTATATATGAGAAAACTGAGGCTTGAGTGTCTTATCTATGGGCATGCGAGTAGAAAGTCTTTGGCAGAGCCAGAATTGAATTCAAGGTCAGCCTGAAAACCTCTTTTTACTAGATCATAGCTATCATTCATGGAAATGTTTGAGATGGCAAGCTTACTCAGATCAACCATTAGAGAGAGTAAATATGAAAACTTCTTTTAATTTTAAATTTTAAAAATGTGGTAAAATATGTACAACATTAAAATTACTATTTTTACTATTTTAAAATGCAGCCATCACCATCATTTATCGCTAGAACTTCTTACATCTTCCCAACTGAAACTCTGTACCCATAAATAATAACTCCCTATTCCCCTCTGCCCCTAGTCCCAGACCACCATTCTACTTTCTGTGTCTATGAATTTGACTATTCTGGATACCTCATATAAGTGAAACCATAAAGTGTTTGTACTTTTGTTACTGGCTTTTTTCACTTAGCATAATGTCTTCAAGTTTCATCCATGTAATAGCATACGTGTTATAGCAGAATTTCCTTCCTTTTTAAGATTGAATAATATTCCACTGTATTCCATAATTTGTTTACCTATTCATCTGTCAATAGACACTTGGATTGCTTCCACATTTTTGCTATTGTGAATAATGCTCTTATGAGCATGAGTATATAAATATCTGTCTGAGTCCCTGCTTTCATTTTTGGGGGGTATATACCAAGTAGAGTTGCTGGATCATATGGTAATTCTATGTTAAAGTTTTTGAAGAATGGCCATACTTTATTCCATAGTGATTGTACCATTTAACATTCCCACTAGCAGTGCATGAGGGGTCCAGTTTCTTCTCCTCCTTGCCGACACTTGGTATTTCCTATTTTTGATAATAGCCATTCTCATGGGTGGGAAGTGATAGCTCACTGTGGTTTTGATTTGCATTTCCCTAATGATGAATGATGTTTAGCATTTTTTCATTTGCTTATTGGCAATTTATACATCTTCTTTGAATAAATGTTTACTCAATTCCTTTGCCCATTTTTTAATCAGGTGGGTTTTTACAATTTAATAGACAAATAAAAGTTGTATATAATATTATGTACAACATGATGTTTTGAAATATACATATATTGTCAAATGGCTAGATCAAGCTAATTCATACATGCATTACCTCACATACTTGTTTTCATGGTGACAACACAAAATCTACTCTCAGCAACTTTAATGATTTAGTCATCTCTTCAGGGAGATTGTTCATCAAATACTCTATGTATGGGCCTGTGTGTTTCCCTAATAGTCATCATGTAATTAAAGATTTTTTATATTTCTGAGGAACCAAATGAGATTAGCAAATTGGGAGTATGGTCTGTTATTCTTAGGTAAGACACCAAAAGATCAGGGTACTCCCTTTTCAGAAGGTGACCAGCAGGCATATGAGCAGGGCGAAAGAACATGTAATATGTGCAAAATATCTTTGGGCATCTGAAAATTATAGTTGTCAGGTGGTTTAGTATGTCTAGTAAATAACAGACAGAAGCCTTCCCACTGAGCCTACCTTAACTGACAGAACCCATCTTATGATCTACTGTGGAAGCCCAGGGACGTCATAAAAGGAGTCAGAACACCTCTCCCTCTCTGCAGTAGGTGCTGTGTCATACCCAAAGCAGTGACTGGGAGTTTCTAGTAAACTTCTTTATCTTTAAAATCAAGAAATGTGGATGGTTCAGACATTTGAAAAAAGGAAATTTTTACCTGCATAGTGCTAAAAATAGTTTAGGTGATTTCTGAATGCTGTTTAGCTTTGTCTCGAGGGAAAATGAACTCTGGCTCTGATTCTTCATGTCCATAAGGGTTTGTCTTGCTGATTTTGGCAAGGTTATAAAAAAAAAATCCACTATGAGGGCTACATCACTTACATTCTCCAAATGAGGAAATGGAAGCAAGTGAAGTTAAGTAATTTGACCAAGGAAATGCAGCTAATAGTTGGAAAATCCAGGATGTGAACTGAAGCTTTCCTAACCACAACATAGATTGTCTCCATGAAGTGAGACTTATTTCAGAAAGCCTGGATTTACTAAATGCCACACTCACTTTAATTCCAGAGGTCACAGACGTTATTATCTCTACCTTATAGTGGAGGGAAAAGGCTTCGAGAAGCTCCTTGAATTGTCCAGGTCCACTCAGGTAGCCAGAGCAGGGGTAGGGCCTGGACTCATCTGTAAAACTCATTTCTAATCTGTAATCTCTTCTTAGATGGACTATCTCATGTAGGTCTTATGGTCCCAGGTAGAAACAAGTTTCATCTCAGAAGGATTACATGTTTTTCTTTGAATAGTAGCTAGAACAGTGCTGGATCCAGGGGAAGAGCTTCGTGAAACACACGCTGGCCAAGGTGGACAGCTGTGAAGGAGCCTGTGATTCTGATACCCGGCATAAAGGTTTCTTCTGGAATTATGTTTCTGGTGTCTTGCTATGTTTCTTCATAGCTAGCCATAATGTAGCCTGTACAGAGAGAAGTCTTCTAGTTCTGTTTTTAGTAATCTCTTCCTCTCCCTGTAATTGGGTGAGGGGCACTTCTCTGGTGGCTTTTGCCTTCTTTCAATCCTCAAGGCTCTACTAAAGTAGACTGGCCCTGCAGGGTGTGCTATTCAGGACAGATATACTGAGGATGGAGAGAACCAAAAGGAGGCCTAACTTCAGATCGCATGAAGATGTGGAAGAGTTATTCTAGTCACTGGCTAGACCAGTGCTTTGGAATGATGTGTAGGTTTAATTTGTTATTCTATTCCACATTTACACAGAAGCAGAATAATTGACTTGGTATTAATTTTTTTCCCTTCAGTGGAAAAAACATGTAGAACCTCAAAGCTAAGTGGTATTTTCTTATAAAATGTTTTAACTCTATAAATGCTACTTTTATTCTACTCATAGGATTTTTAAAAATGGATCATTCCCTGGCTTTATAGCTCAGAGACATTATTCCTTGGGTTTAAAGTCTGTGATTTTTGGAAATATTATTGAATATAATAGCAATAAGAATAGCTACCTTTCATTTTCTGCCTGTTTTGTTCCAAGGATTGTGCTAGCTGCTTTGTATATGTTAGTTTATATAATCCCAATAATACCGCTTTAGGATCTGTATAGTCACCTCTAATGTCAATTTGAATTATGCAAATTTGGCATGGTATTATATAAACATCAGGCACAAAATCAGAAATAAGGTGAATGCCCCCAAATCAAATTAAATCAACAAGAATTTTAAAACACATGGGCCAAGAGAATTTTGTTTACTCTATTTCCACAGATATTACTTATTTAGCTGGTAATTAAAGTACATGGCTGAGGATGTGGAGAAAAGGGAACCCTCATGCACTGTTGGTGGAAATGTAAATTATAATACTACAACCACTATGGAGAATGGTTTGGAGGTTCCTCAAAAAAACTAAGAATAGTGCTATCATATGATCCAGCAATCCCACTGCTGGATATATCCAAAAGAAAGGACATCAGTATATCAAAGAGATACATGGACTCCCATGTTTGTTGCAGCACTGTTCACAATAGTTAAGATTTGGAAGCAACCTAAGTGTCCATCAACAGATGAATGCATAAAGAAAATGTGGTACTTACATGCAATGGAGTATTATTCGGCCATAAAAAAGAATGTGATCCTGTCATTTGCAACAACATGGATGGAACTGGAGGTCATTACATTAAGTGAAATAAGCCAGGCACAAAAAGACAAACATCACATGTTCTCACTTTTTTGTAGGATCTAAAAATCAAAACAATTAAACTCATGGACATAGAGAGTAGAAGGATAGTTACCAGAGGCAGGGAAGGATAGTGGGAAGTAGGGTGGGAAGTGTGGTGGGGATGGTTAATGTGTATAAAAAAATAGAAAGAATGAATAACACCTAGTATTTGATAGCACAACAGGGTGAGTCTGGTTAATAATAATTTAATTGTACATTTTAAAATAACTAAAAGAGTGTAATTGGATTGCTTGTAATACAAAAGGTAAATGCTTGAGGAGATGGATACCCCATTTTACGTGTGATTATTACACATTTCATACCTGTTTCAAAATATCTCATGTACCCCATAAATATATACACCTATATACCCACAAAAAAATTAAAAACTAAAGTACCTGCCATCCTTCGTCAAGTTTAGCCTTGAATTCCATCAGCACTTGGGAATGCACTTCTTCCATAAAATGCTATTGTTTTGTATTGTGACCCCACAGAGCACAGGACAGTGCATTCCTTGTGCATAGTGAGCCATCAGTAAATGACCATTTGATGGACTTGGACAGGGTAAAAGGGAAGTGTGGTCAGAAAGAAGCTGATTCATTTTTCATCTTTGGAATGTGAGCCAGACCACTCTCCTTTCATCCCTTCCTAGCTCATGAACACGGTTTGCATTTCCAGCTGAGGTTGCATGATAAACTTGTGATGTCCAGCTGAGTATCACTAAGTGGTTTTAATTTTATCTTCTTAACCTTGCTCACACATTTCTTTCTTGCTTTCTTCCTCTCCCTCTGTCCCTCCTCCTCCTCCCCCCTTTCTCTTTCTTCCTTCCCCAAAATGACATGCATGAGGGTTTTTTGTACATAATGTTTCATTTTGAAATAATTATAGATTCACAGGAAATTTTAAAAAAATAATACGGAGAGGTATCATGCACCCTTCACTCAGTTCCCCGCAATGGTAACATCTTAAATAGCTATAGTAGCACATGTGTTGTTTAAATGTAGTAGTAGCTAACTGAGTTTAAGTGCCCAGGAAAAATCTATATTGAAATGCAGTTACCTTCTCCTCTGGCCTAAAACCAGGGCAGGTGTCATGAGTGTGCTACTAGTGTCATCAAGTTCCTGCAAGTAGAAGGATGCAATTAGCATCTTGAAATTTTTAGTGATTGTATCCTTGAATTTATGTTTTGTAAGTAAAGCGTGATGAAGCCTCCATTCATCTACCTGCCCGTTACATCCCTTTCTTCCTGGGACAGGGTCTTGGCCTCATGCTACTTGGCTTCCACCCAGTGACCAGCACTGCCCTCTGCCTCTGAAAGGGTGCTGGGTTTGGGTGCAGGAGTGTTTGGGTGGGGACAGTGCACCAGGTACTTGTGATGGTCTGCACTAGCCCAACAAACCTTGTGCTCTAAGAAGTACAACATTAAATAACACATACAAAACACTGTAACAAATCAAGACAGAGATGGTGGGCAGAAGAAAGGGGAAAGCTTTCAAACTGTATTTTGAACAAGCAGTCAACAGTTTCATTTTGCACTGGACCCCACACATTTCAGTGTCAGCCCTACTTAAGGCTATTTTATAGCCCAGCCTCTTGCAAGAATCTTAGGCATAAAGATTACTGTTTATCAGGAAATAGGAAGCCTCAATAGAAGCACAGAGGAATACCTGTTTGTCAAAGTCTAAAATAATTCCCACTAATGCCAGAAAAATCCTCCTAAAACGCATTCTTATTAAATCATGGACGGCTCTAAACCTGCAGTGCTCTTCACTTACAGAACGCAGTCCATGGCCAGAGCCTGGCTCTCAGGGACTCTCCATGAATAATCTACCCTCATCTTATCTTCTGAATTTCAGGTTTCACCAGACCTTGATTCAAATCCATGCTTGCTTCCAACTAAATACAGTTCCTGCTTTCCCAGTTCTGTGCTTTTGCTTAGGCCATTTTATTTTTCCTAAATGCCATTTTTACTCATTCTTTGGGGAGGAACTGTCACTTCTCTCCTGAAGTTCCCAGACTGTGCCCACCTCACAGCATTCACACTGGTTTTCTCTGCCTATATTGCTCTTCCTCTAGGACTTGACTGACTACAGTCGTCATCAGAGAGAAGGTCGCCTCTTCAAAGAGGTCTACCAGAATAGCTGCTCTAAGCTAAACTCCCTCCCATCCATTCCTGTTCTATTAATTGTATTTATCATTTCTAAAATAAACTTTATATATTTAATTTTTTACTGGCATAATGACGATCTCTCCCTAACAGAACAGGGCCCCTTTTTGCCTTCACTTCTGTCTCCTGAGTACTTCAAATGGTGCCTAGCATATATTTATTGAATAAAGGAAAGGACTTTTCCCTCCTCCAAACACAGGATCATAGAGTATGTCATATTTTGCTTACATGTTCTCTCTCCTCTTAGATACTGTTAACTTCTTGAGTGGGGAGAATGATTCATTTTCATTCTTCACAATGCCTAGAAGAGAACTAGGTAGGCTTCAATAAGTCTTCCTGAATGAATATATGAAAATAAATGGTGCTGACGAAGAGCTTTTTTTTTTCTCTTTCAGAACAACTGAACACAGCATTAAGCCACAGAGATCAAAACTAATTGCTGGAACAAAAAGCACATGCCATTAGCATTCACTGCATCTGTACCAAGGACGGCCTTGGAAAAGTGTGTAATTAACTAACGGCATGCAGTATTCAGCATGACCTCTGCGCTCATCACAGTGCCATTCTGTTCAAGAAATTGGTTGTCTTTGTGGCCTGTGAGATGAAAAATTTCCCAAAATAGAGACCAGGGATGAGGTTTAGTTCTTACGGGGGAGATCAGAGAGAAAAGGCACCTTCTTTATAAGCACTGAGTATCTGTTATTCTTTTAGCAAAGTAATTTGTTTTTCATCATATATATTAATAAAATGGAGATACACACCTACAAATCATTTGGGGTATCTAGGAGGTATGAAGAAGGTAAAATGAGGCATTAATGTGGGAGTGGCAGGTTTCAGGTAGAAATGAGCTCATTAAATCAAAGTGGTGTATATTAAAAAAAAATAGAAGAGTGATCTGTTCTGGTTATTCTGGGCAAGGAGAACATGAGACTTGCTGACCAGCTCAGCTGGGTTGAGATGAGGCTTCTTCAGTGTTTTGATAGAGCCTGGAGTCACAAAAGACCACACAGGCACTGGAGAAGACAGCAACTATGCACAAGGCCAGGAGATTTGGAGGACAGAGAGAGGGGAAATGAGTGTTCTGAAACGTATTTGCACAACTCCCTTTTCCCTTACCCTAGAGAAGAGCGTCTCACTGGTCGACTCTGAGTTTCGTGGCTTCCCATGGGCATCCCTACTGTGCTGAAAACATGGTTGGCTCCTCTTTTTCCTTAACCACAAAGAACTTTTGTGATGGGAAGCCTCAGTGATGAGACCACCATGGTTTCATTCTTGTGGGGAGTTAGTGGGTTCAGAGAGGGCTTCTTGAGAGGGAGAGGCAGCGTGTGGCACACACAAAAAAACACAACCGTGCGAACTGGCAGAAATGAGAGTCATGCCGCAGATGCTAAAAAATGTCTGCTGGGGTCAGATACCTCCATAGGAAGCCCAGGTGGGCCGCAGGTGCTGACAGAGAAACGTGTGACACAGGTAGTGAACGATGGGTGAAGCAAGTGATTTTACGGCATCCTTGCAGGAAAGGTCCTGGATGGCTGATGTGTAGTCTTCTCTCCAGGAAAGAAATACCCATTATGTGATAGGGGCAGCATTGCTGGGCTTTGATGGACTTTCCCTCCTCCTCCTGGCCTTGTTTCTCTTTAGTTTTCCAACTGATATTTTGGACAGCTTTGGGCTGCAGTGACAGGAACATGGGAAGAGGCCAGAGCCTGAAATCTTGCATATAGGAATGCCTGGAATTGTAATCATGCCCCCTAACCTACACGGGGCATGAAAGAGGGGGGCAATAGTGTTCAGAGCAGTCTGACAAATAGTGCTGAGTGAGAAAGATATTACTTTTCTTCTCTCTTCCACTATGAAGAAAATCATTCTTATTTCTCGTAAAGAGGAAATTCTGTGTAGCCTGGAATTACCTCCCAAGCACACTTTTTCCTTTCAAAGACATCCACTTTTGTGCTTACTGCCATCTTTGGCCTTGCTTCTCCACTGTATGGCAGTACAGAGCAGTCTGCCTTTAGACTAGTTCATTTGGGAATCTGAGCTGGGTTTTTCCATTGGCTAGATGTTTCTGGCTAGTGAGTAAATTATTTATTTGTCACATCAGTCACCTAGTAAAGTAGCACTTGCTTTTTAAGACTGATAGCTTCAGTGTGCCAAATAGTACCCAGGGGTTCCAGCTCCTGCCAAACAAAGAATAGTTTAGGAGCAAAGGGAATCTGGCAGATCCGATCAGCCCTACCTCCAAAATTCATCTCTGGTATGTCTCCTTATTTCGGGTCTGTGCAGTCACTGCTATGATTGGACAGGCCACCTGTGTCTGGATTGCTGTGACTGCATCTCTACTGGCCTCCCAGTTCCACCCTTGGTCCTCCTCCAAGCTATTCTCTGCTCGACAGCCAGGCATTGTATCTCTTTCCTATCACTGCTGTATTAAATTTGCCACCAATTTAGTGGCTTAAAACAACATAGTTCTCGAGGTCAGAAGTCTGCAAGTAGTTTCACTGGACTAAAACCAAGGTGGTGACACGGGTGCACTCCTTTTGGAGGCTCTAGGAGACAATCCATTTCCTTACCCTTCCCAGCTCTAAGAGGCTGCCTCATTGCCTAGGCTCATCACCCTCGTTGCTTGCTTCAACCTCTGTCTGAAGGAACCCTTAACTTGGCCACTTACATCCTAGAACTTCATAGCACATATCATACTCTGTAGTGGATTATCTATGTGTTTATTATATCTCTCATTAAAATATAAACCCGATGAGAGCAGGCATCATTTTGTTCTGTTTACCAACAGTATTCCCAATGCCGGCCATGATACCTCGCAAATATTTGGCATCCACCAAATATCTATGCATTGAAAAAGATAGCATGAGGATCTTAGGGAGGTCAGCATAAAGCATCTCTCTCTGCTTTACATGTCATTGGTTTCTGCATCCAAACTTGGCTATAAGAATCATAATTGGGTCAAATTGGCAGGAGTTTCCAGTTATAGAATCCACCATTTTTTTCAAAGAAGCCAATGTTAATCATGTGACTGCTGGTAATTGGACTAGGACCTTTTATTACTTCATTCTCAAATGCCCTGGTGAATCAAGCATTCCAGCTCCCACTTAATGGAATATACTAGGGCTTGTGTTAAGTAACTTCTTAGATTTACAGTGCCAGCAAATAGTAGAGTGGACTCTGAATACAGGTTACATGATACCAAGTGCACACACTATAGGAGTATATACCCTTGAAGACATGAAAATACTGTTTAAATTTTTTGACATCCTGTTATTTCTTAGTAATTTTATGTGGCCCAATTATACAAATTCCATTTACATATACTACAAAAGGGCTACTTTTATAGCTGTTTGTTATAGTCCCCTAATTTTATACTATCAGCTTCATAAAAATCAATTAATATCCTAAATGTTAAAGGCTAGTGTTTTCATTATTTTAGTCCTTAGATGTTTGTTTCAGGCTACTTGTCTTAGTAATCCTTAATTAAATTTTAGTTTTTATCTAAATTCAATCAAGCTTTTGAGTAATGATAACATTTTGATAACAGTGATATTAACAGCAATCAAATGGATCCTTTTTTTTTTTTTTTTTAATTCTAGGGAGAATGCCATTTAGGCCTTCTTTGTGAACCAGAAAAAGCTATGCCTAAGTTCTTCTTGTGAAAACTCAAGATACACAGTGCCAAGGGCTGTGTGTCCTATGAATCAGCAGGAAATTCTGGCTCCAATCCCATGTTGTAATATGGATTTCCTTTCATCTCAGGCAGCTTAATACTTTAGAAAAAGATCTCTAGAGGAAGATTTTTTCATAATTTCTTTTTAACAATTTTTTAAAAAAAATCCTTATTTTAATTCAGTTATTTTCTAGACTTTGTCATTTTATTTTTAATTTGTTCTTTGAAAAATTAAAGAATTTGTATACACAGTCTACATAATAGTTCATAAAAACAAGTGAAAACGCTATTGAGTAAACATTGCCATTTAAACTATTGGCCTTTGACAATCAATTAGAAATAAAAAGCACATTATCTAAATTGATTAAAACTTTGATATCTATGGTATGCACACCTCAGAGACTGAGCTATAAGGAGGCAATTATAGAACTTCTATTTTTAGATCTTTGTCTCAAATATAATAATAAATTAAGCTTTATGAGTATTTCATATATAGCATGTCCCTGGCATTGTCATGTAGTTTGTATTTCAGAGAGTCACAAGTTAGGAACTTGTACCTGAGGCCTCCATCTGCTGAAGGACAGAGTATGAGTCCCACAATATGAAGGTATTGTCTGTACAGCCACATGTTCACTTTCACCATTATTGCAATGTTAGTGCCTTGTTAAGTGGATTAAGAAATTATATTACCTTATGTTTTTAAAATCCCTACAATACTTTCTACTGATATGGGACAGTGATCACAAAAATGTTTTGCACAACACAGAGGTCTGATGGGTATGTTACAGGAATGTCAAACTTAAAGATGAATCACACACACATTGCTTTCTTTAATAATAATAATAATAATAAACAATCAAACCTCACCTACCAAGTTTGCTGACCTTTTTCTGCGATAACAAGTAGCTATCCATAGTGTGCTACAGAGCAGACAGCTGAAAAAATAAGGAGACTTATATGCCCCTTCCAGGTAAAGGTCACATTTTAATAATGGATGAGAAAGGAACTGCTTTTGAAAGAAATTCATGTTATAAAAAAAAGTATTTTGGGAATATTTCAATCATTAATAATTTAGTTGGCATAAATAGTGGGTTTCACCTATAAAAACATATTTCTACACACTTAAAGAGCTTGAAATTCTCAAATGTTTCAAATAACATATTCTGAATCCATTTCTCAGAAATAGTAAAACGTACCACTGCTTGGTTAGTTTGCTTGAATGAATGGACATCAGAGAAGATGGAAATTTAGTAGCCAAATTTAAATGACAAAAATGTGTTTAATTGGTGGATGGTATTAAAAAATGAGTACCACGATTTAGGAAGTGTAGCCAATAAAGCACTTCCATGTGGATGCCTGCATCTTTGGAAACTGTTTAGTTATGATAGCTATTAAAACTATGTAGGAAAAGAAACTAAATTCTGAACCAAGCCTTTAAATTCCTGCCTGGCAAAATGTTAAAGATGTAAAAAGTAATGAGATGTTTAATCAGTTGGTTTCAATTACAATATTTTTAGAATGAGAGACAATATGAAGGGTTTTTTGAACTTCTAATAACGTTTTAAATGCTTTATTTCATCTTTTAAAATTTATATTTTTGTGTAAATTTAGTAATACCAATATATATTAGACTAGCATATGAATGTAATTTATAAATAAAGTGCCATATATTGGGGATGCAGGCTAAAAATTTTCTGAAAGATATATATGTAATAAACAACCTCAGGGATCACTGGACTGGACTCCCCACTCTTAAACAATTAAACTGGGGAGATGGGATACACCTTTCAATTCTTTCTTAAAAAACTTTTCCAAAAAAAGAATGTTTAGAAAAATACTACCATTTATTATTTGTATTTAAAAAAGAAAAGACAATTTGATCCCAGAAAATTAGGAAGGATGTAATTGCAAAAGAAAGAATACACGATTGAACTGAAAATAATATGCTTATGAACAACTTAATACAATGCCCTTAATTATTTTTATTCTTATTTTTGCTGTGGACTCTTTGAATATCATCATGGAAGAGTATTGATCTGCACACCTAATTCTATTTTCTCTTTTCCAAATGTAATAAGGCAAGTTCCTTTTCTTTTCTTTCCTTTTTACTCTGCCATTAGTTATCCTAACACTGTATGCATTGTGACCTATTCTATGACAGTCATGCTCCATCTCCCTGGGCACAGGGCACCATAAGCCTCCCTCTCCCCTCCTGATCCTGACCCCTGCACCTCTCACCCCAAAGCCCCTCTGATACTATTGCTATTGAAACAGTGACTTCATGGTTGCCAGAGAGTGAGCATTTTCTCATATCCCATTTTACTTTTGCTTCCTGGATTCTTTTGGCCCACTCTAACCTTTTGACATTTTTGGTCATACATGAATATCCATTTGGCTCCTCTTCCCTTAGTATATATTTGTCCCCCGACACAACTACTTTTTCAAATTATGAAAGTCATTTGAATTCTAAGCCTACCTTTTGTGATACTAAATATCCTTGCATCTGTGGCTGTAATCTTAATGATCAAACTTCACCTTCTATTTTCTTGGTTATTACTGAAAATGTGAAGTTACAGATTTTCAGAAATAACGCCTCAAAACCTCACTGATGTATCTGCTTCCAATAATGTGAAAGAATACTGGTAGAAAATTTTGTGTACATTTTCTTAGCTAATTATTTGTTCATTAGTCATTTGATGTCTATGTTAAAAGTAAAAAAAAGACCTAAAAAAAAAACCACATTGAAATCTCCACAAAGTTCTGCAGTACTCATAGTTGCATAGTATTTTTCCTTAATCACCAAAGCCATCTCTTAGTCATGGGAAATGAAGTAAATCGGAAGGCACCTTCATGAAAACAAAATTTTTCTAGTTTTCCTCACACTGTCAACAAAGAGAATATTTATTGTGCTTTCATTTTCAGTGTATGGCCTAAGTCTGTGCCCTTTGAAAAGTTATATAACATAGGTTATCCTTTTATGCACATGTGTCAATATTCTCAACAGTGGAGCAGTTAGGGTTAACCCTAGGCAGAGTTCATCGTTGGTGCACTCCCTGTTCCCCGAAATACTACATTTCCATTCTTTATTCAACCATTTCTTTCATGTATCTCTCCCCACATTACTGGATGGTCAAGGTGCCACACACAGCATTAGTTCTTATCAGGAAATTCCTCTTTTACCTCCTCCTCCCACCTATAAGGAAGTGAATTGATGGAGAGTTGGCATTCACCTTTGAAAGTTATTGGCTTCTAGTATACAGCAACAACAAATGGACTTAGATCCAGGAAGAGTACCACATTTTATTTGTCATGGAACTCCCCAGGAAAAAATTTAGAACAAAATGGATATTGAGATTGTGCTTAGTTACAGAAGCAATGATATTCTGAAGGTGTTTCCAAGAGGGGTCATACAATAGAAGTTTTTTTTAAAAAAAAAAAAAGGAGAAAAGGAAAAACAAGGGAAAAAGTGAAACCAGCAAGAGGTGGCAAGTGAGGGGATACTTTTCCTTCCCGGGTCTTTGAGTGATGAACAAAGCAAGGCTGTCTTCAGGACTGCGTGACGGGGGTATTATCTCTCCTGGCATAGACCTAGACTTGGAGATGGTCAGAAAATTATGAGCTCAGCCACTGTCTCAAATGATGACCTGGACTTCTACAAGGCTTCTTGGTGGTTGGTAGTCTAGAGATTTCAGGATTATAAAGCAAACCAATTATATTAAAATACCATTACCTAACATTAAGGGAAAATTTGTGATATGGTAGCATCTGCTTTTTTTTTTTTTTTTGAGATGGAGTCTCGCTCTGTTACCTAGGCTGGAGTGCAGTGGTGCGATCTCAGCTCACTACAACCTCCACCTCCCGGGTTCAAGTGATTCTCCTGCCTCAGCCTCCCGAGTAGTTGGGACTACAGGCACCCACCACCATGCCTGGCAAATTTTTGTATTTTTTTTTTTTTTAGTAGAGGCAGGGTTTCACCATATTGGCCAGACTGGTCTTGCTCTCCTGACCTTGTGATCCGCCTGCCTCAGCCTCCCAAAGTGCTGGGATTATAGGTGTGAGCCACCGTGCCCAGCCACATCTGCTTCTTTAGTAGTATATTAAACAATAGGATCAAGTAATGGGACTGGGCGCTACCTTAATTTTGCAATAGTGATGAATATAAACTATGTGGTTCAGTATATGAATAACTGTAGTATAAAATATCTGCAATTCCTGTTATTAAACATTTGGCAGAACAGCCAACTTTATGGTGGTTTGCTGCCTATTTTATAATTAAAGAAAAGTTTAGGTTTCAGTTGAATATTAGTGATAAAGAGAGAATATTTCTCCCTATCCAACTGAAAGAAACTTTTAATACTATACCCTAAGGGGTATTTGGACCCCAGGTTAAGAACCTCCATATCTACAGGCTGAAGTGTTTGGTGAAAAACCGTAAAGGAGGGTGTCTACAGTGGTATGAGGATTCAAGACTGGTAAAAGGAGCACAGGATAGCAGGAAGACGTTTAGATTAGGAGATTCACAACTAAGATATTTCTGAGATAAATTTTCTTAATTCTTAGCACCATCACCCAAATTCAGCCTCTTACCTCTTGTCCGAATTAATACAATGCCTCCTGACTGATCTTACAACCCAAGCTCCCAGCACCACCATGCAGTCCTAAAGAATAGCTTTATTTATGTTTCAGTTATGCTTCTGTGTTCAAAAATCACTCAGTGCATCTTCATTGCCCCCTAAATAAAGTACAACTCTTAAGTCTGAATGTAGAGTTCTTTATTATTTGGCTTTGGTGTACCTTTCTAGTCTAAGTCTCCATTAGTCTTCTCCACATATCCCATGATACAATCAAACTGGCCCACTTTTGGCTCCCTAATTGGATCCCAACACCCTCCTGTGTAGCCTTTCATCAGGCTTTTGCTTCCATCTGGAATTCTCTTCCCCACATTACATGTGCAGAAATCCTACCCATGTTAAAAGTTTAAGTTCAACAGCCACCCATTATGAGAGCAGAAATTTTGTTTCATTCAACTTGGTTTCTAGAATAACGATTAGCTGTATCCCTTACATATAAAAGATGGTCAATAAGAACATTTTAAATGAACAAGAAGGTTAAACATGGGATCTTGGGGAAATCTCAAGATTAGAAATTGGTGAATTTAAGATGGAATTCAAGGTAGCATATTTCAGCAGCATGTGTGAAAGACTGGAAGGAGTCCTACCATTTAGAAGAATAGGGAGTTAGCCAGTAATGAATTGGAGCTCTTGTATCACTTTATTTGGATATGTTTTTATTTTATTTGGCTTCATTTCTTTATTTTGTTTTTATTCTCAATATCTTCTCAATGATGAAAAGGAGGAGAAGGTGGTGATGCTATAAGAAAGGGGCCCTGCATATTGGTGCCAGCCGATTCCACCATGGTGGTATGAATATCAGCAGTCCTACATGTGCCATGGTGGTTTGCTGCACCTATTGACCCGTCCTCTAAGTTCCCACCCCTCCCCTCACATACATCCATGTAACAAACCTGCATGTTCTGCACATGTATCCCGGAACTTAAAATGCAATAAAATAAAATAAATGAAATCATACAAAGAAAAAGAATATCAGTAGTCAGGTGGGAGGTGTACAGAATATCCTTTACAGTGAGAGTATT
This sequence comes from Homo sapiens, assembly GCF_000001405.40. Classification (NCBI taxonomy): domain Eukaryota; kingdom Metazoa; phylum Chordata; class Mammalia; order Primates; family Hominidae; genus Homo; species Homo sapiens. Next base: position 103,472,315 of record NC_000005.10, read on the forward strand.
TTTTTAAAAGGTTCCTTCCTATATAAACTCAGACTTTTCCTTTCTTAAATGTTGCCTGCCTTTAACTTACACGAGATTCTGGATAGAAATTCTCATGCTAACCAACTCCAGCTTTCCAGTTCCCATAGTACCCATTACAGAACAATGCAATCTCAAGGCTGCTGATGATATCAGATCTGATGAATTCTCTGTTCTCTATAAATTATTCAAAGCAATTTCAGCTTACCAGAAATGAATTTCCCTTTCTATGCAAAAGGCAAGTTTTGGTCATTTTCACCTTAAAATAACCTAATGATACTCAAGAGTAAATAGATGGATACAGAATATTTCTCAAGAAATTTGTCCTGTGAAGGCTAAACTGACCTATATACATATCTCTTTGCCAGATTCAAATGCAACTTGATATCTGTTAGATTAAAGAACTGGGGAGAATTAATATTAAGTTGACCTTGAGCTCTCTCAATTTCTGATGAAAAGTTTCAAGTTGCAAATGTTCCTTCTGTGCTTTCAGAACACATTTTTTCGTAGCTAGATAAGGCATTCCATTTGCAAGCTTTTTAAGATTTCTTGGATAGAATTTTATGCAACTTATTCAGTATTATAATTCCCATGATATAACAAATGCATCTGACCACCACACAAAATGGCAGTGATTACAAAGAGATTCAATGACCACAGCCTAGCTTGCCTTGTCATTGTGTTTGGCCCAAGGAAACAGGAGATAGCAGTCTGTGCCATTATGCAATATTTAGGACAAGGATGACTCAGTTTAAATGGAAACATTATCTTAGTTCTGAGGTAAAAGGGCAGCTCTGCAAGGAAATACCTTTTATGTAAACAAAGATGACAACCTTATCCCAAAGGGAAAAATGCAAATGACATATGTACTTCATGAATAATTTGTCTTAATTGTCCATTCTTGGAATCATACTCCAAGAATTCCTTGTGAAGAACAAAGAGACAAATTTTCATTGATTGATTCTCCCATTGCTGCTTTAGCAGATAATTGACTCAAATAAGGTAATTCCAAGAAAAAAATTTATGTACTAGGGAACCATAAAATAGTTTCCACCCTAATGAAGCCTCTGACATTTTGGTTAAAACACTTAAAGAAGTGTGAATAGTGGTTTAACAGTCTTTGTGCAAACGTTGTCAGGTTTCTGGAACACCTTTTCCAAAGGCTCTGCTGCTATAACTGCTGCTGCTGTTGCTAATGTTAGGCATTATAGCCTACTGGAAAAATCTGTGGAAGAAAGAGATCGTATGCTTTCTTTTCAAATTTTTGAGCATAAAATGTAAATAATCAAGCATTTATCTGACTATAATATATCAGGCAGCTAGATAATCCTGCTGTTCTGTTTGGTTATTGGAGTTGGGTTAGTGGAAGGATTATTTAAAAACCCAATACCTAATTAAGGATGGAAGGTAGGTAAGGAGTCCAGATTTACTCTTACTGTTCTGGGCACAGTTTTCTAAATTGAATACAAAGATACCAATGGATATGAAGAACATACAGATTTTCTCCATCACTCCAAATGCATTGGCCATGTCATTGTTTGCTGCAGAAGTTGAAATGGCATCCTCCCAACCCACAATTTCACCAACAGAACTGCTTCTGCATTGTGTCCCAACAACAGGATGAGGTGAGGGCTCAATGTTCTTGAGATTTAGAGAGAACAAATTACTGCCCACAAAATTACAACATCCATAGAAAAAACAATATTGTATTTTTGAAGGATGGCCAATGTCCTTTTTAAATTCAAATTTAGAAGGAAACATACTCCTTTATATTTATATATTACAGATTAAAAATAGCAAATTACCAAAGACCTATGTCTTTTTTTATAAAGAGCAATATTAAAGATCTCATTAAAAACTCTCTAGTATTTTGCAGGTTTTTTATGATACATTAATCTTTTCTTTTCTCTCAGAGGTGTTTTAGCCTCTTTCTACTTTGAACAATTGACCCTGTGCAAGGAGAAAGACGGCCATGTTGAAGAGCTGATGCACTGATACAAATATGAATTTACAGAGCATCAGTTCTCAACTTGAGTGTGCATGACATTCATGATCTGTGTGTTTATTAAGATCCATATTCCTGAGCCCCACTGCATAAATACCAATTTGGTAGACCCGATGTGATGCCTGGAGTATCTGACAACTGCCTCGGTGGTTCAATTTGAGAAACACTGAGATAGAGAGGTAGGAATAGGCTGGTTATTTTAAGTGCTCTTTCAAGAACTACTTTTATGTACCTACAGTTTGCATTTGGCATCCTCAGTTTGTCCTTAATGGGTCTGTCTGTGTCTTGTGATGTCCGCCTCCCCTTCCAGCACTCCCTGACCTACCAGTGCCACGCTGCTGCACTCAATTGCCCCTTCACCCTAGGGAAAGGGGATATATCTGATGTGGTGCAGAAAGACCCCTCTCCTCTTCCTCACTTGAGCTTTATTTCCTTTGGTATTTTTCTTTATACCAGGTAGCAGCACTTAAGAAGCAGCCTGATAAACTGTCTAATGCTTGGTAGGAATATAATGATTGAAAACAGTTTAATGCTCCCTCTTCAGGTCCTTTGTTTTAGCTGTTTCATTCTCCCAGATCTTTGTTTTACCTTACATCATATCTTCTGAGACAGACTTCCCTGACTATACCTTGAAAATAGCCTCCCAACCTCATCCCACCCTTTCAGCCACTCTCAAATCCAAATATTTACCGGTATCTAAAATTGTCTTCTTTCTTTTCTGTCTTTTCCCATAGTAAAGCATAACTTCATGAGAACTGTAGGCCTTGTCTACCATTTTTGCAGCTCTATTCCTGGCATATAATAAGTTCTCAATAAGCATTTAGTAAGTAAGTAAATGGATATGGATTTCTCCCAGGAATATATTTTAAAAGCAGACATGAAATGATGGCTTTGCTTTTATCCCTGGGAATTTCAGGTACTGGGCAGCCTGGAAAGGGAGCTATTTTTGGATACTAGCCTTCTAATTAACAACCTGAACATACCCTTGGCAAGTGGGATTTGGTTTTAGGGAGGAAAGCAGAAGGTGATGAGAGAAAGTCAGAGAAGCAAAGGGGTGGATTTCTTCCCATTCTAAAATGCGCTTTTTTGAGGGGTGGTGGGGGACTTCTTAATACTTGGAAGATTGCTCCAACAAAGTATTATCCTAAGAAATGTGGTCATCCTATAACAGACAACATTCCCCCCACATACCCTAACACCCTAACACCCTCCTAACCTAGAACTAGCTGCTTAGTGCCATTCCTTTCTTAGGGGAATTTGTCCAAAGTCAGAAGCTGGTGACCAGTATCAACAGGAGGATTTCAGATGAACATCAGCTACCTGGCTTAAGGGCTGTAAATCTATTGTAAATTGCATAATTTTTAGTCCTTGTTTTTCTATTTCGGAAGAGAGGGTCTAAATTATTTTTTATGTCTCTTCCAGCATTAACAGGAATTTTATGATTCAAACGATCCATGGTCTCTGAAAATAATCATGCATGAGTAAGCTGCTCCATCTACTGGGCATCTCTTAAATTACAAATAAGATTCCAATGAGGTATGGGAACTTGGAGATGACCTTAAGATCTCAATTATATTAACCACATGCATATATTGACTTGTTCTCTTCTTTCTAAATGCTGCAAGCATTCTTCTATTAATTGGGCATTTCTCTGCTTTACTCTTGTGATCTCCGCAAATGATGCTCACAAATCCTACTTAATAGTTCACGTATTTGCCTCTCTGTAGTCTTACACCTTTCTCTAGGGTCTGACACAGTTAGGATGTGGGAACAGGTGAGATCTAGAGTAGAATCAGATTGTCAGGGAGAGGTCAAGACCCAAGATGTAAACCTAGGAGCTGAACCTGGGGTGTGGTCTCCAGGAGCAGGTGGTTTGCAGTCAGGCACAAAACTAGGGACACAAGCATTAGGAAGGAAACTCAATGTAGTGGAAAGAAAGAACATCATCTTTTTAGGCAAGCAAACCTGAGTTTGAATCTGTACTACTTGGCTACACAACCACGGGCAGTTTACTGAGAATGGGGTAAAAACGTGTCAAGGGGATGGAATATAGTATCTGAAACTATGTCCCAGGCCCTGTAATCACTGGTTTACATACATTACCTAATTTAATCCTCATAAAAGCCTTATCAGGTATTATATAAACACAATTTTCTATTAAATGTTGGTGGCTCATTGCTTTTTTTATCCCACACATTCTTCCTGGATAATCTGGCCATGCTTGTGATTTCAACAACAACCTATACAACTCCAGCAGACACTTGATTGTTGCAGGTTAGAAAAGATAGTGGAGAATGATAGCATTCGATGGCTTTTTCAAAGATTTTGCATTAGAAAGGGAGGAGAAATATGGAAAGTTACGAGAAACGTGCATTCAAGGTAGCTCCCCCCACCACCCCCTTCCCCAGGATGGCAGAGACAAACATGTTTTTAGGTTGAGAAAAAGTGAGATCAAAGATATAGATAAGTCAAGTCCAGACAAGGTGAGCCCACATCAAGACAGGTCCACTCTCCCACTAAGATGCTTTTGTCTAGCAGACAAGTACTTCAAAGCAGCATTTGACTCTACTGACCACTTCCATCTTCTTGAAACACATTCCTCTTTGGGCTCTGGGAACAAAAGACTCCCTTTCTTTTCCTCTTGCCCAGTTCCTGCTCAGGCTTTATTGCGAGATCATCCTCCCGCGCCAGACTTCTGACAGGCTCTGTCCTCCACCCAAGGGCTTTGTCTTCAGCTCTCTTCTCTTGTAACCGACATTCTTCCTAGGTAACCTCATGGCATATAATACCATCTCTAAATGCAAATGATTAACATAGCTGAATCTCTTTCCAGGTTTCTCCCCGGAGCTCCAACATTCTGTCTCTACCATATAGTCACCTGAATATTTAACAGGCATGGGGCCATTTGGGTTACAATGGGACCATAAGGTGCCATCAGAAATAAACAATATTGTTTCCTTTCACCATCCATTCAAAGTTATTCTTTGGGCCTGTTTCTCTTCTGCCTCTTGGTTTAATTCCAGGGTAAGTCCCAAGAGTTACCCATTTTTCTGGTAATTTTTAGTTAACCAAAAGTTGTAGCATAAAATGATTATTCTAAGGTTTTGGGCTGCAGAGCCAAACTGACCTTCAAAGCTCACACTCTATTCCACTTCTCCACCCTATCTCCATTTACTTTTAGAGCTTTACAGCTTTTAAAAGTGAATTGTTAGCCTCTTGGCAATTTTGGAAGGGAATATCGCTCATTTTTCTTTGATAAAAGGAAATAAAGATTAACAGGCCTTAGCTACAAAAGACATTCAGGATACATGCATAAAATATTTAATCTTATTTCATGCTCCAAATTTTATTCTTTGTTCAAAATGAAGTCTCCTGTCACTATTGTGTGCCATGCCATCCCCTGGACTCCTCACCCAGCATAGCAGAGTAAATATGCTGCGATGATCAGAATTCCTGAAATAGAGACAAGTATTTCAAACATAACACTGTGTTTTTCTTTGAGCATGTGTAAAGCCCAGTGTGTGAAGTGCCTCCTAGTCCCCCCCACACTCCCACATTTGGATTCTTGCATATATACAGATTCATAGAACAGAACACAAACTGGCTTGTTCTGCTACAATGTAGAGGGAATACTTCCTTTTGTTTTTAACCTGGCTGAACATTCAGTCTTATATAAATTCTTTTGCTGGAACCTATGGGCTAGATATATGTGATTTTGGGGATAGATGGCCTACACAGTACATGTTTCCATCATTTATTCCATTATTTATCAGTTTTTTTGTATCTTCAAATTTTCTCTCTACTTGTTACTACCTCCATCAGGCATTCACATTTAAATTGGTACTTCACATCTTAAAAACTATGACAAAAACAACTCTTCCCTCATACTACCTTCCTTTTCAGCTGTCATTGGAGTTCTCCTTTTGGTAATGGCAGACTAGTTAGAGCAACAACTGTATTGCTGAAAAAAATTTAAAAATTTAAGTATGTTTCTCTTCGAATATATCAGAACTGGTAAGAGAGTGAAGACCAATGGGGCTAAAGTCCAGCAAAAGATGAGCCCAACATTGGAGTCACTTCCATCTAAAAAGGCTGAGAAGCTGAGCAGAGCTTTCAACAGATTCATGGAGTCAAGACCTCGTCAGAGAGGTGGTCCTGTTATGTAAGACTGAGTTAAAACCTTGAAGAATAATACTGGAAATTAGGGCAAATTGGAAAAAGACTAACTCTCACAGGGACTGAAGGTTGACTCACAATCATTTCAGCACTGATCACATTAAAATGACCTTGGATTATGAATATTCTTATTTTCCCAACAGAAACAAAATTGCAGAAATGGCAGGTGATAGAAACAGACTATGGGGGATCCAGATAAAGAAACCATTAGACATGGACTTTAACATGGCTATGATTAATACGTTCAAGGAAATAAAATCATTTGAAAATTTCAGCATAAACAGAAAACTATAAAAAAATGGAAACTATAAATGAAAATATAATTATTGAAATTAATGACTGGAGTGAATCTGCTATTAAACTATAGAGTTGGAAGTATGTCAGAAGAATATATGCAGAATAAAGCACAGAGAGACAAAAATAGTATTATTTTGGCTTTCATTGTTCTATTGAGAAGTTAGCTAATGATCTTATTATTACAATGAGAGCCCCCCACCTGCCCCCAAAAAACTGGAAAGACACATTCAAAGTTTTGAATGAAAACAACTACCAAATCTAGACTTCTATATCCAATAAAACAATTCTGAAAGCATTAAGGAGGTATAAAGATATATGCAAGGATAACTGAAAACTAATCACCAGCACACCTCTGACTAAATAGTTTTCTACTGGAAGAAGGAATATAGTCTCAGGTTTAAATCTGAATATGTGGTAACAGGTGAATATCAATAGAAGGTAAATATGTGGGTACATATAAAAGAATGTTGATTGTATACAGGAATTCTAATGTAGGATTTGCAAACTGTACAGAATTCAAATACATAACACAAATACATTACTTAGGACATGGTTAATTAGATGCTATAATGTCCATAAAATAAGTACTAATTTATACTATAAGAAGTCACAGTGGATATGGTAATCTTTTGAATAGCTATTAAAATTATAGCAAAAATTAGTAACTACCAAGATACATAAAGTAATAAAACTATTTTAGAACAGAACGGACAAATCGAAAGCAAAAATAATAACATTTAAACTCTATTATATCATTAATTACATTCACTGTAAATGGACTAAATGTTATTCAGTTTCCCTATTTCTCTAGTCTCTCTCACAGCCAAGCTTTTCAAAAGACGAGTCTTCAAATGTTGTTTTCAACTTTCAGTTGACATTAATGAATTGGCTGTTTCTGAACTCACTATTGATAACTAAGACTGCCTCTTGCCAAAGTTATCAATGACTTCCATGACACAAAACCCACTGGATGCTTTCCAATCCTTGTCATAATATGGTCTCTCCATAGCACTGGGAAACATTAATCACTCTCCTGCTTGAAACCTTTTATTTTTTTGTTTTGTTTTTTTGCCCTTGGCTCTATGACACAGTTTTTGGAGTTTTGCTTATACCCTCTGGCCACTCCTTCAATCACCTTTTTATCTCCTTTTCTGTACACCCTTAGGACTTAAGTTAAGGACTCTCTTTTAATCTCACTTTATATTCTCTCCCTTAGCCATCTTATCAATTTCTGTAGCTTTGAACACTCTATATATTCTCTACATACCATCCTGTAACATATACTGCATACAATGTATATAATATAGAATAGCCAGGTACCTACATAAGAATATCAATCACATTGTCAATCACAGTATTACAATAGTTCAAACTGAACTGAGGATCTTAACTCTCACTTTACACCCTTATAACCTCCTATTTCAGTAAATAATACATTATCCAATCAATTACTTTTGCCAGAAACTTCCTTCTTATTTACCCTTTCACTGTGCTATAAATGGAAAGTTTGTCCCCGCCCCAACCTCCCCCAATTTCATTTGTTGAAACCTAATTGCAAAAGGGAGTACATTTGGAGGTGAGGCCTTTGGTGCTTAAGTCATGAGGGTGAAGCCCTCATAAATGAGTTTATAGCCTTTATAAAAAGAAATTCCAGATACTCCCTTGACCTTTCCACCACGTAAAGACACAGTGAAAAGACAGCCATCTATGAACCAGGAAGTGGGCTCTTGCCAGACACTGGATCTGACAGTGCCTTGATCTTGGACTTCTCAGCCTTCAGAACTGTGAGAAATAAATTTCCGTTGTTTATAGACCACCTAGTTGATGCTGTTTTGTTATAGCAGCCTGAAGAAACTAAGACATGCTGCCACATTTAATCCATCACCAAATCCTATTGATTCTAGCTCTTAAGTATATCTGGACATCTATCTACTTTGTTTGTTACTCTTACCTGGGACCCGACTGCTATCACCTCTTGCCCATACTGGTACTAGCTTTCTAAGTAGTATTTCCATTCCACTCTTGTCCCACTTCAATTGATTCTCTACATAATGGAATGATCTTTTGAAAATTCCCTTGCCTAAACCATTTTGGTGGCTTTTGATCATAGTAAGAAGAACACCCAAATGTCCCTGTTATTGCCTCAAGGCTCTGTGTAGTTGGCCTCCCACCTACCTCTTTAGCCTAATCTTTTTCCTTCTCTGGCGTCCCCCTTGTACTCTGGCTTTAGCCACATTGACTTTTTCTGAGTTCCTCAAACATACCATGCTTTTTCCAGCTGAGGAATTTCACACATGTTGTTTCTTCTGCCTGGGGAGTTCTCATCCCAATTTTCTGTCTGGGTAACTTCTCCTCAACGCTCCCCTCAAGCCTGTTATATCGTTAAAAAGGGATTCATTATATCTCTTCCTCCTCCTAATTTATACCAGACCCTCCATTTTGCTTTTCTGCCACTTGTCAACTTATTGCTTCTCAGCTCCAAATTCACCCCTCGATATATACTCTGCAATAATAGGCAGAATTATTCTACATAGTTCTTCTTAATAGAAAGCATGATGCTAAGATTTCTTAGCAGAGGAGGCTAGAGGAACATTGCAAGTGGGAGGGGTGCTCCTGCTCTTTCCATCTGCTGCAGGGTGGATGTGTGGACATTAAGGGGTGCTTTGTCCCAGCCATGCACCCAGAATGCACAGTCTCTCTGAGACCTTGCGCCTCTCACATGGTCTGGAAATCATCTTTCTGTGACCCTTTCAGTATAGGCATTCTATACTCCAGGTCTCCTGCCTGCCAGTGCAGGTGGAGTGATTCTCTCTGCTCATCTCTTGTCTCTCCTATGTTTTTCTCTTGCAGTCCTTCCTATACTACCACCTCCCAACAGGGCCTTTCTAACAGGAACACCTCATCTTCCAGGCCTCTTGCTACATGGACATCCTCATTCTCATTGCAAACCCATGCACCAGCCACCAGCTGAGGTTTGCCTGACCCATCTGTGCCCTAACGGATTGCTTCTTGTTTGCCCTGTGACTGCAGACTAACCCTGGCCTGGAAAATCTGCTGCCCTGCCATCCAGTGGATTCAAGGACAGCTCTCCCATGAGATCTGAATTCCCAGCCTCTGAGAAGTATCTCCCTTCTAGGTCTGTCCTTTGGACATGCTCCCTTGGTACCATATACAGTTTCTTTTATATTTTATGGTTATTCTTTTATTATAGTTTAATAACTCTTTATATGAAATTCTCCCTGTTTAAAGCACTGAGTGATTCTAGTTCTTGATTGGATCTAGATTGCTACAATTCTCTTTTCCCTCCCTTTAATTTTACTTATAGTACTAATCACAACTGCATATTTTGTGAATCTGTTTCTTAATATCAGTCTCTTCCATGGAATTATAAGCACAAACAGGGCAGGCACTGTGTCTGTTCTGTTGTCTTCCCAGCGCTTAACATAATGCCTGGCTTTTAAAAAGTACTCAATAAATATTTGTTGCATGACTGAATACTGTATGGTTGAGTTCATTTTCTGCTCATTTATTCTGTTATCTTCTTCTTATGCACCATTAACTACTCTCAGTCATTGCTATCTATTCTGATGATCAGACATAATGTATTCTGAAACCTGTAGCCCCAAAGGGTGTCTGATTTTGGCTCTTTATAAACAAAATAAAGCTGTACTTTTATATTCTCCCATCTCTGCATTAAAACCTCATGTGTTTCTGGGTCATAATGGGGACTTTAAATGAAAATAAAGGGCTAGGCATGGTGGCTCATGCCTGTAATCCCAACACTTTGGGAGGCTGAGGTGGATGGATCACCTAAGGTCAGGAATTCGAGACCAGCCTGACCAATATGGTGAAACCCCATCTCTACTAAAAATACGAAAATTAGCCAGGCGTGGTGGCGTGTGTCTGTAGTCCTAGCTACTCGGGAGGCTGAGACAGTAGAATTGCTTGAACCTAGGATGTGGAGGTTGCAGTGAGCTGAGATCATGCCACTGTACTCCAGTCTGGGTGACAGAGAAGGACTCTGTCTCAAAAAAATAAAATAAAAATCACCACCACCACCACCACCACCACCACAGCAGCAGCAAAAACCCTATAGTGGTAATGATGGTCTCAACTGCAGTTACTCACAATAGTTTTTTTCTTAGCTATGTTCAAATCATAAGATCCACATCTCTTTTCCAAAAAAGACTAGCAGCTAAAAACTATATATTTTAACTCCAACTACTAATACCACTACAGTTCTAATTTTTCACATAAATTCCACCCCAGGATTCATCCGCTCAAATCCCTGCAGGGCCTGGTGGGTAATTTAAATGACTGGGCTCAGTGTAAGGAAATGAGGAGTAGTAGGGATTATGGCAAATTGGCGAGCACATGCTTCACCTGAGCGCATTTAATTAAAAAATGTATAAAAACACTGTGCTAGCCAAGCATAACATCTGCAGACAGCACCAGTCCTGTGACTGCCACCTGGCAAACCCAGACCTAAAACACTGCTCCAGAAACCCTTCTGAGTTTCAAGAACCAGGAATCTTAAAATATGGGGTGCTTGACATAAAGTTGCCATATATATATATATATATATGTGTGTGTGTGTATATATGGAAGGGCTTTATTTATTTATTCATTTATTTATTTATTTGAGACAGCCTGGCTCTGCCACCCAGGCTAGAGTGCAGTGGCATGATCTTGGCTCACTGCAACCTCCACCTCCCAGGTTCAACCAATTCTTGTGCCTCAGCCTCCCAAGTACCTGGGATTACAGGCATGTGCCACCGTACCTGGCTAATTTTTGTATTTTTAGTAGAGAAGGGGCTTCACCATGTTGGCCAGGCTGGTCTCAAACTCCTGGCCTCAAGTGATCCTCCTGCCTCAGCCTCCCACAGTGCTGGGATTATAGATGTGAGCCACCAAGCCCTGGCCAGCATCTACTATTATCACCATTTCACAAGAGGAAACACAAATTATCACCACAAGTTAGGAAGGACGTAATCTCAGAATAAAGAAAAACCCATTCCAAGAAGAACAATTGGCAAGATTACGTTAGTTATTTTTATTTTTATCTTTTGACTATAAATGGGAATAAACTTGGTTATGATACTCACCCAAGTTACAAATTAGAATTACTTTAAAAGTTTGAAAAAGATCCTATAATTTCCAGGACCCCACTCTTGGAGACTCAGCAAGTAAGGGAGAAGCAAACAGCTTGCATGTGTACTTTGGAAAACTCCTCAGGAGGCTTCTGAAAGCCTACCCAGGTGGAAAACTTCTGGTCTGTTCACTTTAATACTCCGAACACAGAGACCAAGGACAGACCATCCTTTCGCATCCTGATTGGAGAGAATCCTATTCTCCTGCCCTGGAGGCAGACAAAGTTTTTCAAAGTAGCTGTATGGCTCACATTGCCATGAAAGGGAGAACACTTCACGGTCTATGTCACAAGTAATTCATAATCTAGAAGTAGAAAGTTTTCACAATAATTTCACAATAATGAGGAATAATAGGCAAAATTATTCCTCATTTTAAAGAAGTATCGATTTCTTTATTGATGTATTCCTTCCTTTGTGCCAGAAAGGAATTAAGGTTATTTATATACGTGTGTGTGTATATATGTGTATGTATATATGTGTGCGTGTGTGTGTGTGTGTATGTATTTATCTATATCTTTATTATATCTGCAGCTTAAAATTAAGATACTAGGGCAATGCAAAATAAAGGCAAAAAAAATAAGATTGTATCATGAGTGAGGTAAACAATCAAAACTGCTGTGAACACTCATTAGAGGTGGGTCACAAATGTGACCCAGAGTTGTTAGATGAGAGAGGAGGAGGTCCTGGAGGAGGGAGTCTACTCAGCTCCCATAAGCTGTTGCTAGGGAATTTTTCAAGAGAAGTTAGAAACTGAGATTTCTATGTGAAAGCTCTGTTTTTTATAATGTTTGCATCTAATTAATCCCAGCACTTTGGGAGGCCAAGGCAGGCAGATCACCTGAGGTCAGGAGTTCAAGACCAGCCTGGCCAACATGGTGAAACCCCATCTCTACTAAAAATATAAAAATTAGCTGGGTGTGGTAGCAGGTGCCTGTAATCCCAGCTATTTGGGAGGCTGAGGCAGGAGAATTGCTTGAACCTGGGAGGCGGAGGTTGCAGTGAGCCAATATCACGCCATTGCACTCCAGCCTGGGTGACAGAGCAAGACTCCATCTCAAATAAATAAATAAATAAATAAATAAATTAGACACTGTGTTGCACAGAGCAGAGAAAACACTTGTGCTGACAAGATGTGGCTTGCAGTTTGATAGTTTGAACTGCATGTTAGAATCACTTGAAGCGCTTTCTCCAAATACTCAGGCCCCAGCCCCACCCTAGACTTGCTGAATTAGAAACATCTAGGAGGAGAACTGAGTCTGCATATCTTGAGAAAGCTCTCTAGGAGATTCCAACTTTTACCTGTAGTTAGAAATCACTGCTTTAATGAAATCTGGGAAATGAAAAAAGGTATTTCAGGCCGCTTCTCTGGTACTCTGCTTCAGAAGCTGTAATGACATCCAAGCCCTGTTGCTTGGACAACAGTGCCCAGGTACTGATTGTGCCCCACTTTGATTTCTCTAGGGTACTAGATATGTAGTTCAGTTCTTAGATTTTGGCTTTGATAAGAAGTTTTCACAGAGGATCTGAAAGTAAGAATAAACAAGATAGAAATGCACGTGCCAGCCTCGATTTATGCAGCAGCAGAGAAAATAGATTACAATTCTCTGAGCTTCTAAAGAAGAAAAAGTTCCTGAGAAGTCACAGGAGAGAACACTGCTTTCAAAATCCTAGAATATGGTACCTTACAAGACAATACTTTGGTCATGGAATGGTCTATGTGACCAGTACTTTCTGAGATTTCTTGTTCTTACTCTGTCAGCCCTCAGCCCTCCCCTCAGTTTACCTTGTTATGTTTGTAATAGTAGAGGCATCCATCATACTTCAGCACAAACCACCTCTTTCTCCAACCCTTCACGATCCCGGAGTGAGTCCTCTTATATAGGTAGCCGTGGCAGGTGGGCCAAGGGGTACTGGGACAGCGGCTGATATCAGATCCTACCACCAGGGTCAAGATGTCTGTACCTAGAGGCATGCATTTGGAATAGTTCAGTGGCTGAAAATCTTACAATCAACTGGAAAGACTGTTACTAAAGAATGGATGAGAAAAAAGTTATAGTTTTTTATAAGTGGAATGAAATAGAATCCTACAGTTGGAATGAACCAAAGAGTTCCTCAGTAATTCAAATGTTCAAGTAATGCAATGTTTGAGGAAAATGAAAACTGGAGAGGTAAAGTGACTTCACTGAGGACCCCTAGCCCATAAGGTGATGAATGAAATCTGGGACCCAGGTTTCCTGACTTCTAGTGCAGAACTCTTTCCATTCAACCACACAGCCATGTTTGTTCTGGTTATGAGCTCCTTAAGTCTGTTCATTTTCACCGTTTATAATAATCAAGCTAAATCTTTAAACAGACTTTGATTTACTTCCTGAGGAGAAGGATGAGTGATGCTTAGCTACCTTTCTACCTTACTTTTGACTTAGGTTAGCCAAAGGCAGGATCTAAGTCACTGCTTATAACTATTGCCAATATTGTCTCTGATAAAAATCAATGACAAACCTTTGAACTTGCAAATAGACAGAAGTTCTAGGCAGGGCAAGCTACAAATGTTTCTTTTTCCTTTTCTCCCCCTTTTTCTTGCCTATTCAACATAGTGCCAAGGGTTAAACCTTGAGCTTCCTGATTCCTGTCTTGTCTTTTATAGAATGCCTTATTTGGTGCCTGGACACTAGTGGCACCCCTTTCCCAAAGGATCGGCATGGTATAGCCTGGGGGAAAATTGTCCCTATCCCTGTTAATATGAGGTCACTGTTTACCCACTATGCTTTGATGCTGCAGCGTGGACACAGGCTTTTATTGTACACCTACTTCTTGATGCTTCTAGAAAATTCTCTGAATGTCACTCAGACAGATAGCAACCCTGACATGCTTTGAAGACTGCAAATGGGATATGACTTCATTTACAGTTCCTCTGAGAGGACGGCCACATCCCTGAAGGAGGACAGTTGGCCTTGGCAGTGCTGACTTCATCATGATGTCTGACATTGAGATTACCGATCTGTTTAGAGCTGTCTATGGAAATGGGGGTCAGCAAGGAGACTCCTCTTCTATAAATGACAAGCTCCAACCCAGGGGATCATTCCTGGCTGAGCCACATGGCCCTGAAAATAAAGATTTGTCCCAGAAAGGCTGACACAGTCTTAACTTTAGCAGCACGCAAAGCACCTTCGTAATTAAATAACTCTCTGTGTGTCAAGATAATTCTTCATTGCCATGTAAATACATTTTAATTTATTGAACTGCCCTTAAGCTCCTGTCAAAAACACATGCAGAAAAATGAGAAGAAACGCTCCAGATTGACCGGCAACCCACAAATGTCTTTGTCTTTGGACTTCAGTCCCCAAAGAACTGCACGCCTGGACTAATATGCATAGCTGACACATCTGCCAATTTATTTATGTACTGCTGCAGTGGGCTGCCCCTTGAGGTCGTTTTCCTTTTGCTTACACAGACTGCCTGTGGGTTTCTCTGATACTGATCAGGCTAAGCTTGTGTTTCAGCCCGGCCATAAACATAACTTAGTGCACCACAAAACATTCTCTCTGGGGCAGGGATACAGATGGCCCTGCTGAAGCATGGTGTCATCATATTAGAGGAAAGTTTTTCACATTCAGAGTTAAGACATGATCCCGATGCATGGGGACTTGCTGGCTTCTAAACAGCTGTCGGGAATAGTGGTTTTATACTTATAAACAGGTCCTATCGGGGGCCCAGGGCACTTGGGCCTGACATTCACAGAGAAGTTTGATTTCAGACTTTAGACTTCTGATATTATCTTCAAATGAGGTTATTTGTATAGTCATTGTAATTTCTGTGTGTTAACCAAACTGTCAAGTACAAACATTTAAAACCTCCTGGTTTTGTTACTATTTATTAACTTACTGGGACCCTAACATATGGAAGTGCCTTAGTTTACTGTTTCTCAAACTAAATGTAGATGCCAGTTAGCTGATGGGTCTGTTGAACTGCATATCCTCATTCTGTAGGCCTGGCATGAGACCTGAGAGTCTGTGTCGTAACAAGTTCTCAGGTGATGTCAGACCACAGTTTCAGTCCCAAGTCCCTAGGCATCCCTGTTTCTGAGAGCCTCTGCTCATTAGCACAGTCTTTGCCACCAACCATATTTCTTCTTTGCCTTAACTGTGATTTAGTTTCCCATCTGCTTTCATTTTCAGTTGTAGCATTTTTCAGCAACAGAATTATTAGGTTTTCCCCAACCGGCACTTTTTTCTCTAAGTATCTCCCCACTTTGGAGAAAAGAAACATATAACCATTGCCTTTCTCTTCTGGACATCCCCAAAATCTTGCTTGCTTTTGCAGGGAGCGTGGGAGGATGTGGGTAGGTAAATGTCTACAGCCTGAGGTGAAGGAGTCAAGAGAACTATTAGTTTCATGAGATGAAAGAGTTTGAAAACCCACATTTTTAGAGAATCCAGTTATTTGGTGATGATGTCCTTAAAAAATAAAAGCTGTACAGCAAACTCTTCTTCCCTAGCACTTTGGTCTAGAGTTTTGAAAGTAAAGAATTGTGGGTGAGATTATTTACAGCTACAGGAAAGAGAAAAATGATTTCTTTTTCTAATTCACACTTTCTCCTTGGATCATAGTCTTCTTATTATGTCACCAATCTTAAACTGTGTCACAGTCTCACCTCTGCTGTCAGGCAAACTCCACCACCGTCGCAGGTGCAGGTGAGAAATGTACAAGACGTGTACTTTCCCGAGGGTTTGCACTGTGCTCAGTAGCTGAGGACCTGCACTCCAGAGGTGCTTCTGTATTTGGTTTTATTAAAGCCTGCACTTAGTGAAACAAGGAAGCCCTATGGAAGCAAAGAACTTCCAGGTTGATTAAACCTCACTGTTTACCATTACTCTCTTATTGGTGATTAAATCTTCCATTTGATTCTGCAAATAACCAGCCCTTATAAAAGCCAAAACCTGGATCATTTGAGGTCAGGTGTTCGAGACCAGCTTGGCCAATATGGTGAAACCCCATCTCTACTAAATATACAAAAAATTAGCCAGGTATGGTGGTGGGCGCCTGTAATCCCAGCTACTTGGGAGGCTGAGGCAGGAGAATCGCTTGAACCCGGGAGGCGGAGGTTGCAGTGAGCCAAGATCGCACCACTGCACTCCAGCCTGGGCAACAGAGCGAGACTCCATCTCAGAAAAGAAAAGAAAAAAAAAAAAGCCAAAACCAGAAACTAAAAGAGACCTAATTAAAATAAAAATGCACATGGAGAATGCATGCCTCACTCACAATGTGACACCAAGTGCTTTTTTAAGTCTCCAGTTTAGCTTTTCCCATCTGCAAAACAAAGGTAATTTGTACAGGTATGTGTGACTAGTATTTTTGAATAGTATTTTTAATTATAAAATTAGACTTTTACACATCTAGTAAATCCCCTTTTTAATGTGAGGCTAGGGAGGTAAGATAACACTTGCCTCAGAGGCTAACAAAACAGATTTCTAATCTTAAGGCTGTAATCTTTTGGCCATGCCTCTAAGATGTGGAGCTGTGCTGGGTTGGGTGTGAGAGAATTGCCAGGGAGGGTTGATTAAAATTACAAATGTGCAATCACCACCAGGAATTCTGCATTTAAAAGAGTTTCCAGGCGAGTCTGACATACAGCTGAATTTAGGATTCAATGTTCTGGGAAAAGTGATTTGCTGTTCATAAATCTAAATCAGTAAAGTAGCAACCAGTAGTAGGATAGGATTTTACCGAGTTTTAAATACATAGGAATGAGTTTGTACAAAAATATATAGTGGTCAAAAAGATATCAGTTAGACTTTCAGGACGTTTATGCAAACAGAAATGAGAGGCAGGTGGAAATATTTAGATTTCTAAATGAGCTCTTAATAAATACTTCAAAATTTGTATTCCAAGACCTCCATATGACACATGAATTTAACAAAAGATTCTATTCATTGTGTCTTGATTATTGCTTTCTTCAGACAAGTTGATAGCTTTCCTTCCCAAAGAGAACCCTCAAAAGTTTGTTTCAAATTCTGTATTTTCCGGAAAATACCCTGACCATTTATAGAATTGTTAACAAAATTAAATATGTAAAGAAAGCACTACATAAAATTTTAATTATTCCTTTTATTTCTTCCTTTTCTCTTCCTCCTCAGTTTCATAGTCATGTATATTTTTCTCAGAGGCCCAGTGCTTCTCAGTAATCCTGCGATGTTTTTCCTTTTTTTCACCATTACTGCCTATAAATTTTAGAAGATGGAGAAAGCTAAAATCATGTAGGGTGAGTCCCCATCCCTGGAGGCATTCCTTTGTTGCTTTGGACTCAGATGCAGATCGTTGAGTGAATCATAACACTGGGGCTTGGCGCAGGATAGCCTTTAGAGTACAAGTCTCCCTTTTTGCTTTGTTTTACTCTATTTTCTCCTCACATGTTTTGTTTCCCATAATAGGCATTCACAAAATGTATTTGATGTAGAAATATGGCACACTATTTTGTGTATCTTTTACTTTTATGTGCATGGTATCATGCTAAGACCAACCTCCCTCCTTCCCTCCTTCCCTTCCTCCCTCCCTTCCTCCCTCCCTTCCTCCGTCTCTCCTTTCCTCCCTTCTTTCCTCCCTCCTTCCTTACTTTCCTCCCTCCTTTCCTCCCTCCCTCCTTCTTTCCCTCTCTCCTTTCTCCCTCCTCCTTCCCTCCCTCCCTCCTTCCTTCCTTCCCTCCCTCCTTCCTTCCCTCCCTCCTCCTTCATTCTCCCTCCTTCCCTCTCTTCCTCCCTCCTTCCTTCCCACCACCCTTCTCACCACCCACCTTCTCTCTCCCTTTCTCTCTTTTTCAATTCAAAAATCATGTTTTAAAAATCTATCCATGGTGCCAGCTAAATGCATATCTTGTATATTGTTTCAAAATGAGGCACAGAAGTTCAGAGTATGCATCCATTATGGCTTACTTATCTATTCCCCTAGAGATGGGCACCTAGATTGCTTCTGATTCCTCTCGACCACAGAGAACACTGCAATGAATGCCCTTATATGTGGCCACTCAATGGTTTCTTTGGGCTTATCTGCCCCAAAATGCAACTGCTAGGACATGATTTATAAGTGCTTCACTAGATGCTACCAGATTGCTCTCTGAAATGCCTATAACCCAACAAGAGTGTATGAGTATACTTATGTACTTATATCTGTATATCCTTGTCAAAGCTGGCTGTTATCTGATTTTCTAATATATTTTCTTTCCTAATCTAGTGGATCTAAAATATTATCTTGTTGCTAATATGCATTTCTCTGATTACTAACAAAGTTATTCTCCAACAATTTATTTTACTGACACTACGTTTTAACTTTAAAATTGAG
This sequence comes from Homo sapiens, assembly GCF_000001405.40. Classification (NCBI taxonomy): domain Eukaryota; kingdom Metazoa; phylum Chordata; class Mammalia; order Primates; family Hominidae; genus Homo; species Homo sapiens. Next base: position 103,491,293 of record NC_000005.10, read on the forward strand.
GTCTTTAATATAGTTGAATCCACCTTTGTATATGGTATAAAATGGAAGGTACAATGTATGAAGGTATGAATTCAACTTATTTTCTATAAAAAATCCCCATTGTATTATGGTGCTACTTTATCATATGTCATTTTAGTAAACATTTGAGTATGTTTCTGAGATTTCAAGTCCATTCTATTCCACTGGGCTATCATCTGTTCCTATGAGAGTGCCATATTTTTTTAAATTATGGTTTCATAATATACCTTAACATCTGGTATGAAAAGTTCCTTTGTCATTGTTTGCTGTATTCACAAATGACATAGCTATTTGAAGACATTTATTTTCTACACATGTTTGTGGATAAGTGTGACAAGTTACTCAAAAATTTATAAAATGTTATTGGAATTCAACTGAATTTTTAGATTAATTTTGTGAGAATTAAAATCTTTACAGATTTTTTTCACCCATAAATATACTCTACATTTCCAGTTATTTAGATCATCTTTTATGTACCTGGATTAAGTTGAATTGGTCAGAACTTTTGATGTTAGGACAAACAAAGGTTGTTATAATCAGCATTGTTCTTCTGAATCTTAAAACAAGTTTCTCCATTAAATGTTTTTGTTCCTGTTTATGTACTTTTATTTATGATTAGGTTTTTAGTAGATAGTCTTTATCAGGTTATGAAAGGAACCTGTTGTTTCTACTATTTAGGGGATTTAAATACAAACACACACGTACATACTGCACTTTATTAAATGATTATTTTGCACTATTGAGACAATCATGATTTTTTTCTTCATACTAACGAAGAATTGCATTAAAATTTTTTTGTGATTATATGGGTATAAACTTTAGTTGATTATGATATACTACACGTATTTTTAATAAAAAGTTTGATTTAGGTATTTACCATTTTCATTAGAATTTGTATATCTATACGTAAATAGAATGGATATATTATTTTTCATAATATGTTTATCTGGTTCTGAAATCAAGGTTACAGTAGCCTCATAGAGTTAGCTGAATAGTCATTCACTGTTTTCTGGAAAAACCATATAGAATAGGGGTTATTTGTTGTTTGAAAGTCGGATAGGTCTCCCCTATAAAAATGAGGAGACTAGTATCCTGGGCTTTTGAATGGGAGATGGGGTGGGGATGGAAATGGGAAAGAGATGAAGTGGTGTCTTTGTTTATTCTATCAATATGTTTAATTATGATAGCCTGCAGATTGTCTATTCTTGCACTAATTTAAGCACTCTAAATGCTTCTAGAAAATGTTTTTATTTATCTAGCTTTAAAGTTTATTATTCTACAGTTGTTCAAAGTAGTATTTTATTATTTCAAAAACCATGTGTGTTTTTCCCTTTTACTTTGTTATTCTCTATTTTGTCTATTTACTTCTTTTTCTCTTTTTCCTATTTATCAGTGATGCAAGAGATTTATCTGTGTTGTGAATCTTTTGAAAGAACCAGCTGTTAATTTTATTAGTATGCTGTATTTTTCTTTTAATTCCCGATGTCAGTAATTTTATCCTGTACTTATTTTTTATTTCTTTTTGATTTCTTTGTGTTTATTCTATGGCTTTTTTCCCCTAACTTATTGAGTTGAAACTTCATTCACTGAATTTAAATTTTTCTTGCTTTTGATGAAGATATTTTAAGTATAAATTCCCTCTAAACACTATTCAGTTATATTCTATAAATTTAACATGTATTGTTTTCACTGTTACCCTGTTTTAAATGGTATAATAATTCTCAGAGGCATTAACAAAAATTTAAGCCATGTAACTTTAAAGACAGTTATTCTTTTATTATTTAATTTTAATTTAATTGCATTATGGATAAAGAATATAATCTGTATGATGTTGAGTCTTTGGAATTTATTGGGGTTTCATTCATAGCCTGATACATTGTCATCTTTTATGAATGTTCCATTGTACTCAGAAAAAAAAATATGCTTTGTGGGATGTAGAATCTAGTTATTCTCTCCAAGTTCAAACTTCTTAATGCTGTTTTCAAGTTTTATATACTGGTACTTTTTTAAAAGTTTTATTTTATTGTAGTAGGAACATTTAACATATCTACCCTGTTAACAAATGTCTAACTGTACAATACGCTATTGTTGACTACAGGTACAGTGTTGTAGAATGGATCTCTACAACATATTCATTTACATAACTAAAATTTCTTACTGGTTAGTTAGCAACTCCCCTGTCCCAGTTTACCCCTGTACCTGGCAAGCACCTTTCTATTTTTTGCCTCTATGATTTTGACTGTTTGAAATGCCATACATAAGTGGAATTATGCAGTATTTGTTCTTTTGCAATTGGCTTACTCCACTTAACATGATGTCCTCAAGTTTCATCCATGCTGTCACATACTGCAGAATTTACTTCTTTTTAGGGCTCATAGTATTCATTTATATGTATGCATATTTTTTTAATCTATGTTGATGGACACCGTGGTTTCCACATCTTGGCTATTATAAATAGCGCCACAGTGAACATGGGAATGCAGATATCTCTTTGAGATAGTGATTTTATTTCCTTTGCATCAATACCTAGAAGTGAGATTCCTGCATCATATGGTAGTTCTCTTTTTAATTTTTTGAGGACTTTTTCTGCTATTTTCCACAGTGGCTACAACATTTTGCGTTCCCACCCTCAGTGTGCAAATGTTCCAATTTCCCCACATCCTCACCAACATTTGTTGTCTATTGTTTTTTTAATAGTAGTCATTCTGGTAGGTGTGTGGTGATATCTCATTAAGGTTTTGATTTGCATTTCCATGATAACTAGTAACATTGAGTATTTTTTCATATACCTATTGGACATTTGTATGTCTTCTTGGGAGAAATTCCCTAGCCTATTTTTGAATCAGGCTGTTAGTGTGTTTTTGCTATTAATTTGTATGAGTTTTTTCTATGTTTTGGAGATTAACCCCCTCATCACAAGTTTTTTTAGTTTGATGTAGTCCCACTTGTTTATTTTTGTTTTTGTTGCCTGTGCTTTTGGTGTCATATCCAAAACGTCATTGCCAAGACCAATATCAAGAAACATTTATCCTATGCTTTCTTCCAGGAATTTTAAGGTTTCAGGTCTTACATTTAAGTTCTTAATCCATTTTGAGTTGATTTTTGTGTAGAATGTAAGATAAGGATCCAATTTCATTATTTTGCATGTGGATATCCAGTTTTCTCAGCACCATCTGTTGAAGAGACTATCTTCTTCCCATTGTGTATTCTTGGCACCCCTGTCAAAGATCAGTTGACGATATATGCATAGATTTATTTCTGGGCTGTCTATTCTGTTCCATTGATCTGTCTGTCTTTATGCCAATACCATACTGCTTTGAATACTATAGTTTTGTAATATATTTTGAAATTGGGAAATGTGATGCCTCCATCTTTGCTGTTCTTTCTCAAGATTGACTTGGCTATTTGTGGCTTTTTGTGGTTCCATGACAATTTAAAATTTTTTTTATTTCTTTATAAAATCCTATTGAGGTTTTGATAGAGATGACATTGAATCTATAGCTTGCTTTGGGTAGTATGAATATTTAAATAGTATGATGTTTTCCAATCTATAAACACAGGATATCTTTCAATTGTTTGTGTCTTAATTTCTTTCATCACTGTTTTCTAGTTTTTAGTATACAAATCTGTCACTTTTTACTTAGGTTTATGCCTAAGTATTTTAATTTTTTGGTTACTATTGTAAAGGGGATTGTTTTCCTAATTCCCTTTTCAACTAGTTTGCTGTTAGTGTATAGAAACACAATTGAATTTTGTTTGTTGATTTCCTATCCTGCAATTATACTGAATTCAATTATTAGTTCGAACTGTTTTTGGCATCTTTAGGGTTTTCTATTTATAATATTGTGCTGTCTGCAAACAGGGATAATTTAACTTCTTTCTTTCTGATATGAATATGTTGAACTTGCCAGAGCTCCAACATTACCAAGACACTTTTTTGGACATCCCTGGAGAAGGTAGTGAAATGGATACACAGATCAACCTTCTCCCTCCCAAGGGTAGCAGAGTGCTGGGAATTTTTTGTCTTTGCTCTATGCTGAGCAACAGGAAGGATCTATGGTGCTTAACAGCCCAAGCTGCTGTCTGTGTTCTCTATCAGAGCTCCACGGTCAGCAAAACAGAATCTAGTCCCTGCTGAGGTCCCTTGGAAAATTTGGGGTGCTGGATGTACAAATTACACTCGCTCCCTGCCCTTAGAAAAGGTTGTAGCTTAGGGGTTCCCTTCTTGATTGTACAGTGCTGTGCTCGGTGTAAGGATTCTGTCAAGAGTGTGTCCCAAATCTCCCTACTGGCTTCGGTGAGTCTAGCTTAGTGTTTGCCTGGGATGTGGAGCCTTTCAGTAAGTTTCTGGATTTCTTACAAAGAGAATTTGTCTATGAATTGTTGATAAATTCATATGTTTGTAAGGGGGAAAAGGGTGTTCCTACTCTGGCATCTTGCTGGTATTATTTCCTACTAATGCTTAATTTTTATTTGGTTGTTTTACCACTTTATGAGATTGGTAAGTTCTGAGTTAGATAAAATTGTTTGTACTGGAGAGGGGTTGATATAGACAATAGGAAACTTTACTAAGTTATTTCATCACCTTTATTTCCCATGATTACTATAAAAGCATTTTGGATTTGTATTTCTTTTTGCTACAGTGTTTCATTTAAGAGTATTTCAGACAATCTTTTATAAAGCTAAATGCTCACATATGTCTTTGCACTTACATTTAAGTAATAGTTTAGCTGGATATTACATTTGAGTTATAATGCTAATTTTCTTTAACATTTTGAAAATATTATTGCATTGTATACCAGTACCCAGTGCTGTTAAAAAGTCTGATATCAATCAGATTTCAGTGGTTTTCTGTCTTGAAACTTAAAAAAAAATCTTTATCTTTGATGTTCTTAAATTTCACTACAATATGCCAACATGAGGGTTTTATTCCTATCTATGTGGCGATCTATAAGTGTTTCCTGAGTTCTCTCTTCTTTCTTTAATTCTAGAAAAGTCTAATTTTTTTCTTCAAAAATATTTCTCCTTCCATGTACTTATTTACTTTTTTCCTTTAAGCACTCTTGATTGAAATATTACCATATTGGCTTTTCTAATTGTATCCTATGTATTTCTTAACTCTTCCTATATATTTTCTTTTTTAAAAAAACTCACCTGATGCGTTCTATGAAAGTTCTTACATTAAATATTTTGGATCTTTAAAATTTTTCTACTGTATTTTTTCTGTTATTCAGCTCACCTACTGCATTTTTTATTTAAACAATTATTTTCTTTATACCTGGTGCTGAAGATTGGTTTTCCCTTATGTCTGCTTTTTCTGCTTTATATTAAATATCCTACAAATGTCCTTTTTCACCACTTTTATGATATTTATTGATCTTATTTTAAGTGCTTGTTCTCTCCGATCTATTAATTTATTTTGGTTTGGTTGTTACAGATTGTTCCATATATTATCTTTCTCTTATTGCAGTTATGTTTCTCAGATGTCTTGTTATTTTTACTAGACAACTCTTACTGCTCTGGGATTATTAAGTACTTTGGCTGAAAGTATGTACTGGGAGAAAGTTTAAAGTCCAGAACATGGCTGACATCCCTCCTGGTGAGTGTGGTGGTGGAGACAGGGTACTCCTCAGGGCGGTAAGCCTCTTGGGTTGCTATATTGGCTCAATCACTATGTTTGCCTCATTTGCTTTCTTACAAGATGACCCTGAATCTCAGGCACTCTCCCTTTTCCTTTGCCATAAACTCTACTCTTCCTCAACAAAAAGCTGTGCTATAATTACTTAGTCCTAGGATGTGCAGGAGATTATATCTGGGTAAGGAATGATGGGCCACCCTGATAATATCCCATTGACTCCATTATAGGTGCTGCTGTTTCTCTGGCTTTCAGGTGATGTGGAGAACTGGCCACCTAGGTCTATATGGAATAGAAAAAACATTAAGAAGCAGTTCCTCAGCCTGTTCCTTACATGAAGTGTTCAGCTGTCATCTGCTACTGCCTGTAATTCTCACTGTTTCTAATATGCACCTGCACCAAATGATCTTGCCTTTACTTTTAGCATCTCAGATCTATAATTCACTTTTATGTTTTTGATGTATCTCTGATGTTGGGTTTGAGAAGAATTGGAACAGACACAGAATTAAGGTTTCCTTTGGGGAGAAAAGTGAAGGTGGCAACCAAGGAGTGGTTGAGCCCAGATTATATCAGCAGATAAGTCCATCCGCCCAAGTAACTTCCAGGAATGGCTAGGATGTTGAATATAGCTTTTCTCTCAGTATCAGTGTTAGTTCCTTACCTTGTCAGAAATCAGAAATCTCTCCATTCAAGTTTTAGAGATGATTTCTATTTATTTCTATTAGCTGATGTAGTGAGGCTGAATGGTTTAGTGCTATAAAGAACATTAGGCCTCTTGGAGAAAAATAAAAGAAGTACTAAAAGTAGCAATATTTCTAAAAGTAGGTTTTATTTAACTCAGAAAATTGGAAATGTAATTATCTGTGAGGAAGAACCTAGGAACAGCTAAATTCAGATGGGTAAGATTTCCTTATTCTATGGAATACTATCAATTCATTAGCATAATCATTATATTATCTCCATTTCTCATCTGTACTCCATACAAGATAAATATTTGTGCAAGACATATAAATAGCTGTTGCATGTGCTAACTGACAATGACCTTGGATTCCCGGTGCAGCTAGTCCAAGTCCCACAGAGCAGCAAAACACCAAGCCAAATCCTACAAGTTTCAGAATCACTTATGAAGACACAGCATTTGTTAGTGGGTTTTTTTTTTTCTTTTTGTGCTGCTCGTCTACGCTAGAGAAGTCTCAATGTTGCTAATCATCAAGCATGGTTTCATCATGAGAAAAGGGCAAATGATACTTACTGCTCAGCCAGTTACACTTACTAATTAGCACATGTGACCTATCCCAAATGCACACATTTTTAATATCTCATTGCCTGCTAATAACCTTCAGAGGCACTGAAGTACTCATGGAGCCTTCAGGAAGCCCGGAACAGGAAACCACACCAAATAACTCCATGAGGGAACACAGCATTTACCAGCTGGGTATTTTTAGGTCTGCAGGGAGGTAGGGTTTGTAACACTGTGCCAAAAAAGTAAGCTGTTTTGCAGAGAGGAAGATGGTGTTACCTTTCCACAAAGTGAAATGTGAGAGGATGCAAGGGTGTGGGGCATGTATCCTCACTGTTCTTGTGGTGATTCCATCTGCAACACAATTGCTTTAAGGGCCTGGGAAAATCTGTAGAAGCTTTAGATCTGTGATTTCTTCATTTCTCTCTCTCTCTTTTTTTTTTTTACATTAAAATCCTGAGGCTGTTAACTCTCAAAACTGATGGAAAGAAAGGAAAGGGAAAAGGAAAGGAGGGAGGGAGGAAGGAAGGTGGGACGAAAGGATGGTAATAGTAAATGAATTCTTGTAATGAGAATTTTTCTGTGCATGTATAAGGAGTTTAAGTAAATATTTTGATAATAATAGGGTATGTTTTACTTACTGCCATTTTCTCGCTTCAGTTTAGTGGCTAGCCATCAATACAGAAGGAAAATGGGAGGGAAATGTGATTTAATTTCTATGAAAACTCATGCTGATGACAGGGCATTAAAGGGAGCTTTGGGAGAGAAGTGCACTTACACCTGTAGGTGTCCCCTCCCACATTGGAACTCTGTATGGCAGCTTTCTGCTCCTTCAGATGAACTCTGGATTCTGTAACTGGCCCACCTACCTTTCATTGCAAGGTTCACAGCTTCTGCAAGCTCGACACTGGTGACCTCAGTGCCATTGACAGCCAGTACCGCATCTCCAATCTGGAGCCCGGCTTTCTTGGCGGCACTGTCTGTGAGTAGACAGACAACAACAGTCTCATTGAGGGAGGGTCCCAAATGGAGTACCCTGCTATTTGTCCTCTTTTTAAAAGGCTCTTTCTCTGAAGGGCCTTTCTTTCCAACTTTAGACAATTGCCGATGTCATTAATAAGAAGGAAAATGCTCTCCTTGCAGCCTCCTTTTCATTTCCAGGACGCGGTTTCCTCACACATTCAGCCAGGCTGCTGCGTGGCCTCTTTGCAATATAATAGCAAAGCTGCTCAGAAACTCAATCTATTCATCCGGCAGAAGGTTGAACTGCTAGTTCTCATTCCCTCATTGCTGCTAGGTTTCTTTGTAACCCTGAGAAAATCATTTAACCTCAATATCTCCATCTATAAAGAGGGGGGTGGGAGCAGAGCTTCTCTGCAGGATTGTTGAGAGAACAAGTAATTGAAATACTTATGAAGTTGTGGCAAAAACAGATCCTGGAGTAGTGAGGGGAAAAAAGAAATCAAGAGCTGCTTTTACTTTCATTGTATAGGCTCCTTTCTGAGCCATCTCAGAAAGGAAACCAAAAATAGCCTAAGCCTAAGGACTTAGGCATTGGAAGATGGGAGGGGCCTTTCCAGAGGTTATTTATTTTATCCCATAGTTTTCTAGCACCTGCACTTACTGCAAAATACCTAATATTCTTAAGGCCTAAAAAAGGATCTAATAAACCATTTCAAGGCTAACTCATTTTTAATAAGGTCTCCCATATCTTTAACCAAAATTCTTCCTGCTGCAGTGTAAATCTATTTTTATTTTTTGCTTCAGTTTAAACCCATTTCCTCTTTCTTAGGACTCAGTGCTGGTTATATGTGTACTATTCATGGACTTCAAGAATACTATGCAGTAATATCAGGCTTTTAGTATTTAGAATGTCATAAGCCTTATTAAAGAATTTTATTTTCAAAGTATGATTCAACAGATAGTGACTTAGAATATTTACAGTAATGACTATAGTTTGTCTAAATCTATCCATAGTAGGAGTCTTCTCTGCTTGGATAAGCAATGGCCCATCAATGTAGGAAGGTAGATAAAAAGTAATAAATATTATGAATGATATTTTCATTCATAATATAATCCTCATAATGAACTAAAGTCTCATGGTGTGGTTGATCAATTGAATATGTTCTTCCATAGTGTTTTTTAGAGATAAGGTTTCACTATGTTGCCCAGGCTGGTCTCAAACTCCTGGACTCAAGGGGTCATTCTGCCTTAATCCTAGCACTTTGGGAGGCCGAGGCTGGTAGATCACTGGAGCCCAGGAGTTTGAGACCAGTGTGGGCAACATGGTGAAATCCAGTCTCTACAAAAAATACAAAAACCCGGTATGGTGGCATGTGCCTGTAGTCTTAGCTACTTGGGAGGCTGAGGTGGGAGGATCATGTTAGCCCAGAGTGGTTGAGGCTGCAGTGAGCCATGGTTATACCACTACACTCCAGCCTGGGTGACGGAAGTGAGACCTGGTCTCAAAAAAAAAAAAAAAATAGAAATAGATTGAAGATTCATAACCAAAGGGTCAAATGTTAAAAGAGAAATGTAGAGCACTGAAGAAAAAATCTTGAAGAATAATTACCTTTAGGGAGAGACGGCAAAACAGGAGACAAAAAGCAACACAAAGAAGGAGCAGACGGACCTTACAGAGCATAGATGCAAGAGTATAAAATCAACAGAAGGCACGAGAAGCATTTCAAGATATAGGGAATAGTCAGCATTTCTATAGCAATGCCATAAAAGTAACCATAGCATAGCATTTTTAATACTAGTTCATTCAAGAAGTCAAGAAGAATGAAGACTGAGGAAAGGTGATTAAATCTGAGGTGGGAGAGTAAATGATAACTAAAGAACTTCAAGAAGGATTATGGAAGTGGAAGGAAAATGTATGAGCCATTTGTGCTGGTGAATATATGTTAAATGATTGACTAGATTGCCTTTCTAGTAGATAAACTACTATAATTAAAGGTATGTATCTAATAACAAATTGTCTCTCCTAAGTAAAATGTGTTTTCAAACAACAATCTTTTACTTAAGGAATCTATCAATATGAAAGTAATTGTTTTTTTTTTTTTAAAAAAAACCTTTATTGAGATATACTGCACATACCATATACTTCACCCACTTAAAGTGTACAATTCAATGGTTTTTAGTATATTCAGGGAGTTGTGCAACCATCAACACCATCTATTTTAAAATAGTTTTTTGTCACTCTAGAAAGAAACTCCATAACCAATAGCAGTCATTCTCTATTCCTCCTAACCCCTCAGCCCCAGACAACAACTAATCTGCTTTCTGTCTCTATTGACTTGTCTATTGTGGACGTTTCATATAAACTGAATCATATATATGTGGTCTTTTGTGTTTGGCTCTATTCACTTAGCATAATGTTTTCAAGATTCAGCTATGTCATAACCTGCACTATATTCCTTTTAATTGGTGAATATTCCATATAAGGACACAGCACATTTTGTTCATTCATTCGTCAGTTGAAGGGCACTTGGGTTATTTATACTTTACATTTTTTAAAAATAAAGCTGCTATGGAAATTTAGGTACAAATTTTTCTGTGGACATATGTTTTCATTTGTCTTGAGTATATACCTAGGAGTGGAATTGTTAGATTAAAAGGTAACTCTACGTGTAACTTCTTGAGAAACTGCCAAACTGTTTTCCAAAGAGGCTACACAATTTTACATTCCCGCTAGCAGTGTATGAGTATTTTTGATTTCTCTACATTCTTGCCAATATTTGTTATTATCTGACTTTAAAAAAGTATGAAGTGGTCTAGTGTATGAAGTGATATCTCATTGTAGCTTTGGTTTGAATTTCCCTGATGACTACTGATGTTGAATGTTTTATCATGTGCTTATTGGCTATTTGTATACCTTTGGAGAAATGTCTATTCAAATCCTTTGCTCATTTTAAAATTTGTGTTACTTTGTATTATTCAGCTGTGAGGGCAAAAATGATTCTTGTTTGTAGAGGACTTATTTCTAGGGTATAACCCTTTTGAATAGTTCATTTTATTGTTTTTACCTTTAATTATAAAGGGTGCAGACTATATTCATTTATTTCATAGTATAACTTGCAAATTTTCCCTTTATGTATTAATCATGGTGGGAGTTTGGGGCATTAGGTCTTCTTCAAAGAGGGAGATATTTTAAGGTGACCCTGTAATATACTACACACATATTTGCCCTATTTGATTCTGGTCTGGGAACAGATGGAAGTATTCAGCTTACATTGCACAGGAAGGTATAATATGAGGTGGTGGGAAAATGAGACTGATTTTCTAAATTTACATCTCCCTCCAATAGGATACTTTACTACACAGTTCTGTATTTATTATAAAGAGCTAAATGCTGAGTTACTTCATCCTTTTATGCATATTTACATACAATACAGAATCTGAAAACCTTATAATTTCAAAGGGGGCTTGTATTTTTTATTTTAAAAATTGTATTATAACAGCAGCATTTTAAATTCTAGAGCTTTCAGAAAGATGGGTCTATCCATAATTTCCTCTACGGTTTGCTCTTCTCTAAATGTATAGTTTTCTTTTCAAATTTACTTAGTATCAAAGTTGGAACATCTGTTTCTTTTGTTTATGCCAACAGATCTCAGAAGCATTTAGGCTTTCATAGAAAATGTTCATGCAAATGCCATCGGGTGTGGGCAATTCGTTATGCAAGCTACTAGCAAGCTCAGTTTCTGTATACTTATGGATAATCATTTCCATCCCACCTACAGGTCTCTTTGCTTTATCTTTTTATCTTCAGTGTGTAATTAAACCTCTCTAGTGCATCCAGAACAATGTTTTGTGGTGTGAATAAGATTCTCAGAAGTGCTGAAAATATGTGTAATTTTAAAGTCCCTCAACCCCTCATTTAGTATATTTGACTAGACAATGGATTTCAGAGGGTACTCTTCAGCACAGAGGAATACATTTTTTAAAAAGAGAAGTAGACTCAGCAGCCACATGAATCCCTGCCAGGGCAGCATTTTCTATGTTGAATAAAATCCTAGGTTAACTAGGTATTGTACCATTTCTTCTATAGTAAAGTTGCCTCAGCTCTTCCTATTACAAAGCCTCAGGGCCTCCTAAATATGAAGTCATCTGCAATGCAAATATTTGTATTTGTTTCACATTGAATACATGAGATACAGTTAACTATATCAGTTGAACAGTTGCAAAGGTATCAGCAATTAAATAAGTCATAACATTGTATTAAACTGCATTTATTTTATCTAGAAAGACAGGCACAAAAAGGTGTGTCAAGATTTTGGATATTTTGAAAAAATCCAGTGAACTTATTAAGTCAGACCAGTATGACTTTTAAAGGGTAATCATTATTTATATTCCTTCTAAATTTCCTCGTTTCTTTAAGACTGATCTTGTGAAGTCAGAAGTTGAGAGAGGAAAGGAGAGAAGAGGTAAATATAGAGAAATGGGAAAGGAGAGAGAGAAAAAAACAGGAAGAGAAGAAGGGAGTGGGGAAGTGTGAAACATACATTAATAAAGTCTCCATGAATAAACATTTATTTTGTTAAAGCCAGATTCCTTTTAAAAATTCAGAAGCCCTATTATGATTTTAAAAATTTGCCTGTCTTTGTGTCTTTAAAGAGAAATAATATGACACACAATTGTTTTTTGTTCTTGTTCATTCAAAAGGTATTAAGGGGCCAACTAAGGTTGACCTTGGACAAAATTTGCAATCTTTATCTTCTGTCATCTGAGTCCTGTTACCAAGTTTCTCTTCAGCCCTCTTTCCCCATTTGTGGTCTACACTTCTACTCCTAAATTTCATCATTTGGGAAATTTCACTGACTGCCCTAACCATTTAAGAAATTATTTGCTAAATAATCATCTATATATTTGATTAACTGATAAAACTTTAATTGAAATTCATTCACATCAAAGTAAAAATATACCCATGTACTTGCATTTTAATCTAATTAGAGAGTAAAAGGCTGTTTATCTGGATAAAATAATTATCAGCTTAGTAACTTGGCCCTTTGCTTTCCTATAAATATTTTAGAATCAAATTGATAATTTTAAAAGAATGAAAAACCCCAAAGCTTAAACGAAACACGTACTCTCCTAGAATACAGATTGAAATGTGAAGAATTTACATCTTTAAATATTAAGATTTAAGAACAATGAATGTATTTTTCCTGTTGTTAATTTAGGTATTTTATTTTAAAATTTATTTCTATATTGTTTTATTTTCAAAGTAGTATTCTTCACATTTTAATTAGAATTATTCCTACCAATTTGCTTCCCCCTCACCTCCCTATCCTCAGGGCTTTCTATTCTATACCTTTTGTGGCAATCTTAGATGTCCACCATCCAGCTCTACCTGCTGCGAGGGCTGAAATTGACTCAAACCCTTCAACTGCCACCCTTATCCATCTTGCCTCACACTGAGGCCATGTTCTTCCTGAGCTGCTTCCAGCCAGTGACTGAATTTGGAGGGGCTGTTAGAGTCAGGCTTTTGCTGGCCAGTCTCTAAAGGACCCTCTGTTCTGGGACTCCCTATTGGTCTGTCTCAGAATTTCTCAGGGCCACACTGCAGTTCAAGGCTCTTGCCCAACCCTGTTTCTTTTCTCGTCCTCTTTTGCAGGTACCAAAATGACATGCATCGGGGTCCGAAGGTTGTTCTGCCCATTCACACTCTGTTCCCTTTGCTGGGCACAGTGATTTCCTCTAATCTCTTGTGCATCTATTTTCATCTGGATGTCTATTTGTCAGATGACAGAAATTAAGAAAAAGTAACTCCCTCTGCTACTTTAAAGAAGTTTGTAATTTCCCAATATTTTTGTAAGTCATGAGAAGAGCAAAAGGGATCAACAACACATGAGTAGGGACTGCCTTTCAATAGGAGAAGGAGAAAGGGGGACACAAGTACAAATTCAAGTACATTTGAAGGTGTACAGGTGGGATTTCTGATAAATAGAAAATAGAGACAGGAAATAGTCAAGAAGATAATACATGCTTGCAAGTCTGAGGCAGGCTCAAGCTGGGGAAGAAAGGAAGCTTTACATTGGATAAGGATTCAGAAATTTTGATTATTATACTAGACTGACCTGTAGTTCTATGATTATTAGACTGGACTGGACTTCTAATGACAAAACAAAGGGTGATGCCTTTATTGTCTAAGAGAGACTACAAAAATCAGGATTCATCCCAGAACTCACACAGAGAGGGAGGAATGGATTAGCAAGGCAAGTTAAATGGAGAGATTTGAGAATAAGTTGTTTTATGTAATACACCAGCTGAACCCTGCTCATTCCATAAACAGTTAAATATTTGAGACAATGTTAGTTCAGCTGTGTAGCTAAGAAGAGCTCATATGCTATTTATTGTATTTAATATTTTTCTTAATAGTTGAGAATAAACTAGGTCAGAATCAAGTCATAAAAAATTCAAAGGCAATTCTTTGATAGGAATGACAGGATTTTTAAAGAAAGTGATTAGCCTTCAAGTACTGTTATACCAAGAAGAGGCAAAACACTTCATTTGTAGACACTAGGTGGTGAGTTGTTCGTGTGAGTGTTGTTTATTACTCATTTGGTGCAGAGTGTTACTGTGTCAGTATGGCTTGAGTCTGAGAGGTCAGAGGTCTTCTCCCAATACCCTCTTTTCTTCCCCATTATGTACTAACTCATGGAAGTTAGTACATCACTCCACCCTCAGGTCCAGGGTGGGCCCTGGTTTTCTGGTAACTCAATCAGGACAATTCTATTCCCCCTGTATTTAGCCTAAGTGAAATAGCTCACAGTGGTCCCCAAGGGACATGGCAAAATGATGACATCTGAGGTTTGAAGTCTGTCTCCACTCTCTTTCTGACTCTGTGATTTGCGATATGAAGGGTGAAACTGCTGAGATTGTTTTAAATCCAGATGGAAAGCTTGCAACACCAAGGAAGGAGGTGAAAGAAATTATGCTTTTGATGAAAAGTTTGAGCCACCCAAACAAAATAAAACCCGTGCTATTTCCAAGCCTTCAACTTTTGTGAGTCAGTCCATCCCCTTCATTGCTTAACACACTGTGAGTCAGATTTTCTGTTGCAACAGAAAATCCTAACTGATATAAATCATAGCAAAATAACTAGTTGTAGAAATAAAAATTCTGAGATCTGAATCCTGCTATTCCCATGATTATAGCTATATAACAATAGGCTAGTTTAATTACATAATGGCTTAATATATTCGTCTGTTAAATGGAAGTGATAATATCAAGTTTCGAGTTCTATCGTATAAATTACATGGACCAATCCTACTCAAACTATTCCAAAAAATAGAAGAGGAGGGAATACTTCCAAACTCATTCTACAAGGCCAGTATTACCCTGATACCAAAACCAGACAAAAACACATCAAAAAAGAAAACTATAGGCCAATATCACTGGTGAACATTGATGCAAAAATCCTCAACAAAGTACTAGCAAACCAAATTCAACAACACGTTAAAAAGATCATTCATCATGACCAAGTGGGATTTATCCTAAGAATGCAAGGATGGTTCAACATATAAAAATCAATCAATGTAATACATCATATCAACAGAATGAAGGACAAAAACCATATGATCATTTCAATTGATGCTGAAAAAGCATTTGATAAAATTCAACATCCCTTCAAGATAAAAATCCTCAAAACGCTGGGTATAGAGCATACATCAACATGATAAAAGCCATACATGGCAGATACATAGCTAATATCATACTGAATGGGGAAAACCTGAAATCTTTTCCTGTAAGATCAGGAACATGACAAGGATGCCCACTTTCACCAATGTTATTCAACATAGTACTGGAAGTCCTAGCTAGAGAAATCAGAGAAGAGAAATAAATAAAGGGCATCCAAATTATTCTTCTTTGCAGATGATATGGTCTTATATTTGGAAAAACCAAAAAACTCAACCAGAAAACTATTAGAACTGATGAACAAATTCAGTAAAGTTGCAGGATACAAAATCAACATACAGAAATCAGTAGCATTTCTATACGCCAACAGCAAACAATCTGAAAAAATGAAATCTAGAAAGTAATCCAATTTTCAATAGCTACAAATACAATAAAATATCTAGAAAATAACCAAAGAAGTGAAAGATCTCTACAATGAAAACTATATAATACTGATGAAAGAAATCGAGGAGGACACAAAAAAATGAAAAGATACTTTACATTCATGGATTGGAAGAATCCATATTGTTAAAATGCCCATACTTCTCAAAACAATCTACAGATTTAATGTAATCCCTATCAAAATACCAATGGCATTCTTCATAGAAATAGAAAAAAAAATCCTAAAATTGACATAGAACCACAAAAGACCCAGAATAGCCAAAGCTATCCTAAGCAAAAAGAACAAAACTGAAGGAATCACATTACCTGATTTTAAATTATACTAGAGAACTATAGTTCCCCAAATGGCATGGTACTGGCACAGAAACAGACACATAGATCAGTGGAATAGAATAGAGAACCCAGAGATAAATCAATATGCTTACAGAGAACTCATTTTTGACAAAGGTGCCAAAAATGTACATTGTAGAAAGGACAGTATCTTCAATAAATGGTGCTGGAAAAACTGGGTATCTATATGCAGAAGAATAATCTGAGATCAGTGCTTTGAAAAAATTGGAGCCAGAACAGTGAGGTTGGTAGAAATATAAGATAAAGATATCCACACCCACCATGGTGCCAGAGGGGAGACCTAACAAAGTTATGACAAAGAGAACCCAGGACCACCAGGGTGTTTCTGAATTACATTATAGTCAGTTATTTGTTTGTCTGTCTCCTGATCTGGACTGTGAGTTCCCAGTCAGAAACTGTATCTTACCCATCATTTCATCCTCGTGCAGTATCCCAGAGGCAACAGAGTAGATACCCTAAAAATGCCTGTTGAGTGACTGTGAGAGCCCTGTGTACCTGAAAGCTGAGACAGCATGGGGCAGACGGAGGGGGGAGTACGACCTCAGGAGGATTACAAGCCTTCCTGCTTTGCCCTTATGCCCCAGCGCCTTATCTGGCCTCATTGTTATCCAGGGTCGCATTTCATTTTCCTTTGTTGTCAGATTCAGGGTTCCTCTGTTGCATGCCCTGCGATTCCATTAAGAATCTACTCTCATATCCATAAATTATTTGGTTTCCCACTACATATAAAAGTTAGGTTTACATTTATGTAGTCTATTAAGTGTGTAATAGCATTATGTCTAAAAAAGCACAATGTACATACTTTAATTTAGAAATATTTTATGGCTAAAAAATGCTATCGTAACAATCATCTGAGCCTTTAGCCAGTACTCATTTTTTTTGCTGAATACTTTAAGTTTTAGATTCAAAATCCCATGCTTATTTTTCAATGAATGGCTAAGGTTAATTCATTCATATTATGTGACTATACATAAGTATTCTAAATGTGCAAAATACAAACCTTGTATTCTCTTATGTATGTGTAGAAAACTCATTCAGATTTACAACTTTTCCTAGATAAAATCCTCCACTGTTGAATTTCATGTTTATAAGAAAAAACTAAGGTTATATTTTACTCTACAGTTAAATGATATTGTATATAACAATGATTACATCTTAGCAGTACAAGTGAGGTTAAGATTAAACTAAGCACATATTGATGTTTGTACTGAAAGTATTATGTACCTCTTCATAGAGCCTGTCATATTCTCAAACATCTTTAGCAACTCCCCTTAGTGCCTGGAACATATTAGGCATAGTGTTTGTTAAATTCATGATTGTATAATTTAAAGTATGCTTTTCAATCTGAATCCACGATGTCTTGAGGCAAATTATTTATTATTTATGTCACTGCATATTCTCACTTGTAAGTGGGAGCTAGACTATGGGTACCCAAAGAGAGACCTAGTGGCATAATGGACTTTAGAGACTCAGAAGCAGGAGGTTGGGAAAAGATCGAGGGATAAAAAGCTACATATTGGGTACAGTGTACACACTACTCGGGTGATGGATGTGCAGTCTCAGGTTTCAGCGCTACACAATTCATTCGTGTAACCAGAAATGACTTGTACCACAAAAGCTACTGCAATAAAATATATATTATTTAAAAAATAAAATAAATAAGTTGTTTACTATTTATGAAGGCAATTTATACCAATAAAACAGAAGTTCACAAAAGTTCAAATTTTGTAGTAAAGATTGGACTGAAATAATAATTTCACATGCTGAAGCTTGTAATTGAAGCATAAGTTTGCTTTTTAATCATAAACCATTATTGCCTTAGGGAACTATATATAGCTATTAATTTTTAGTTCACTAAATTCATCTTATAAGAACATCATGGAATTATTAGAATATCAATGAAGTGTGTAAAAATACATAACAAATACTTATTAAATAAAGGTATAGTTATTAAATATATTAAATGTAAAAAAGCTGTAAAATCATATATAGTACATCAAAATAAATACATTATAATACCAAATGAGTATTTCATATATGTTTAGAAACCAGGACTAGACCTAATTGTAATAACAAGACAATGCAGAAGCAATAATATAGTTACACTGTAGAATTGGAATACTAAGTGGTAATTTGTTACTTCTTTATACTGTCTGGTGCATTTTTTCAAATTAATAAGTATTTTTTATTCATAGGATGAACCCAGACTCTTGACTCTGTCTACATTAATCTTTATTCCAACTTTGGAATTACTCTTCAATGCCTGAATGAGCTATTAATAAAGCTTTTATTTTAATAGCTTCAGATTCTTTCATGATGTTAAGAAACACATGGTACATGTATAGTCTTATGGGACCATACGTATTTCAGCTCCCCAAACACTTCATCTGGCGTTTACATTCGCTGACTTCAAAGAGCCTGGAGGCTGGCTACAAGTTCTCTAAGACATATTCATTTTACCATAATTGTAGAGTCCTTACCAGCTACTGGGTGAGGTTTTTTACTAAGACATCTGGGACCATCCTCAAGATTCACATCATCCCCTCAGAAAACCCAGGCTGCTGAATGAAAATTCTCTGTGTAGAATCCTTTTTCCTCAATATCAATTGAAAAGCCAAGGTCCACAGAATGGCCCTCTTCTGAGGTGACTGAGGAGCAAGCAGAAAAGTTGATAACATCAATTACGTTCTGGTAAGAAGATCCACGCACTGATGGTTAAGGTGGGAAAGTAGCTGAATGCATGCAGGGGTGAAGTCTGAATTAATGAAGAGTGTTCTCTTCAAAAATAAGTCGCTAACTTTGCAAGATAGTTCCCCTGGGAATAACTTATATAATGTCAAAATATTGTAAATCAAGACAGGTATCACTTCAGGGCCTAAGGTGTGGTAGCCTGTGCATTAGAGGAAGCACTATTTCCTTTTGTGAAGAAAAAATACAGAAAAAATAATTGGCAAGAACCATGTATTAGTATTTAAGGGTCAAGATGAAATCACATAAAAAATTAGCTTTAGAGTCCCTTTCAAAGTTTCAAGTTCATGAGAAAGGATTATTGAAAAAAAAAATCACTATTTTTTTCTCTGTGCCCCAAAGAAGACAATGCAAAACATTCATTCCTAAAGCACTCACTGTGGTCTTATATGTAGAGTAGAACACACAAGGAGGCATGTACAGCTGTATTTAACAGTTTCTTTCATGGCACTTAGGGTTTTCTGTGTATTCAAGAGTGTTTTGGATAGTGTGGAAGGCTGTGATAGAAATGAAAATGAGACTGAATTTCTATATTACTTTCCCAGCGTTTCTTTGTGGCTCTGTTGCTGAGGTTAAAACCTGAATAAAGTCATGCCCCAAGCCTTTCAGTCTTTCAAGAGGGCAGAATATAGAAGCACTATTGAATAACCAAAATATACTTTCAAGAAAAGCATACATCACTTACTTGCATTTCTCAAATACCATGAAGAGGGTGGGCTTTGAAAACCACAGCAATGCTTTTTAAAGAACAACAAAACATTCTGTCCTTATTCTCCTCTCTTTCCATTGCTTCTCTTACACCACATTTTTTTTCCAAAAAAATTCTAGATAAAGACATTTCCTTCTTCCCTCACCCTGTCTGCTGTAGGTCAGCTATAGAAAGCCCATGGAAGAAATGGTTTTCTTGCTCTCACTGATTTTCTCAGGAGAATCATTCCTAATCTTAGTTCTGTTTTTTTGCCTCTACCTTTCCACCTCTGCTTTCCTGGCACTGGACTGAAGAGAGTAAGTGTTAGTCATTGTCCCAACACACAGATGAATGCAACAATAGGTTCCTAACTCAAACCTTTGTTTAACTTGTGTCAAAATGGTCAAGGGTGGTATATTGACAAAGTATCCAAGAATACAATCTCTTGCAGACAGTCAAGAACAAAGTCCAAATACCTTTTTTTCCAAACCCCAGATATCTGTAATGTTAGCTCTTGTATTTTTTATTTTGTGCACCAAATGAGATTGCACTGCTCATGTGAAAGCTAAAGCAATTTCAGATACCTTCATTACTCATTTATTGAATTGAATTGATTTAAAATAATTCTTGTCTCATGAGTAAGCCGAAATTATAGGCACAGTTGGGACAGACTGATGAGTAAGACAAGGGACTCAAAATGAGGTAAGAAAATTCACAGGAAGTAGAGTGATTATGGCTGTGGGAAAGAAGAATATAATAAGACTGAACTTTGAGAAGTAGATAATCTTTCTATGGGGTGGGAGAGAGGTGGATAAATACGGTCTAGACAAGTGGCCAGGCACAGACAAACAGGTACTGGCAAGATAGACTATGCTGATGGAGTAACCAAGTTTGTGAGTATATGAAAATAACGAGGGATGACATATGGGAATATTACACAATGATAAAGTTGGAATGTAAGTTATATGATTATTTTATGGGACATATTATTTATTGGAATAAAAATTATAAAAACTTTGTAATGGAATACTTCAAACCAGGATATAGGATGCCTTCTTCCACATGTCATATTTCAAAACTCCTTAAGAAGTTTTTGCTTTCATTTGTTGAGTAAGTCTGAGTGTGACATTTGACTTTGAAGGGAAGGGGGAATAAACTCCCAAAATTATAGTAATTTATTAACCTATCTTGCTGAGCTTTAAGGCTAAATCAAAGCTTTGTGTTACAATAGCGTTTGCTAAAGTTACAGAAGCCCTAAAGGATTTTAAAGTATTAAAGTATCTTTGTTTGTTTGATTTATGTCCTATATCCTTGGCCTTAAAAAATTCAGCTACATTTTATATTAAAATATTCATAAATATTTTATGAATATAACTTACACAGCTCAGCTTTCTGGGCCTGCTGATTTATCTACATTTTTTTTTCCATGAGCAATAGTTCTCCACGGTGGATGTGTGATCATCTTCCTATCATGTAAAGGTCTGAGGGTGGGTTTAAATTATAGTGATCTTTGTTTTTATCAGCGTGCATGAGACTGTTAATACATCTCACTTACTTACGAATAGATTTGATTATATGGATGAGCAGTTCTCTGTTCATTCAGTTACCAAAACAGAGCTAATCAACACATTCTTACATAAACTGAGACATAAAATTTGTGTTAAAATCCAATGGAGCAGCAAGCCACAAACCTGCTGCAAGCTTAGAGCTGCTAGATTTCTCAATAACTGTCCCTGTGGAACTTTGAGCCAAATAGAAAGCAAATCCAAATATATCTTTGTCACAATACCTTTGTCACCAAAATTTGGTTTGCTAGATGAACCTTTTAATAAATGAAACTTTAAGACAAAATGAGCTCTTAAACATGCTTATTATTACTGAAATTATGTTTGTTTTTGTCCTTGAAAAATTTAAATACTAGGCTTCCTTTTAATTATTACTTTTTGACTTCAGAATAAAAAAGATAAAATACTTATAACAGTTCCGGTGTCTTTAGACATTCTCATACCTCTTTCATTCCATTGTATTATTTGAGGATAATGAAAAAGTGGCATATAATGAAGTGAAACCCTGATTGGACTTTCCCAAAGAGAGACCAGGGCTAGATTTAAAGGTCCAACTGGAGGCAGTGTGTTGTAGGGTTTAGGTGCATAGACTCTGTTCAGGCTGTATGGGTTTGAAACTCAGATCCACCATTAAAGTTGAAACTCAGATCCACTCACTACAGCTGAGTGACCTTGGACAAGTCATTTATCCTCTCCATGACTCAGATTCCTCATTTAGTAAAATGAGGATAAAGATATAGTATTTATCTCTTAGTGTTGTTGGGAGAATTAATAAGCCAATACATTGAAAGCACTTAGAATAGTGCCTGACATTTAGCAAGCACATCATAATTGTTAGCTCTTATAATTAGAAGCCAGAATTATTTTGCCTTTCTTTATTGTCTTTCTCTGTTTCTGTCTCTCTCTCTCTTTCTCTTTCTCTCTCTTCATTCTTCCTATTTCCATGCAAAGTAATATTTGGAAAATACATTTTCATGATAATTTAAATAGCTGAATGAAATCAGGAAATTGCTATCAAGTATCCTTGCATGATTAGACCCAAATTCTTTCCACATCTGTTTGTGATACAGGAACCATTTGAGATTATAAAAATCAGAGCTCCATTTTGCAGGCCTTTCTGACTTTAGTTTACAGCTTTCAAGTTATTTACCTGGTGTACCTTAGTCAGCATTCCCCACAGCCTAGATGGATTGATCAACTGTGTCCACACACATAAATATGTCATTCTTAATGTCTTTTCCAGTTATTATGTAGGAAGTCAGAGATGAGTGAGATTAACAGAGTGAAAAACACCAGCTGTAATGATGCTCGATAAAGCTGTCAGATTTTAAGTCATGGGTTAGTAGCATATCCTGACTCTATAAATGAGATAAAATTTAAACCACACATTAAACAATGCTAGCCCCAGCAGCTCTTAGTGAATTGCAGTCTCTACTGAAAAGTTTCTGAAGAAATACAACATGCCTTCAGTGTGTTGTAGCTTGGATAAACTGAAAAATAGAAATGGTAGACATTTCAATTCTCTTTTGCCTAAGGTGAAACAAATTGTTGATATGTATAAGTTTTCATTCAAAAGAGAATTGACCCAAAAGAAAACACAATCATTATTTGAATTACAATGATTGTGTTATTTTGGCATGAAATTAGAATTTGCATAAGTTATACAGCTGATTCCTGTGTTATTTCAACTGGGGTACTAGCAAATTATTTAAGTGACTTTCTAAAAGGAAAAAATTCCCTGATTTGCAGTGTTTGCCAGTTTCCATTGTATAAACACTCCCACCATTGCCAATGTCAGCTACTAACCTGCTGTTGCTGAATTGCAGGGTTAGAAAAATGTGCATAGTTGGCCTCTGTGGGCCACTGGAGCTGCCTCCAGCACACCTGTGGTTGTTTCTTTTGCTCAAGAAATGCAGAGCAGACATGAATGTCTAAGAGCACCAGTAATGAAGAATCTGGCCATAAAACAGCAGACTTAAACTGAAACAGAGTCCAGGTAGCTGAATGATTCAGTGAACTAGAAGAAACTGGTCCTTCTGTACTAGAAAGAAATCAAAACTAGGGAAGCGGATTCCATTCTCTATGACACATGAAGACAGTCTACAGTTAATCAAACTAAACTAAGTTCCCATTCAATCTAATTTATTACTTTAGATCAGTTTAGATCAATCATAAATTGTTCTAGGTAATATGGAAGCTATTACTATGTGTAATAAGTTTTTATGACTACATATAACATTTTGTTTTTCTTATAACAAAGTTGTTCATCCCTCAGTTTCCTTATCCTTAGTTCCTAAGGTGGGTAGATGGTAATTACTTAGTGTTGGAGTTAATTGCTGAACACTTTGATCATTTTGGTTGCACAGGTTTAGGGGTACAAACTGCAGTTGAATCTCTCTGCTTATAACAAAGAGGAATTTTAAGGATCAAAGGAAAAACTCCAAAAAAATAAAAATAAAAACCAATGACTATCAGTATTATATGAGGGAAGCAGTGCTATAACAGGGCCTTTTTAACTGGCTATAAGGCAGCTCAGAGGCCTTTGAAGCAAAGCAATATATGAAGGGGATTTCAAGTTGTTTACTGTGAGGTGTGTAATATAGAGACTCCCTCTGTGTCTCATATGATGTCTTCAGTAAATTCTGTATTTCTCACTATTGCTTTTGTATGAGTATATTCTTTGGTGGACCTGGAAGCGAAGAGCCAATCATAGACAACTGATACTGAATTTACATCCATAAGAGTTGTATTCTTACATGAAAATAAATAAAATTTTCAAAGACTGCAAGTCTGTGAAACAGAAGGTCAAGAAAAACATAAACGGTAGTTCAGGTATATTGCTGTCTAGGAAATACAGTTTGAGGAATCCATCTTAGTGAAACTTCAGGTATTTATTCACCTCCGACTAGGGAAAATTACAGTACATGGAAAAAAAAACCTCTATCCCCTTTTGTAGCTTGGACACTGAAGACTAAAACCACCTACAAGCATTATTTTTTCATGAAAATTAACACGACATCATTCCGCAGCTGTTAGCACAGTCTTATTCTTCATGGATACCCTTGACCAGGTAAATACTTTATTATTCAGTACTTCACCCCAAAACATCAATTCCTCAATAGGAAGCACCAACATATTATTCTCTTAAACTCTTTGAAAACCTCAAAATCCTTACCTTGCCATTTCCATTAGTCCTAAACTATTAAATCATAATCCTTATCCAATTCTAAACAAGCTCTCACATTGAAAGATCTGCATTAAACCAAATTTCTAATTCTTAATAAAATCCAACTTTTCCTTTCCCTGTCTGAGATACTATCAAAGCTCTATTGAGGGTAAATCGTCTCTGTCTCTTATCTCTGTAAGCAATAAATAGTTGTGTCTTATCAATGGGCTATATTGGTGATATTTGATGATCTGGCATTCAACAACATCATTGCTGTAATATGAGAACAGAGCACTGGTTTATCATAGAGCTGTGACATGAAAAATATGACACCCTCAAATGAGTAGTTTGAGGAGAATGCAGTAGAAATCACTATTTACAAAGTGTGGACAGGATTTAATGAAATCAGATGTGATAGAGTGGGATAAAGACTAGTCCATCCAACACTAAAAGGATAACAGGATGGAGCAGGTACCATTTACTAGAACACACAGCCATAGAAGGCAGTATGGAGAGGGCCACTTTATGGGAGTGTGGCTTTAGGGACACAGACAGCCCTTGGCACACAGTAAGAGACCAAGGGCAATAATAGCAGGGCCTTACTCTACTCACTCCTTCCAGGCGCCTCCTGATCATCCCCACTGGTCAACTCCAACAGGATGTCAGAAGGTAAATTAACCCCTTGATGTAGTCCAAATAAATGAGACTCCTGGGGCAAAGAGAAAGGTGGAGAAGGGTGAAAGAAGAATCTAGAGGGACAAATGGAAGCTATTCTCAGAGATGGTTTCAAGATAGTGGAGTAAGCATGAACCAGTCTCCCATTTTCATAAAAATGCTGGAAAACACATATTCCCTATGACCTATTCCTGCAATGTCTCTCATTTTACATATACTGTGACAAGTTCAATTACACATATTTTGAGACAGGAGTTGCAGCTAAATTTTTATGCATAATAAAAAAGAGGCACTTCAAAGTCCAGAGAACTATGAGGAAGGATATAGAGGTTGTGTCTGCATGTGGTGTGGTATGTGTTTTAACATCCACAGATACATATTTGAAAACAAGAAGGTAATTCTCATTATGTCAGAAACTGGGAAATACCTGAAATCTGGAATCAACCTGTAGACCATGGAGTGAAATCATAGCAAAAAATATATATGTGAGCATGTTTTGATGCAGAATAGTGGGAGCATCAAGAATGCTCCATGCCCAAAGAGTGAGAAGCCAGGGGCCAGAGAAGTCTCAGGTGCAGACAAGAGGGTAATTAATTAGGGTATTATGGCAGAAACAGCAAGGTAGTCTGATGCCTACACATCGTCCACTTTGAGCTCCACCATGGATCAAGTAGCAATAATGATTGTACCTGCCTCTAGCCCAAAACAAATGTGTGCGTGAAAAAGTCAGAGATTGATGTCCGAAGACACCCAGATGGGATATGGACTATCCTGTGGCAGAACTCAGTTGTTGCAGCCTGAAGCATTCTTATTCACACCATTGAATATAGCAAAAACCATTGCGGATACTTTGCTGCCTGCCCATGTGAGTTGCTCAATTGGAGACAGCAATCAAGTGGATAGAGAAGGAACCAAAGAATAAGCACCCAGGTGAAAATCACAGAGTATTTGGGAAAAGCCAACACTGTGAAAGAAGGACAACAAACTCAGCAAATGCGAAATGCATATTTGAGGAAACAGTTGATAGAGCAATTTGACTAAAACTTTATATAATATGCTTAATGTTCTCAGAAGTATAAAAAATAAGGACAGTTCGATAAAAAAGAGCCACTTAGAGATTGTTGAAATTAAAAATAGAGTTGTTGAAATAAAAAAGTTAAAAAACAACAAGCTGAAGAGCAAAAAGGATTTAGATGAGGAATGAATTGCTGAATTGCTAAGCTGGAAGATGGCGCTAGGTTTTCTCAGAATATAGCACAAAGAGACAGAGATGCAAAAAAGGGAAAGTTAAGGCATATGGGGGATAGATCCAAAAGTTTCAAAGTCTATCTGAAAAACATGACAGCAGAAGGCAAATAAGAAAGGAAATTCATAGTTGAAAAAAAAAACCTAACAATTTATGAGAGTTGAAGAAAGAAATAATCAACCTTAAAAAGCCAAACAGGAAAAAATATTCAAAATATAAACACTGAGAGTCCCAGTAGAAAAAAATTTTAGAAAACCAAGGATATGGAGAAAACCCTGAACAATACCAGAGACAATATTGGATTAAAGACAAAAGAATCAGATCAGATTCAGACTTCTGATCAACACCACTGGTTACAGGAAGACAATGAATCAGTTTCTTCAGTAATTTGAACCTAAAACTCTATACCAAACTATCATTCAGTATTAAGAGAGAAATGAATACATTTTCAGATATACAAGAATTCAGTTTACCTCCCACAGAATCTCTGAAAAAAATATTAGATTACTATAGTTAAAAAGGAAAATAAAATAAGTCCTGTTAGAAATAATTGGTAAAAAAGCAAAGGTGATGAAAACTTATTGAAATATATTATTAAAGTAATTGTTAAAAATGTACACTAAATCTAGAATATATAAATGTAGCAGTTGTTAAGGGGAAGGGGAAATAGAAGTGGAAGAAAATGAACATTAGAACAAATGTTTAGCAGTGGGATTATTTTATTGGAAGTCTAATGTAAGAAGTATATTCTCCAGGGAGGTATTTCAAGGACATATGAATAGTAAAGGGATAATAAAACAACTCTATAAGGTAGTATTGTTAAAATAAAAATACAGGATTCCATATTTTCGGTCCTTGCTGCCAAATAGAAGCCATTGGAAAACTAAGACATTGATTGAGGAACAAGAATAAAAATTATCAGGACAAAATGGAGCATTTAAATTGGATTCTTCACTGTTCATATGAATGTAAGAAGGCTGTGGTGGTGATAATATAGTACAGTGTTTAATTATTTAAATTACTTATAATCTTTGTCCACACATTTACAGCTACATTCAATCCCTAACCTGTGCCAGCTTTCTAACTCGCTCTGAATAAATTATACCACTGCCTTCATGAATTGTACTTCTGTCATTGGCACAACCTAGGACAATCACTGTTGTCTTTTCATAAAGACATTTTTCTCGGCATCATGATACTGTCCTGTGCTTTTCTCTCTTTAATGAAATTTTCTCATTTTAGTATCAGTGTTTTCCTGAACAACTGGGTTACTTTGGTAAATAATATGCAAATAGCAAATGCCTATTTGTTGGATAAGTATCTTTTAACAACTTTAGCTGTTAGAATCTTAGAGCCAGATTAGTGGTAGTATGTGCTAAGTGTACAAATCCCCCTTCTATTTCTTTAACCCATATTTTCCCTTCAGTTGGATTTCCAATTGGCAAGCTATCTTTCACTCTCAGTTGCCACTGACTGTGGGGCTGAGATTTAGACTCTCAATAGAAAGAGAAACATTATCAGGAACACATCCATTTAAACAGACTCCCTCATTTCAGAAATTTTAAAATTAGAGGAAAGAATGTTGCTTAGAATTAAACACATTTATCTTATTCTTTTATATGATACATATTTTTGTAAACCAGCTCAAATTTCTAGAAATAGGATACAAATTTAATTCAATAAAGGACCCTATCGCTAGTTTTTTTAGTATCAAGAGAAAAGCAGCCCTTAGCAGGCAGTTATGTGTTTTCAAGACAGTAATTTACCAAGTTGAAATTCCTTAGCAGATAATAGTTGATGATTCCAAAAATATGTTTTATATAAAAGCTTATAATCACTATATTGCCGTGTTCAAGCAAGAGTTTATGTTCTGGAAATATAGGGATGGGAGATTGGTTACGTTTCAGTAAGTTGTCGCATTTGCTATGGTTTTGGAAAAGAAGCTGGCTGTCTACTCACTGGATTCTTCTGTGATATTGCTGGCAAATAAGCTCCCTGCTGCTGAACCGGGTTTTTTGCCTTCTTTGTATTGCTGCCTCCTTCTGGCCCACTGGTCAATTGCTTCTCCCTGGGAACCATCACTAGCTCTTCCACCTCTTGGAACCAATTCCTGGGATAACTTTCAGAGACTATTTATTTCCAAATACCAATCTAGATTAAACCACATTAAATATGTAAGTGAGACAACATTTTCAAGATAGATAAATCAAGATAGAAATATCATATAGTCCAATCATTGAAACATATAATTACAGTAGACTAGGACTAGATAATTTCATTCAACTTTTTTATGGTTCACTTTCAAATTTGTATTACTTAACAAAAAGAGCCATGTATCTTTAAAAAAAACACTTATGTGGAGAAAAAGGTGGGGAGGGTGATCACCAAGCATTGCCTCAGTGGATTCAATTCAACAGGTATTCCTAGGGTATTAGTAGTATGCTTGATACTATATTAGTTACTGTGGAGAAATGCAAGTAAATTGTTAAGTATGTCCCCTAAACTCTCAGTAAAGAAATAAAATGTTATTACCTGAATAGCATGTGTAATTATAATCTATGATATTGAATTTTCTATGAAACTCAAGTACTTATGGTTTTAGTTTTATTAATCAGGAGTATACAAATTTCATAATACTTCTGCTGCATATGCTGGCTAAAAATGAAGAAAAGTAAAAAAATGCCAAAATGCATGAAGGCTTTGTTAATTTTATATCTGAAACAATAGCAGCTTGAAATACTTTATATAGTTCCAAACTGCTGCTTTCTGTCATCACAAACCATGACATCATGAAACTGTGTATTAGGAGGAAGAAACCCCAAACTACTGCAGTACAATCAAACTTTTAAAAAAGTAACTGAAAAAAGTAAAAACAACAACAACAACAACAAAAATAGGAGAACATATAATACCTAGAAAGTAATTTAATGGGTTAGAATTAAGATTTTATTTGATGTTACCTTTTGATACTGTATGAAAGGCAGGCAATATACATTTTAAAAGAGGCCAACTCTTGACCTTTACTTTTATTCTATTCCCAGCAGCAAATGAGTACTTATAATTGGATCTTTGCAAATTAAAATCTAATTTATCAATATCAAAATTTATTTTCAGAACTATTTAAATAACAAATGGGATATATCTATGAAGAAATAAGCATCTTTATTTTTATATATATATATAATTATTAATGATCCATTTATGTAACAACTTAAACTTCACTTGTCAGAGGCCTGGCAAGGTGGCTCACACCTGTAATCCCAGCATTTTGGGAGGCTGAGGAGGGAGGATTGCTTGAAGCCAGAGGTTTGAGAACAGCCTGGGCAACATAGCAAGACACCCATCTCTAAATTTTAAAAATAGCTGGATGTGGTGGCATGCGCGTGTTGTCTGAGCTACTCGAGAGGCTGAGGTGGGAGAATCGCTTGAGCCCAGGAGTTTGAAGCTGCAGTGAGCTATGATCACACCAGTGTACTCCAGCCTGTGTGACAGAGTGAGACCCTGTTTCTAAAAAAAAGAATAAAATAAAATTCACTTGTTAAGGTTAAACAGGTGAGGAGAAAGAAGAATCATTACCTAATTCATTTTCCATTACTTTGCGGTGGACTCCTACCTCTTATGAGGGTGACAGGAAAACAACATTCATTCGATAATATTCAGTGTTCACTTTCTACATACTAATTTCTGTCGTGTTGGTTATTGGAGCGGTCACAATGAGCAAGATGGCTTTTGCTCACTAGAATGTTACAGAGTGGTGGAACTTTTAAAAATAATATAGAACTGATCTCTGGCCATTTCTCCAATGCTTGTTCTAGTTCCGCTATTTTTTGAGATTGAGAGTGTAGGTTAACTATGAAGGCATTCATGAGGAGGATAATTTTCTGATATCAAATACTTTACGTGTAACAGCAATTCTTTTTTGAAAGTGTGGAGTATAAAAGAAATCTTATGGACCTAGGAAACTGTGTATGATAATATGGCCCTGGGATATGGTGGGAAGACTTTTCCTCCAGGATCTTTTCATATACTTTTGATCTTTTCAAATTAGGGGAAAGTATATGTTCTACAGTGTGTTTTAAAATGTGATCTGAAAACGATTGAAATGCCCACCAAGTACAAAGTACCACTTCCACTGTCCTGCTTGGTATTTGTGGACTCTTAGGTTTGCAAAGAATATAGAAGGTGATTTGTTCTAACGAACCTCTCTATGCTCAAAACATTTCTACCAAATTTCTACCAAGTAATCATTCAATATATGCTTGAACACTTCCCAGACTCAAATTTATTCCCTATTGAGTCAGTCTAATCCTTGTATACTACAATATGATAGAAAGTTTTTATGTGATGCATTGAATCTATGTCTCAGTAATCTTCCTTCACGTGTGAGCCTCCCCTTTATTCCATGAATACCCAGTAGATATTTATCAAGTCTTTCAAGGAGTCAGGCAATTTGTTTGTACTGAAATGAAGACATTCAAATCTCTTGAGGGACTCTGTTAAAATGCACACTTATCACTTTGTAGCAACAATATATTAATCCACTAAAAAGCACAAATGTTTTATCAGTTGCTATGGTTTGAATGTATATGTCCCCCAAAATTCATATGTTGGAACCTAAGATCCAATGTGATATTATTAAGAGGTGGGGCCTTTAGAGATAATTAAGTCTTCAGGGTTCTGCTCTCATAAATTGGCTTAGTACTCTTTAGAAGGGCTAGATTAGGCCTTTTTGCCCTTCTGTGTATGCCATGTGAGGACGCAGCAACAGGGAGCCATCTTGGTAGCAGCAAAATGCTTAATACCTCACCAGACACTTAATACTGGCACCTTGACCTTAGACTTCTCAGCCTCCAGAACTGTAAAAAACAAATCTATGTTCTTTATAAATTACCCAGTCTCTGGTATGTTGCTGTAACAGCACAAATGGTCTGAGATACCAAACATGAGTGTGAAAGTGGAAAGCTACCACCTTGAAAGCCAGAGCAGGGCCTGGGAAATGAATGGGAAGACCACAAAAAAGAAGCAGATCTGGGAGGAGCCCTGCTGGAGAAAAGCAGAGCGTTGCCGCTGAAACTGGGATCTTGGAATGTGCGTCTGCTGAGAAATGTTGAAGTGGGCACGGGTGTTGAAAGCTCCTGATTTCACCAGAAGTCAGTTTGCTGGAAACTATCCCAACAGTTGTATTCTGCTACGTGAAATGAAATAATTTTTTATTCATCTTTTTATTCCCAGTGCTTGGTGCAGAGCCTGGGACCACAAACTTTCTCAGATTTGCAGTCCTCTATAACTTTGTGCCTTGATGTGAACTCTTAGAATCACTCCTATTTTAAGAGAAATAAAACATTTCACACATTGTATGTAAGTTTTGTGTTATATTACATACAAAGGGCTGTTTATGGCTATTTCTATGCCATGTAAAAATATCATCTAATCCTTCTCATTGTCTGTAATTTTCTCAGGCTAGCCTACTTTTGGTTTCCTCATTACATTTTTTTATGATATAGAATTTCTGGTTCTTTGGCAGAGCTCTTAAAGATATATTCACACCATTAACAGCTGAATAAATGAAGCCTTGAGCAACTACTTTTTTAACCCAACAACGTATAGCCCTTACCTGGCAGAGGAAGAACTTAGTGTTTAGTTATTAAAGGTTTGACTGGTATCTGGTATCTTTCCTTTATAACATGATGGCTGTTACTTCCTGCCACACCCCCCATACCACACCCACCTTCTCTTGTTTATCTAGTTCAGAGGTCACAGATTGCTTACTTTGTACTGTGTCTCCCAAATCTCATGATCTGCAGACTCATACATTAAAGAATCCAGGTCTCCTGCTATTTGGAAGTCAGAAGGCCTGTCTGTACTGGACCTGCGTTTTCCTTCCCTTAGGACACACTCGCTAGTTCACCAACACTCCAGACTTGCTCACATACAGCCTGCTTTACTCATTTACATCACCTGCCTGGCCCCTGTAGACAGTTCACATTGTGACGTCTAATCTAGTTGATTCCTAAACGCACACACATGGTGGAAGGAACTACACAAATATTACAGTGAACACTCATGTCAGGGACTCCGAATCTGAGGCACATGCATGGATGTTAAGGGGTTAGAGGATCGCTTTTCAAAATGTAAGTGTAAGTTTGTGCCTATATCAATTTTATAATTTTCTGGTAAAAACAGTCCAAAAGTATCCCAGTTTCTCAAAGCAATACACTCCCTGAAAAAATTACCCAGTTCTAGCCTGAGATATCAGTAATATGAAGACAATAATGTTGAATAAAGTATAAAGATATTCATAGTTCTAGGAGAGTTAAATCTATGCAAACATTTATAGATTCAAATATTTTGTATTAATATTATAACTGCTGAACTATGTTCCTGGTTTTGTTGTTGTTGTTGTTGTTGTTTGTTTTGGTATGTGAACTATTCAAAGAAATCTGATGTGACTTCCCTGCATTTATTTTTGCATTCAATAAATATTTGAGCACCTATACTACAGGACAGGTACTATCTAATTTTATGAATATAGCAATGATCAAAACAGGAAAAATCCATGCCCTCCTGGAACTTATATTCTAGTGAAAGAAGACAGAACAAAACAAAAATAAACCAGTAAAATATATAGCAGATTAGAAGGCAAAAAGTGCTATGTATAAATGGAAAAAGGATAGCGTTTGCCTGGGCTGTAATGAAGATGGTTCAGTTTGCAATTTTAAATGGAGTGGTCTGAGAAGACCTTCCTGAGAACATGCTGTGTGAGCAAAAATCTAAAGGAGATGAGGAGATGAGAATGAACCATGTAGACATATAGGGGAAGACTGGTCCAAGTAGTGGGAGCAGTCCATGCAAAGGGCCTGATGTGGATCTGGGCTGGAAGGTTCTAGGAAGTAAGTCAATATGGCTGGAAGAGTGATCAAGGAAAAGGATACAGGGAGAGAGTTGTAGGAATAGCCTTTTGATGAATCAGTAACACAGGGAACCAGTAGCTGGAATTGTTTACCAAATGGGACAGTTTCAAACTCTGATGTGTAATATCAGCTTTGAGAGAATTCTGACTTGAATTATTGATTTTCTTAAGAAATGTTTCCCGCTGGGAGAGGTAGGACAGGGAGGAACATGCCTCTGGGGGAAGGAGAGTCAACTTGGGAGATATATTCATCCAGGTGAGCATGTGTTTCCTTTGGGAGGCACAGTTGTTCTTACTGCAGGTTCCCTTGCAGTTCCAAATAACTATAGACTGAAGTCAGTGTTGGGATTAATGTCATTGATGCTGATTTCTGGATGGATGTTGGCACCAGGAAGCAGTCCCCATGACTGATGGTCCTTGCTTTAGGGTGTTCATATCAAGCAGATGACCATAGAGTTTTCATACTGTTTTAGGGCATTTACTCTCTACAAAACAAATTTCACATTTTATTCTAACAGTTATGTAATTGATTATGCTTTTTGTATTTTATTTCTACTTCTAAATTTTACTAATTTCATTCAAAAATCTAGAGACAGAACTACAAAGAAAATATACCTTCTCCTTTAAGTTTCATCATTCCAAATATAATTTCTGAAGCTATTAGGATTATTACCAGCAGTTTAGAAGACAGTTTTTACTCATTCAAAATGTATTTTAATTTACAATATGGAATAATGCTAACATTAAATATAAAATAATTTGGACTCATTTAAAAAAACAAGGGCCTTCTATGAAGTGACAAAAATGATATAGTGCTGATTTGAGATTGAAAGCAGACAGGCAGAATTATGTACTTAGGAAAGAACTTCCATCTTGGCCCTACTTGAGGTCTGGAGAGCTTCTGGGTTCTATCAACAATTTGGTCCAAGTAATGCACAAGGGAGGTCAGAGGTCTGCTGGAGGTCAGAGGCCCCATGGTGGCTCAGTGAGGATTAGGCAAGGTCGTTTCTGTTTTTTGTCCTTTGTTGTAATTACTATTCCACATGGCCTTCCAAGACATACATACAATGCCTCTGTAACACCACAGCAAGATTTAAAAATATATTTTATTACAAACATATTCTTCCTATTCTTCTGAACATGCTTAGCTTGCAAGAAGGAAAGAAATGGTGGATTATTTAAGAGTGGCAAAGACTAACATTTCCTACAAAATTGATTTGGCAATATATCAACCTTTTAAAGAGAAATTGATTTTTTTTTTTTTTACATTAAACTGCAGGCTTGAAGATGCACTATTTATGGGTGGAGTGGGTGATAATGTAAAGAAACAGACTGATATATGCTTGCCCGTGTTCATCTAACTCTAAAATATATAATATATCTTTAGCAATAAAGAAAACATCCCAAGCAATTTTAAAAAAGCCCTCATCTTAAGACTTTCCAAAGCTAAAATATATAAAAAATAATGAAAGTTAATGATTCTGTATAGCCCACCATACCTTTCAAAGCTTGCTTCTGAGGTGGCATCAACGTGTGTATTTGGTAACAGTAATTTTCCTTTGAGTCATTTTTGTTCTCATCCTCTTCAGTATTTGGCCCTGTTGATGCAATCCTTTGGCACTGTGCTGGCTCCTGTTTAAAACTAGTTAGTCCAAGGTTTTCTTTATCTTGGTTACCATGTAGGTCCACATCATTGGTCAGTGTTTTTTCAATAAGAAACAGATTATCTGAAGCACACACTGCACAGTTGGACTCAGCAGTGTTTGCTGAAAAATGCATTTGAAAACAGACTTTGTCACGATTCTCATTTGACAGGTCTTCAAAATCTCTGTGGTATGCATTATTCACCACGGGTATTATCTGGCATTTGTCTTTTTCAACATTTTCCAGAGAGCTGGGTGACTCTTTACGGTTTTTCATTCCCATGGGACAATTAGAAACAACTAGTTTCTTTATCATCTTGAATAATCAATTTTTGCTCTAACTCATCAGTTATGAAGGTCATAACTAGTGCTTTTGTTTTGGTCGGGGCTGCTATCTCTGGATGACTTGCTGTGACTCTGTTTGGTTCCATTCCACAGTGCTGTGGCTAATACCGTTGCGTGGGCTCTTAGCTGCTAGGCTGCTGCCAGAAGCAGGCCTGAGATTAAGACACAGTGTAATCTTCCTTTCCAGTAGTTGCTGTGCTTTAGCATGAGAGTCACTATGTAAAATGGCTTTGTTAAAGTCTCTGTCAGTCACATTAATCTGCTCCTTCTCATAATCTATCACACACTCAGCACAATGATTAAAAGAAAATGTACTCTCAGGGTTTTCCTTAGGTTTCAAATGTCTGGTGGCCCAGTGAGGTGGGCTGAATGAGGTGCAAGACTGCAGAGAAGTTTGAGTGGGAGGGAAAGATACAGAATTTGAGTTCTCACAGCATTCTGCAGGTGGAGTCTTGCTTCCTTTGCAGTAGATGTTGGCTACCTTTGCTTCTGTGAGCTACATACTCACAGAAGATGAAGAACTAAAGGTGAAGTTTTTGCCATCTTGAGTGGAAAGATGTCAGTAATGGTACTTGGCAAATAATTTATTCCTTCTGTGCTTTGCTGTACATGTGAGTCTGATGTGATATTTCCTGGGATATCAAAGTTGATTTTTCTCTCTTTTTCCACATCCTTAGAATCCTCGAAAGGCATTTTACTTAAATCTGCAGTACTTAAACTTGTGGTCTTTTGGGTATTATGTGAAGTAGGAAGAATTTTTTTGAGAAGAGTCTTAGACTCAGAGAAATGTTTCTTTCTGGGGGTGTTCTGACTAATTTTAAAGACCTTCTGCCGAGAGATAGCAGATTCTACCTCACAGTCTTCTAAGACTGTAGATAGTGTGTCAGGCTTATTTTTCTTTCTCTCCAGAGTCGAGGTTAGATAAATCACCACTGTATCAAAATTCTTCTCCTTCTCGACAGCACACATGCCAGGAGAAGAGACACACAAACAATCTCAACTCTGATGCTTGTTTTCAAGCTGCCACATTTCAGGATACCTAATACCAGACTGTGAGGGAGACCTGAAAGTTTCTTTAGTGGTGTGATTGGAGGAAATGTTTCTGTATTTAGTTACTTTTTTCCTTTCTTTTAGGATGAGTTATATTAATTAATATATTCTGTGTCTTAGTCATGTAGTTGACTTTAATTTCTTTTCTTTCAATGGTTACTTTCAGCAAGGGTCTGTCGGTTCTGGCAATTTCTCCTTCATGTTTAGACAGCACCTCAGGTTTTAGTTCTTCCACCAATATATTCTTATGTTTAGGAAAGCAGCTCCTAGAAGGGTAGCATCTCTGAATGTGTCTGATAGAGCAACGCTGGCAACATTTTGGATGTCTCTTTTTTTGTTGGGAACTGTATTCCTGGTTTACAGACAAAGTTTTTCTTGATTTCTATTTGCACATTGAAATCCCCACGTTTCACTTCTGTAATAAATTTGCCTTTTGCTGGCTTAAAGTCTTCTACTGTGCCTAGGAGATTCTGTAATGTAATGTTTTCTGATAATGATTCTCCATAGTCATTAAATGTGATCATAGGTAAGACTTTCTCCAGTTGATGAGAGACAGCCAAAGGAGGATCATCATTTCCCTTCTTCCTATGTATTTTGCTGTCACATGGATGCTGTTTCTTATCTTTAGGAAGAAAAGAAGAATTCTGCTTTTCATTCACAGAAGCAGACATACCCTCATCTCCATTTTCCTTAGATTTCCCTAATGTCCCAGTCTGATGAAACACAGGCTCCAAGGTGTCTCCTTTGACTTCCTTTTCAAGAACTTTTATATTTTCTTGGCATGCTCAGCCAGCAGGCTGAGATACACCTAAAGAGGAAGCAAAAAAATAAAAATTGGAAAGGTTTACGTGTTCATTTAGAGAACAGATGTTCCAATTTCTAGAATAAAATGCAATGCAAATCCTTTGTAAGTATTTTGGGTATCGGTTTTCATTCATTTATAGCATGTCAAAATGTTTTTCACAAAAGTTCATTTATAATAAATACATCACT
The DNA here is from genome assembly GCF_000001405.40 of Homo sapiens. Lineage (NCBI taxonomy): Eukaryota > Metazoa > Chordata > Mammalia > Primates > Hominidae > Homo > Homo sapiens. The sequence continues at coordinate 103,528,647 of NC_000005.10, forward strand.
TTAAATCAACCAATTCTCTTAGAGTGTAGAAATATCACCAGTAGTTTTATGAAGTAAGAATTTAATTAAGCTGTACTCTAAAACAGCAACTTGCAAAAGTGGGTGAAATGAAAATTTCACAAGAAACATATGCAACTAAATTTTAAGTGCAACTCTTGAAAAAGAACAGCTTGCTATATGATCAGGTATTTGAACATGGCATTATACTACAGGCTAAGTCAAGCTCAATACAATTTGAGATGGTACTACAAATGAAGATGTGGGTAAAAAGAATGGAAGAAACATAAGTATGCTTTTAGACAGACTTTCAAACATGTCCAGTAGTATCCTTTGCCCTGGGCTTTTTATAGAATAGGTTCACAAACTCAAAGTCTGTGGCATTTAAACAGGTAACATAAACAAGTGAAGCAGGCTGGGTATACATATTCTCTGCTAGTCAGCTCCAGCCACGTGAAAAGGTGTCCTGGTGTTACTGGATCATCTCATTTTTCCAGAAGAGAACTAGAATCTGGATTTTTTCCTATACTGTAAAATTTCTTAATTTCTAAGGATTAGTTCAAAAATTTAAAACAACAACCCTCTATAGGTGGAGGCCAGTATACTTAGGGACCAGCTTTTGCCCAAGAACTACCAGCTTGCAACCTGCACTCCTCTGTTTTATATTAAAATACATTCCTATGAGAAGCTTGTGAACCTGAGCATGAGGCACCAGAGCTTGTGTAAAAAACAGTGGACAAAAATATCTCAAATTCTATTTTAAACTACATCTGAGATTATTTGTTAAGAAAGAAGAATAGGCAACAAGTGAATACTTATATCATAAAGATTGATGAACCAGGTGTCAAAAAGGACATTTTTAAAAAGTTAAGTTTAAAATTGGAATGGATTATTTATACATTTATTTTAAATGTTTTTAACTTAAAATGATTTTTATTTATACTTATAAATTTTTACATAAAATGCTTATAATTATATAAATACTTATATAGAGAATAAATTCTCTTCAACAGGAAAAAGAACAGCATCGAGCATACTGAGATCACTTGAGGAGTCTAACCATTCCCATTTGCCTCTCTTCTAGCCTGTAGGAAGGTCTCTCTTGTCAGGTACTGAAACAGTTTCCAGTGGGCCTGGTCACAATCTGAGCTCTGTAATGTGGAAGTCATAAGAGAAAAGACATGGAGACCTATCTCTCTAAAGGCCATTTACAATAGACCATGGACACAATAACAGTTTATAGACTGATGGACTGCCTTCCAGAACTGGACTTTATTCTTTAAATAACATCTTCATGCCAAGAGCCATTCTGTTTATACCCCTTTCAATTTTATAATTTTATATTTTATAGCCCCTTTGAATTGACTACATTTTAATTTCTGCAAAAAGGGATATAGAGCAGAGAAAGTTACATAATAATGCATTGATAACAGATTCTAAGAATAATGGGTCCTAATAGTCCATATCTGAATATTTTTATTTAGATTTTTATTAGTTATAATACATATCATTAATGCAGAAGTATATAAATAGTAACTATAGACCAAGCTTCAAAATCATTTTATATGTTTTTATCTTCCTAGTTTTATAGACAGTCCTGTGATAAAGAAGAAAGTACATAAACTAAGCAGTTCATTTTTTACATACTTAGAAAATCATTGAATTGGACTTACATACTGTGGTATTCAAGATTTCCCATTTTTTACAGCCTTTTCTTCTTTTCCTCATCATTTTGGGGAGTTGTGGGTCTTCAGTTTTCACTGCCCTTTGAAAACAGCAAATAAATTTGAAATTATTTTCCCATCAGAATTTAGGTTTAGTCAAATTACTGAGTAACTCAACTCACTTGCCAACTTGATAGCATGGGTATCTGTCTGTGGTATCCCCACATGCTTTTCCTTTAAATATATTTTATTGTTGTAATTACATTAACCTTTTTTGTTTAGTTCCATCTCAACTATTTAGTGCATTGTTAGATATATATGTACATGTGCATATAAATGAATATTCAAACATATAGATATGTAAAACATATACACATATATTCGTATTTGTAGACATTTAGGATGCAAGTTGATGCATATTGTTTAATTATTTTTATGTTTCATTGTTTCCTATATTAATAGAAACACACAATTTTTTGTAAAGTTAGCCTAAATCCAATATTATGAAATTTGTAGCCCTGCTAAAAATTAAGTGGGGTAGGGAGATGGTTTGCCTTCATTACACTGTCATTATATATAACCATATTTAAATATTATGACTGAGTAAACATATTGGTAGAGTTGGTAATTCATTGTAGAAGACCAAATTCTTTACCTTAACTGTGAAAGAAAGGGTTATATTCTCTGTTGATGATGTCTTAACTAATAGAAGATGTTGGAGAAGGCATCTGCGGGAAGGCCATCTCCTAATTTCCCAATTATCACCTCAAGCAGGCACCTGCCTGTGCTCAGAGCTAAGCCTGATTCTAATTGCTTTACTTTAAAAGAATTAATCTGTCTGTAAAGATGAAAAGGAAATAGTTTCCCATGGAGGCAGTTTGCTTTAGGTGTATTTGGCCAGGCTGTGTCTTTGGACACCTCAGTCAAAAAGCTTGACTCTTATTTGTTTTATGTAAAATCAGGTTGCTTTGCGGCTAGTTTTGGCAAAAATTTATTAAAATTCTTCATAACTCATCTCTCTCCTCCAAGTCATAATATCTGTTGATTTAAAATACTTTTTATTCCATAGCCTCTCCAAATCTCTTAATTTTCTGAAAATTCTGCTTCCCTAGGCTGCCTTTCTTATATAGAGCAATTGATACTCTCTTGGCATCTTTCAATTAACCTGTCTACATTCTCCTGCAATAAGCAAAACTACATTCCTGTGGCTGATGAGGTGAGCAGTAATCCACTCTTCTTAGAAGGCCAATGTGGGGATTGGGTTGCGCAGAGGATTACAAATGCACAATTTAATATCTTTCTTTTTTTATCCCTGTCTTACACATATTGGGTTTTCTAATTTAAAAACGCTTCAAAGGCATTTGACTAGGTATAGATAGTATAGAAAAACGTATGGAGGTTACTCAAAAAATTTAAAAAAAACACTACCATAGGATCCAGTAATTCAACTACTGAGTATGTATCCAAAGGAAATGAAATAAGTATTTCAAAGAGATATCTGCACTCCCATGTTTTATTGTATAGCTATCACAAGTCAAGATATGGAATCAACGTAAGTGTCTAACAACAAATGGAGAAAGAAAATGTGGTATATATACATAATGGAATATTATTCAGCCATAACAAATGGAATCCTGCTATTTGTGACTACATGGATAAACCTGGAGGACGTCATGTTAAATGAAATAAGCCAGACACAGAAGGACAAATACCATGTGATCTCATTCATATGTGGAATCTTTAAAAAAAAAAAGTTGATATAATAGAAGCAGAGAGTAGAACAGTGGTTATCAGAGATTGGGGAGAAGAAGGGGTTAGGAAGGTGGGGAGCAGTTGGTCAACGGGTTCAAAGTCTCAATTAGATTGAACCAATGAATTCTGGTGTTCTGTTGCACACTAGGGTGACTGTGGTTAACAGGAAAACATTGCATATTGCAAAACAGCTAGAAGAGAGGCTTTTTGAATGTTCTCACCACAAAGAAATGATAAATGCATGATGTAATGGACACACTAACTACCTTGATTGGATCATTACACAACATAGCTATGTACTGAAATATTAAATTGTACCTTATAAATTTGTACAATTACAGGGCCAAATAAATAAATACTTTTTTTAAAAGCACATGACTAGGTTAGTGATTATTTCTCAATGGTTTCACATAGTTTAAACAGAAAAATGTAGCCTGCTGCACTGAGTTTAGTTGAGAGCACTTGACTTTGACTCAGAATATCTGGGTCTGTACCATGGCTCTGCTGCTCACTCAGCAGGTTGTGTCATATCTGTGAGGCTGAATTTCCTTTACCTCTAAGATAGAAATGCTAACAAAATTTAACTTACAAAGTTGTCTTGAATAAACACAACTGAAAACATTATCAATGGTTCCAGTGAAATGGTACTTGCTATTAACCTCCGTTACAGTATATATACATAACAATTAAAATATACCCTTAATTAGAGCTGAGCAGTGGCTGGCTTTGGGAGACTTGCCATCTTATCAGAGCTGCAGGTGAGGGCTTCAATAAAGCTGACCAAACCATACATTATTTTTGCGCTAGAATGTCTAGAAGTTTTCAAGATTATCTCATCCAAAGCTCTCAATTCGGTATGTGAAAAACTGGGACCCAGACCATCCGTGCTTCCTGAATCTCACTAATGGTGGCAAACCACTAATTAAGTAAGCTCTCTCTTTGAGCAGACACACGTGGTATAGATGCCTTGGCAATATGGTTAGGCTTTGTCAAATTCCCCACCCAAATCTCATTTTGAATTGTAATCCCCAGATGTTGAAGGAGAGACCTGGTGGTAGGTGATTGGATCATGGCAGAGGGGGGCGCTGTTGTGGGAAGCCAGGAACCCCAAATGGAGGGACCGGCTGAAGCCATGGCAGAAGAACATAAATTGTGAAGATTTCATGGACATTTATTAGTTCCCCAAAATTAATACTTTTATAATTTCTTATGCCTGTCTTTACTGCAATCTCTGAACATAAATTGTGAAGATTTCATGGACACTTTTCACTTCCCCAATCAATACCCTTGTGATTTCTTATGCCTGTCTTTACTTTAATCTCTTAATCCTGTCATTTTTGTAAGCTGAGGAGGATGTATGTCGCCTCAGGACCCTGTGATGATTGCGTTAACTGCACAAATTGTTTGTAAAGCATGTGTGTTTGAACAATATGAAATCTGGGCACCTTGAAAAAAGAACAGGATAACAGCAATGTTCAGGGAACAAGAGAGATAACCTTAAACTCTGACCGCCGGTGAGCCGGGTGGAACAGAGCCATATTTCTCTTCTTTCAAAAGCAAATGGGAGAAATATCGCTGAATTCTTTTTCTCAGCAAGGACATCCCTGAGAAAGAGAATGCATCCCTGAGGGTAGACCTCTAAAATGGCCCCCTTGGGTGCGGCCGTCTTCTATGGTTGAAACTGTAGGGATGAAATAAGCCCCAGTCTCCCATAGCACTCCCAGGCTTATTAGGATGAGGAAATTCCCGCCTAATAAATTTTGGTCAGACCAGTTGTCTGCTTCAAACCCTGTCTCCTGATAAGATGTTATCAATGACAATGCGTGCCTGAAACTTCATTAACAATTTTAATTTCGCCCCGGTCCTGTGGTCCTGTGATCTTGCCCTGCCTCCATTTGCCTCATGATATCTTATTACCTTGTGAAGCATGTGATCTCTGTGACCCACACCCTATTAATACACTCCCTCCCCTTTTGAAAATCACTAATAAAAACTTGCTGGTTTTATGGCTCAGGGGGCATCACAGAACCTGCCAACATGTGATGTCTCTCCCAGACACCCAGCTTTAAAATTTCTCTCTTTTGTACTCTGTCCCTTTGTTTCTCAGACCGGCCAACACTTAGGGAATATAGAAAAGAACCTATGTGAAATTGGGGGCAGGTTCCCCCGATAGGGGGCAGTTTTCCCCATGCTGTTCTCATGATAGTGAGTTCTCATGAGATCTGACAGTTTTGTAAGTATTTGGAAGTTCATCCTTCATACACTCTCTCTCACCTGCTGCTATGTGAGACGTCCCCTTGTGCCATGATTGTGTTTCCTCAAGCCTCCTCAACTATGTGGAACTGGGAATCAATTAAACCTCTTTTCTTTATAAATTACCCAGTCTCAGGTAGTGTCTTTATAGCAGTGTGGAAACAGACTAATACGCTTGGATTGCTTCTGACCATACAGAGCAAATTTTATAGTCAGTTTTCACTTTAGCATTGAGAAAGCACAACTTTGTTCCAGAAAATTGAATGTACTGTTTCATATGAACCTAGTATCTAGCACAGTGCCAGACACATAATAGGTACCTAATAAATATGCATGAATAAATAAATTAGATAGCACCAATCTGTACCTAACTATAGTTTTAATAAAGTGCCTTCTTGTATTTTTAAATATACTTTCCTTTTACATTGTATTTAATTTGTCGATAGTTAAAATTCTGTTTTTAAAGAAATAAATTGCTCATATTTTTTCCTACTTGTTATCTCTGTTGCTCTGTACTTGCATAAGAGGCATCCATATCAGCTGATGGCAGTGTCTGAAATCACTGGCTATAGGGGTACTATCAATTCTATTTTAATTGAATGGCAGCAAACATTTCTTCCTTTTTGCCTGTTAAACATGGCATGGCTGTAGCTGCATTTTCTAAATTGATCCTAAGCAAAATGAGGAGTGGGAGAAGGTATTCTTTAAAATATCAGGCTTCTGTTTCTGTACCTCTCTTGTCCTGTATGACCCTCTTCCTTCAATATGGTTGACCATTTTATGCTCTCTCCAGCCTCTCTCCCTATTTTAGAAAGGCCTATATAAAGATATAATAAAATGCTTAGAACATGAGCAATGTAGCAACACCAAAGAAAGTTTTGGACTATTAAATAATTTGATATTTGATTTTTCAAAACATTTTAAAATAGTCACTGTTAGAAAAAGTAGAATATTGTTGAACTTCCTCACACATGGTTTAGAATTTGTCATTTTAATTTCACATGGAGACACCAAAATTATTTTAAAGCTTTTCTACAATGATTTCATAATATTTACATATTTTCTATCTCTAAAACTATTTTACACTGTCTCTTCTCCAACCTCCTATCTGTCCTCCTCTTTCCACACTCTCAACGATGGGCTTGACACATTCCTCATAGGAAACAGAAGCTGAATGAAACTCTTTCTGCTTTCCAATACTAATTAATTATTAATTAATACAAACTGATTTCGTTGAATTTATATCATAGTCTATGAAATCTCTTTTATTTTGTGGAAAAAGTAAATGTACCTGAACCATTTTAATGCAATTATCCTCTCCTCTCCTGCAATATCCATTTCTGTCTTTCACTGCATCACTCCATCTACCATCACATGTCACTGTTCACCTTTACAGCAACACATCTTCATGGATTTGTCTATATTTTCTGAGTCTACTGTCTCTCCCCACAGCTTTTCTCAAGCCCACTCCAGGAACTACTCTATCACTTATCCCTACCACTCCACTGAGGGTGCTCTTACCCACATCGACCAGTGACATCCATATTGTCAAAGCCAAAAGTCAATTCTGTGTCATCTTAGGCACACTCTCAGCAGAATTTGACACAACTGATCACTCTGTTCCTCTTGCATCACTTTTTTTTTCTTTTAATTCCATGGTGTCACACTCTTCTGATCCTTATCCTGCTCTACTGGGCATTCCCTCTTAGATTCTTTCGCTGGATCTTCCCTTGCTCAGTCTCTAATCTTTGACATCTTCAGGGTTCCCTTCACTTCTTCATCAACTCCTTCCCTAGGAAATCTTGTCTGATAGCTTCAAAATAATATACATAGGTGATTCTAAAATTCATAATTTTACTCCTAAAATTCATAATTTCTTAAGGCCAGAAGTCCAGGCTTAAATATCTGACTGCCAAATTGATGTGTCTAGTCATATGTCTAATTGGAATCCCAAATTCATAAGATCCCCATCTGAGCTCTTAATGTTGTCTGCCTTCAATTCTTTTCTTCCCTAAATCTTTCCAATCTCAGTCAACAGCATCACCATCTATCTAGCTTAAGTCAAACACCTAGATGTTGTCCTTGACCCTTCTCTTTAACCTGCCTCATCCAATCCATCAGCAAGTTTGCCCTACTCTGTTTCTAAACATCTTATCCCAAATATGTCCATTTGTTTTCTACTCCATAGTTACCACCTCAATCCAAGCCACCAGATATATTTTTAAAAATCTGGACTAGTGCAATAACTTCCTAGCTGTTTCTCTTACGTCTATATTCATATCCTTTGATTATATAGCAGCCAGATTGATTTTTTAAAAGCATAAATTAAATCATGTTATCCCACCCCCTGCTTAAAACTCTCTAATGGCCTCTCATTTCACTTTGAAAAATTCTAAGCACCTCACATTTTTATACATATACATAAAATATTTTATTCACAAGTAAAATATATCACTACTAGACCTTTGGATATACATTAAGGAATCCATTTCACTACAAATTCCTTGGGTTTATATTTTTAATGTTTATTTTTTCTGTGCAAAATTGGCAATAAAGCTCAGGAAAGTTACTATGATTGCTATTATATTATCAGCTGAATCCTATCACATCTGATGTCTTTATATCAGATTTTACAGGTCTTTTTTTTCCAACTGGGCTTTAACTCATTACTATAATTTACAAGAAGAAAGAGGAAAAATGTAAACTGGAAATACTAACAATATCTTTTTACTGCAGAATTACACAGTATTACTGTTATACTCAGAAAATTATTGGATGATAAAGATTTTTTTGGGGGGAAAGATATTGTTATAAAATTTTACTGGTGTCATTTTTCTGACAAATTACCTAAAATTTCAATTGCTAAGTTGAAACATTTTCCTTGAAACAGTCAAAGGAAATGTGCTATTACCAATAAAAAGAGAAAGACTCACAAAAGAGTAGATAATGATATAATGATTGCTATTAAAATTCTAGAAAGAGACTAAATATGAAATAAATTCAGAAGGTTAAATGCTTAACTTCCAGGGTAGCACAGCATCTAGTACTCTTTGTAATTCCCATTGGCTTCAGTTTTCTATAGAATCTGAAAGAATTCTTATTATGACTTCATTTCCCCAATTTTAACACTATGTCTATGCTCTCTGTACTCTCTCTCTCTCTCTCTCTCTCTATATATTTATATATATATATTTATATATATATATTTATATATATATATTTATTTATTTATTTATTGAGACGGAGTCTCGCTTGTTGCCCAGGCTGGCGTGCAATGGCGAGATCTCCACTCACTGCAAGCTCCGCCTCCCAGGTTCTTGCCATTCTCCTGCCTCAGCCTCCCGAGTAGTTGGGACTACAGGCGCCCGCTACCACACCCAGTTAATTTTTTGCATTTTTAGTAGAGACGGGGTTTCTCCGTGTTAGCCAGGATGGTCTCGATCTCCTGGCCTCGTGATCCGCCCGCCTTGGCCTCCCAAAGTGCTGGGATTACAGGCGTGAGCCACCGTGCCCGACCTATGCTCTCTGTACCATATTTTTAAGGAAATTCATATATGTAAAACAGGTTCTGAAAAGTTCAAGTGTAATAATATTTGGAGAAAATTTAAAATTTCCATTTACTTTTAAAAGTATGTTTAAAGTGTATAAACTTACCCATTACTGTCAATTCTGATTTTAAACGGCATGAGATTTAAACTATATTTGTCCTTAAGTTTAAAAAAATATGTATGAGCATAAGAAGAGTTATATAGGAAAACAGGTGTTTCAATAATGCCCATATATCACTTCAGACTTGCTCTCAGCTTCTTGTTTACAAACCTGGGACCTGATCAGTAATTCTTAGTGAATAGTTTGCCAGTGTCTTGAAAGTATGAAGCCTTAGTTAAGATCACTGAAGGCTGTTTCAGTGCCTATTGCAAATTGTTCTTTATACTTTTACCTCCTTCTCTCTGTTGAAAAACACTGATGAGTAAATGTATTTATATCTGTATTTATATGCATTCGTGTGGATAAATGTTTGAATCCATTTGTTTAAATTTTTAATGGAGACATTCAACTCTCATATGTGATGAAACCAATTTTTACTTTCCCCAAGCATATGATGCACAGGTTGTTGAGGCATACAGGGAGTATTTAAGTCCATCTACAGAAGAGGCCCTTGGTGATCATTGGAGCATAAATTGCCTAGGGTCTTGAGTTTAGAAGAATAGGTATAAAAAACTTCAATACTAAAATAACTTTAACCATAAGCTTTGTTGGAACGCCATCACTCCGTTTGACTCACAACTGATCAAATGTAACTTAATGGATAAAGATAATCCTTGGAGAGACAAGAAGCCCATTCTATAAACATTTTTTTTTTTTTTTTTTTTTTTTTTGGGGACGGAGTCTCGCTTTGTCTCCCAGGCTGGAGTGCAGTGGCCTGATCTCAGCTCACTGCAACCTCCTTCTCCTGGGTTCAAGCAATCCTCCTGCCTCAGACTCCAGAGTGGCTGGTATTGCAGATGCTCGCCACCATGCCCTGCTAATTTTTGTATTTTTAGTAGAGACGGGGTTTCAACATTTTGGCCAGACTGGTCTCAATCCCCTGACCTCAAGCGATCTGCCCTCCACGGCCTCCCAAAGTGCTGGGATTACAGGCATGAGCGAATGCACCTGGGCCCACCCTACAAACGTTAAGTCAGAGTCTCTGAGGAAATGCAGACAGAAAAGAGGATTGTGTAGTGTAGAATTTACTATATCTAAAGTTTAAAGAATTGGGAAAGAAAAAATTGATATTAGTAAATGAAAAGAAAAGTGAGCTTAGTATCTAATAATGTGTGATACATTCAGTAATACCAGAAAATCTCTTAACAGTTCCAAAATGTCTGTTCTTTGTTTGACTGTCGATATGTGTGAGATCATCTATCCAAATCCCCCATTTCTTATTGGAGAAAAGTGGGAGAGATGTAGCAACTTGCCCAAGAATCATGGTCCTGAGATGCTGCTTCATTTTCTCTCTCCACCATGGTAAGGTTCTGAAAAGCGAACAATTTTCTTAAGATTTTTGAAAGATTTTCATTGTTTTACTCTGTTAAACTTAGAGGCTCTTCCTGACATGCTTCATGAACAGCCCCTTTCCTCTTTCACTTTATTATGGAATGATAAATTAAAATTGGGAAAATCCAGTGTACTTAACAACAGAGATAGCCTTTGAATTTGGCACTGTGCACTGTGGGCTTAAAGTTCCGAGCTGAACTTGATGTAAAAATGTAAATATAATGTACATTTCAAGGAGTTTACTGTTTAGCACAGGAATTCTCAAATTTGAATGTGGTTGAGAATCACTGAGCAACTTGCTGAAAATGTAGATTTTGACCTTCACTTTAGAGATTTGGAGTCTGATTGGTGATCCAGGTGTATGCAATTTTAATGAGTGCCCACTCTCCCACACCCTTATACACACACCAAGCGATTTTGATTAGAAATCCCACTGAAGCAGATCCAATTGAATAGGTAGAATGGAACTTCATTCAAAAAATCTTTGAAAGCCTTAAGATTTTAGGCTAGGGCTGCCCTGAGGAAACTTGCTATGAATTGTTTCACTTTATTCTATCTCATTTCTCATCTCTCTCAACTGCACACACTAAGGCTTGGATTTTTTGTTTTATTGTTTTGGCTTAAGATTCTCTGTTTCTATATCAACAAGCTTCTAGGAAGAAAATTCAGTGATAGATTGCTTTTTATTTTTTTCTCAGCCCAGTGTGAAGAGGCTGTACCCAAACTGTGTTCTAAATCAATCTTATGTTAGCTCACCAACATCCTTTTTTCATCTTGTACTAACTGGAACTTGTGATAAAAATCTAGCAAGTCAGATTAGCAGGCCAGGGCGGTTGGAGTAAGACAAATCATGTTGTCTTTTTGATTGCTTGCTCTCCTGTGTTCACATTCAGCTTCTCAGAGGCAAGGGGTTCCTATAGTTTGGGTACAACTGTAAGAGCTGAAACAGTTGGTAAGTACATGGAGAATAACAGTGTAGTGGAAGTGTTTGGAAGGAGGGCACTTGGCAGGATGAATGAGGTATTTAGTTTTATCTTCTTATTTATGATGGAGGATATATCTGCTCATCTCCTTAGTGCTGCAGCATCTGTGGGGCATATTCTTTATTCTGGAATTGAACCAGACCCCTGGCCGCTCCACAGTTGACTTGAGCCACATGAGCTTCAGAGGAACTTTATTACTGGGTTCACCAAACATATACAAAACACCTCAGTGTATACAGCCTTAGGTTATTCCAGTCTTCTGTGGAACCACTAGCGGTATGACCCAAAATGTGGGATCCACAAGGGCTAAGACCTTGACTATCTTATATTTTGATATCTTCCTATTCCATATGTGTGGAGGAAACACAGTATTCAATAAATATTTGTTGGATGAATGAACACAACTTTATTGTTCCCAATTTCAGTCATTTGCATACTACCTTCACGAGTTCTACAACATTCATAAAATAGCTGTGCTGTTATTTGCTTAATAGTTTTTTTATTCATTTTTTTTTACTTTAGCTTCATGTTCGGCAATAATATAGGTGAAATCCTGGGTTATATCTAACACATATTAAAAACAAATAATAAAAAGGAAATATCTCACCTTGCACCACTCCAAACCATTGTGCATTCCAGCAGTGGTGTGCGTCCCTTGCTTTAGAAGATTTTAAAGATGCAGTCATACTCTGCGTGCTATCATAATGACATTATTAGACTAGAAATCCCTGAAGAACTGTATTTTGCTTTGCTCCATTTCCTCTCTGGCTTTAGAATGACTATTAGACTGGAAGTTTAGCTAATCCCACATGCAGAATGATGTACGAATTAAGTATCACTGTATGAAGAGAAATCACCCTATCCAATTACAATTAGAACCTTAGCTACTCTCTATATTTTTTGAATTGCTAGGTCTGAGAAATCTATAATTATGGTTTTCCCCTACGCTGACCTTGACCAGCACAGGGAGTTTCAGAATCTATCTTGAAAAGCCCATTTTCAAAATTGACTCAGTCCTATGTGACATTTTACATTATTCCTCTTTGACTAATTATAGTCCACAATAAGAAGTGATAACTTCATTTTAACACATGTAAGTATTTCAAATAATAAAAAGTTTACTATGAAGGTGTAGTTCCATTAAGATAAAGAAAGAAAAAATAAAGCACACACATGTACTTAAATATATGATTAGATGCCTTGTAAAAGTTAGCAAAAGAATAGGCACAAAAGGCTAATTGAATACATCTCAGGGACTACTTTTTTTCTGCTCAAGACTTTCCTTACCTATTAATTAAATAAGTAATGCCTTTGAGTTTTCTAAAGAGGAATGCTGTCTCTTTTTTTGCTTATTGAAGTGGAGCCACACTACTTCAATAACCATGTTACAGAAGAGCTATGTTTCTCTGAAGACTTAATAATTGCTGAATCGCCAACTGTTGCTGGGTTTCAATGACGTCTTCCTAATTTTGAAATATTCAACCTTAAACCTCAGTTTGAAGTAGTATTTGAATATACCTTCAAACAGAAACCTCTGTATATAATTCCTCCGAAACATGAAATCCCTGTAACTCTTTCAATGAAGTTGTGTTGGTGTTCCCCAGGGGCAGAGCTCATCAATTCTGCTGACACCAGAGCTTCGGATTCCTTAAAGCAGAACCCCTGTGACATCTTCATTCCTTTCCAGTCTAGAATCAAGGAAAACTGATGTATAACCACCATTCTAAATTCTAAAGATTAAGAAAAATCTCAAGTAAATATTTAAAATAAACACTCAAAATATATCTTATCCCTAAGCAAAATTGTGCTTTGCTCATGGTAGCCTAAGAAATGGCTGCATGTTCATTCTACTTCAAGTCATTCAGAAGAAAATAATAAATATGACCTTTAAAATATTTTAGTGGCAATGTTATCCATTATTAAGAGCCAATTATCGTTAGCAATATTTAGGGCACTTTGGACAGTGCTAAATCTCATTATTTGTTCATAAATCAAGGTAACTTGAATTACTCTGAAATTACTGTGTTACCTCAGAAAAATAATTTGATAAGAATATTAATGCAAACAAGATACAAAGGCTTCAAAGGGGCTTTAATCGAAAGATTTAGAGGAGAAATCTCCAATCTTAGAATCACCATTTTAAAACATTTTCTATGCTTACTTATTCACTTAAGTAAATACATTTCTGTAGCTTAATCCAAACAAATGCATGTTTTTGAAAGCAATAAAAAGGCATTTATTTAAAAATGTTCTATGCTTACTATTTCCTGCTGACCTTCTTTTTATATAGCTTAAGTCACTGACTGTGCTGTATTTTTGCCCACTGTCATAAAAAAAGTATGTAAACTGCAGTCTGGCCAATGATGAGGGAATGAGAAATTATGCTTAGAATTAATCTGTCAGGTTAATTTAATCACTTTATGACTGGTTTTAAATTGGGCAGATAATCAGTGCTAACATCCCATTCCATCTCAAATTCACTGAGGTCTCTACAGTCTCATGGGATCAGAATAAGTTATCAGTGGATTTTGGGTAGTGTGTGTACATCTTCACAAATCAGATAACATTCAGAATTTTTATTCTACTTTTTGTAAAAATAATCCGGGACCACGAAAGTGTCGTCACATCTAGTAAGAGTTGAAGATCTGAAACAACACAGTGAAATTCCTGGTGTCATTTTAAAGATCTTTTTGAAAACTTGGTCAGTGGATGATTTTTTTCCCCTAGAGAGAAGATACCAAGACTATCTTATAAGCATCCTAATTGTAATTTCATCACATGATTAGTACAGATTTATTTAAGAAGTTAGATGACTTTACATATAATTAAATGGTCAGTTGCTAGCAACTAAGAGAATTATATCTTAAAACAAATATAGATAATAAAGGTTTATTTTTCAATTTATTTTCCAAACATATAATTTAGGAATACTTATTTAACATCATTTTAATCTGACATTAGATAAACGAGCTAAAATTTAAATTATCCGAGAGGAAAAGGAGATTTAAAAATATCTAATATTTAAATTCTGAGTGAGCACGGAGAAGGTAAAAGGAGCTGGCTGAATTCTTAATGGTGAAAAGAGTCTTTCATAGCAAGTATTAATTTCCATAAAAATCATAGTAAGTGGTCACTGAAAAAATCTTGCTTTCCAAATGCACAATTTGTTTGAAATAACCAGATGTAAAGATTAAGTAACAGCAAGATTGTAAATAGGCTGTTTTGCAGTTTGATTTGGGATTATTTACAAAAAGATGTTGGCCAGAATATTTTGCCTATGAAATTGTTCTAAATCACAGAGTAACTGCAATTGTAATAGAAAAAATTTCAACGTCCTAAATGTCTTCTTTCATGAAATCAGATCAAAATGTTTTAAGTAATTAATATAAAAACAATTAAATATAAACATTTATTTAAGTAAAATTAAGTATAAAATTAATGAAGAAAATTCTACTAACTTAACCAGATGAAAAAATCATTTTGGTGATTAACAAATCTAATGCTGCAATGGATACAAAGCAGAATATAGGAATTCAAAACAAGGTCTACTGCTTTGAAATGAAACTGACCCTTCCTGCATTCAGAATGAATTTCAATTATGTTTAGAAGCCTAGCTTGTCAGTTGCATTTTCCTTGCTTTCCAAATGTGCAATTTACTTGAAGTAACCAAATTAGGATATGGATGGTGCTTATTCAAATGTGCACATGATGTCTTTCTTAGCATAAATAAAAGAGGCCTAAACACATTGATTATTTAGAATTTTCTTTGGATGTATCCATTCTCTCAATTTGGTAACAAAGTAAGTTACAAACAGCTGTTGGATATTTTGTGACAGGAAAGAAATGTTATTAAATTGTCTTCACATATAACATTCAAATAATATTCCCTTTGCTATTATCCTTTGCCAAGGAACTAATTTAGAATGGCAAGGATTGAAATAGAGAATATGGCATTCAAAAAGGAAGAAAAAAGCATGTATAATCAGCTCACCTGGGTAAAGCCTTCATAAATTGCTCAGTTCTGAAGGAGACATGGATAAAATGCAGTATGTATTTTCGAAAAGGAAGAAGCTGAAGATTTGAGTACCTTTTCTTGCTCTACTTTGGATTTATCTGGGTTCTCTAAATCCAAAATCTGATTAGCATATTTAATCTTAAGCAGCATCAGGCATGATCACCCATCCTTTAACGAGTCTATTATCTGTCCTAACCATTCCTAACAGTCTGTTTATATTCAAATATACTTTTAGTAAACAATGATGCACTGTGTGCTTTTGTGGCTTCAGAATTTTGATAGTGGTATTTATTAAACACACCTATGACGTTCACACGGTGCAGATGAAATAGAGGCAAGCCAAACAGAAACAAAAACTTAGATGATCTAGTTCAGCTTTTCACATGGGTTGGGCTAAATATTAGGTAATTCATTTACGTTTGTGTAGTAGACTGGGGCAGAAGCAGTATGGCATATAGTATGGTAGAGGTAACAGACTTTGATTCAGAAGACTTAAATTTCAGTCGGTTTCCATATCCCATGTTTACCTTGGGAAACTGACTTGACTTCTCTTAGATTCAGTGCGCTCATTTGTAAAACTGGGATAAGTATTATAGTTCCTGATATAGAAGTTTTTTAATCCCATGAGATATGTAAATGAAAATATAGTTTAGAAGTACAGTTTAGAATATTAAATAAATGAAAAATTATTTCTATTTATACTAGTAACATATGGAATTAGCCATAATTACTCAGGTGGTCCTAAATGAATGTTAATGCATAACAAAAATTTAGGCTTGTCTATGGCTCTGCAAGAACATAAGTCATAGTATAGTAAGAGGTTGAAGGAAAGGAAAATGATGAAAGTTGAAATGGAAGAGGTAAATTGCCATGCTAAGGAAATTAGACTTTTCCTTTGTCCAAGGACAGTGAGGGGCATTATTTTGAAGAGTTTTAAGTAAGGCAAAGACTAGATGACATTGTTCCTTAGCAAGATCTCCTTGGCTGCAGTGTGAAGAACTGATTGGGAGTGAAACTGGAAAGTAGGGAGACCAGTGTAGGAGGCTGATGCAGAAACCAGATGAATGATCTTAAGTAGGATGGTGGCAGAGGGAGAGACAGAAGATGGAGAGGGAAAGAGAGGGAGATATCAAGATTCAAGAAGTATTAAGACATTAAGAAGACAGGATTTAAGAGATTGTTTGGCTGAGGAGTAGAGTGGGGTAAGGGATAAAGCAGACAAATTAAAACAGTGCCCAAACTTCCATGTTAGGCAATATTATAATAATACAGGAATATAGAATCAGGAAGATGCTTGGGGAAAGATAATTTAATTTTAGACATGCAGTATTTGGGAGGCTCTGGGACATCTAAGCAGGTGTGTTGGACAGTTGGACAGAGAAATGTGGGATCCAAAGAATGTCCTGCAGAAATGTGTAGAGTAACAAGAGAAGACTCAACCTGAAAAATAAGCAAAATTTAGGAGACTAAAGAAGGAAACTGAGACTGGAAGTGCTTTTGTCAATGCAGTTATTAGAAAACGTCTTTAAGATAGCTCTGGTAAGAAAGGAAAGGATCTGGAGTAAAGTATTTGGGCTTAAGCTTTGGCTGTCCTATTAACACCATGACTTTGGAAGTTACCCCATCTTAGCCAACTGTAAAATGGGAATAATAATACTAATATTCATTTTATGGGGTTAAGGATAAAATAACTGTCAACCTTCTATATATAGAGTCATGTGTAAAAATTACTAGTATTATGAGAATAAGCTAAACAGTTATGCTTCCTTAAAAGCTTGTTGTAAATAGAGATCTGTAATTCTTAGAAATATATTGTAAACAACAGGTAAAAAATAACTTTTATAATGTCCAGAAGTCTAAGTTTGCAAAAATTACATTAGTACTGATGTTAGATATACTGAACAAGGAGAATGTATGTACTATTTTCACTGTATAAAACAAAACTCTTTATATGATAAATTTACCATTATAATAGAATGAAAAATGTGTTTATTTTTCATGAGGATGTAGGAAGTGGCTGGGAACTAAAAAAAAAGATTGGTATGGCAAGCCTAGTAATTTGTAGAAAAAGATGGTGTTTTTTGGAAATAATAATTATTAGACATTTCTACAGCCATGAAAACTTTGAGGTCCACACAGATACATGCATATTTTCTCCTGTTACCCCAGAACACACAGAGTTCCAAGTGGCTTCCCACCTGCGGATACACTCCCATGGAAGCTCTCAGTATGATACAGAGAAGGGATGATGGTTGGGACCAACAAAGCACCTTAGGTTTGAATTTGCACACATCCTTGAGCATCTTTTCTTTGGAGTTCTAGTTCCAAATTCTCCAAACTGCTTGGTACTACTCAAATTTGTTCCATAAACACAAGTAAACCTAACAAAAAAGCAAAATAACTCTTAGCAGTAAAGCTGTTGCATAAATGGCATTTTAAATCGTTACCCCCACTGATAGAGATGACTTCAGCTCACTGCTACCTGAGAGTAGTAACAAATATTTATAAAGTACTCTACTGAGACATTCGGAACATCACACTGCTCCAACAGACGATTTCAGGCTAGAGTGAAATGGGCAGGATAAAAGTAAACAAAAATAAAACTTCAGACTGGATCAGCTGTCCACTTACTCTGTTCTAAAATAAACAAGAGTACCATTTTCAATTTCTACTGCTGGGTGGAACTTCCACATGACTAAAAATAAAACCTCCTCACAAGTTAAGTGGTTAGAAGAATGTTCTTAATCCTCCACAGGTGAAGCAAAGAGTTTGTCTGGTATAGTTCCCATGGGCCAGGAATGGAAAGTCAGGGCATTTTTTCATTCTTTATGCTGAGTTTGTCTGTCTCTTATCAGACTTCTAGTTAGAAAGAAAAATATTTCCATTAGGAGAAAGTTTCCCCCCCTCCCCAACTTAAAATCTGTTTAAAATTTCACATCTGACCCACTATTCTGCAGAGTTATCACTATGCCAGGAGTTGCAAAAAGGAGGAGTATTTGTTGTCTGGTGCTATGGCTTTGACTGCTTAGCAAGAAAAAAAAAAAGGAGTAGTCTTGAAGAAATAAAGTTAAAAGTGTCACTTCCATCAATGAATACAACTATATATATGGATATCCTTCAGTAAAAATAGAATGAGTAATTTGCCTCTTAGGCCAATTAACATGCCCAAATATTCATCCTATAGTTGAAAATTCATTATTTTCTCAAACAAGAATTCAGGTTGCTGATTACCTGTCTTCCCTATGCCATCCTTATTTTTTAAATGACCTTCCTTTTGACCATTTCTAGTTTTGGGCAAATAAATGGAATTATTTGAAAATCTATCATATATAATAAAATTCACTCCCTCTTTCAGAAATTCTTTTGAATTCTATCCTGATTGTCCTGGAAGGATGGTAGGGTATAGTGTAGGAAAAAAATATTTTTTTAGTATTTAGTTTATGTTCACAAGTAATTCCTCTAATCAATGACTCATTTTGAAGATGCAGGTACTTGGCAACATTATTACCCCTGCCCCAAAATACAGCCTGTCTTATCTGCTCCTGTGGGCTTAAAGCTCTCAAGCATCTGCCCCCACTTTATCAAGCACCCTCCCCGATCTGCACAGAATATCAAACTTCCCTGCCTTTTCCAACCTCTTGGCAACTACTCTTGCTTTGCCTCAGGACCTAGATCTTATATATTTGAAGATAGAGACTCCTAATTTTGCACATTGGATTTATTTTGTCCTACATATTTTTTTTTCTAATAGAGATAACAGCCCCTTTTAACCTCAACAAATACACAAATTTCACTCAATACCCACCACCCATCTCTCTCTCTCTCTCTTTCTCCCCCTCCCTCCCCCCCCCCAGAACCTAATAACTGGGTCTCAGCCCTAATAAAATTTTCACTGTGAAAATTTTACTCTAAATAATTAATGGATTTGTTTTATAGAACATCTTCACCTAATATTTTGTTGTATCCACATTAGCAACACAGTTCCAGGACCAGCTATCTATTGTTGTTATGTGGGATTAATTTGGCTTATTAACAAACTTATTCTTCCTCCTTCCATCTTGGTCTCTCCCTTTGTTATCCTATTATTTTCTGTCTTCAGCCAAATCCCTAACTGGGTCTTTAAAAGAATTTCTCATTTTTCCAACTAAATAAAATATGTGGGCTTCTAACTCTTCATGTTCCATCAACATGTGAAAATATCAAAATCCAACAATTAGCAGTATTAGACAAGTAATAAAAATTAGATATATCGCTTTAAACCTGAAGAACAAAAATTATTGACTTTATATATGTATGTATATATGTAAGTCTGTTTGTATTTGACCCCAAACTATACTTTAAGATTCAAATCAAAGTTTTAAGTCTCCCAAACACAGACACTTTTAAAAAGGCTTTTGCATTTCTTGTACATTATCAATTCGAAACAGGTTAACGACTGAAATCCAGCTTTTCTCATTTTTCAGGACACTTGTCAAAACATGTTAAACACACACACAAAACAAAATAGATTTTAAAAATTTAATGTATTATTACATTCATTTCCAGTAGAATACATTCACGGCACTATCACATCTACTATTCTTTTGAACTGGCCATTCCTTCTATTTACATAGCTTTTCACCTCTCAGAGGTTGGCAATTTAAGAGTTGTTATTAAAATAATAATTTACCTAGATGCTGATTTTTTCCCAAGTAAGGATTAAATATCCAAAACAAAATGTATAACTACACTTGTTGATACTTTATATTCTACTTTCCTATTTTAACATTATGAAAACCTGGAATTTTACAATGTAATCTTAGAATCTGCAAGTATTAAAAGTACATTTAGAGTAAAACTGAATTTCAAGATGCTCTATTTCATAATAATCAAGGTACATTATTTTCCATATACTTATGTAGCTCGAATTTTATTATGTATCTAAATGTCCTCTGTCAGTTTTAATTTGGTTTAAATTCTTGATACCAATAAGCCTTCATCAATTCCTAAGAAAATCACTGCTCATTAGTAAAATAAAGTTTTATCTGACAGTTATCTTTTATTTAAGTTAAATAAATGTTAAGTATCTAAAATTTTAATTAACAATATTTGGTAAATTAAATTTATTCTTATCATTCCTTCTTTTAATTTTGTCTATATATATTTTTAGTAATAGCTTCTAGTTCCTTTTACAGGGAGAATCGTCCTCTGCATTATATAGTACAGACTGTTGTAATTAGTTATGTAACTTTCACTAATTAGGTAAATTCACCTTTCACAATTTCTTTTTCCTTATCTATAAAATAAGGAAAGCTAATTTCATATATTATCCTTAAGGTCTCTTGTAGCTCTAGCATACATTAGTAAAGATGCAAATTATACAAATTTTGATATTCATAAACTATAATAGCTATTAAATCAATTTCAAAATAGCCTTTCAAAATGTGACTTTCTATGTTGCAAAATTGTGAACTACTATGTTTTGCTTTCTCTAGAATCTTACTGATTCAGCTCTAAAATATACTTACTTTGTCAAGGCTTCTTAGAATGTGTTGAAATAAGGTCAAAGCCAAGATATATTTGAGCATAATAAATAGTATTGGTAATGATTATACAATTTTTTGTTAACACAGATACATCACTCATCACAAAATGAAATAAAGCCAATGTTTTAAATTAAATATGTAAATCTGCCTGGGACTTATTTAATATCCGACCTTTGAGGAGAATTCCTTTCAAGTTTAATTTCAGTGCAAAAGCAGAGAATCTTGGTTTGTCTTAATAACAGCTTTAGGTATAAGTAACATATAAGTAGATATGTTAATTAATTTTAGGTCTAAAAGAGAGGTCCCAGATATAATAGTATGCTTTTCTCCTTCCATGAGGGTGTGGTATTGAGATCACTATTAAATTATTAAATTAGAAAATTCTTAACACTGGTCAAATTAGACGAGTGGCGACACTATAACACCTCCACTGCTAGAACAATGGAACCCCCAGGAAAGAGCAAGTGGGACTACAATGGGGAGATGAACAAAAACCATATATTGACAACTTAAAGGTAACAAAAGGACTAAAAAATCAATGCCAGCTAACTCAAGCTAATACAAGCTAAAAATTCATTAAAATTACTTTGATTCATTTCTCAAATCAGGAACTTTCTTCATCATCAGTTTAATGCTTACAAGAGGCACTGAAATTTATGCACATTTCTAGAACATCTTTCCAACATGATGTCTCTTATTAGAAAAATGGTTTTGTGAGATAAAACTGTGAAGGAAGAAAAGAAACCAAGAGAGAAAAAGTTCAGAGAAGACTGACCCAAATTTAACATAATCTGAGGCAATATTGTAAAAATGTGTAAAAATATGAATTTGTGATTAAGACAGAACACTTTGAAAATATTTCGAAAACCCAACATCGTATTTTGTGTTGTGACACTCTCAAGAGTACTGAATAATCTCTAATATCACTTGAGGAATGAGTGTTATTAGAAATTATTAAATAATACTCAAAGCTTAGTTCTTAGATTTAGAGATTAGGATTTATTCTAATCCAGTGTTTGATTAATTGATGTGCAATAGCTCGGCTTGGTGGCACAAAGAATGCCTGCTGCTTCCCTTTGGTCAGAACATCCAGGACCTAAAACACACCATAATAGAATGCATTAGGATTTCAAAGCTGTCATATTTAAATACTATTCCCATGTTTACATAATTCAATTAAAATGTGATGAGTTTTACAGTGAATAACAACAGTAGAAAGTGACAACATCCATATTTACATGCAAAGTTTTTTTTTTTTTGGAAACAAGGTCTTGCACTCTGCCACCCAGACTGGAGTTGCAGTGGTGGGATCATGGCTCATTGCAGCTTTGACTTCCTGGGCTCAGGCGATCCTCCTGCCACAGCCTCCCAAGTAGCTGGTACCATAGGTGCACCTGGCTAACTTTTTAAAAATTATCTGTAGAGACAGGGTCTCCCTATGTTGCCCAGGCTAGTCTCAAACTCCTGGGCTCAATCAAGCTTCCTGCCTTGGCCTTCCAAAGTTCTGGGATTACAGGTATAAGCCACCACGCCCCGCCTCAACATGCAAAATTTAGGACAGCATTTTTAATTGCTTCACTGAGTAAGTGATTCAGTTTCTAAAATGTTCCAGAAAGACACATTCCCTTATGAAAATGACATCACGAAAAAGCAAAATGTACGCTCCACACTTAATTTCTAAGCAAAGCCAACTTTTGAAACAGATTCTTTTTTATAAAATTCATAAGCAATAATCTAATTTCCATCTTTTAGGATTAAGCATAGAATAAAATTAATTTTATGCAGGCAAAGTCAGAAAGAATTTCAGGTCAGATGAGTAATTTATCTTTTAATATATTATTTAGGAATGACATTTTAGAAAGTTATTTTAAGTGTATGTTTATTATACAGTTATGTCATTCTTGTCCTTAAGTACATTTTAAAATGAATAAAAACTTTCTGAAAATTTTAAGCACTTACTGATGTTTTTTGAGAGCTACTTGTTTTAATGTTATAAACTAAAATATAAAATGTATAAGAATATTCCTGTTTCTCATCTATGAATTAATGTTTTTCTAAACCCACTGATAGGTATTATTATTTATGTGAAGGAATGGAATCTGAAACTCGAAATGGTACAGAATCATCTCTACTAGAAAAATCTCATAGAATAAGTTAATATAGATCACATTAGTGAAACATACTCCTCCTGTATGGAATTACTAATTACCATGTAATCCATGCATAATGAGAGGGCCAAAGGCATCATTCAACTTGCTGAAAATATGCATCCTTGCTCTGTGACCAAACCAATACAGTCAGGGAACAATCAATAGAAGAAGGAAATTAAATTGAACTTTACCTGTTCTCTAGTGAACCAGCGGGCATCCTCTATTTCATTCTTGTCAACTTTAATTTCTGTAGACACTGCTAGAGCTAAGCAACCAATCATTAAGGAGGAAGGCATTGGCCATGGTTGACAAGCAACATACTGAACATGGCCAACTTTGACTCCACTTTCCTCTTCTACTTCTCTCCTAACAGCATCTTCTATTGTCTCTCCTAATGAAATGGAGCAAAAGAACAAGTTGCTGATGAACATGCCCGGGACACTTTGTGTCCTGAATGGTTCAAACATCTGGAAATCACTTTGGACAGAAACCCAATGCAAATAATCAGAAAGCAGAAGCCTAAAACTAGACTGTAATTGAAGAAAACAATTTTTTTAAAGTACATGACCACATATAGAATATCAAAATGCCAACAATAAACTTTTCGTTTTTTTAAGGTACAAATTTGTCAGTTACATTTTAAAAATAATGATACCATCTAAAAATATCCAATACCTAATACTGGTTAAACACTATGCAAACACTTTATATCTTATCTCATGTATATATTGTCCACGAAATAGTTATAAATTACATGATTTTTACAAATAGCTCTTTCACACTAAAATTCTGAAACTTTTTTTTATTATGTTGTCAAACAATTATTGCAGGTAACTCTTTTCAGGTCATTACAAGATTACAAACTACATAAGATGAAATTTAATACTTTTTCTAAGCAATTATTTTCCTCTAGATGACTGCTGACTCTGCTATGGTAAGTGATGCCTATAAATGTACTTTATATTTCTAATTTGTTGGAATTAAGAATTAGAATAGGGGAAATTGTTTCTAAGTAAAATCATTTCTAAGTAAAATCTGGAAGTTTAGAAACATTTTGCTAAATATTGCTGTATTTAGCAAAATATATTTTAAATATAGCTTTCTATTTCAAATAGATTGATAAATTTCCTACATGAAAATTAACTTATAATAATCAAAAGAACACATATAGTAAAAATATAATTATAGACTAGTGTAAGGTATTTGCAAAACCATAACTAACAAAAGATTAGCATATGCTACATATTTAAGAATTCTTAAAATGAATAAAAAAGGATAAACAATGAAAACAAAACTAGGTAAAAGATAAACATCTAAAATTCAGAGAAAAGAAAACTGAATGCCTAATACACATTTGAAAAAAGATGTTCCATAGGCAAGAAAATGAAAATGAAAACGAGATACGATTTCATTCACTCCTCAGAATGACAAATTTAAAAGTCTGAAAATCCTAACTTGGTGAAGATGTGGAATAATGGAACATTTCATGTTCTGCTGGAGGAAGTGTAAATTGGCAGAAACACTTCAGAGACAACTTGGCAACATACAGAAAAGGTTAAGATGCTCATAACACATGAGCTGGTCGTACTACTCTATGTATATAACCTAGATAACTCTTGCAAATGTGCACAAGGAGAAGTATAAAAATATTAATTGCAGTGCTGTTTGTAATAAGAACTTTAAAATAAACTAAATGTCCAATCAGCAGAATGGATAAATAGTGGAATATCCATGAATGGATTACTACCCAGCAGTTAAGACAATGACCTAGAACTACTAAAGACAGCATAGTGATTTGGAGCAAGAACTCAGAAACCAACATGCCCAGGCTTAAATCCCTTCCTTATCACTTATTAGCTGTTTGATCTTGAGCAAATTATTTAGTCCCTATGCCTTAGTGCCCCTACCTGCAAAATCACTGTAATAGTGTATTTTATAAGGTTGTATAAGGATCATACAAAAAATATATATAAAGCATAGCCTGATACTGTTTTATATATATGATATGATCCTCCTCCAAAACACAGCCTGATACTATATGTTTACTGTTATTATCTAGCAATGCAAATATTGGAAATTGAAATTGAGATAAAACATATTAATTAGATGTATTCATTCACTCCACAAACATTTACTGACTTTCTACTACATGTGCTACAGGCATGTGCTATGAGGGTTTCAGATACAGCAGTGGATAAAATAAAGTCCCTGTGCTTATGAAACTTATATTCTTGAAACATAAGATAATAAATTAGTAAGTACATATATACATACTTACATACGGTATTAGGTGATGATGAGTGCCATAGGGAAAAATCAGGAAGGATGATAGGGATTGTGAATGCAGGGTATGGGGGCTAACTAATGTATCTGGGGCAATCAAGCAAGGCCTCTTTGAAAAGGTAACAGTTGAGTCTAGTACAGAAGGAAATGAGGTGGAACCTAGATACCTGGGTCAAGAGCAACATATCAAAGAGCAAATACTGAATTTTTAACAAAGCAGACCAAATTACTAGGAAAAGTAATTTATATAATTCTCATATAAAACATGAGAATTACATGTTTATATTATTAAAATTGTATCATTTTTAAAATACCTTAAAATAACCGAGTTTTATAACATGATAATTTATCAGAGATTATTTCTCAAATGTTACCTAAACTTTGTATTTTAAAATTATAAATTAAATATAAATTATTAAGAAATGGCTTACCAGGCTCAATAAATCCAGCAAGGCAAGTAAACATGCCTGGGGGAAATCTTTTCTGCCTGCCTAAAAGGCATTTGGTCCCATCTGGATGAATAACTTGCATGATTACTACTGGATCTGTTGAAAAAAAAAATCAGATACATGAATGGCAGGAAAAACGAATTTAGATTCATTGTACAAACACTGTCTGATAGGATAATATAAAGGTATATCTCCTATAGGGATAGAACTCTTGTCTGGTTGTAAGAGATTGCTTCTTTCTGCCCTAATGTAGCTGATAATAGAATATCTCAGGGAAATTGTATAGAATAGTGTCAGTAAGCTAAAGGAAGACCATTTTTGTCCTTCTTCCCCCAATCTTAACAGCAACATTTATTCTGTACTTATGGATGTTAGGTGTATTATTACTTTTTAATGAGAAAAAAATTTGAGTAGGTAATACATGGAAATAAGGAAAATTCAAATTTTACCACGGTAAATAGTTAATTTCCCTCTTCCATCCTAACCCTTAACAAAATGTTTTTAAAAGCTAATGTGATTCTATGATTAAAGTCATTAAATAAAATTTAAATAACAGTTCATCTCTCTAGAAGTTACTAATTCAGCAAATTCTTCTCACTATATCATGACCAAGAACTAGGAATTAAATGTAAAAGGCTCTTGAGCAACAAAAATAGATGTCACTAAGCCATGTATTTTTCTCCCCAGAGGCCTCCTCAGGTGTTGCTGAGCCTATCTATTCTTCTTTCACACAGTTTTAAAGGTCTGGGTTACCAGATTTCCAAATCTACAGCAGACTCAAGGCAGCAATTAGAAGAGAGAATACAGGCAGACATTAACAGTAATGAAAAGCTAGGGCCAGGCTGTACTGCTTTAGTAATGCCTCAAACAGGCAATAAATTGTACTTAGTGGGGCTTTTTCTCCACTAAGTAGAGCCAAATTGGTTGGCTTTTGAAATCATGTATCATAACATATCAAATTATAGTGAGTAACCCAAAGTTAAGAAATGGCTATTGATGTACCATGTTTTTTACTTAAAAATCATGAAAGTGTGTAACACTTTAACACATTCTTAATGGTTAGACATGTTTTCCATAAAAAGGAAAACTCTTTAGCTCCTCACAAATTTTCTCTTTCCAAAATATCTTATTCCCCAAGATCCAGGTGGCTGAGATATAAAATAAAGGGCTTACCAACTCTTGGGTATGAGGTATTATGGACGCCATTGAGACTAGGACAGTCTTCTTTTAAACATAATCTCTTATAGCCACCTTCTTCAATTTTAGTTGCATTTCCACAGGTTGGGCAAAACTTGTATCGACTGTGCCAGGCAAGAACAGATCTTGCTTGAGCTACAACCCCTTCAAAAAAAAGAAAAGCACAAAAATTTTAATTCTGTAAGAAATTAAAATCAATATATAAGTAAAATGTTCTCAAGCTACAATAAGAATAGCTGTGTGATCAGGGGTTTTAGTATTTCTATTTTTATAATGCGTATTCTTCTTTTAAAGTAAAAGATTTAATTTTCTGGATTACAAAAATTAGATTTTTTTGTTTGAATAAAATATAACTTTCATATAAGATAGACATACTGACATCTATCTTACATCCTATATTAGATCAGGCTTTTACTGTAGGTGATTTTAAAATTTGGGGTATTCATGATTCTAGTGTAGAGTAAGTTTACAAACAGTGATTTTACAATAGTGATTTTAATAAAAATATACCACAAAGTCAGTTCTTAAGTGAGATTTGTACTCTAAAGGAAATATTACTAGGAAACTGTAGGAGGCTATCACCACTCTCTTGGTGACTATGCCATTGATGGTCCAAGCCATGTGGAACACAACCTGTTTTCAACTGGAGACTGCATGTACACAGTATAAAACACACTGCATTTACTACATTCATGGTTAACTTTGTTTACCAAAAAATGCCTAATAGGATAAATCTTAAAATATATACACTTTAGCTATAGGTTTTACTCTGGTAGTTCAAAAAAAGTTAATATGGCCTGGCCAGAAATATTACAGTTGAGGCAATAAGACTAGAAATGCTATATGTTAAATGCTTGACAAAGTTACCCTCCCTAAAATAGATTATTTGGTCTACAGATTTTTGAAATGAACAAAATAATAACAAAAATTCTAACATCGTTTAAACTGGGAAAAATAAATAAAACAGTTGTAATGAATAGACAACATTACGTTTTTGCCTGCTACGTAACCTTGTAATATGTAACTTACACTAGGGTATTTACATTATTTCAGAATCATCACAATAAGAAAAGCTAACATTTATTGAGTACTTACAATGTGCCAAGCACCATGCAAGGAATTTTATATAGATTATTTAATGTTTAGAGCAACCCTAAAGAAGATAGATACTATTATTATCATTTTCTTTAGGAGTAAACTGAGTCACAGAAAAGTTAAGTAACTGTGTAAACTTATAGAGCAAGTGAGTTAAAAGGCCTCAGTTTTCCTACAAGGGAAAAAAGCAAGCAACTAGCTCATTTATCAGATCTTTTTGATCTTAAAATGATATATATATATATATATATATATGTCTAAAGAAAATAAATTTTCTTAAAAAAGTTTGATGATTTCTCCACAGGTGTGGAGAATAAAACATACCACACCAGACTTTGAGGAGGAGATATTTAAGCAGTCTCTGGAAGGACCTCTATCACCTAAGGGAAGGTGGTCACTGACAAGTGACCTATTCCTAACTTCCCAGTAACTCATCAGTCTACCATAATCTGGTTTCTGTTCGTTTCACTCCACTGACGTTTCTCTTGTCAAGTTCATCAATAGCTTCATATTACCAAAGACAAAGATGCTTTAAAAAACAAAACAAAACAAAAAAACCACTTTGCCTTCATCTTACTCAAGTTCATAACAGCATTCAATACATTTGACCACTCCCTCCTGGAAATACTCTGCTGTCTTGGTTTCCCTGAGGCCTCTTGCTCTCTTCCTACCTCATGGCCACACTGTTTCCAACTCCTTTGATGGCTCTCCTGCTTGCAGCTTACCTTTAAATTTAGGGGGATTCAGGTCTTATTCTGAGTTTTTCTTGCTTCCTCTCAACTCTCCAAGTAATCTCAGTAGTTTTTTGGGATTTAAGTATCTGTGTGTTGATGACTGCCATATGGGTATTTCCAGTTCAGACATCTGATTGTAATGTCCATTTCTAAAACTTAGTATGCCCAAAAGTAAACTCTTGATTTTTTTAATCCAAGTCTGTCCTGCTTTCCTTGCTCTAACCATCATCCTATATTATTGAGAAATGGTATCACTATATACCAAATTATTAAAGTCTCTAGCCTAGCAGTCATTCTTAATCTTTTCCTTCATTATTATATATCCCATATCCAATTCAATAGCAAAGACCAGTGATTTTCTCTCCAAACTTTATCTTGCATATACCCTCTTTCCTCCATTTCTACTATCAGTACCTTAATTCATGCCATATTACCACCATCTCTCACTTATAAGGGTCTCAACCTACAGATCAAGCCCTATCCCTTCTACCTCGAGAATACCTCAGATTCTCCCTTTGTCTCCATCTCCACTGCCTCCATTCTAACTCAAGCCATTGCAATCTCTTACTTGGGCACCTGTAATACTCAATTCCCTCTTAACAAGACTCCCAACTTTCACACTTACTTACTTACATGTGTACAATTTATGCTCTATGATGCAGCCAGTGTGCAGTGTCTTTTTTAAAAAAATATTTTAAACACAGGTTAGGTTACATTTAAATGGCTTTAGAATCAAACCCCAATTTCTTACCATGCCATAAAAAGCCCCATCAACAGAATACAAAACAAAACAGTCAAAGTCTTTGCCATCATGTTCTACGTGTAGCAGGAACTAAGAATTATTCAATGAAGAATCAAATGAGATCATCATGCACCAGGGTTAATTCTCAGGAAATCAGTCTGGGCTGATTAGAACTACTAACTGCCCAGGAGAGTAGTCCCCTAGGGTGAGAACTTTAAGAAGTTTCTGATGAAGACAGTCTAATTTCACTGCTTACTGGAAAAAGAGTGCCCCTGGAAAGTGCAAATACATACAACTCCAACTCAAGTCTAAAAACCAGATTTTACCAATGAAAAGCAGCATTCATTTCTTACCAGCTTCTTTTTCTTTCAATTGCAGAAGGGCTGGCATAGGAGGATGAAGAAAGTAACAATTTTCATGTCTTTGCTTGAATTCTTCAGCAGCAATAGGATCTATACCTAGAGCAAACCAGGCAACCAATCCATCTTCCTCCTCTCTCGGGACTTCACCAGCATAATTAAGTAGTTTGTCTTTTATTTCAAGTTCTACTCCAAGAAAAATCAAGGTGATCTTCTCAGGCTGGGCCAAATAATCCTTTATATCTGTGTAGTTCAGCTGACAAAGCCTAACTTCTGGCTGTTGGAAACTTTCTTTATTGCCACCTAGAGTAACCAAGGGATTTAAATCTGAGAAAAGAATAAAAACTGTGGCTGGATGGCTTTCTTTAGCTAGCAGCCAGTCAGAATTATTTCTCTTTTCACTTTTCCGGTCCAGTAGTGTTTTGCTAAAATAATTTTCACATTCTTCCACTTCATTCGTTAGGAACCAAGGCTTCTTCCCACCTTTAGCAGTAGCTAGTAAATTAGCTATATGCTTATAACCCCAAAATACAGCAATGTCCAGTGCAGTCTGCCTTGATTTATTGACAATTGATCTGTCACACCTATAGATGGAAGAAAAAATTGGGGAGAAAAAGTAAAATAGGAAGTAAACACTTTCTCCGTATTTATTTCACTAAAATATTTCCAGATACATATTAAAGTCCTTCTTTTTAATGATTACATAGATTTTTTTTCTTTTGTTACATAGTTTACTATTGGGAAGGTTAAAAGAACAATCATAAATGACAAAAAGTTAAGAGACAGTGGATACTTACACTTTCTGGATAATTACTCACAAAATAAAACAGTATTAAGCTTTATGCACTATAAAGAGATACCAAAATTCTACAAGAAGTCCTTGGTAGTCATAGTGAGATCTGCATTTTCTATTTGGGAGGAAAATTTATAATTAGACTCCTCATAAATTTGCTTTGCTATAAAGAAATAATTTCTCAATGAAAAAGGTTACAAAGTTTTAAGTTAGAAAAATTGTGCTACATTTTTACATAAATTAGCCAATGAGTTATTTAGTAGTTCAACAATATAAATATGGAAACAAGCAAAATTTTAAAGTAAATATGTAACAAAGAAATTAAACCACAAACCCTTTCAGGTGGTACAGCCTAAAATGTTTACCCTTTCTCAAGCAGAAATTGGACTATCTCTGGGTGCCCATTCCTTGCCGCATACATTAAAGCAGTCCAGCCATTTTCAGAAGTTTCATTGAGAAGAGATGGAGAATGACTGAGTATTCCTGTTAACTTGGCAATATCTCCTTCAGCAGCTGAACAGTGAAACTGAGTAACTATTTCTTGCTTCAGACTTCTTTTTACAGAAGACATTTCTTCCTTAAAAGAAGGAAAATCAGGGGAAAAAGCTTATTTGCAACTGCTTTTTTATCAATGAACAATATTGATAAATAGCAATAGAATAATAGCAATGGTTTCCAAGGCAACATACTATTCAACAGGCAATCCTTAAACAGCATACATTTCAATTTCAAAATGTTATCAGTTTAGAATTATAAAATGCAACGCAATTTATATGCCCATGGGAGTTACACAAAATAATGAATAAAGAGCTCTGACAGTACAGACGAGGGGGCCATATCCTTGGG
Organism: Homo sapiens; assembly: GCF_000001405.40. NCBI lineage: Eukaryota > Metazoa > Chordata > Mammalia > Primates > Hominidae > Homo > Homo sapiens. The sequence goes on from NC_000005.10 coordinate 103,560,524, forward strand.
AGGGGGAACCAGGTAACATATTACATAAGGAGGAGGTATTTAGGGTAGACCAGAGGGGACTTCACGATGGGTGGGGACATGAGGGGGAGAGCATTAAAACAGATGGAAGTAAAGGCAGAGACTTTATAAGTTTCACAGGAAAACAGTTTATTGTTTGACCTTGCACAATTAATTCTGTAATCCATCTAGGATCTATTTTTGTTCATGGCATGAGGTAGGGGTCAAGATACTTTTTTACCCAATGCATAATCCATATTACTCCGTATTATTCTTGAAATTACCATCTTTGTCCTACTACACTGAGACAAATATTGTCACAAATCAGATGATCATATATTTTTGGTTCTATTATTGGACAGTTCTGTTGGTCACTTTGTTGTCCTTGAATCAGAGCAGCTTTTAAAACTCATTAACTTTATCTGCTTTGTCACCTTTTTGTTTCGGTGGGGTAAACCCTGAAATAATTGTTCCATACCTCTTAAATATTGCCTAATCATGGACTGCAGATGATAGAGCACACACTGAGCTTTTTTTGTCTTTTTTTTTTTTTGGCGGCGGGGGATGGTGAAAATGGTTCATGATTCAACTGTCTGTGAACTTCTCAAAGTATTTTTTTTTAAGGTATAATTCTTCTTTCTATGAAATGCTATTAAGAAAAGATTTGGGATTCTAACAACATTTCTATCATTCTAAGCAATAAGATTTTTAAGCTAAAAAGACAGAAAGGTTATAGCCCATAGTTTTTGATAGCTGCTGTCTCCTGGGTTCTGAAAGGGCGATCTGGCTGATGAATTGCATAGCAGGAATAGTATGAACAAAATTTAGGGAAAACAAGGAGTAAAGATTAATTGTCTCATTTTGGAGCTGTTCACCTTTCCTATTTGTGTCTTTCTGCTACTTATAAATAGGTTAAAACTGCTCACAGTCATGGAAACACTTGGATGAAACCTAACAGTGGAAATCTGTTTAGAAATTAAATTACCAGAAGTAATATCTACATGACAGAATAATTTTTGATTTATTCTAGAATTTACTTCGCTGTTCCTTTCATATTGAAATTTCTACATACGTTAAAAATACTATGCATAACAAAAGCTACAAATTTTCAGGACTTTATTTTGAAGCACTGCTGTACAGCTCCTGTACTGATCTCCCTTCCAAATTGTCTTTCTCTTAAGTTTATTTTCCAAAAACCCATATTATAGTTTTTTCAGCTAGGTTTAGTTTGAATAATATTTCACTGTCTCATGTTCTGGGGTCACCGTCACTCCCTCACATTCTCACAGGCCGCGCCAGGTAACTGCAAAATTGTCCTTCAAAAATACAGCGTCATTCACTACCTCCAGGGCAATGCTTATGCATATGCTATTCTGTGGAGATGGGAAGTGGAAAGTGTACACTTTTCCCTCTAGCTTTCTCAGCAGAAAAGCCATCTAGAAATAGTACCATTATTCATTCCAGAGAAGCACATAAAGTCTAACACCCAATTCTACTGTTTGATTTACTTTTTCAATTCTCATTGACAGGTTATAGAAGGTAAAGATTTGAAGGCAGAATAAAGTGCTGCCCTTGTTTTCCAAGAAGCTCAAGGACTATTCCGAGAAATCATTTAAAAGAATATTAGATGTAAAGGGACATAAATTTTTAACAAACCAACATCCACTTTTACTGACATGTAACCCGGGGCCCATGACTTCCGCATGCTCACACAGACCGAATGGGACAGGACAGGACCTTAAATATCGCTCTGTCACTGAAATCACTGACCATCAATTAACGAATTTCATCCACTCCCTGGGCACTCAAGACCAATTAAGTGCCACCCGTGCACGGTCTCTGAAAATGGTAAAATGCCTTAAGATATTTTACTTTCTTGCCACTACTGTGAGATTCCTTCTTTCGAGGTGAAATCACACCCTAAGTAGCGCTTCCTTTTCCCCATCTCAGCTTGGGCAGGAAACTCTACGACCTCAGTACCGCCGCACCTCCGCCCTGTCGCGGGAGCCCCTGCAAATGCGTCCGTGGCTCCCGCGCCTGCGCCCACCAAACCACTACGAGGCTCCGCCACACAACTCAGCAGGGCCACGCAGGGCAGCGCGGGAACCAAAGAGCCCAGGGAAGTGGTCACCGCCCCCAGAGGAGGCAATGAGACGACTAACTCCCCACTGCTTCTACTAACCCAAAGGTGACCACAGTAGAGGCAACCAGGATGCAGTCCAAAGATTGGGATATCCCACTCGCTTTTCCTGGAGCCGGATGCAGTCTTCCCGACTTCCGGTGGAGATCCGGGGGTGGGGGGGGGGCGGGAGGGGGGCCCCCGCGGTTTTATGGGAGATGTAGTTTGAAGCCCACAGGTTGTGCGCAAGGGAGAAGGGGTGGAGATTGGGGGTGGAAGTGTTTGGGAGCCGGCGCGGGAGAGATCGCGGTCTAAAGGATTGGAGCTGAATGAAGGGCTGAAAATCCTTCTCCTGAGACTGTGATGTGTAGATAGAACGTGGTGCAGGCGATCGGAAAACTGTAGGCCTAAGGAAACGATTTTAAATTTTCCAGCGTCTCCCACCCAACTCCTAGCCCTCTCTCCAATACAGTCCAATGCAATTGAGTGCTCAAAGCATTCTTTCCTGTTAAATAATCCTGGACTATTGACTAGACCAAGTCACTCTTAAACGAGATATTCGGCCTCTGTAACACCTTAATCATTCACCCCATGGGAAAACTGGTATCATATACTGACGCCTAACTTATTCAGTAGTCCTTTAAAAAGTATGTATCAAGCGCGCAAAACACCTCCTTGGGTTGTGAGGTGTAAATAGGATAATGTATCCAAAGCTCTTAGGATGTTGTGAAGTGCAGAGTGGGCACCCACAACAAAATTATTGTCGTTATTTTTTATTTCAGTTCCTGTGCTTTTATGCTCCAAAACCTACAGAAGTTATGAGTCCGAGATTACAAAACTAGGTGTTGGCGGTCTTCTAACTTCCAGACCAGGGCTTTTTCCTTTACTAAACTCTCTCCTTGGTAATCAGCAACAGCTACAGGGGTCTCTTACAATTGATCACTGTTTCCCACCCAGATTTTACCCTTGGAAGCTCCTTCTCACTGTGAAGCTGTATGCACCAGTTGACATTGATCATGAGGGCTTCTAACGCCCTGTGCTGCTGTTTTTTTTTTTTTTTTCTTTTTTTTAGATGGGTTCTCACTCTGTCACCCAGGCTGGAGTGCAGTAGTGCGATCTTGGCTCACTGCAACCTCCGCCTCCCGGGGTTTCAAGTGATTCTCCTGCCTCAGTCTCCCGAGTAGCTGGGATTACAGGTGTGCGCCACCAGGCCCAGCTAATTTTTGTATTTTTAGTAGAGACAGGTTTTTGCCATGTTGGCCAGGCTGGTCTGGAACTCCTGACCTCAGGTGATCCATCCGCCTTGGCCTCCCAAAGTGCTGGGATTACAGGCGCGAGCCACTGCACCCGGCCGCCCTATGCTTCTTTATGTGACTAGTTGTTTTCAGCCTTTAATGATTTCAGTGACCAGACAGGTGGTCAGAAAGGATTAGTTACTTCACTTGGAGTACCCAATCTTTGCATTCAAACATATGTTAGATTAGTATAGTGAACCCTCGTGTATTAATGATCCAGAGTCAACAACTATTAATATATAGTTCTCCCAGTTGTTAGGATTGTTTTGAAGTAAATTCCAGACCCCATATTGTTTTGATGACAAATATTTAAGAGTAAACTTTTTGGAAATATGTATTATATCTAAAATATAAGGGCTTTGAAAAACAACACAACTTCAATATCCCTAGTATTACAAATTTAACAATAATTCTGTAATAACATAAAAGAAACATTCAATATCAAATTTACTCACTTGCCTCAGAAGTTTTATATGTTTTTCAGTTGATTCATCTGAACAAAGTCTCCACATCACATTTGATTTTTAAAAATCTATGGATTCCTTCCTCTTCCCCTTTTTTTCTGGCAGTTTATTTACTAAAGAGTAATGATCATTTGTTCTGTAGAATTTTCCACATTCTGAATTTTGCAGATTTTATTCCTGTGCTGTCCTTTCCCCCTGTATTTCTTGCAAACTGGTAGTTAACTTTATAGAATTACTCAGATTAAAGTTTGATTTTTTTTCACAAAAGACTTTATAGGTGTTACAGTTTACTTTGTATTGAATTACTTCAAGAGGCTTACAACTTCTGGTTGTCTCTCTTTTTTTAATGTTATACTTGATCATTGGGTTCAGATGTTGTCAACCTGATAACATGTATGATAAATAATAATATAAATATTATAAAAATATGGTAAATGTTTATGATAAATATATGACATTGATATATAATTATGATAAATATAATTATATTATTTAAATATTAAATTTATGATAAATATATTATAAATTTTTCCATCAACTTTTCAGCTAATAGTTTTAGCAGCCATTCATGATTATTGCCTGCATCCATCATTTTGTTATGAGTTGCAAATAGTGATATTCTAATTTGATATTCACTCTACATTTACTAACAAATTATTTTATAATAAAGAACTTCATCTAATTAAATATCTATACAGCTTATATGGAAAGATAGGATAAATGTGCGATTTTCACCATTATTTCCTAATCTTCAGAATAATTAGTTAGTTCCCTAATATCCTTCAGGTAAGTATACAAACGTGCCTTGTTTTATTGCACTTTGCTTTACTGTACTTCACAGATAGTACATTTTTTACAAATTGAAGGTTTATGACAACCTTGTGGCAAGCAAGTATATAGGTGCCACTTTTCCAACAACGTGTTCACTTTGTATGTCTATCACATTTTGTAATTCTTGCAATATTTCACACTTTTTCATTATTATATCTGTTATGGTGATCTGTGATCAGTAATCTTTGATGTTACTATTGTAATTGTTTTGGATTGCCACAAACTGCACCCATATAAGTTGGCAAACATAATCAATACACGTTGTGTGTGTTCTCACTGCTCCATCCACTGGCTATTCTTATCTCTCTCCCTCTCCTCAGGCCTCCCTATTCCCTGAGATACAGCAATATTGAAATTAGGCCAATTAATAACCCTACAGTGGCCCCTAAGTGTTCAAGTGAAAGGAAGACGCACACATCTCTCACACATTTTAAATCAGAAGCTGGAAATTATTAAGCTTAGTAAGAAAGGCATGTCAAAAGACAAGACAGGCCAAAAGCAAAGCCCCTTGCACCAAAGAGTTAGCCAAGTTATAAAGGCAAAGGAAAAGTTCTTGAAGGAAATTAAAAGTACTACTCCAGTGAACACATGAATGGTAAGAAAGTGAAACAGCTTTATTGCTGATATGGAGAAGGTTTTAGTGGTCTGGGTGGAAGATTAAACCAGGCATAATATTTCCTTAAGCCAAAGCTTTATCCAGAGCAAAGTCCTAACTCTCTTCAGTTGTATGAAGACCGAGAGAAGTGAGGAAACTGCAGAAGAAAAGTCGGCATCTAGCAGAGGTTGGTTCATGAGGTTTAAGGAAAAAAGCCTCCTTCATGACATAAAAGTGCAAGTTGAAGGAGCAAGTGGCGATGGAGACGCTGCAGCAAGTTACCCAGAAGATCTTGCTAAGAGAATTGATGAAGGCAGCTAAACTAAACAGCAGACTTTGAATGTAGAAAAAAACAGCCACCTATTGGAAGAAGATGCCGCCCATGACATCCATATCAAGAGGTGACAAATCAATGCCTGGCTTCAAAACCTCAAAAGACAGGCAGACTCACTTATTAGGGACTAATGCAACTGGTGACTTGAAGTTGAAGCCAATACTCACAATTTTGAAAATCCTAGGGCCCTTAAGAATTATGGTAAGTCTACCCTGCCTGTGCTCTCTAAATGGAGCAACAAAGCCTGAATGACAGCACATCTGTTTAGAGAGTGGTTTACTGAATAAGCCTACCGTGGCCACCTACTGCTCAGAAGAAAAGTTTCCTTTCAGGGCCAGGCGCGGTGGCTCACACCTGTAATCCCAGCACTTTGGGAGCCCGAGGCGGACGGATCATGAGGTCAAGAGATGAAGACCATCTTGGCTAACACAGTGAAACCCTGTCGCTACTAAAAAAAAAATAAAAAAAGTAGCCGGGCATGGTAGCGGGCACCTGAAGTTGCAGCTACTCAGGAGGCTGAGGCAGGAGAATGAGGCTGAGGCAGGAGAATGGCGCAAACCCAGGAGGCAGAAGTTGCAGTGAGCCAAGAGATCGCACCACTGCACTCCAGCCTGGGTGACAGAGCGAGACTCTGTCTCAGAAAAAAAAAAAAAAAAAAAAAAAAAAAAAGATTCCTTTCAAAATATTACTGTTAATTGATAATGTATCTGGTCACTGAAGGGCTCTGATGGAGATTTACAGGGAAATTAATGTTGTTTTCATACTTGCTGGCACAACATTCTGCAGCCCACAAATCAAGGAGTAATTTTGACTTTCAAGACTTATTATTAAAGAAATACATTTTGTAAGACTATGGCTGTCATATATAGGGATTCCTCTGGTGGATCTGGGCAAAGCAAATTGAAAAGCTTGTGGAAATGATTCACCATTCCAGATGTCATTAAGAACATTTGTGATTCGGGCCATGTGTGGTGGCTCACACCTGTAATCCCAGCACTTTGGGAGGCCGAGATGGGCAGATCACCTAAGGTCAGGAGTTCAAGACCAGCCTGGCCAATATGGTGAAACCCCACCTCTACTAAAATTACAAAAATTAGCCAGGCTTGATGGCGGGTGCCTGTAATCCCAGCTACTAGGGTGGCTGAGGCAGGAGAATCGCTTGAACGCAGGAGAATTGCTTGAACCCAGGAGGCGGAGGTTGCAGTGAGCTGAGAGCACGCCATTACACTCCAGCCTGGGCAACAAGAACAAAACTCCATCTCAAAAAAAAAAAAAGAACATTTGTGATTTGTGGAGGAGATCAAGCTATCAACATGAACAGGAGTTTGGAAGACATTGATTCCAACCCTAATGGATGACTTTGAGTGGTTCAAGACTTCAGTGGAGGAAGTAACTGCAGATGTGGTGGTAGTAGCAAGGTAATCCAGATTAGAAGTGGAGCCTAAAGATGTGTCTGAATTGCTGCAATCTCATGATAAAATTTGAATGAATAAGGAGTTGCTTCTTATGGGTGAGCAAATAAAGTGGTTTCTTGAGATAGAATCTACTCCTGGTGAAGATGCTGTGAACATTATGGAAATGACAACAAAGGATTTGGAATATTATAACAATTCAGTTGATAAAGTAGTGGCAGGTTTGAGAAAATGGACTGCAATTTTGAAAGACATTCTACTATGGGTAAAATACTATCAAGCAGCATCACGTACTATAGAGAAATTTTTTGTAAAAAGAAGAGTCAGTGATGTGGCAAACTTTATTGCGTCTTATTTTAAGAAATTGCCACAGCCACCCCAGCGTTCAGCAGATCAGTCAGCAGCCACCAACATTGAGGCCAGACCCTCTACCAGCAAAAAGATCATGACCTGCTGAAGGCTCTGATGATCATTCGTATTTTTTTAGCACTAAAGTATTTTTAATTGTTATGTACATTTTATTTACACATAATGCTATTCCACACAATAGACTATAGAATAGTATCAACATAACTTTTATATGCACTGGGAAACCAAAAAAACGTATGGGCATCACTTGACTGTGATATTTGCTTTATCGTGGTGATCTGGAACAAAACCTGCACTATCTCTAAGATATGCCAGGCTGGGTGTGGTGGCTTACGCCTGTAAACCCAGCACTTTGGGAGGCAGAGGCAGGTGGATCACGAGATCAAGAGATCGAGACCATCCTGGCCAACATGGTGAAACCCTGTCTCTACTAAAAATACAAACATTAGCTGGAGGCTGGGGCAGGAGAATCGCTTGAACTCAAGAGGTGGAGGTTGCAGTGAGCCGAGATCACACCACTACATTCCAGCCTGGCAACAGAGCCAGACTCCATCTCGGGGGAAAAAAAGAGAGATGCCTGTATTTATGAACACATTGATGCTAACATTTTTAATGTATTTCAGGTCATTGACATTATTTTAAAATATTTTTATAATATTTATTACTTTGATCCTCAAATTGTTTCTTACTTGACCAGTGGGAACCACCTCAAGTGGGCTTCTGAGTTTTTTGGACCAGACCCCTGCAGTGTTTGATAGCTTACTTCCTTTTTGGTATGACAAAATGTTTTAGGCTAATCTTGTAAATATTTTGCTCCAGACCTGGAGTCAGCCATTTCTCCAAAGAGCCTTCGTTCCTTTTAGTGAGAAATGGTATTTAGATATGACAGTCTTTGTACTTGTGGTGCTCATTGCTGATGAGTTACTGAGTATCTCCCTGGATGTAACTTTCTCCCAGGGAAATTGAACAGTTACAGATCTTTTCCAATAAGATTTCACATTCGAAGGACAATATGGTCTAATATCCATAGATGTTAATGTAATAAAATAATGTTTTCATTTTATTACATTTCCATTCAGAAACTTAAGGCTCCTGAATGTGTACAAGAAAAAGTTAAAACTCTAGCTTTGGATATTCTCCTTAATATGGACCCAACATATATTTTTAGCAATATTTTTTCCCAGAATTTCCTATATAAAACCTTTCTGATCCAGACAAATTGGCCTATACACTGCACTGACCTAGGGTATCTCTTGCCCTTTCCTACCTCACTGCTTGTGCTCATTCCACTTTTCCTACCTTAAATGCTTTCCTTTTTCCAAATCCTACCCACTTCTTAAAGCCCAGGTCAAGTACTGCTTAATTGGATCTTCATTACTGTCCATAGAATTATAGGTTTGCCACTAGTATCTCCCCGCTCTTACCACTTCATTGTGTGCTGGCCCTTTTTCCAAATGCCAGCATCTATATCTCTTTGCCTGAGGGTTTTTTTCTTTTCACAAAAGGACTTTGCCCTCCAGCTCAGCAGATCAGCAAAGCCAAATAATTAATACCTCTTGGGGCATGACAGGAATTGATATATAAATACCTCAGCCTTTCTCACCCTCTTACTCAGAGGCACATGTTCTACACCAGCTGCCAGCTTTCCCCAAGGGGATCAAGTTCTCCTTATCTAGCGTGGACACTTGATTAAGGACCACCTCTCTTTATTGGCTGCCTTTCCTTCCCTGTTTCCCTGCCATTCCTCATTTCTTCACTTCTCTACCATTTTTTTCTTCCTAGATAACCAATTTCATGTGAATCCCTTTCCCAGGATCTGCTTCTTGGAAAACCTAAACTAAAACAAGGAAATTTTCCCTCCTTTCAATTCATACTCTCGATTATGTGGTGATTTGCCTCCCCTGCATAGCTTGGGGAGAATCATTAACCCAGTGATTAAGTAAATATATCCCTATTATCAGTTATTCTAGAACACACATCCTTTTGTCTTTATCAGAACAGTGTTGTTACAAATCAGTGCATGAAATTTTGATTGTCCTTTAGATGAATAATTTGGAGTTCAAATTTTAAACCACTTTTTTTTTTCTTGCCTATAGTGTCAGTTTACAAAATGGCTTATCCTTCACTATTACTAGCCCTCTAAGACCACATGGACCTCTTATTATTTAGTTTTAGCTGCTTTGGAAAGTTACTTGGTTTCTTTTTTGGGTGCCCTGCAAAGGAACGCATAGACTATTAAGGCAGAAGTATGTTAAATGTATTCTTCAAATTTAGTAAAATCCAGTCATTTTTCTCTAAACCAGTAGAAACTTGACATTATGGGCAACATATAAATATGAGTTTACGTAATTTTACTTAGTAATTAACCTTATGCTATCTGGAGATGTCTTATTCTTGCCACACATTGCTTTTTATTTTTTATATTAATACTTCATGTATTTTTGCCTTTTTCTCTAATAGCTTGTAGTTTCTTTAAACATAAAGAGTCTTACTTTTTAAAAAAAATTCTCCAGTAATAGCTGCATTTGTCTCATTAGCTAAGGCACTTGATAAAAGTTGGTGGATGGTAGTGATGAGAACTGTGCTTTATATTTAGAGGTGAATTCAATAAAAGTGAAGATCTCTTCAGTTTTACATAAGGGCCTTGATATTAGATAGTTTCATATGTGACTAAAGATAGAAGAGTTTCTAATTTATATACATTATATACACATTCTGCATTCTTTTTTTTTTTTTCTTTTTTTTTTGAGGCAGAATCTCACTCTATCTCCCAGGCTGGAGTGCAGTGGCACTATCTCAGCTCACTGTAACCTCCGCCTCCCAGGTTCAAGTGATTCTCTTGTCTCAGCCTCCTGAGTAGCTGGGACTATAGGCGTGCGCCACCATGCCCAGCTAATTTTTATATTTTTTGTAGAGAAAGGGTTTCACCATGTTGACCAGGCTGGTGTCGAACTCCTGGCCTCAAGCGATCCGCCAACATTGGGCTCCCAAAATGCCAGGATTACAGGCATGAGCCACCAAACCCAGCCTCTATTCTACATTCTTAAAAACACTAAGTTTGCTCTGGACTTAGTGCCTTCATGCTAGCTGTTTCCTCTTTTTTGCAGTACGCTTTTCCTAGATTTGCTACTTACAGACTCCTTCTTGCATCCATGTGTCAGCTCAAACGTCATATTTTTAGAGGGCTCCCATGATCACTCAGTTTACAGTGTTTCTCCTACTGATACTTTCTTATTTCTGGCATTCTTATTTTTGAAATTTCTTGTTTCTAATGTTTATTTATTGTGTTTCCTTATTAGAATGTAAACGACTACATAAGAAAGTCCTCATTTATCTCACACGACTGTTTTCCCAGGATCTGGGATTTTGATTCAGCATGTAAGAAATATTCAGTGAATATTTGTTGATGTTAAACAAGTGTTTGTTTTCATATTTATTAAGTCAAATATATTTTTGATGTTGCTATAATACCTTGGTAATTAGAACTTTTCAAATAACATTAAGCAAGAACATATCTGACTTTCTGTGTGGTTGTGTTTACTTGTATGTTTATGGAATTTAGGCACATCTGGTTGCCTCTCTCAAGGAGTTTCTTGTCTAATGAAGTAAAGCAGATGGTAAACAATTACATGCACCATGATAGAGTGAAGACAAAGTGGAGAGCACATTCAGGGCACCCGCTGTAGACTTGCAGGGCAGGATCAGAAAGGGTATAGTGGAGACTTGAAGTGCTTACCCATGTCTTTTTTCTTCTCTCCATCTGGATCTTCTGGGAAAACGATATAGCCTAGGTTCCTTGCAGCTAGACATGAACTTGTTACTAGTTCTAGCCAATGCACTGTGGACAGAAGTGGTGGTCTTTTGGGTCAACGGAGAAAGAGACAGGATTTTATAGCCCTTCAGATTCTTATTACCGTGTTTTGGCGATGTTGGAAGTGCATGTTAAAATGACAAAGTCGGCCGGGCGCAATGGCTCACTCCTGTAATCCTGGCACTTTGGGGGGCCGAGGCGGGCGGATCAACTGAGATTGGGAGTTTGCAACCAGCCTGACCAACATAGAGAAACCCCGTCTCTACTAAAAATACAAAATTAGCCGGGTGTGCTGGTGCATGACTGTAATCCCAGCTACTCGCGAGGCTGAGGCAGGAGAATTGTTTGAACCCAGGAGGTGGAGGTTGTGGTGAGCTGAGATAGCGCCATTGTACTCCAGCCTGGGCAACAAGAGCAAAACTCCGTCTCAAAACAAACAAACAAACAAACAAAAAATGACAGTGTCACTAGGAGACAGGACTGGCATTTACTCTTGGGAGAGAGCTGCCATATCTGCCATGGACTTTGAGTGAGAAATCAACCTTTGTGGTATAAACCACTGAGATTTGAGGGTTAGGTTGCCACCTCACCATAGCATAGTCTATTCTAGTATAGAGTACAGTGAGGAGATGAACTCTGAACTAAGTTTTGGAGGGCCAGGAGCAAAGACTGGACAAAGTCTACATGTTAGAGGCTCTCCTTTCCATCTTGCCAAGATAGAACCTGGTCCCTTAAAAGAGTAGGGGCAAGTTTAGAGATAAAAGTAGGTTAATATTCCAGATGCTAAAGAGGTAGCAGAGTCTACTAAGTGTCAGATATGTCAGAAAAACACACCATAAAATCCTGATATCCAAGGGCCCTGGTAGGCCAAGCGCTGACGGCGCTGTCAGCAATCCACAGCTTGTCTGATTTAAGGCCCATTGTGCTCACTCTGTTTTTGCAAATACATTTCCCCGTACTGAAAATGACAGCATGTAATAGCAGTTGGCAGAGGTGACCAGAATAAAACACTTTACCCTTTGCAATGTGTACATCCCGAAATGCCTTTAATCTTTAAATGCACTCATTTATGATTTTTGTGGGTAACAAGCCACTTTTGCTGAGTTTAATGGTCATTTCATCTGTCTTATGATTTTCAAAAACAACTTTTAGAGTATTTTTACTCTTGGAAGCATACAGAAATGACTGTATTTTCCATGCAAACATCAATTTAGTTTATGCATTTTAGAAAGAATTCCCAAACAGTGGTTTATTCTTATTTACAATCATTTCTCCCCCTTTGCTGTATGAGTTGTGTTTTATGAAGCAGCAACCATGATGTGAGGAGGAGTCTGTCTGATCAGAGGGAGAATTAACATTGCTTGAAAGAGCAGCATTCTTTCTGTGTACTCAAGTTAATTGGTGCAGTAATTTAATCATTGAGCCTCTGTTCACATTTCATGTGTAAGTCACTTAAACTTTTTTTTTTTTGCTTTTTTAGAATGTCTAGGTTGATGAGCATTTAAATAAATTTGTAGCATTTAAAAATGTCCTCAAAACTGATTGCAGCATGACATCCCTCAGATTTTGTATTCAGTTTTAGTTTAGTTACTTTGAAGCTTTCAGATGAAAAAAACACCTAAATTTAATATTCTGCAACAGGTTTTTCCATCACTATGCTGAAGCCCAGAGGAACGCAGTGTATTTTTTGAGTTTTAGTCTTCAATTTTTTCCTTAGGGTATTTTTGACCCCAGATACTTTTTCCTTTAAATTTGACTGAGCTGTGATCATGACTCTGACCTCTAGCCTTGAAAGAAGAGGAGTTATACCTCTCAGGAGCGATGCCTCAGGCACTTTGCAAGTCGGCTGGCAGGGATTATTTCCTAGGCTGTGAAGTGATGACCTTCTATGGAGAGTGAAAGTCTGCAATGCAGGTAAATTCCTTCAGCCAGGATTGAGAGCCTTAGGTTTGCTACCTGCTCTATGAATCAGAGTTTTCCTTCTCTATGGAGGACATGTAATTTAGCAGTATATTTAAAGCCACATGTTATGTGCTCACATGTTGGTTAATTTACTGTTGGAGGTGAATATATTCTGATTTTGAGTTCCATAAAGGATTGGTTCAGAAGGAAATCTGGAAATTTGGACTAAAAAGCAAGGATGACTTTACTGTGATTAAAGGACACCTTACCTGTTATTTCTAAACAAAGTGCCCTGACAGTGCTCTCTCAGCTGTTCCCAACTTGTCTGATTTCAGTATCCCAGAGAGGATTTCTGTTGCTTCCTAAGCTATCATTACAGCAATAATATAATGCTGATTGCTACGATATTTTCAGAATACATTAAAAGGAGGAATGAAATTTAGAATGATTAATAAACACTTTTAGAATTTGTGGGATGGCATTTTGTTTTTATTCTCTGAATAGAACTGTCAGTCTGAATGCAGTAAATTTCTAGAGTTTTGAAAAATAAGAATATTCATCTATTTTTTTTGAGGAACATAGTCATTTCAAAAGGCATGTGTATATTTTTAAGACAAAAACTGATTTTAAACATTATGTGATGATTTTTAACACTGATGTTAAAAATGATTTATATATTTTAAGTCCTTCTGAAAAATCCTTGAGAATCCACTTATTGCCACTATCCTGTTTAGCAAATTCTAATATAAATCTAACTGACAGAATTGTGGGAAAGGCAGAGTAATATAAGAGAGTAGCTGTGTCACTGAAGGCCATGTGAAATACTTGGAAAGCCAGGATAAGGAACTATTACCAGACACAAAATGTCACTACAGATATCTTATAAAATATTCCATTTTGTTCTACTTAAAAAGTTATCTGCAATGGGTGAAAACATTTCCAATTTAAATCACACACAATTTTTCTGGTAATAGGACCATCAATGTGGTACTTCTTGTGTAGGACTAGGCCCTTTGGTCTAGAATAAAATTTCAACAGTGATTCATTCATTCATCTATTCTTTCAAAAATGGATAAGGGCTTCTTAAAGTGTTGGTAAATAATACTGGAAGGTACAACTTAGTCAAATTCTATTGTTAAATATTTCTGTTTTGCAGAGTTGAAACAAAATGGAGAAAGTTTCTCAAAATATAACTAATTGTCCTAAATTCAACTGTTTAAGATCCAGTAGATAAAGCATAATCTACCTATGTTATGTCTCACTATTCTCTTTCGCTTGGCTTCTTTGTTTTTTGTTTTGTTTTGTTTTTTAGCAAAGGAAATCTGTGATATATTTGGATGCAGATTTATTTAAAAGGCCCTGGCCCATTGAATCTGGTAAAACAGAGATAGAAAGCAGAGACATACTACCTTTGTTCTATCACCAATATGATGGCATGGGACAATTGGATACTGGCCGTAGCATTGTGCTAGCTGGTACCCTTCACCTTCACCTTTGCCTTCCTCTCTCTCCCTCCCAGTCTCCCATCCCGTTTTCTATGATCAAGATTTTAATTTCGCTTACATGAGAACAACTAGAGTGATGTAGCCAGGATAGTGATTACATTTCTTTTAAAAAATTGGTCCTAGTCATGAAATCAGAATATAATTAAATCATTGAGTTTTAATGACCTCAAATAGGATAATGGTATATTATAACTTGATTTGTAGTCCTACTTTTGGAAGGATATATAAATTATCTTTGTGGAATTGTATAGGCCCAGAATGTAATGAATGATGTAAATCAACATGATTTATAGTTTAAAATATTTTTCCCTTATAGGCAGCTTCTGCCACCTGCTTGGTATTTCCACTGTGCCACCAGCATCATTTAAGTTCTTACCAGGATTACTGAAGTGGCTTCATAGCTGCTTTATTTGTCTTGGATCTCATCTTTAAATTTACCTCCCAGAATATAACCAGAGTGGATCTTTTAAAAGCTAATTGTTCTTCATTTTTAAAAATTCTTTATTACTATACATCACCTTCAGGAGAATATAGAATATGAGGTCCTTTCTTTTTCTTTAATTGCAATACTATGAATTAAAATTTTTTGAGGACATATACTATATATGTGTGTGTGTGTATGTATAAAGTCTTGTAGATGTACATATATAAAATATTAGATACATTATATACTATGCACAGGAGCAGAATTTTAAAAAGGATGTGGTAAGAATAATTATAAAAATAAGCTGCAATCTTTTCTTCTCATGTATTTGCCTTGTGTACCTTTTGGTGTGTGCACCCAACTTTGGAGAGCTCCGTCACTCCCCTGTTTGCTTCCTGCCCTAAAGCCACAACTACATAATTACCAAGGCTGTGGCATGTTCACTCCTCCTATTTTTTCTGTTAGAAATACCTACCTCACTCCACCCACTCACCCATAGACCCTCTTGTTGAGTAATTTTTACATAATTTTCCAGACTAAGTTCATGTGCCACCATCTCAGGGAAAAAAATTATATCCCCTTGTCTGCTTCCAAAGCATTATAAATTAACGTTTTTCATAATATTTTAGAGTATAGATAGTTATTTTTTCTAACACTCCAAAGATTAGGAGCTTCTTTGAGGAGCAACTATCTTCTTAATCTTTACATCATTATAGGCAGACACAATGCCCAGCATGTGTTATACCTTCAATATAATTTAAACGAATTCATGCATGAATCAGGAATGAAGAAAGGAAGGGAGGAAGGAAGGAAGGAGGGAGGAAGAGAGGGAAGGAGGGAGGGAGGGAGGGAGGGGATAGAGGGAGAAGTTAATGGATGTGTTCAAGATAAAACAACCAGTCATGGTAAAAGGAGGATTTTTAATCCGTGTCTCCATGGTTCTCTGATGGTCGATGGTAAATATGTAAGGAAGGTAATTTTGCATTATTTTGGTGAGAAATTCTGTATATTACATATCAGTATCAAACATAAATATTGTTATGTAAATATTCTCTGTTTTTCTCTAGGTTTTAAATACTTACCTGGTAACCTAATCCTATTAAAAGTTTTGTCTTTTTAAAAAAATATTTTCTTCTGTTTTATGTAATGCCATAGGACTAGCACAAATACCTAAAATACTGACGAGCTTAAAGTTCCTTTTGAAATGAGCATAGGATAGAGTGAATCACAGGAAGCAGGTTATGGATAAGGATAATGTATTTTGATGATATTCAAATTTATTCAGCAAAGACCAAATAAGTCAGAGCAGATTTGCTGGTTCATCAGTTGTGCTGCTTCTGCATTCTTATTAGTAAACTGTAACACATTTTACAAAGACTCAATCTTTTCCCACAGGGCACAGCTCTAGGTTAAGCCTAAAAAGCAACTTTCATTATAGATCGTTTATTGAAAGTAGAGTGAAGCAATTACAGTATCTCTCTGAAGAGGTATATTGGCCAAACACTCTACTTTGGAATAGTGCTTTATGCCGGATTAGTTATTTAATACTTTGGCTATTATTGAAACTTAGAAATGTGTATAGATGCCCCTTAGGGCTTATTGATACTGTGAGAAAAGCAACAGATATATTCTAGAAAAAAAATATGATCCTCATCAAGCCTTTTTTAAAGTTCAAGTGTAGACATTTGCCAATCATTGTTTTAGTTTTTTAGTTTGAAGTACCAGTGAAAGTTGTTTTGAGGATTTATGGAAACTAATATTTATCCATTTGACTCACTGTGGTAATTATTTTGTGGTGTGTTGATATAGTCAAATTTCCATTCTTTTGATTACGTGTTTTGTGCAAATTTTGATATAAAGATATAAGGGCTCTTCTTTTATATTTAGTATCTGAATTTTCTCATTTGACAAATTAGAATTAAATATATGAGATCTATATTTTTATAATGGGCCAATCATAAAATCTAGGCTTATTTTAGACAAACTAGTGTTCCTAAGAAGTCAAATAGTTTCCTTAGAAATAGTTGACTCTTTTCTCTTGAAAATTATGGATTTTTGTCACCTTCATCTTATATTAGGGCTAGGATACTTTGTTTTTTATTTCTTTAAATTTAAAAGCTCCAAGTTTTTGAATATGTCAAATTTATTTAAATGAAACTGAATCTTGTGATTCTTTCTTGACATTTTCAAATATGATTCAAATTTGGGAAAATTTTTTTTGCCAGCTAGTAAATGATTGCTGAAATCATGAATTGAAATTTCTCTATTTAAATGGAATGCCATATTTATAAAAGTAATAGCTTGCAAGAGATTGTCAGTGGCATTCAAATCAGAATCTAAAATATATTTCTTTCATTAAATATTTGCACAAAGTTGTTATATATTTATATAGGTCATTCCCTGGGACGTTTTATACATTGTCATTTAAAAATATTCATTCTTAAAGAGATACAATAGAAACATGCTTTATGTATACATTCCAGGTGCATGCTTGTATAGTACTGTGCTGTATCCATTATCTGCTTTTGAGGCTGTAGCTGTTATTTATAGTGTTACAGTTACTGTACATTAATTTGTTCTTGATTTTAGCTTTTCCAACTGTCCATTTTCATTATCAAGGAGAGAATCTGGCTCACAGATAAAATTTCTCACCCCCATAAGTAAAATAAAAATGAACTCTCCAAAGTTAAAGTAACAATGAAAGAAACAAATTGTAGCAATGGAAGTAATGGATTTAGATGAACAATGTTTGTATTAGTTGATGGCCTTCACAAGATTTTTACCAATATGAAAGTTCAATAATTCAAGTGAATGGAATTACTTAAAAGATATACTTGATGTGCACTAATGAAATAATATTTTCTTTTCTTTTGTTTTCCTGGCATAACTGTGTTTTATTTCTTCCCCAAATTCTTTTTTGCTTCAACCATATAGGTGTAATAATATTTGGTTGAAGTGGAGTTTCAATACTGCTTGCCTAGGTTCAAAACCTGGCCTTGCTACTTATAAGTTGTTGTTTAGGGGCACTTAATCTGTCCCTCAGTTTCTGTTTTTAAAATCAGAATAATAGAATAATTAATAACTTTCTCATAGAATTGTTATGAAGATTAAATAAGTAAACACATGCAAAAAGCTTATTACCATATGTAATTTAAACAACACTGGAGTTATTTTCTAATCTCTTTATTGTTATGGACATTAATGTATTTTTGTTGTTGAAATGGGAGAGTGTTACAAAAAAAAGTTAGCTGGGTGTGGTGGCACGCGCTTGTAATCCCAGCTACTTGGAAGGCTGAGGCAGGAGAATCACTTGAACCTGGGAGGCAGAGGTTGAAGTGAGCGGAGATCGCCCCACTGCACTCCAGCCTGGGTGACAGAGTGAGAGTCCATCTCAAAAAAAAAAAAAAAAAAGAGAGAAAAAAGAGATGGGATAGTGTTTATTCAGTGAGCACCTAGAATTAAAAAGTGAATTGCGTGAATAAATTCTCTCATTAACATGGTTTATTGTGGTTGTAATGGTGGGGTTAGTAAAGAAGTAGAGATAGTCTCCTAGTCTCCAAAATGACTTGGCACTTGAACAGTTTAAAGTACATACTAAAGTTTGTAGAAATTGTATGCAACCATCACTGCTGCCTCTGTTGTGATCATGTGGCCCTTCTTTTAGATAAGGAGTTATAGCAATACATTATATAGCATTGGATTTTGACCTTTGATATATAAATTCTGGTCATCTCAAGGTATCTTGTAGGGTTAATACAGTTGTAAGTAATAATAATTATAATACATTTAAGAGATTACAACATACATTGTGTTATCTGGTTCCTTCATTATGCAGTAGGTACAGTTAATTATCTTCATTTTTCTGATGAAGGCTCACTGGCTTAGAGAAGTAAAATGCCTTACCTGAGGTCACACAGTTAATCATAGTGGCAGGATGTATAGAATTGGCCTCATGTCTAATTTATATTTATTTATTAACTATTTCTAGTTACCAAAACTCTATTAAAAATGACATTGTCTTAAGAAAAAGGTACTTACACAAAAGTAGAGTTAATATCTAGATTGTATAAGAACTTAAAGTCACTGGTGTTATAAAATAACAAAGAAAGTAGGATAAGTATTAACAATTGCTTTAGTTTATACTATTTGAAAGACTCAGAATCCTTGGCATCAGGTTGTTTTCATAATAAGTAAGGACCATATAAAATGTGTCAAGACCTTTTTCTCAATTGATATGTTTTAATAAGTTTTATAACATTCAGTTTTTAGTACAGTCTATATACTAAAATTGGAAAATTAGAACTTAGTATAGTCTATATACAAAAATTAGTATGTATAGTCTATCTACTAAAATTAGTATAGTCTATCTACTAAAATTAGTAGATATAGTCTATATACTAAAATTAGTAGATATAGTCTATCTACTAAAATTAGTAGATATAGTCTATCTACTAAAATTAGTAGATATAGTCTATCTACTAAAATTAGTAGATATAGTCTATCTACTAAAATTAGTAGATATAGTCTATCTACTAAAATTAGTAGATATAGTCTATATACTAAAATTAGTAGATATAGTCTATATACTAAAATTAGTAGATATAGTCTATATACTAAAATTAGTAGATATAGTCTATATACTAAAATTAGAATGTTTTTGAAATATGTTTTAAGAAGAAATATGTATTTTTGATAACTGTATTGGCAATTCTTAAAAACGTGGAGGAAGTGATAAATATATCATTTGGTAATTAATTTGTGTAAAGACCCCTAAAATCATTAACAGCAGGATACCTTGAAAATTAAAAGAGCTTATTTAAAATATAAGCTTATTAGCAATAACAAATGGACTTCAAAATGAAATATTTACTTTCTTACCCATTAGCATTTTAATAATGAGAATATTTTAGACATGTACCAGTTTTTACCAGGTTATACTGCAGTGACAATCGACCTCTAAATTTCAGTGACAACAAAATAGATTGATTTCATGTTATATGTCTATTGCAGATTGACATGTAACACAGTCTCACATTATTGTAACACAACCTTACATTGTTGTTCTTTCTTGTATGGTCTAGGGAAAGGAAAGCCAAGGTGGCATTAAGGTTCCTGCTTGGCAATGCCACAAGTCACTTGGGCTTATTTTGGACTGACCAAAGCAAGTCATGAGAAGCAGTTAATATTTTGAAATAATATCACAATCTACTACAAACACCATTATAATTCCTAGGCATGGACCCTGCTTAAGATAAATATTTCAGTTTTGTGTGTGTGTGTGTGTGTGTGTGTGTGTGCATGTGTGCACGTGCATGCACACTTATATCTAAAATTGTATCTCATGGGTAATAGCTACATTTTTCAGCTTTTTTTATTGTTGGCTGGGATTCTAATTTTTTTTGTATCAAAATTTTCCCTGTATTTTTGTAATGTTAACATCTTATTGGAGTCAAGATTTTTGGCTTCAAGAAATAACATCCCACAGCAATCTAGTGTATTACAATGGAGAAGGGTTTATATGGATACAGGGGAATGTTGTAGAACCTACGGGTAGAAGTACTGCTGTGTTCATGTGGAACTAGAAAGTTGTCAGGCATTACTATTACTCTCTGTCTCTTTCTGGATTTTCTTCTTTCCTTATTTCTATGTGTGTGTTTCCTTCTTTGCTCTTTTCAAATGGTCATTTTTCCCTGCTTTTTCATTCATTTGGTACTCAGTGACAGCACCATAGCCCCTGAGTTTACCTGTCTCAACTTTAGAAAACATCAAAGACTCGACCATCCTTTCTGAATCCCAATTCTGATTTCCCAAAAGACAGAAGCACCAGCTGGTAGGCTGTAAGTGACCCACTATGTAATTTAAATCACAGAATTTTAATCTCTATGGATTAGGGGAGGTAGGAGGAGAAATTTGTAGAAAGAAGATTGGACAGACAATCCAAAAGCTGTCTATTATTCAAAGGTTAAATTTCTTATTAAAATAAGAAACTTTAGAATTTTTTAAAAAATAATTATTTTCATGAATATGTTTCAAAGAAGTTTTCAGTTATTTTTTTTTTCTTACTGTTGATAGGGAAATCTGATAAGCACACTGATAAAGCTTTAAAGTTAATGAACAGGGAGTTCTGAAGCCGTTAAACTGTAAAAGAAACAGCTATTGGATATAGTCATGTTCTTTTATACACTTTGTTCTTTCCTTAACCCAGAGGCAGTGTTAGGTCAATGCTCCAACTACACAACTAGCCATCTCCCGTAAGACCCAAGGCAACTGTTTCTCTAGAATAAGGGAGAAAAAGAAAGAAATCCTCACAATTCTTTAAAAAAAGTATTTCAATTTTTCTCAAACATTAAATTGTGCATTAAGCTTGTCTAATATAATTTCAATGTTCTTTTAAATTCCATGAAGTTTAGCTGCACTGGTAAAGCGGATTTAATATATCAGAACATTATACTTTTTTCTCCATCTTTTTATTTAGAAAGTTTGTAAACCTAAGAAAGGTAGAAGGGCTAAAACAGTGATTTCCCATATATCCTTCAACTGGATTCACCAATTTTTGCCACATTTGCTTATATCTTCCTACATGTATACTTCTATCTCCCTACATACATTGAACATGGTTTACTCAACTAAAAGAAGACCAGTTAATTCCCTCTGGAAGAACTTTATTGCCTTCACTTTATTTTGTACTGCATCTCCTGCTTTTTTGTCACATGGAAAATGCTCTTGTAAAAAATATATCTCAATCTAATGTGAATAACCAAAATGGCTCAGGGGCCTTTTCAGTCACCTATTAAGCCCCTCTCTTATGAGAAGAGATGTATTACAGCATAGGTATAACTTTGCCTGTTGTCATTGGTTTGCACACAAAAATGTCTTTAAATTTTGTGTGGATGCTTATTTTCTTGACCACTTTGCCGGAGCTATTCCATTTATTTTATACATGCTGGAAAATGATTTAGAGTCAACAGCAGGTGGCAGTGCTAGCAAACTTTGTGCTTTTGGTACGTAATCAGCTCAGAAAGTGATGTCTTTCAGTAGTACCACAGGAGCAATACAATTAGTAAGGAGTCCTTAAATACCTATGCTTATCTCCAATTTATTTTGAGAATTATTTTTGAAATCAGTTGAAAATTATGGATAAATGTATTTAGAAATACTAGTTTAGAGACTGAATTTTGTTATCATTGTGAGATCAAATAACTGAGAAAAATAGGTTTGTTTTATCCTTGTTTCTGGTTTATTCCATAACCAGAAAAAAAAATGTGAATACTTAAAATTAGAAAGATAAGGTAGTTTGAATCCTGTTAAAATTTGCTGGAAAAATGTCACAGCAACATTTATTTCTATTGATGAAAAGGTAGTTATGTATTTTGAAATTTTGTGGCAAACTTTAAGAAAGCTCTTATAAAGCAAAACTACTCTGATTCACCAGGGTAACAAATTTTAGAAAGCTTAAATTGCTCTTGACATTTATGGAAATAATTTCAAAAATGCTCTTTAGTTATAATTTGTTTCAGAGACCGTAATTTGTTGCAATTCTCTTCTTTCATTTCATAGAAAAGGAAACTGGACAAGCAAGGAATTTTTGTTTTCATTGAGGTATTTGATTTTTCACAACTTTTGTGTCATTTTACCAGAAACAATAAAGACTTTTTAGGAAGTCATATCAACAACTGTTTTATGTTCTTGGATTTTAATAGTTCTTCTGTACATGTGTTTCAATAACTTACATATGGCTTATTTAAATATTTGTATATTTATAGGTTCATATATCATCTAGATATCAGATAATAGCAGAGTAGTTGATTTCTTTTACTAATATGATTATTTAACATTAAGAACTCAGAACACTTAAAGTTAGCATAGAATTGAAAGCTTATGTAGTTTAATGAGATCATTGCTCCAATGGAGAAACTGAGGCCCAGGAAGGATTTCAGTGAAGGAGACTTAATGGTATAGAAAGATCCTGTTACATTCTCTCTTGATTCTCAGGCTGTCTCAGGAACAACTCAGTTGCAAATTATTATTTTATTTACTTATACTCTCAGGACTCCTGCATTCACTAGGTTCTGTATTTTACTATGAAGAAAATTACTGATAAAAATTCTGTCCTCCCCAAGAAGCATGCATTTTAGCCATTTCTCTAATTAACTGGTTGGCCTCATACCCCCATTTCCTAGATGTGTAATTAAAATTCAATGAGTCTTCCTGAACTATAGTTTCAGTGCTTTTGAGAACTATGTAGCAGCAGCTATTATTATTCCTACCTTTTAAGACTGACCAGTGAAAAAAAAATGATAAAATGTTTAAGTTATATTAAGATAAAACAGCAAGTCATCAAAAGGTGTGAGGAGGACAATAGAACTCTGAGGCATAATTACCGATTCCCCAAGGAGCAGCCTTTCCCACGAAAAACAAACAAGACAGAATGGAATCTTAAAATTTTCTTCAAGGATTACATTAAAATTAGGAAATGAAATGGAAACATTCTATGCATTATATGTGGAATAAATCATTTTGAAATAGAAGCACACTGCCTGTTCTCAATAAGATATCAATGATTTATTGAAGTTATTAGTTAACTGAAACACACAATTTTTGGCATACTATTGAAATTTAACTTTGATTACATTTTAATTATTACTCCATTAAAACCTATTATTTACATACAATAGCTTTTTATAAGGTTAGGCAAATCACTGTTTCTTGAAAATTCTCAGGTCATGTGTGCAGCCAAGTGACAGTGCCTTAGAAAGAGAACTTTAGTTTGGCCTGTGGTAATCTATGTTTTAAATTACAGCACAACTCATTCCAAATCAATATAATGAATTGATTTGTAAACGTTTGAGGCAGGACTGCTTTCTTTGGATTTTGTCTATTGAATGTGCACTGCAGTTAAAGCATCCTTTTTCTGCATAATTAAGTCTATGTTCTTGGCTTTTCACTGAGTTTAAACTGGTTTTAAAAGGCAGAAATGTATGTTAAGGCAAAATTATGCACATCCATTATTCTTAGTCTTATAAATATTGAAGCATTTTTTTCCCTTTTAGTGAGAAATGGAAGAGAAAATAAAGCTGAATGCCCTGAACTTTAGTTCCCCTTTCTGAGGATATTTTAAACTATTTTAATTCTGGGAAGCATTGAACATACTTCCCTCAAATGCCTAAATTGCCTGAATACACAGTAACATTCTTTATTCTTACAGTGAGGGCAATGTTTAAATTATGGTATATGAGAATGAGTGAACAAGAACAAGATGGTGATTTGAATTCTGAGAATTCTGAAAAGATTTTGAGCTAATATATAAATAGAAAGAGCTATTGTAAAAAATCAATTCAACCAACATTTATTGAGCACATGTAATAGTGCCTTATATATAGCAGACATTGGGTTAGTCACTTCATAAATATCTTCCAATTTCACAACAATCCTGCAGATTGTTTTATTCCACGTCTACATATGAGAAACTAGAAAGTCAAGCTATTGAAACTAGGACTAAAACATGAATCTCCATCATGATCTTTTGGCTGCGAAAGCAACATGTTGCTTTGCCACCTACCAGTTGTCACGTGCTAGAGATATAAAAATGAATAAACTCAGTTCCTGCCTTCAAGAAATTCATAAGGGTGGTCTATTGGGAAAGAATGCCATTCAAACAGTTTACATTATCATGTGATAAATCGCAGTACCTAATGATGTACTATGGTAAGGAGGGAATTATTTCTGATAATGGGAGCTAAATGCATAATCATTGAGATATGAGAAGGTTATAGTGCGGAAGAAGTTAAAAGTAGTGTTGCATGGCGGATTTTGAAGGGCCTGGAAATTTATGCTCAATAGCTTGGGACTCCTGGGTTACTCGGCTTTCAAACAACCCTCATGACTAGTTTCCTAAATGGTTGTTGGTGCTAGTGGATTTAATATTTAATGTCTTTGAATATACATTTGAATGCTTTGAAACTCCAAATTATTGAAAATTAGTAATTATCTAAGTTTTATTCCCCCAAACTTTTGTAGCTCAGGATACATTTTAACAGGAGTTATTTGCTATTCTCATTAACAAAGCATATTGTTTTATATTTTAAATTTACTCACACTTACACAGTAGATTTCAGTTGTCAATAATCATTATTGTAAAAGAATCCATACAAGATGAAGTACTGGTAGTATTCACTTGGCAACTTTATATCACATTTTCCAGGGTTTATGAAATATAAACGGGATTTTAGACAGTGTACATGGCTGCATTATAAGAGAGATGAATTTTAGGAGTTTAGATTTTTTAAAAATATAATTGTAGACAAAGAATATTTTTGGAGCTGTTAATAACCTTAATGTTTTTAAGTATATATTTGCTGTCATTTCATCTGACACATTGATTGAATTACGCATAAGCAACCCCTACAAATGGCTACCTTGCAGGGATTGGAGATGTTGGTAGGTTCTATATTGTCTTCTGTTAGAGATAATTATATTTCAAAGTGGACACTCAAAATTTTATTTTTAAATTTCTTTTGTAATTTGGGAATTGATAGAAACTTTAAATACTTGGAGCGTCATCCTATATATTATCTTATTTCAGCTTGGAGATATTGTATTTTCCATGTCCTCAATGGATAACATCTCCTATAATGTTATCCAGTTATATGAGATTTATTGCACTGTTGGTTAATGCTTTTTTGTGGACTTAATATCAGTAGTTTTATTTTGAAACAAAAGTTGTTGCTTTATGGATATATGTATAAGTTCTGAAATACTTTTCTGACAAAAATATGGATATAACATATATTAGGAACTTCAAACTGTTAGAGGGCTCAAGTTATACTTTTCTTCAAGATAAAAATATTTTAAAATGTGTAGCGTCACCCTGGAAAGAAACAATTGTATAGAAATGCAACTATTCTCATAAGCACTGATACTAGCTCCTCCCACATCTGTATGGTTTGATCTGTTGTTTCTCTTCACCACAAAGCAGGATTCCTTATCACTCTCAACAGCATGAAATCAGACATCAAGCTTGCCATTAAAACTTTTCACATTTTTCCTAAATGTTTTCTAAACATGAAACTATAATAGAAAGAAGGAGATTTGACATCAAGAAAGGAATAAGCAATTTTTATTATGGATGTCAAATATAATAGAAAGGTAACAATTGATCATTAGATTTTTTTTTTTTAAAGATCTCTGGGTTAAAGGTGTTCAATATTCCTGAGACGATATATGAGTCAGTTGACTATAGTTTCTGTATATGTATACATGTGTGTGTTTAATCTTGTTATTGCTACTTCTTAATAAAAGAGAACCTCATTTCTGAGGTTCTTTGTAGGATATTGTACTGGGTTAGAATTCATTTTTATGCCTTGTATATACAAACAGGCCCAGACGGATTTTATGTTGACTTCATCATGGCAGTATTAGGAAATAACTGTGATGCCAAGTGATGGCCTTACTATAGAATTCATTTTTGCCTAGGAGGCAAAAATCTTAAATTCTTACTAGCTTGTTAATATGTCAGGATATATTTGGAAAGTATGAAGTGTTTCCTAATTTTTATCCTAGTAACTCCAACTCTATGTACTTTCTTTTTTTTAACAATATAAAGAGGTGTGAGCTTCAATTAATATTTGGGATTACAAAATAACAGATTTAAAGGTATAAAGTGTGTAAACATCATTATTCTAATAAAAATTCAGATTTATAAGATGAAACCTCTGCATAGCCTTGAATAAATTGCTCCCAGTAAAGAAAATCCTAAAATGACCATTAGAGGGTGCAAAGACATTGCAGAAATGAACAAACTTTCCTAGAATGAGAAATAACTGAGAGAAGTGTATCTTTGTGACCATGAAATGCTTAACATTTCAGAAAACATTCAAAGCTTCCAGAGCATTTCGTTGAACATGAGATAAGTGTATGTTCATCTGAGTATAATCCTACTTTTCTTATTTGATTTCTTCTGAATGAGCAAGTTGTCACTCTGTTGGTTCTTGAAAAGCTTAAATAAGATCAAATCAGTAAAGCAGTGTTAAAAGGGGGAATGTCATTATAGTTGCTACAATTGAAAAACTGAATCCGGTTTTTTTTTTAGGTCATAAATTATCATTTTAGAGAAATTTAGATTATAAGTTTTACTCTTTGTAAAGACAAACTTTTGATTGGGGAGAGATAATCAATTCTTGAAAAAAAGAAGCTTTGGGAAAGTTTGAGAAAGAAAGACAAATGCTATAAATATCTTCTAATTCAATACATAATGCAAAATTTCTATTTATTTATTAATGTTGAGTGTTAAGATTATTTTCTATGCCAGATGATACAATTTTGTGGCACATGTCTATTGATTGACCTTAATAGGTCCTTTGGTTTTTTGAAAATTTTGAGATAACAAACCCAAACTAAGCAAGACAACAAATCTAACATTAACTGTAAATATTAATAGATTATTTGACAGAAGGAACGTGCAAGTTGATTCTGATACAGCAGTTGTTTTAATAAGTTTTTATCGCATGGTCCTAGTTGGACAGAAAGGTGAGATTAAATTTTTTAAAAAATATTTTTTGTTTTGAGATAAGATTAGAAGAAATTGAAAACTGCATCTACTGTTATTTATAAGTGAGAGAAATAAAAAATGAATATTAAACATTTAGTTTTAAGGCAATATCTGAAAGAACTGCTTTAGACATAATCTCTGTGATGATTTTATATCAGGTTTTAAAAATAAAATCAACTTTTGAAGTGAAATCTCATAGGAGATGTTAAGTCAATAAAAACATTTTATTTTGTTGTTGTGGGTTGTCATCTACTAAGAGATGCCCCAAAGCTCCCAGCATTCCTCATTTTTACACCATCAGGACCTTAGAACCACAGGAAGCACCTAAAAATTATCGTCTTTATTTATTTTATTTATTTTGTGGTGACTATCCTCCTTACGGAGGAGCTGAATTAAGGGAAGATCTAGTGTAAAGAGCAGTAACTAGTCATCTCAAAAAGTCCAGAGGAATAAATAATTTAGCTCTAGTCAATGTATTCAATATTCAGTTACCATATGTCAGGCATTGGTCAACCTGTTGTATTTTTTTTTTTTTTTTTTTTTTGAGACGGAGTCTCGCTCTGTCGCCCAGGCTGGAGTGCAGTGGCGCGATCTCGGCTCACTGCAAGCTCCGCCTCCCGGGTTCACGCCACTCTCCTGCCTCAGCCTCCCGAGTAGCTGGGATTACAGGCGCCCGCCACTACGCCTGGCTAATTTTTTTGTATTTTTAGTAGAGACGGGGTTTCACCATGTTAGCCAGGATGGTCTCGATCTCCTGACCTCGTGATCCGCCCACCTCGGCCTCCCAAAGTGCTGGGATTGCAGGCATGAGCCACCGCACGCGGCCAACCTGTTGTATTTTAAGATCAATCAGTACTTACTACTTAGAGTTTTAGGAAGCTGAACTTATTGTTCCTTTAGATTCTACATCTACTCAGGAAATGTAAGGTATCTTAGTACCTTTAACAAATATTCCAATCACTCCAGTAATTTCTGGATGCTACAGAATTGGGTATAACTGAGTTATGCAAGGCAGTGGCATTTTCTAATTTAGCGTTGATATGGGCCTTCTGTGGCTCATTATGCTACATTGATACTCACCATAGTAGTCAATTAATTTTGTACCTCAATTGCACAGATTTGGTACTATTTTGACATCTAATGCCAGGGAGGGCAGAGAGTTCCACATTGGGGAAAAAAAAAGTTAGTGTTTAAAAGGAGTTATGTTATATTGTGAGTGTACCTATTTTTTTTCACTCATAAGTCAGTGGGAACAGCCAAAGGTTATTTAATTCATTCCTCAACCTGTCCTAAGGACTCCATGCCATCCTGCAAAGACAGATTGATATTTATCTTCTTTAAATGTCTCAAGGGAAGGAAAAATCTATAAGCTACCTTGGTGACCCATCTTAGTGTGGAATAACCCTCATACATTTATACAAGAAAGAATGAAGAAAATTCTAGTTTGACATAAAAGTCATCATTTATGATGAGTCACTCTGAGAATGAGGGGGCGACTGCACATTTCTTCTATTCCCTTACGGAGAAGATGAATGACCTCTTACAGC
Organism: Homo sapiens; assembly: GCF_000001405.40. Classification (NCBI taxonomy): domain Eukaryota; kingdom Metazoa; phylum Chordata; class Mammalia; order Primates; family Hominidae; genus Homo; species Homo sapiens. Next base: position 103,589,676 of record NC_000005.10, read on the forward strand.
CTTAACTTTCCCCTTGAGTTCTGCTTGAAATAATCGTGATCCTGTGAATGTTAACTGAAAGAAAATCAAGAACAGCTCTCAGGCAACATATATAATTTTGGGAAAATAAGAGGTTGAGGAAACCCCTGAATATCTTCCTCTTCAACTTTTTTTTTTCGTAATTCATAGCTTGCTTTCTGACTTTCCTCTGCTCACATCTATTTCTCCCAGCTCATTTTCTCCCAAACTCCTGTCAGTGAACACAAGCTTGAGTCTTGACAAATCATGGCACTCAAGTGCAGAACTCTCTAAGGCACTGTCACAGAAAGGAGGCAATTAAAGAAGAGGAGGAGGAGGAGGAGGAAGGGAAGAAGGTGGAGGAGCCGACTTAAGTGAATGAGGTTAGACAGCTCTAAAATCTGGAATGCTCATCTCAGCCCTAACTCGGAAGTTGATGCCCCAGGAGTAGGGTGGATGGATGGTGGGTAAGGGGAATATATTTCCAAGAAGAAGTATGGGAAATAGACGGGCCCTCAATGTAACATTAATACACTGTTCTGTTAGGTCTCAGGGATAACCTATGTTTCCCTGGCCACACATATTGCTTTGGAAATTTGAAGAAAACAAGATATAAAAAGCAACCAAAGCAGGAGTTATATTTGAATAAGATGATAATTTCAGAATAATGTCTCTGGAGATGGTCTATTCAAGAGTTTTGTGGATATGATGCTATTTTAATGAAACCAATATGCGAAATGTGTCATATTGCCACCTAATCAAGCTGTGATAATGTTTCCATTGGATATTACATCAGTGTTCTGTTCTGATTCCAGATGAAATTTAAGGCGTTGACTACCAACTATAAAGTCCAAAATTATCTGGATTATGGTTACTTTCTTCCCTCCTGATGTTATATGTTGTGAATTTAGACTTCTGGGGCATTCTCGCCACTAGTTTTTAGATTACATTGATGAGAATTATAGAATAAAACTTGTTTTCATGCATTCTTGCTTAGGGAATACTGGCTAGCTTTCTTGGGGGGGGGCAGGAAGAAGAATATCTAAGCATGTAAATAGCGTCTATTGATATTGGACTTTCTTTGAAAAAGTTTTATTTCAAAATTTTAAGTATTTAAACTAAAGTAACTGGGTCTTTGAAGTTTCAAATATTGTTCTGTATGTATAACCTTATGCTTAAGTTTTATAGATTTAAATTTATGTTCTAAATAATGCAATTCTGGCTTAGGGATAGAGGATGGGAATGTAAAATGATTCCAAAATGTGAAAATGTTACTTTTTAACCTTCCTTTATAAAATATATTACTGAAACTTCTAGATATTTTAATAAATCCCTTGTTGTAATGGACCCATCCTGGTTATCTCCTAATTAGAACCCTACTTCAACTCTGTCTCTACTCTAATTCATTCAGTTTGTTTTATTCATAGTGGCCAGCATTATCTGTTTTTAATTAATAGACTTATTTTTAAAGCAGTTAGGTTTATAGAGCAATTGAGAAGAAAATACAGAGAGTTCCTATATACCTCTCCAACCTCCCACAGTTTCCCTTATTACTAATCTGTTGCCACATTTGTTATCGATGAGCCAATACAGGTACCTTATTATTAACTAAAATCCATAGTGGACATCATCATTTACTCTTTGTATTAAATAGCCTGTAGTTTTTGACAAATATAAAATGACATGTATCCACCATTACAATATCATACAGAATAGTTTTACTATCCTAAAAGTTACTTGTGTTTTACCTGGTCATCTCTCCCTATCTCCCACGGATCACTGGCAACCGTTTTATTTTTTTAACTTTTCCTGTGCTTTGCCTTTTATGAAATGTCATTTATTTGGAATCGTTTAGTATTTAGCCTTTTCAGATTAGTTTATTTGACTTAACAATATGTGTTTAAGTTTCCTCTACGTCTTTTGTGTAACTTTTATTGCTGAATAAGGTTCCACCGTGTGGATATGCCACAGTTTATTTATCCATTCACCTATTGAGTGCAACGTCTTGGTTGCTTTCACGTTTTGGAAATTATGAATAAAGCTGCTATAAACATTTATGTGCAGGTTTTTGTGTGGGCATGCATTTTAAGTTCCTTTGGGTAAATACCAAGGAGGCCTACTGCTGGATCCTCTCTTAAGAGTATAGGTAGTTTTGTAAGAAACTGCCAGACTATCTTCCAAAGTGGCTGTACCATTTTGCATTCCCATTAGCAATAAGTGAGAGTTCCCATTTGTATATATCCAGGCCAGTATTTCATATGGTCAGTGTTTTGAATTTTAGACATTCTAATACCAACAGATGTATAGTAGTATCTCACTGTTGTTTCAATATGCTATCCCTTAATGGTCATTGTTTTGAATTTTAGACATTCTAATACTAACAGATGTATAGTAGTATTTCACTGTTGTTTCAATATGCTATCCCTTAATGTATGTTTAGCATCTTTTTATATGTCCAGTTATCATGTGTGTGTCTTCTTTGGTGAGATGTCTTTTCAGATCTTTTGCGCATTTTAAAATTGGGTTGTTTTCTTTTCTTTTCTTTTTTTCTTTCTTTCTTTTTTTTTTTTATTCTAAGAGTTGTTTGTACATTTCAGATACCGGCAAAGATTCTCTCCTAACATGTGGCTTGTCTTTCATTTTCTTAACACTCTGTTTCATAAAGGTTTACAATGTTAATGAAGTCCAGCATCTCAATTTTTTCTTTCATGGATCATGATTTTGGTGTTGTACCTAAGAAATCATTGCCAAATCCAATTTCATATAGGTTTTCCTATATGTTATTTTCTAGAAGTTTTATAGTTTGTGTTTTACATTTAGGTCTTTGATCTATTTTGAGTTAATTTTTGTGAAGTGTGTAAAGCCTGTGCTAGATTCTTCTTGTTTTTTACATGTGCATGTCCAGTACTTCCAACACCATTTGTAGAAAACCCCATGTTTTCTCCTTTTATTTGCCTTTCCTCCTTTCTAAAAAATCAATTGATTATATTTGTGTGGGTTTATTTCTGGGATACCTACTCTGTTTCATTTATCTATTTGTGTGTTCTTTTGACAATACAGTCCTAATTACTGTAATTTTATAGTAAGTTTTAAAGTTGAGTAGTGTCAGTCCTCCAACTTTGTTCTTCTTTAATACTGTGCTGACTATTCCGGATCTTTTGCCTTTCCATGAGAACTTTAAACTCTGTCAATATTCACAAAATAACTTGCTGGGATTTTGATTAAGACTGCATTGAATTTATATATCAAGTTTATATTCCTGGATTTCATCAAGGCCTCCCAGCTCTGTGAGTTCCTGAACTTTAAACTCAGTTTGTCAATATTCACAAAATAACTTGCTGGGATTTTGATTAAGACTGCATTGAATTTGTACATCAAGTTGGGAAGAATTCTCTCAACAATTTGAAGTCTTTCTATCAATGAACATGGAATATATCTCCATTTATTTAGCTCTCTTTCATGAAAGTTTTCCTCAGATAGACCTTATACTTATTTTGTTAGGTTCATACACAAATATCTCATTTTTAGGGTGCTACACTGTAGTTTTAATTTCAAATTCTACTTGTTCATTGCTGGTATACAGGAAAGCACTTGACTTTTGTATATTAATTTTGTATCCTGCAATCCTGCTATAATTGCTTAGTAGTTCTAGGAAGGTTTTTTTTTATGATTCTTTGGAATTTTCTACATAGATAATTATACCATCTGTGAACAAGGAGAGTTTTATTTCCTTCTTCCCAATCTTTTGAGAAGAATATACATATATTACTCTATATATATTAAATAATATAGGCCGGGCGTGGTGGCTCACGCCTGTAATCCTAGCACTTTGGGAGGCCGAGGCGGGTGGATCACCTGAGGTCAGGAGTTCGAGACCAGCCTGGCCAACATGGCAAAACCTTGTCTCTACTAAAAATACAAAAATTAGCTGGGTGTGGTGGCACATGCCTGTAATCCCAGCTACTCAGGAGGCTGAGGCAGGAGAATTGCTTGAACCCAGAGGTGGAGGTTGCAGTGAGCTGAGATCGCACCACTTCACTTGAGCCTGGGCATAGGAGCAAAACTCCATCTAAAAACAAAAAAAAGAATATATATATATATATAAAACTATATACATAAAAAGATTATAACCTTTTGTTATATAGTAATATTTATTGTTAAGATACTTGAGTTTATGGGAATAGTAGGACTGCAGACATAAGAAAACCTTTATATGATAAGGTTAATTTCTGTTGCTTATCTCTCTTTTTACTATGACCCAACATGCTTCACAGGCGCTTGGTGAGAGGTTCACAGTTTCACCTCCCTTCCCACAGCCATGACCCCCTCTCTGAAATCATCATAGGAGGCCTGGGGGCCTCTTGGGATCCTGGATTTCATCAACGCCTCCCAGCTCTGTGAGTTTCTGATGTGTCCAACCCCCTAAGACAGGCTTAAAAGAAGCCCAGAATGCACTTGCTTTTTGCTGACAAAATAATCAGTGTTCATTGACCTCAAAACTACAACTATTCAAGGAACAATCCTCAAAAAATGCTGCATTCAGAACTGCTTACCCTTCTTAAAAAGTGTCATGACAAATTTCATCATGCTTTACACCCTTGTTTACCTAAGTCACTTTTGGAAGCCCAAGAATCTCAGTTCATACATTATCACCTGGGCTCATGTCCCATAAACCTTGAATATCCCCTAATATGACCACAGCATTCACTCCCACCCCATATTCCAAACTCTTTCACTGTGCTCTGTTTATCATCAAAATCTAACCTCTCTGGTATCTTCAACTGTCTTCTCATCATTCCCTTCACCTTTTTTCTTTAACTGAAATCTGGTCATCCTTGAAAACACTGATTACTTTCTAGTTCTTTCCATTAATGGCTATTTTTATTAACCCTCTTTCGGTTTCATTGTTCCTTCAGACAACCGTATCTCCCTGTCCCCCACAAAAGACAAGATCCTCTGAAGTCCATCGTCCTTTCTTGGGAATCTACCAGCCTCCCCCTCATTCACTGAAGAGTTGAGCATCTAGATCACTCTTCATTTTTGGAGACTTCAATATCCATGAGGATGACCACGCCTGAGACCACTGAGCTCCTAGACCTCACTTTTCCTGGCCCCACTTTAGTCCATGTCATACCACAGACTTTGAATTACTAACAGTTATACCACCTTCAAGATAAGGACTTCAGGCATTACACTCTTTTACCAACTGTTAGTTTCCTATTGCTGCTGTTATAAACTTAGTGGCTTAGACAACGCCAATTTTTTAATCTTATGATTTTGGGCTAAGATATCCAAAATGGGTCTCACAGGCTAAAATCAAGGTGTAAGCAGAGCTGCCTTCCTTCTAGAGGCTCTATAAAGAATGTATTTTATTGCCTTTTTCAGCTTCTAGAGGCCACCTGCTTTCCTTGCCTTGCAACTGTGTCCTCCTCCTTCAAAGCTAGCAGCATACAGTCTTCAACTCTCTCTGAATTTGACCCCATTTCTTTCATTACATCTCCTTTGTCTGATCCTCATGTCTCTGATCCCCATATCTCCCTCTTATAAGGACCATTTTGATTATATTGGGCTGACCCAGGTAATTCAGGAAACTCTCCCATTTTCAAGACCCTTAATCACATCTGCAAATTCCCTTTTGCCATGTAAGGTAACATATTCACAGATTTGGGGATTCAGATGTGGGCATCTTTTGTAGGCCATTATTTTCTCTACTAGATGAGCTATCTTATATTTCTAGGTCACTTAGTGATTCCCTGTCTCCAACAATTATTTGATTACCTTTGGATCTAATCCATTTACTGTACCACTTATTCGTCGTCTGTTATTGTCTTAATGGACTTACTTTTCTTCTTATCCAATTTACATTCTATGGTCCTTTACTACAATTACTCCCTAGCAGATACTTTCAACACCTCTCTCCCTCACCCTGAACCCTCTCCTGACTTCTGTAATACTCATCAGGCTGTATCCCTAGTTAAGTCCAACCAACTCTCTGCCTACCTACTTTGTCCCTGCCCCTGCACCTGAGTAGCAGAATGTGACTAGGAAAAAACCCACAGGTTCAGGAGTAATCTTTCTTATCCCCCTCCTCTTGTTTCCTTGGATGCCGAGGGACGTAAATAACGTACCTCTCCTGTCTCTAGCCTCTCATTCACTCTGCACTGAATGGGGAGCTGTGACTTTATTTACTTGGGCGATTAAAACGAGGAATTAGAGCCTCTCCCTCCTTGTCCTTGGGATCTGGCTGCTTGCAGAAGTATGAGGTCCCCTCTGTTCTGTGCTGTGCTGCTTTGAGAGGGCACTGATCCTATGGGGAGTTTTCAGTTTTCCAGCACTGACAATAACTGTGTTGGTGAACCTATCTAATTTTGGGGCTTTAATATTAGGAAGTTCACTTGCCCACAGATATCAGATACATTTTTCAAAATCAGGATGAAATAAAAGTAATATTTGGTTTCCTATTTGCATTTTTCTCACCTTTTTTTCTCAGTTGAGATAAAACTCAATTGAGTCCCTTGAAACTCTCACCACTCTATCTAAAGTAGCCCTCTTTCACTCTCAATTGCTTTGTCCGGATTGATTCTTCTTTGTAATGCTTGACCTATGTATTTATTTGTCTGCTGTCTGTTTCCTTTGCTAAATATAAGACACATGAGTGAGGGTAGGATGTTTGTTTTAGTCTATTCCTAGTGCCTGGAACAGTTCTTGGCTCATAGCAGGTTCTGAATGTATATTTCTTGATGATTATTGAAGGAAAGAATGTGAGGACATTTTCAGTATCTGAAGGTTCAATTTTGACTCTTGTAATTGTATTTTGTTTTATTACAAATATGTCAACTCTCAATTTTCTAGGGTAGAGTTAATGATTTGGAGATTAAGCTTGGTAAAATTTAATAATATTTCATGTGTTAAAAGTTAACTATATATTAGCTAAAAATTCTGCATAGTAATTTTCCATGAAAGTTTGTAATAACTGACATATGAAATTGTGTTTGCTTTAACCTGGGGACGTTCTTTTCTTTGTCAATCAGAAGTATAGAATAGTAATTTAAATGTTGGAATTCAAGCAAAAAAGCTGAGAGATTAATATTTTTAAAACCTCTTAAAATTAGAAAAAAAGGGGCAGGGCGTGGTGGCTCACGCCTGTAATCCCAGCACTTTGTGGGGGCTGAAGCGGGCAGATCACAAAGTCAGGAGATCAAGACCATCCTGGCTAACACGGTGAAAACCCGTCTCTACTAAAAATAGAAAAAAAAAAAAAATTAGCTGGGGGTGGTGGCTGGCACCTGTAGTCCTAGCTACTCGGGAGGCTGAGGCAGGAGAATGGCATGAACCTGGGAGGTGAACTGAGATCGGGCCATTGGACTCCAGCCTGGGCAACAGAGTGAGACTCTGTCGCAGAAAAAAAAAAAAAAAAAAGGAAAAGATAAGATTACGTCTTAAAAGCATGGTATGAAGAACAAGTTGGCCAGGCGCGGTGGCTCACACCTGTAATCCCAGCACTTTGGGAGGCCGAGGCGGGAGGATCACCTGAGGTCAGGAGTTAGAGACCAGCCTGGCCAACATGGTAAAACTCCATCTCTACTAAAAATACAAAAATTAGCTGGGCATGGTGGTAGGCACCTGTAATCCCAGCTACTTGGGAGGCTGAGGCAGGAGAATTGCTTAAACCCAGTAGGCGGAGGTTTCAGTGAGCCAAGATCTTGCCATTGCACCCCAGCCTGGGTGACAGAGGGAGACTGTGTCTCAAAAAATTTAAAAAAAAATTTAAAAAAAAAAGTTATTTTTGCCCTCTCTCTGAGTTCAACTGGATTGAAAAAATACAGGTCTAATAAGTTGTCCTCTTTTGAAAGCTGTAATGAAGTGTAGCTTCATTAGCAATGGTTAGAGAAATGCTGCTAGACAAGACAACAGTTTATTCCAAGTGTCAGACTGAAAGATGTAACAGACATCTACTGTTCTTTTCTGGTAATAGACCCAGGTTTTCCTTCTGGGAGTTTTCCTTCTCCCATTTGCAGTCCATGTGATTCACATGGCCTGATTGCTCTCCTAGGTCCAGAGGGGGTCATGAGGATCAAGCTTGAGTGCTCACCAGATTCCATGTCTCTGGCCACATTTACTGGTGAACATTCACTATGGACTCATGATCCAAGCTCTCCTGATGAATATGAATGCCAGGACTTCTGTTGGAGCTCTTGGGAACAAAGTATGCATTTTAGATGGAGTTGATCTGCTTAGCAGAACATAAGATTATAAAAAAATGTTTTTTAAAAAGAAAAATACTGTGGCTGCCAGTAGCTGTCTTGCTGGAGGCAGGCCAACTCACTGAAAATCCATTCTCCAAAAACGAATTATCTGAAATTAAATTTTCCTAATGAAAATTTGTTATATGGAAAATATAACAATTTACCAAAACCTTATTTAACAACTTGTAAAGATTACCACAATTTATACTGGGTGCTATGCTTTTAAAAGCTTATGAAGATTACTAGTTTTTATTTTTCTTCCTATAAGCAGTTTAAATAATGTTCTAGTTTATGAATTCTAAAGATTATAGGGTGACTTATTTTTCTTAAATATCTATATTTAACATTTACAAAGCAGTATTTCGTCACCAATAATCAATAGCAGTTCATGTGAATTTTTTCCAATATCTGTTTACTTCAAATATTTTTAATGTCTTTTTTAATATTATTAGCATTTAGCATTGTTCAGATCCCTCTGCCAATTTTCCATGTGACATTTAAACCTTAGTTTATTTCTAAAACATCGTAGCAAAATGTAATATTTGGGGTGACTTTTCCTCTCACCTTCTAGTTAATTTTATGCTTTAGACATATCTTCTTCTTTTAAGGATTTTTAGCCAATTAATTTTGATCCTTCAAATTCTTGTATTTTTGTGTCACATATGTCAAATCTGACATAGTAATCATACAGTACATTATAGTAATAATTGTAATTGCTTCTGGACATTCTAATTTCCTAAACACTGCTTTGAATAATTTTACCTTTTTACATCAAACCTCTTAGTTATTTCCAAGTTCATATACCCAATTATTTATTGTGAGAAATTAGAATAACTGTTCATTTCTTATGGATGGTTTTTATGCTATATTTTCTCCAGTTTTAGGCATGTTTAATTTTATTTCGTCAATTCCTCAAATGGCATATCAGCCTACTTTATATCTACCCATTGTTAACCAAAATTTCTGAAAAGAGTTGACATTAGACAAATTTATATTCATGAATTTGCCTTTGGAAAATAAATTTTGGTAAAATCTAATACCATTTCTATCACAAAGGAGAACTTTGCTAATTATGAATTTAATGCAGAACTGAGAGATAGAGACAGATTGCTGACAATCTAATTTGAACACCTGGATCCTGCTGTTCTTGAAGACAGAGATTGCAGATTGGATTCCCAGGAATGCAAACTGTAAGCTGGAAATTGGGCTCATAACATAGAGAGTATATTAAGAGGTGCTCTTGGGACTAACACCTGCAGAAGGGAAGTGAAAGAGGCCGAGTTGGGCTGAGAAAGAAGTTGGCCTGTGATGCAGTATCACCAAGGCCCACAGACAATCCCACCCTTTCTGGTGACTGCATCATGTTGACTTTGATCTAGCTCAACTCTTTTCCTAGCATCATGGGACCAGGGACACTGAATTATAATCAGAAGCTTACGTGAGAAACATGGAATGAGATGGGGAAATTGGAGACTTTTTTTGGCTCATGGTAAAACCTCAAGAATCTTGCACAGTGGAGGATTTCTCTCTGGTGACTGTTTATGTCTTCTAGATGTGAGGTCTCTTTTCCATGGAATGTGTTGGAAGGAATCACAATGCCAATTCTACCTCCAAAATCCTCATTTTCCGGTTTCATTATTCACCATCAACATTTTTATGACAAAATTTAATTTTCCTTGTTTTCTAGTTCTGGAAAATCCTCATCAGAACTTCTATCAGTTATAGCTCCTGTGTAAATCCTCTTGCCTTTGACTATTACTACTAAATATATTGTTTCATAAAGATAAATGGGCACATAAATACTTTCATTACATAGGAATTATACTATTCATGGAGGGGGCATCTCTAACTAGGACTTGCACTTACAGTCTATATAAAGGGGGGCCTGTTTTCTTTGAAACCCAACACTGCATGGTCAGAAACCATGGCACTTCGATCTGTCTCTGAATGCTTTGAAGAATATAGGCCTTCATATTAGGTTTCTTAGAAGAATACACAGAAATTGTATATAGTGCATCACAGAGCAAATTTCTAAAAATTCTCTGAGCACCTTTATCCCTCTACCAAACCTGGGGAAACAGAAGTAACCAAAATGGAAAAATTTCTTAAATATTTGGAGTTTACTAGCATAGTGGGAGAAAAGAGGCAGTAAATAAATAAACAAGATAAATAAACAAGATCATTTAAAATAGTGATAAGTACTATATAGAAAATATAACAGGGTAATGGATAGAGAGTGGAACAGGGGAGCCACTTCAGAGAGTATAATTAGAAAAGATTTTGATGGGGTGACACTTTGGCTGAAAACCGTATGGAGAGACAGTTGACTATATAAAGGTCATGGGCAGGAGAATTCCAGCCAAAGTAAATAAATAGATGAGGGTGGAGGCATAGGCAGGAGCCAAATCATACATGGCCTTATAGACAAAAATAAGACACTGATTTTTGTTCTGATTGCAATAGGACTCCAATGGAGACTTTTAAGTAAGAGAGCAATATAATCTGATTCACAATTTAAAATGATCACTCTAGATTGTGGGGACATAAGATTGTCAGGGAGACACCTATTATAGTAATCCGGGAGAGAGGTGATGGTGGCTTGGATTTGTGGGGTGTCAGAGAAGATAGTGAAAAGTGGTAAAATTATGATATGTGTTGGAGAGAAAAATCATAAGACTGGCTAATGATTGAAATAATGGTAGGGAAGTTGGTAGTGAGGCAAACAGAGGAATCAAGGGAAACTTTCCTGTTTCTTTCTTTCTGCAAGCAGTTTCCTCATAAGGTGGTATTCTTCCTTTACCACCTCCATGTCCGCCACATACCATGTTAGTGATGGACTCCCTTCCAGGTGCTCTCTTCAGAGACAGCCTCTGGGAAGTCGGGTTCATTGTTTGCTCTGGCTGCCTTGTTTTGGAGAAGCAGGACTACTGGAATTCTGATGACTGCATGTTTCTCTCTTGATAACATCATGTTATAGTCACCTAGCTTTGTTCTTCCCATTACCTCTGTCTTAAATTGTTTGACCTCTGTGACCTCCTCCAACCCTCTCTTGCCTCTAGAAAGACATTTTTATCCTTTAAATATTAACTCCTCTCTTTAGTTCTCCCCTCTTTGCCAGTGGAATAGATGACTCTGTGCTTCCATATCTTTTTGTACCTATCTCTAATATTTTATGCCACATCATATCTTCATTGTTTAACTTTTTGTCTATCCCATGAAAATGTGAACTGTTCATAGGTAAGGAAAATGTCTTTTTTAAAAAAAAAAAATCTATGTACTCCCAGCACAGAGCCTGGCACATTATAGGCTCTGAGGAAATGTTGGTTCAGTTAAAGGCACTGAATTACTTCATGTTCTATTTCAATGAGTTTTGTTTGGTAACCACTTACTTAAATAATCAAAAATATTTATGAAAAACACCTACATGCTGTTTCTTACCAAAACAGTTATTTTAGGTGCTTATTGTTAATTTAAAGGAGTATTTAAAAATTTTGCATTATATATTTGCAGTCTCTAATTTCTTTCCTTCACTGGAACCAGCAGATGGCACAGAAAGTTAAACTTTATGTGTTTACCATGGAAAAAAAGGTGAATGTTCATTGACCTCTAGCCTTTTCTCCTGGACATAGTAATATCCATTCTTAACAGCTTCAGCTCTATGCTGCTTGATAGACTTGTCACCAGTTCCTCGCAAAGTTGCCACATAAACTCTACTTAAGGGTGGAAGGCGTGGAACCACTAGCCTTTTTCTGAGGAGCATCTTGCTTCTAAAAAGCCACCGTAGAGATGCTGATGGTGAGAGTGATGTCGTGTGTGTAGATACAGATTCATCTTCTGAAGACATACATTTCTTTTAATTTAGGAAGATATAGTTTTTTAGGCAAAAGGACTGGAGGAGAGGAACAATTTGATGATTCAAATTAAAAAGGGAAAGACACTACTGTGTGTCATATTTTGGCAGGCCGGGACAGAGGGATCAATGCACCTTTCACATTTTTCCAAGGTGAGAATTGTACTAACTTTAAGGTAAACTGGGAGAAAGTATTAGTTGATACAATATGTTTTTAGAGTAACAAGTTTTTTAGCAGGGTTGAATAAGCATCTTTCTATGTTAATCATTGAAGGGAAACCAAAATAATTATATTTTTGACTAAGAATAGAACTGCAAATTGTGCCACTATCACCAGCATCTAAAGAAATATATAAATTAAAGTAAGTCCGTGATTATATTTGAGTCTCAAACATCTTACTGTTAAAACCTATGGGAAACAACCTGGTATTACCTCATCAAAGAAAAAAAAAACCCTATTTCTTAACAAAACTTCCATTCCAGCCTGGTTTCTCTGCTTCTTTTTACAGCAAAAGTCCATGAAAGAGTTATCTACACTTCCAGTCCCCAAATCCTCTCTTTGTATCTCTCTTATATGCACTCTTCTCAGGATTTTGCCACCCCACATCCCACCAAAGTTGCTCTTATCAAGGTCAACAAAGACCCTCTGGCGCTAAATTAAATTCTCAGTACTCATCTTACTTGACCTATTAGCAGCATTTTACACAGTTGATAATTCCTATTTCCTGAAAATGCTTTCTTCACTTAACTCCCAGGACACCACACTTTCCTGGATTTCTTTCTGTATTACTTCATGTCTTGTCTGTCTCCACTTTTTTAGTTTGTCTTACTTATCCTGTCCTCTTAATGTTGCTTTGGCAACTCAGACTTTGGACAGCCCTCTCTCTATCCTTCCTACTTTGCTGATCTCCTGTGCCTCATGGCTTAAATATTATCCAGTGGTGACAATTGCCAAATTTGTATCTTTGGCTCAGACCTCTCCCATGATTTCAGGACCATATATCCAGCTGACTATTTGAAAAATCTATTCAGATGTCCAATAGATATTTCAAAATTAACATATCCACAAATGGATTCTTACTTTTGTCCTCCCCACAAATTTGCTTCACTCATAGTCTTCCCCATATCGGTGAAGGGCAACTTCAACTTTCTACTTGCTCAGGCCAAAAATCTTGGGGTCATGTTTGCCTGCTTTCATTCTCTTAGTTTATATCCAATCTATCAGAATATACCTTGCCTCGACCTTCAAAATATATGCAGAGTTTTGCCACTTCTCAAAATCTCTGCTACTCCTTGGATCTAACCTACTGATATCCCTCGTTGGGATTGTTGTAATAGTTTCCTAACTGGTCTCTAATTTTTATACCTGTTCCTCTCCAGTGTATTCTCAAATAGCATTCTGAGTTGTCTTGTTAAAATGTAACCCAGAGCAGTTCATTCTTCAAGTAAAAATGCAAGGGCTTTCTATTTTTTTCAGAATCAAGTCCTTACAATGACTTTTACAACTCTACTGGGCCCCTTTACTTCTCCGATATCCTCTGCAACACTTTACTGTAATCACATTGGCCTTCTCATTTTTCCTTGAACCTACCAGGTACTATCCCACATCAGGACCTTTGAACTGGCTTTTTGCTTTTCCTGAAATGAATTCCTCCAGATAACATGTATGGTTCTACCTATATTGCTCTTCAAGCCTTTCCTCACTTGTCACCTCTTCAATCAGGCCTATTCCAAGCAAGTCATTTAAATTTGCAACCTCTTTCCCTGTGTACTCCAAAGGTACCTTAGTCTTGGTCAATTTTCTTTTCTGCAGCATTTTTTACCTTTTAATATTTTTTATATGTGGCAGAAATAATGGTTTGTACCACTCAGTAGATTGCTAGGCTATCGTCGTAGGCCTCTTGCATTTGGGTGGGGCATGTAACTCATTCTTGCCAATGGAATGTATGGGGAAGTGAAGTATATCATCTCCAGGCCAAGATATGTAAGTGCAGGTATTCCTTCTCCATATTCATTTTTTCTTTCTTCATCTCTTGGCTAGATGCAGATGATTAGTGGGAGCCTCGCCTAACTTTCTGAATCACAGTGCAGAAGGATGTCCATAGAACACCTAGTTGGAGTGTGATATGAGGAAGAAAGCAATCTATATTGTGGCCCAGAGTATTCTGATTAGTTAGTGCCTGTGCTGATGTAGAACACTTCAATATCACTCATAGGCATACAAATGGATAGTGTATTCACTTCAAACAGTGGGCTAGGTGATAGCTATTAATGGAGGGGAGTAGAAATAAATAAAACAATACGGATATTGTAGGCATGGTAAACAATTTTGACAGTTTCCTTAAATGAATTCAATAAAGATCATATGCCTTCAAGATCATTAAGAATTGACTACAATTTTGGCTAGTTTGTCTGAAAATTTATATCTTACAACTTTGAAGAAATTCAAAGACGTTTTCTTTTTTAATATTGTAGATGTTTATAAGCAGGCATTTAACTTAAACAGTTATTCTTGACAACATAAGTTTAAACAAAACCCTAATGAATACATGCCTTGTTTTCTTAGCCATGGCAATTTTCATAGTCATGACATGCATGCTAACATGTGATCTATACCCTGCAGATTAACAGAAATGAATCTTAGTTGGGAACAGATTATGTCAGATAGGATATGGCAGAGACAGAAAAAGAGAAGGTTCTACATTCCTGAACAGATGGAGTAGTATATCTTAGGGGCAGGCATGAAGCTGAATTCCAGGTGAGGCAGAAATCTTAGATAATGAGATAAATAGAACAAGAGAAAAAGATCTCTGACCCTACTATAGATGTCTGAGCCAAAAATTGGGAGCCAATTATTATATTTAGGGTTCCAGAAACTAAGTAGATTTTCAGGTAAAAAGAGAAGAGTGCAGATGCTACTGAAGTTTTGAGTGATGGTGGCAGGAATATAGCAGACATTTTCACCATTACTACCCAATAAGTGCCACCAAAATGCTGTATTAAAAAAAGAAAGGGTTGAATAAGCAGTCAAGTTTAATTTATGGATATAAAAATGGCTAACAATCTTCAGTTGTTTAATGTGTTAAAATATGTTTGATTATACCTTGGTGGTAATCTGAACATAAATTTTATTTTCATAATTTCAACTTGCTCTTGTTTATGTGAGCCAATTTTGGAAAATGAACGGTACATATAATGACATCTTGGGATAAAAAGTAAATATATTATTTGTGCTAAAGCCACTTAATTAACAGTAATTTAAAATAATCAGTTTTTAAAAAGGGACAACATTATTTTAAGAGACATGTGCATTATCCCTTTGTGCCCAGAACTACCAACACTTAGTGTGCATAAAAGTGACCATGAGTGTCAATATTTTCAAAGTCCACGGGATGAGCGTGTTTCTTCAAAATGCAGAGAATTGAAATTTTCATATGCAATCCCATATGCTTGACTTCCTAGGACAGGAAAGTAGGGTTTGCTTCGAAATTGAACAGTTAGGAAAAATCTGGATTATATACCTGCTCATTTTGTGTGGAAACAGACATTTGTTTCAAGAAAAACCCATTGTCCACAGCCTCTGTGATTAGGATTCAATGCCCAAGTGTATGGCACTTTATTAGTAGGAATGAGGGATGAGCAAAGTTGTACTTACTCACTTTTGCTCTGTTGGATCCGGTTGTGTTCTGGTGGTAGCATGGGGGCAGTGTTGACCCTTACCTTGCTTGCTGAAGATAACGGTGGCTGGTGTTACTGGCCTTTTATCAGGTTTCTCCATATTGTCACCATATTACCCTCTCACAGTCCATAGGCAGGATGTGAGTGTTTTGATGAATAGTTCAGAGGTTGTTCACTTTTGATCTTATGTTATAAAGTGAGTCAAAGAAAGTATCTTAAGGAGATCACACTCTAGTTACTACACCAGTTAGTGCACGTTTGGTCACACTACGTGAAAGGATAATGTTTTGAGAATTTTGTTTTTTAAAAATATTTCTCTCCCCATGTATTCTCTCTCTTTTTTTTTTTTAAATGCTGGTAAAACATTAGCTGTTTCCTTTCCTCAGAAAAGTTTATGGGAGAGCATAAATATAATAATAATAGCTAAACTTTATTGAACACCTTCTACATGCCAGGGACTTTACTAAGCATTTACAAATGGAACACTTAATTCTCACAGCATCCCCTGAGGTAGGTACCATTGTAATTCCCATTGTTCAGATGAGAGTATAAAGCTGCAGCAGCTACATTATGATTCTGCAAAGCAGAAATTGATGTCCAGCACTTTCCTTTCTAGTGAGGTGTATTAGTCCATCCTTGCATTGCTATAAAGAAATACCTAAGACTGGGTAATTTATAAAGAAAAGAGGTTTAATTGGCTCATGGTTCTGCAGGCTATACCAGAAGCATGGCACCATCTCCTTCTGGGGAGGCCTCAGGGAATTACAATCATGGCGGAAGGGAAACCCATTCATGAGAACTCCACCCCCATGATCCAATCACCTCCTACAGGTCCCACCTCCAAATTAGGGATTACAATTCATTGAGATTTAGGTGGAGACACACATCCAAACCATATCATGAGGTTTCCAAAAGCCAAAGTCCCTTGAGAAGATTAAAATTGATGTCCTGGAAATAGAGAAGAATGAAAGCTCTAAGAGAAAAACAAGATAGAGGAGGATTTTTTTTTTCTTTTTTTTTTGTGGCTAAAGGGAGACTGGGAAAAGGAGAGAGGTTTGTGGATCTCAGAAGCAGCAATAACGTGCCCTTTGCTTCCTGAGCAGGAATTAATATACTATGGCAGAGTTGGAAAATATATACAGCCTGTAGGCCAAGCCCAGTTGGTTGACTGTTTTTATAAATAAATTTTGTTGGAACACAGCTATGCCCTTTTGTTTACATATTGTATATAGCTGCTTTCACCCTACAATGGCAGAGTTGAGAAACTGCCATAGAGGCCATATGGCTTGCCCAAAGCCTGAAATATTTACTATCTTGACCTTTAGAAAAAATGGTTGCCGACCTCCGTTCTATGGTGTGGCTGTCATCATATCTATTTTAGGTGAGGCTACTTTACATCAATCTGATACTCACAAATTATTTTCCTGTTTTGGATGACCCTATTAAAACTCATGCAGTATTCTAAGAGCTGTGGGTTAAGCTAATTCTTGAACAGACTTCTGTGGTTTAATATCATTTTTAAAAAATTAAACTTTATTTTGATTTCTAGACATATGTATTTCATTTACTAGAAGTAAACAAAATTAAAATAATTTTTCTAAGTACATGTACTTAATAATGGTTTATTTTTAATGCCTATTTTGGACGTGTAACTGTTTTTTTAGTATTGTCTCTTGCATACCTCTTCTTTTCTAACAAGCAATTATTACTTTTTTCCCCTGACCCCAGTTTCACTGATTCGCCCTCCCTTGCAGCAATTTAAAATAGTGCCAAGGGAAGTTGCTTGTTCCTGTCTTGAATCTGTCAAGCTGTTAACTAGTTTCTTCTCAGGTGACTGCTGAAGATAAAGCAGGTTTTCAACAACTGTTTCAGGGACTATTTGGTGAGTTTTTCATCATCATTTTCAGCTGCAAGAGGGTCCTGACCAAGAAGAGGTAATACTTTTGTTCCTTGTGCTCTAAATATTTTGCCAAATTGCCATCTTCATATAGATGAGTAACTCTACATTTATTTGGTACAAGCAACAGGGCCCACAGAATAATTTATGATCTAAGTGCAGCTTGAAATAGCAGAATTGCTGTTGGTGCTTAGAAATTAATTGAGAAATCACTGTCTGTAATGTAATGATTTACCATTGTTTTTGAACCATGTTGTGGAACCTAAGAATGTTAATTAAGAATTATGGCATAGTCCAAATAGAATCTGGCAAAGTTTCATGTTGAAGCAAAACAATAAGCTATTAAATTATTTTGCATATAATAGACATTTTCATATTTACAGATTAAGTTGTGATTGATACTATTTAATGTCTGAGGACTTGAATCACACTAATACCACATATTATTCTGTAATTTATGTTGTCTAAGAGATGAGTATGTACCCCTTTTATGAATTTTTTAAAAATTAAAAAGAAAAATGTACCAAGTTAGAAGCACTTGAATGGATTGGAATTGAAGTAAGCTTTAAAGAGGATAATTTTATAAATCAGAAAAAGAGTGGTGCTTTTTAAGGGTTGGACTGATTTGAAAAAGTATCAAGTAAACAAAAATTAATCACGGTGAAAAAGTGAAGATTCATGGGCTGTTTAAAAAATGTGGTCTGTCTCAGAAGCAGTGTATCCCTGAAGCAAAGCTCAAAAACTTTTCTTCTAGGCAGCTACCTGAAAATCCCTACTAGAAGCAGTGATGGTTATGATAATGGCCATTAGTATTTTACAGCATTTTTCAGTCTATGATGCCTTTTCTCAAAATGAAGCTCATTTGATTTTCATGGTATCTCTGTAAGGTATCTTGATTTTCCTAATTTCTTTAATTATACTTGCCTCTGCTTCTATCGGTGGTACTTACCATGGATGTATGTCTGTGTCAGCTGGGATTCCAGTTCAGTACTCAGGAAGTACATCTGAGATTTAGTCGCCTCCCCTTTTTAAATATTCCTAGGTGATTCTAATGCATACTATCAGGATCAACTTGTATAACAATTGAAAATGTTGCCTTGCTTATATTTGTTTTCAAGTTTGATTTTTCTAACTAGGCAGCAATTATTCAATGAATTATAAGGTTATCCAAAACAAAACATATTTATAAAATAAGAGTTCTTTATTTTACACATATGGAAGCATATCACTTAGAAATTAAAACTTGACAGTAAAATTTTTAAAAAATCTCATTTGTCAAGAATTTAATTCAATCCAGTTAATTTAACAACTCTTTAAAAGTAGTAGGTAGACAGCATTGTGTTAGCTGATGCAAAGCCTTCCAAGCTGAGTAAAACACGATCCTTGCCCTCAAAGAGCTCGCAATGCAAAAAGTGAGATAAAACAAAGCAGAATATTATTACAACAAGACATTCTCCAGTTAAACGAGAATTATTACAGTTACCGTAATGAGGCTGTCAATGGTCAAAGAAATTAGAATGCAGCATAACCCACCTGATACCCAAAATCCATTGCATGATTGGCAACATTCTTTTGAAGGCTGTTGAAGAGGTATGAACTCTCCCTCTCTAATGTGTTGGAAACCAGGAGAGTCTGTCTTTAGTGGGAGAGAAGCAGATACACAAAAAATTGAAAAATACAATGGTGTGTAAGGAAAATGCAGATTACAGATGAAGGGAGGGTCTGAGGCAAGTTTAAGTAGACAAATGAGAGTTAAAAGACTAGAAGAACAAGTTAATTGAAAATGGGACAACATTTGGTACTAAATGTGGATATTAGGGTCGTGTGGCTTTGTCCAGGTTTCTGTGTGCTCCCAGAAAATGTTTGCAGCCAGTAGCCTGGGTGCATTTAAAAGGGTTGTGACAGGAGGCAACTTAGAAAGACATACCAAAATATTAATAATATATGGTTAGTTGGATAATGATAAATAAAAGTTATTTTGTATATAGGTAAGGAAATCCTTGAAGTGCAAATTGTACAACAGTCTCAAAAATTGCACTCTCTCTAGTAATTAATTCAGGAGGGGTACTTTACAGCTATGCCTCATGCTGGATCACTATCACGATGATGTTGTCTATTTTTACCATCTAACAAAAGCTTGTCCTGCATTTTTTTTTTTCCTAGCGAAGAAATCTCTGCCAGCTTTGCTAAAACATAGATTTACTGTCTGACATTGTTTTTTCAGGCTTTCACTTTATGAGACTGCATGTGGTTTTGATCCTAATGGAACCTGTTTTTGTTACTATCTTTCTGGATAAGTGGCACCCTATTTTCACTATGGCCTGAGGTGGACTGAGCCAAAGGCAGTACCACATTGTTAGATTTGTGGGTTTTTTTTTTGAGGAAAATACAACTTGTAAAGGAAGGTAGAATCATACCTTGATGAAAGCCTAGGAAGGCAGTATGCTTTTGTAAGTGCTTAGCCTTTCCACTATGTATATTGGGTATCTGGATTTACTTTTTCAATTAGTAATTATTAAGTCTTATTATAGGCCAGGCAATTTTTTTTTCTTTTTTTTTTTTTTTTTTGAGACAGAGTCTTGCTCTGTCGCCCAGGCTGGAGTGCAGTGGCAAGATCTTGGCTCACTGCAAGCTCCGCCTCCCAGGTTCTCGCCATTCTCCTGTCTCAGCCTCCCGAGTAGCGGAGACTACAGGTGCCTGCCACCACACCAGGCGAATTTTTTGTATTTTTAGTAGAGACGGGGTTTCACCGTTTTAGCCAGGATGGGCTCGATCTCCTGACCTCATGATCTGCCCACCTCGGCCTCCCAAAGTGCTGAGATTACAGGCGTGAGCCACCGCGCCCAATATTCTTGACATTAACAGAACATTGGTGAATAAACCAGGCAATAATCCCAAGCTGATATGGTTCAAATCTTTGTCCCCACCCAACTCTCATGTTGAATTATAAGCCCTAATGTTGGAGGTGGGCCCTGGTGTGAGGTGACTGGATCATGGGTGTGAGTTTCTCATGAATGGTTTAGCATCATCCACTTGAAGCTGTCCTTGCCATAGTGCATGAGTCCTCATGAAATCTGATTGTTTAAAAGTGTGTAGTGGCCAGGCGCCGTGGCTCATGCCTGTAATCCCACCACCTTGGGAGGCCGAAGCGGGTGGATCACGAGGTCAGGAGATCGAGACCATCCTGGCTAACACTTTGAAACCCCATCTCTACTAAAAAAATAGAAAAAATTATCCGGGTGTGGTGGCACTCGCCTGTAGTCCCAGCTACTCAGGAGGCTGAGGCAGGAGAATTGCTTGAACCTGGGAGGTGGAGATTGCAGTGAGCTGAGATCACACCACTGTACTCCAGCCTGGGAGACAGAGTGAGACTCCATCTCAAAAAAAAAACAACAAAAAACGGTGTAGTATCTCCTCCTTATCTCTTTCTTACTCCTGCTCTTGCCATGTAAGTTGCCTGCTCCTGCTTTGCCTTTTACCGTGAGTAAAACCTCCGTGAGCTCTCCCCAGAAGCAAAGGCTGACATGCTTGCTCTACAGCCTGTGGAACCATGAGCCAATTAAACCTCTTTTCTGATAAATTATCCAATCTCAGGTATTTCTTTATGGTAATGCAAAAACGGACTAGTACACAAGCTAATCATATTTATTAATCAAGGAAACAAGTACATGAACAACATAATAATTGCTAAAAGAAAACAAAACAAAGGGATGGGACAAAAAGTAATGTGGCATATAAAGAAGCTCTCGGGGTCTGAGTTTTTTAAGCAGTGTGAACCACATCACAGAAAATCAACAGCTGGATAGAAGAACAAGGCTATGTGTGGGAAGACCTGTCAGACAATTCCCAATGTTGACTCTGCAGAAATGTTCATGTGAGCCATCTTTAAGAAACGTCCATGAACCATTAAACAAATATTATCACTTGACAGTTCTACAACGACCTTTCTAAAAACAAGGGCAATTTCTCAACTGTAAAAGCCAAATAATTGATATTGTTCTTACATTTAGTTCCTTTCTATTTTCTGGGGGGAAAAAGGAATTCAGCGGCAAGTGAGGACATTGCATAGAAAATCTTTTAAATCTCTAATTTCCATAATACCCCAAGGAAGGAATACAGACCACTGCTAATTGGGTACTTTCTAGGAGTTGGAGTCAACCTGAAAATTAAGAATCCTAGTAGCAGTTGTTTTATTTACAATTTTTTTTGCACTATTTGGAATTTAGCTTTGGACAAAAATATCTTATCCCATGTAGATTCTTAGCATGCCATTATAGAAGAGAGTCTTAAGTTAAAAATATCTAGACCTAGGTATCATAGCTTATATAGATAAAATTGAAGGTACTGAGCACTAACCACGAACTTAACTGCTGCATAGAAATATTTTATTAATCCATTCTTAATTGTAAATTCTTGATCTAAAAACATATAGATTTATGGGGTTATTATTGGAAACACCTTGCCAGATTTATATACATATATGTGTATAATTTTAAATATATATAATTTCACATACACGCACACACACACACACACTGCACATATTGTTTTTGCTTAGTTCATTCACTCTTTTGAGACAGAGTGTCCCTCTGTCGCCCAGGCTGGAGTGCAGTGGCGCGATCTCAGCTCGCTCAAGCTCTGCCTCCCGGGTTCACGCCATTCTCCTGCCTCAGCCTCCTGAGTAGCTGGGACTACAGGCGCCTGCCACCACGCCTGGCTAATTTTTTGTATTTTTAGTAGAGACGGGGTTTCACCGCGTTAGCCAGGATGGTCTCGATCTCCTGACCTCATAATCCGCCCGTCTCGGCCTCCCAAAGTGCTGGGATTACAGGTGTGAGCCACTGTGCGCGGCCAGCTCATTCACTTTTCAAAGCAGTATTACCCCAGTTTGGCAGATGAGGAAACTGAAGCTCAAACCTCTCAAGTGTCTTGAACATGTTTACAGCCAAACTAGGCTTTTAACACAACGATTTCTGATCCCATAGTCCATCCTTTTTCACTCTGCCATACTGAATTTGGAAATGTTGATGAAAAATAAAGTCTTTTATTGTTTTGTTTCCTGCTTTTGGTAATCAGATGAAAAGTATAAATAAGTTTGCAAGGGAGAAAATTTATTTAATCTACATACACAACAAACAACCTTTTAGACTCTGGAAATGTCTAGTCACAAAAAATTGGCACCCAGAAAGCAAAATGGTTTTATATAATTTATTGAAGCAGAATTTCCAAATAGTTATTGGAAATGTTTTGTTAATCTTGTATAATTATTGTGTGATATGAAGTTAATGAACATGAGCACCCAGGATATTTCAGGATGCACTGCAGGAACCACTGTCTAGCAGTTATTGCCTTTATTCCTGTCCCATTTCACAGACAAAGAACCTGAGGTGCAAAGAATTTAAGTAATTTATGCAAATAAAAAGCTGGGCTTGACTGGCTCCTAAGTCTCAGCCAGCTGTGCTGCTCTAACCTCTAGCTCTTTTGCAGTTAGAAAATATTCACGTTCTTTATAGATGAACAGAATAGTTATTCACTCTTTCAGATGAGACTACTTCTCACCTGGTTCTAATAGTGAGGTTTATCCTGAATGTGGTGAAATCTAGATTCTTCTTTTATAGATGTAAACTTAAATAAATGTTATATATCATTTTTTAAATCCTTTCCCAGGAAATTTTGGAATATTTCAGGCCATTGGAATCATTTAGTTAACTGAAACTTATTATGTGGAAACCTTAAAGATTAAATGCCTTTCTCATTATTTATCACCCAACCTACTATTATACTGGAACAAGATATTAGCAGTTGGGGAAAATAAAACCACTGGCTGTTTGACAAAGACAAATTCCTATACAAGGACTTGTAGGTCAGAATGAACTTCATCCCTAATCTCACTTCTAATTGATTCATAAGTGGGATGGGCTTTTTATTCATATTGCAGTGTAACAACTCTGATAGGGATGATGGCAGCCAGAGCTTTGAAACATTGTGCTATAGTTCATCACTCTGATTTCAACTTTCCAAAATTATTTCCCTTTCTACTACTGGAAATGTTTTACTTTAAACAAAAACTTTGAGTTCCCGGCAGGTTTCATACACATTGATTTGGTAATCCATACAATGAGTGCATGATTTTAAATTGTGTTCATTACTGCAGCCTGTATTCTCAGCAACTAGATAGGTGGTCGCCAAGAAAGCTAGCCACTAAAAGTGGCTGACTCAGAACAACTCAAATTGCATATCACTTTGAGATACTGGTAGCACGTTAAAAAGCATTGTTCTTATCAGTTCCTACGAGCTAAAAAATCTATGTGTTTTTTGTTTGTTTGTTTGTTTGGGGTATATTTTTTAAATGAGAAAGTATTTGGAAAAAGAAATGAAACCACAGAGATCAACCCTGGTTTTCTTTAAGTAAAATGAATGTCCTGTTATAGAGAAGGAATATTTCAATCTTGTTGAAGAGGTAAATGAGAAACGATGTTTCACTGTCAAGGTGTATCTTGCACATTTGATGGAAAATTACTGAAGAGAAGCAGTTACATTTCAGCATCTCAAACCCGTTAGGAAGTGAGAGCAGTTTCTCTCTGTGGAATTGTTACTGTGAGAAACAGGCTAGCTTGTAACACTGGGGTGCTTGATTTCAAGCCCAAGTTTATATTGGGCCTTCAACAAGGTGTGGAACTGTAATAGGATGTGGTGGTTTGATATAAGGTAGTTTATAAGTCTGATCCTTAAAAGCTCATGACATTCTGCTGAGAATTTTCTGCTCTGATTTTTCTCAGGTAAAAAATGTAAGGGGGTCATTGTCAGACACTCCAAGTTGTTAAACAAATATGAAGCAATTACTACTTTATGGGCACATTTTCTGAGTGTCTCTGCTATGGTATATCTTTGGCAAGCTTCAATTGCTGGAAAAAAAATCATAGATATACTGATACCCATGATAACTTCAGAATAGTATAAACCATCTTTAATTATCTTAGAGTACAGCTGTCCTACTCATGTTGTTTTCAGAAATGAGATAGGAATAAGACCAATTATAATAAGACCCAAGGCTCCTGGGATTTTCTTTTCACTGGGTAAGATTTCTGGAAAATCCTAATTTATCTGATTTAATGTCTGTGAGAAAGTAATTTCCAGCCTACAACTAGTTCTCATACAGATATTTTTGTTGCCTTACAAAATTCTGTGTTTCACAGTCTCTAATTACTGTTTTACTGACATGCAAATAAAGATCTATAGTGATCACATTTGTCCCAGGCATGCTTGCTTTGGCAGACCCCACTTATCATATTAAACAGATTCTAATTCTAATGCAAATATTTGAATCATCACATTAAATATATTTTTGATAAAAAATTTTAAGATAATTTTACTTTAATGGAATTAGTTATTTCTTTTGCCCTGGAGATTTAAATTTTATTATGTTTGTATGTGAATTGAGTCACAGGTGACATAACATTTTTGCAGCTATTACTCAAATATCTCATTAATTTTTAAATTTTGTAGCCACTGATATATAATTATTTTCAGGCCCTTGGAAAGCTCAAAGAGTCTCTTGTCTGTGTCTGTAATACCTAATGTAAAAAATGATCCTAGTTGTGCAAAGCTAGTCTAAACTATTGATATTCTATGCAAAGATGTAAGACAGCCACTGCAATGGTAGTTTCATGGTTCTTATAGAAAAATTGATAAGTGTTTGCTTCCACTTTTGTCAGAAGTAATGTTGAAATCCTTAGGCCACTTGAGACAAAATGTTGTCACCTTGAGGATAGTGTAACTGACAGGATCAGTGTTGAAAATCCTATGTGAAATTGCTACTTAATATGGAACAAGTATCATTTTGATACCAGCTTTCAATCTAATAGATAAAATGATCATTGGTTAATCATGCACACACACACATTGTTTAATCACACACACACACACACACACACACACTTATGTATATATAACCTATTCAAGCTAATTATATTATATACCCCTTTATAAACAGGAGACAGAAGGCTTTGTTATCCCCACCTTACCACACCGTAGACACAGCAGATTAAAAAAAGAAAATAAAAGGTTAAACCTTGTGGATCAAAGATGAGGCAGGCGATATAAAATGGATTAAAGTTAAAATGAAGATAAATTGCTGAAAGCAAACAAAGACATGAGAAAATGCAAAAAGCTTTCAAGGTTAAATAGAGTGATAATCTCAAAAGCCAAATGAATTTAAAAGTTCTTTTCGGTTTTATCACAAACTTTCACAAATAAGACCTTAAAGAGATACCTGGGTAAATATGATGAGCTGCTGCAATAGTTCACCACAGGAATACCATATCTATCATCTAATTACTTTTTTCTTGCAATTTTTCCTCTATTTAAAACAAAAAAAAAGATCCCTCAGTTCGAGACCATTTTAATGAATTATTGATATTTGGGTCATGTCAATACAATGCATATTTAATTTTAATTTTAATCATTGGCTGTATCAAATGTAGATGCCATTTATTAATTTGAGAAAGAATAAGTTGTCTAAAAGTGGCTAACACCCTAGTATAGAGTTCTGTGCAAATATGGCTGGGTTTTGTGTTTAATGTCTACATAGAACTACTAGTTTTCTTGTGGCATTAGCTAGAAATTTTCTCCTTTACCTGTTATTTTGTACAGTTTCTGATGGCTTTTGGGTGACTCGTGGCTTGGTCCCTCAGTGGCTTACCAGCCAGCAGTCCTTTGTTTTGTATCTTAGATTATTTGATGGATTATCAAGGTAGTGCCCAACTGTATTAGAAAGAAGAGCTATAAGCAAAATTATGGTGAGCCTCTTAAAACCCATAAAATGAGTGAAAAGACTTTTGATCACATGTAATATTTAGGAAATATCCTGGTAAAATTTTAGTTGTGTAAGAAATGACAAGTGCATATACTACATCAAGCCTTGGCTACTGACTCATATTTTATGTTGGTGTTGAGTATTTCTGGTTTTCAACAATGCTGAATTTGATTTTTTTAAAAATAGGATAATTGGGAAGGGGATTATAATAAAACTTAATTTAACTACTAAAACTTTGAAAGGTCACAAAGCTCTTCCTGTGGTTTCAAAGAGAAAGTATGAATTGTGCTGGCATTATTTGATTTTTTAATAGAAAAATTACTATGGGAATTTTATAGTTTAATGATATTGTGGATTAGAAAAATATTGTAACCCAAATTAGAGTTTGTGGAAACCAGAATGAATAATTTAGTTATTCTGGAGCTGAGAACATGAATCTTGTTTCCAAATGGAATGTGGAGTTACTAACATGGAGAATAAAGGAAAATAATTCATGTTAAAATGATTGTTAAAGTTCAGGACAGTAGATGTTCAAGAAAGACAGGCCTTTTTAGTCATCTCTTTATTTGTGAGAAATGACTAAACTCTTTTACCTAATTAAGGTAAAAACTCAAATCTAAAAGAGATATGAATATATATGGGGCCACCCATTTTTTAAAATATGGGAATTAGGCCAGAAAGTTGTTAGGTAATAGTGACTGCTAGCCTGTGGTGGAGCTGGGAAACAATTTCTAGACAATCAGACTAGTCCTGCTCTGAGAAAAAACACAATATAGATTTAGCATGGGTGATGTGGGGAAAGGGAATGATCAGAGAAGGTTGTAGATGATAAGAGTGATACTGAACTCTTATTCTGGATCAGTTAGAAGTGGCAGGGTTTGCATTTAGGAAATTTCAGATAATTTAGAACAGTCTTTCAAAGTGTGCTACTTGGCTCCTTGGAGTATTTAATATGAAATTAGAAGGTAAATGGGCACAGCATTAAATAACACTGAGCCACACAGAAAGAGAAGCACCCTGTTTGCAATTTTTTCTTCTAATTAGTGTGCAGAAAAAAACAAGTCAATGTGGTGCTAATATGTACTTAAGAGCTCTCTAGCACGTGTTGATCTCTCTATTTAATAATTAGAGAGCTGGCCTTGGCAAGCAACTGCATCTAGCTAGTTGTTTTGACACATTTTATGACACATGATATTGATTTTTCCCTTACAATAGTGATAGGGAGTTTTTATCTTAAAATAAATTTATTTAAGTAAAAATAGTGATTCCATTTAAACTAAAATATTAAGTACATAAGCATCTAGACTTTAAAGACACAAGTCATGACAGCAGTATGCAAATGAAGGGAGTTTGACCAACATTGATCTACGAAAGATACTTCAAGCCTTCTTTTATTTCTGAGAGATTCTGGAGGAGTTTGGTCAAGCACTACATGCCAAGAACTCTTTGGTTGTACCTCACCTTTTTAATGATAGGAACTCTATTTACTGGGAAGGGATGTAAAACTCCCCTTGTCCAGTACTAGAAAAAACAATTTAAAAAAAATGGCAGCTTGGATAGACCATGGATTTGTGAAGACAAATGGACCACTCCTAAAATGAAAAAGAAACTTAATACTATCTTCACCACCAGACACTTAACACTTAGTGATTGTACAAATTAGTTTGCAATAGTAACATTTATAGTATGAAAATGAAAAAAGCAATGGTTTCTCCATTGACTTTTTTACATACACAGTTCTTATACAGCTTGGGCATTTGAAAACAAACTATATTTGATTAAGTGTAGTTGCAGAAAAAAATAGCTAAAATGCGAGACCTTAAACAACAACCATAGACATATTCCCTGATCTTTAGTAAATGGTAACATAAGCATATATAAAGCATGTTGCCCTGAGAAGGCAGTGATTCTTGAATAGTCTGGAATGTATTTGGCAGGAGTTAACTTCCCTCCTCTGACTCTTGTTTGCACTTTTCTTACCAGACCAGGGTCATCTAAGAAATTAATACTCAGCAAGTTTTATGACTTTTCAGCAACTCATAAATTTAGAGGTTGCTGCTTAAGTGGACAGTGAATGTGAATGGATTATTTTATGAAGACTTTGAGGCCTCTAATAACTTTCTGTAAAGATGATTTGATATATTAAGAGAGCTTTCGCACAGCTGATTTATTTATTGAATATTTTTTACCATCTGCACCATAGGCATTAAAAAAATTATTTGAGTCCTAAACATAGAAGTAGCGCCCAGGCGTGGTGGCTCACACCTGTAATCCCAGCACTTTGGGAGGCTGAGGTGGGCGGATCACTTGAGGTCAGGAGTTCAATACCAGCCTGGCCAATATGGTGAAACCCCGTCTCTACTAAAAATACAAAAATTAGCCGGGCATAGTGGCTGCTGCCTGTAATTCAAGCTACTCGGGAGGCTGAGGCAGGAGAATCGCTTAAATCCAGGAAGTGGAAGTTGCAGTGAGCTGAGTTCACGCCACTGCACTCTGGCCTGGGGGCAACAGAGCAAGACTCCGTCTCAAAAGGAAAAAAAAAAAAGAAATAGCTGTGTTGTGTATGGTATTAAAAAAAAGCTGAATTGGATACACATATATAAGACTACCAAAAGGAAATATTTCTATATCTATTGGGCTTTTATGGTAAAAGACTGGTCCAAAGAAGATTTTCAATAGGTTATAAGGTAGAATTGGCCATTTTTATGTTCTTGCTCACTCCTGGCTCCTGAAATTCCTTTCTCTTCTGTGCACTTTACTTTTTTTCTGTTTTAACTTTACCCTTTACCCATTTTTTTGGTATTACAATTAGTAATGTACACATCTGTCTTTTTGTAGGTCTTGAAGCTCTGTATCATACATATCTTATTCAACTCCCAAGACAGTATCTTATCCATAACAGCCTTTCAATGAATACTTTTTGAATTGAATTTTGAGAAATGCTTAGCCTACATCAAGAAATAAGCAGGCTGCCTTGAGCCTGGGAAGTTATTCCAGTTTTGTCATTTGCTACCTGAGTGTCCTTGGAAAGGTTATGCAATGTCTCTGTTTCAGTTTCTCCAGCTATAAAATGGGGTATTAATAGTACTTACATCTTAGAATGGTTATGAAGATTGAGTGAAATCATTTATGTAAAGACTTGGCACAATGTCTACAGCCACATATAGGAAGGGATCAAAACCTTTAGATATTTAATTTTGGTAGTAATATCCCAGTACTTTTTTCAAGGAATACACAGAAGAATTATAGATTGCCATAATGAAAAGAAAACCAGAAATCCAGGACTCTAGATTTGCCTCTTGTTTCTGTCAATGTTTGTGTAAAGTTAGCTGATCAAGAAGATTTCCTGCGCTACGATTTCCTCATTTATAAATGAACTTGTTTGAACTTGATGTCTCTAGAACTTCCAGTTTAAAAGTTCTGTGACTATGATGTTTTCTGTCAATGGAAGGACATTTTAAAAATACAAGTTAATGTGTTAATATTTAGGAGATTGCATAATCTGCATATGATATACTGGGTTTACAGTTCAATATTAAGGTCTTATTGAGATCACTATAATTAAATGATCTTTCAATCTGTACAAATCTCATTTAAATGAGCAAAAGTAAGATGCATACTCATTATATAGAGTTAATTTTGTATCTACTTAAGCAAAAGTTGAAGCTGAACAGATGATTTATCAAATTAGGTTATCTGATGAGACCAGATACTAGTACAACTGAATAAGATGCCACACAGATGTAATGCATTAGCCGTGTTTTCAGAAAAAAGTTTAGATAATGCTTTGGTAACTTCTTTCTGTAAACTAATGTGTTATAATGCTTTTATGTGGATGTTTGCTGAATACTTATACATTATTATTCTGAAATTCTCTCCCTGACCCAGGTTTCAAGGAAAATTGACATTTAAATCTTAGTGACTGGAAAGTGGAACTGACCCATTCCACTGGGTTGTTCCTAAAGCTTGGGATTAAAAGAGATTACCATGGATCCTTCCTGGTTGTGAATCACATCACAACACATGAATGATTCAATCTTCTCTTTACTCCAAATACCTAGCTGGTACAACCCTTTTCTTTCCCCTCTGTTGAGTTTGACAGGTAACATTAGTGCTATCTCTCATTCCTTCTTTCACTGTCCATCCTTCAAACCATTGCAATCTGATTTCTCCCTTCCCACTTCATTGAAAGTGCTTTGGCAAAGGATGATGACTTCAAAATTGTTAAGTCCAACGAGATACTTTTATCCTTTTTTTTCACTCTGCTGCTTTAGACAACATTGCTGCATTCTCCTTCTTTAAACTTTTAAACCAGTAAACATACTTCTTCCCTGTCAATATTCTTACCTTGTTCTTTTTCTTTCTTATGGTTTGGTTCTTCTTTTTTGAGACTTCTCATTATCTTTTGCACCTTAATTTCATCTGTTCTTACACACTCAAGCAGAAAATCTTTTAGCTCTATTTTCAAAATGTACCCAGGGTCCTACCATTTTTTTACCACTCTAAACTACCATCATTCCTTCCTTAATTAATAGGGTAGCTTCCTAATTCATTTCTGTGTTTTTTTTCCCTTGCCCAATAAGTAGGTTCTGCAGATAGCCAGAGTAGGTCTTTTACAACTTAAATCATATTACTTTTCCAATCTAAACTTCTAATGGTTTCTAATCTTATTCAGAGTGAAAGCTGAAGTTCATACAATGGCCATTAAGGCTCTACTTGATTTGGTCCCTTGTTGTGTCCCTGATATCACTTCCTTCCACTCTCCTTCTTAATATTCTTCATTCATATTGGTTCCTTATTGTTCTTCAAATATATCAAGTAGACTCTTTACCTCGGGGCTTTGGAATTTGCTGTTTCTTCTGAACAAAAAACTATTTCCTAAGACATTCATATGATTCACCTTCTCACTTACTAAAATCTCTACTCAAAAAAAAATCTTAAAATTGCAGAACTTCCAGGCCACTCTCTATAAAATAACAACGTTCCCCACTTCCTCCTTATCTTATTTGATTTTTCTTCATCTTATACTATTGATGACTGCCAAATACTTAATTTTGACTTTCCTTTTAAGCTTCTTGATAAACATTTACACTTAATTGTCCCACAGGCACCATGAATGCACATGTCCAAAACTGAAGCTCATTGTAAGTGCTGGAAATACCCAGCTGCTTGTAACCTGAACAAAACCTGTGGCTTCATGTTTCTATGCAATTACTCATATTAATTTTTCACCTGTAACACTCTTATTCACCTCCTAATTTGTACTCATGCTACAAGATCAGATTTCATTTCTTCTTGTAGCCTTTTATTAACATAATTCCCACCCACAGAGTGGTGAGTTGTTCCTCCTCTCTGCTTCCATAACACTTTAAGCTTATCTTTAACCACTGTATGTATTGAATTATAGTGATATGTTTCCTTTAATTATCTCTCTTCTCTAATAAACTGTAATCTTAAGGATAAAGACTGTGCTGTAGATATCTTTCTATTCTTAGCGCCTCAGTATTGGCAGCATGGAAGGAACTCTAGGAATGTTTGTTAGACTGATCAGAGTTAATGTTCCTTAAAGAATGACAGAATGTAGAGGAGCCTATTAGCCAAAGAGAAAAGAAGAGAGGAGAAATAGTAAGAAAGGAACTTTGTGAATGACTCTGACTCATTATCAGGGCTAATCTTTATACAACTCCAAAAAATTGAGGGTTTAGATACTGGAGGTGGGATTAGGGGTGGAATAGGGTTGGCAGGGCAGTTCTGCCATTGGCTATGGATATTTTGGAAGAGAGGAAAGATAATAGAGGTAGCGAAACAGAGCTTTATTCTTTTAGCAGCTTCACAACACAGTACCAGTTGTCTGGCCCAGCTTTAGCTGTCCTGTTGGGTAGTGGTGGAAGGATAAATCACACAACAGTAAATTTTCAGGAGACCCAGAGGCATCTTGTTAACAGAAGGAAAGTAGAGAGAAACATTGTGTTTTAGAGAAACACCATGAATAAACACTTTAAAGAACAACCCTTGGTATATTTTCAATATACAGATAATTGAACAATAGGTTTCATTCAGTGCATGGCTGTTTTCTTATCCTTTTCTGACTAATGGCATTTAAGATGTTGAATTGAAGTATAGAGTAGATAATTCAGTGGTTGTTTCCATGGCTAGTAATTACAGACTCAGAATAGAAATCTACTTCTGATTCCAAATATTTGCTTTTAAATTTCTTGTTTCTTTAGAAAGAAATGAGTTGAAAGACATGTATTAAAGTGCTGGCTTCTTTCCCTACTATCAGTCAGACAAATTTTTTTTTGGATTCAGTTTCTTGATCTTTAAAATGAGAGTAGTAATATTTGTTCTACCTAGCTCCAAGGTTGTCATGAAGCTCCAGTGAAAGCTACAAATGGAAGAGTTACTGTTTTTAAGATAATCATAAAAACAGGAGGCCATCTTATGGGTATATATTAAATCAGTTTCACTTAAATTCTATTATTTGATGTGTGGTGTCTTAAAATGACAAACAATATTTAATTTATGCAAGTCAATGTCATTTTGCTATTGTTACTTCCAAAATGACTAATATACTGGATAAATTGATTATGACTGAATCAGAGCTGTCTCTGAAACAGTGTCTGCATGGCCACACTCAAAAGCCAGTTAGTTATAGAAGAGCACATGATCTCTTGTTTCTGCTCGTGGCTTATGCTTCCTGAATGAATTCCAAGAAGAAATCATGCTATATTGATTTCCTCTCTATAGTAGGTTGTGGTATAGCCAGCTTGGAAGGTATACATGATAGTACCAATTAGTAATATTTGTTAGAGGAAGCAGAATATCTTTATAATAAGTACTTTGCAACATTTTTTTTTCAGGAAATAAATGCTGTGAAAATCCTAATTGGCAATATTAACAGAATATTTAATGTGGCCCTCCAGTAGATCATTGGTAGTGAGGCAAAGTAGAGTCACTCCTGCTTCCACCATTGATTCCCAATCTCTTGTATTCTTCATATGGGAAGACCATGTGGGGTCTCTGATTTAATACATACGCTGTATTCTGAAGAATGGCATCCTTTTCTTGTAGGATATTGCCTTTAAGGTGGTGCTTCAGCTTTATCTTCAGTAGGATGTCCCAGTATTCTATGAGGCCTGATGTTTCTGGATGGCATACCTCTTTCTCTTGAAAGCTCATACGTTAGTCAGATGCTACATGTATGGAATTCCATGCTTGCAGAATGAAAAATCTATAACTCTTCAAATAGTGGTACTGGCTAAAGCACTGTGAGAAGAACTGGCTGGCCTCTGCTCTGTAAAGTAATGAAAACTTTATCTGGTATATATATTTATCCCTATGAGGATTAACTATTGGTGCTTCCAGTATGAAGAGACCCATTATGGCCAGCTGGCCAAGAGTGTCCGGTTGGTTTCCTCAAAGACTAGTGTCATATCATGAAATCAACATTTGCTTTTGTTGCTGGCGGATTGGATATTCAAAATCAGTGACCACTCCCTTCATGTGTACATAATGCTATTTCTGGGATGATCAATGATGAATGCTAGTTAACATAAACTGACTGAGTTATTTTCTCTATTTACTTGTTTAGTCCCTCTTCTATGGTGGGTGCTTTCAGTGAGTGTTATTAATTTTAGTAGTTCCCCCTTATCCACAAAGGATAAGTTCTAGGGCCCCAGTTGATACCTCAAACTGTGGATAGTACTAAACCCTATATATACCATGTATTTTTCATATATATATACACCTCTGATAAAGTTTAACTTCCAAGTTAGGTATGGGAAGAGTTTAGCAACACTAATAATAAAATAGAAGAATTATAACAATATGCCAGCATGTCTTCCCTTGTGCTTTGGGGCCATTATTAAATAAAACAAGGGTTACTTAAATACAAGCACTGTGGTACCGTGCAATCCGATAACCTAGAAAGCTGCAAAGTGACTATTGGGGAGGTGGCATAGAAAATACAGACCTGCTGCACAAAGGGATGATTCACCTCCTGGGTGAGACTAAGCAGGACAGTGAGGGATTTAATCATGCAATTTAAACTTGTGAATTGTTGAGTTCTAGATTTTTCTATTTAAGATTCTCAAACTGCTGTTGACCATGAGTAACTGAAACCATGGAAAGTGAAACTATGGATAAGGGGGGAGTACTGTTGCCAAGAAAGATTGCCAAATCCTCTCCTTAAAAAAACAAACAACTGTAAAGCTGGATGAACTTACAAAAACAACCCTTTCCACTCTGAACATTGAGCAACAGAATGCAACAATCTGAGAAACATTTGTGCTTGAAAAATTGATGAAATATGGGTAAGAGGTCTCAAGGTCTATTCACATTATGACAAAGGGTGACAGAGTTAATATAGCTCTGGGGCAAAACTATAAATGAATATCATTGTTTGTCCCGCATGAATGCCATACTGCCTCTGATTTTCTTACATGTTTAGTATAGGAAAACAATGCATTTATGAACTCAATAACTGTATACTAGATATTTGAGGACCCCTAACTTTTGTTGCCACCCTCATATCTTATCCTTTTGCATGGCACCATTACAGCTTGGTAACTACCAGCCAGCTTTGCTATTCTTGTGGGCGTTGGCACCTCTCATCACTTCCTCCCCACCCATCTTTCAAATGTCTGAAGTGTTGCGTTGGAAAGGGCTTTGTTCTCTGCTGGGACATTTTCTCAGATAATCAGCAGCAAAATCTTCAACAATTTAGCCTCCATCTTGTGCAAGGGGCTATCCATGTGCCGTATTCTACTCAGGATAGGGCCTTCCTTGCCAGCAGGGAGGTGAGTGAGTCATTCTGCAAACTATTTTTTTTTTTTTTTTACAGGGAGTCTCACTCTATCACCAGGCTGGAGTGTGAAGTGGCCTCATCTTGGCTCACAGCAACCTCTGCCTCCCAGGTTCAAGTGATTCTCCCGCCTCAGCCTCCCGAATACCTGGGACTACAGGCACGCCACCACGGCCGGCTAATTTTTGTATTTTTATTAGAGACAGGTTTCATTATGTTGGCCAGGATGGTCTCAATCTCTTGACCTCCTGATCTGCCCGCCTTGGCCTCCCAAAGTGCTGGGATTACAGGCGTGAGCCACCGTGCCCAGCAACTCTTTCTCTCAGATCACTATTGGTACCACCTATGTCAGTTCAGATCCTCCGAGAAGCAGACATCAAGACAGTATTATATGTGCAAGAGATTTATTGGGTAAGACGCCCATTAAAGATATAGGGGAGGTGGAGGAGGGAGAAAAAGTATGAGAGGTAGGGAGAAACCTTAGACCATAATGCAGCCATGACACCTGTAAAAAATAGAAAGAAGTAAGGAGGATGAGAGAGGAAAAGAGGTAGACTAAAGTTCGGAGAGTGTTCTGTCTTGGCTGATAGGGAGTCTTAGAGCAAAGATTGCCTATTAGAAGAGTCCTCTGTGAGAGAGAAATGGCCAGAACCTAGTACCTTCTCATTGGTTAGGGGCAGTTGTTGACTGAGATCAGCCTGAGGGAAGCATGGCCTTGGCCTGCTGTGGAAGCCGTCAGCCAATTATGCTCCTTAAGCAGGTTCTCTAGAAGTAAAATCTGTGGCCACTTCCATGGCCATCAGACTTATCTCAGGGGGCTAGGAAGAGAAAGGGGTAAAGAAGAAATCTATACATTGTTGAATTGTTTTACTTGATATTAAAATAGTGTATTCCTTTTGTGACACAAAAATTAATCATGACAATTTAAAAGGATTAAAAACAGAAGTAAGTGTCAATAGATGGGTATGCTTTGTCTCCTTCTAGGTTTAGAGAAAATATAGTTTAAAAAGGAATAAATCCACAATAGCTCTGGAATACAAGAGGTGAGACAAGAAGAAGAACAGAAAATTTGAGGAATTTCTGATATTCTCATATTCATAGGAAACTATACATCAAAAGTCACTTGAGATAGCCAAAAATGGTTTTGGGGAGGGCTCCACATTCCTAGTATGTAGATGTGAAGCAGCAGGGTCTCTGGGGTCCCCATAGGTCAATGGTATTTGATGCTGAGTGCAGAGTCAAGAGCTCATTTTTTGGCTGCAGCACTTTCTCTCTATACAGGGTGGCACCAGCCATCCAGGCACTACTGCGCACTTTCAGCCCATGTTCCCATTCATCCCATGTCCTTGATCCTGCTCCAGAAGCAAATTCCTTCATCCACTGCTGAACACAGATTTTGTAGCGGGTGTGGCATGGGCAGAAATTACATTGCCTGGATGAGAGAATATGGCCACATCCAAAAGATGGGTCTTGGACACTACACTCAGCAGCAAGCAGTCCTTGCTTCCACCTCACGCCCCCAATCACTGGAGATAGTTATGTTTTTTTTTAAAAAAAGCACCACAGACATCTGAATAATGAGATGTTTAAAAGCAAAACTAGATCAGCAGGCAAAAAAATACTTCCAAACATTTAGTGATAACCAAATCCATGAAAATTAGTGGATAACACCAGAACAAACAAATTAAAGAAAAATAGGATTTTAAGGAAGTATAAATAATATTCTTAAAGGGATAAAATATCCTTAAAGGGATAAAATTGATGTGACAAACAATAAAAGACTATTAAAAATAACAAGAATTCATAAAAATAAACTCCACAGGGGCCGGGCATGGTGGCTCACACCTGTAATCCCAACATTTTGGGAGGCCGAGGCGGGAGGATTGCTTGAGCCCAGGTGTTCAAGACCAGCCTGGGCAATATGGTGAAACTTTGTCTCTACTAAAAATACAAAAGTTAACCAGGCATGGTGGACCATGCATGTTATCCCAGCTACTTGGGAAGCTGAAGCAGGAGAATCACATGAGCCCTGGAATTCAAGGCTGCAGTGAGCCGTGATCACACCACTGTACCCCAGTAGTGGAAGGAAGAGTGACAGCAGCAGAGGAAGAGTGAGACCATATCTCAAAAAAAAGAAAAGAAATCATAGATGAATATTTTTAATCAGTAATTAAGAAGACTGAACAAAAAATTTAACCTAGAATTCAGCATAAAAAGATAAAAAGAATAATTTATGTAGCTTCAAAAATAGCTGTATCTGTCAACAAAGATTTCCACAAGGAGAGAACATTGTATGACGGTACAATGTTCTTATACTCTCAATAAGAAAATGTTCAATTTTCTTATACTCTCACATATTGGTTATTCATTAAAATATATTTTGCAAATCCAATAGGTTAAAAATTGTAAATGGTGTTTAATTTGCATTTATATGACAACTAGTGAGGTTCAGCATCATTTTTATATATGGATATATGTGTGTATAATATGTGTATATATACACATACATATTTTTGTGTGTGTGCATTACCTATTCATGACCTTGACTATTTTTTTATTAAATTATTGTTTTTTTTTGTTCTGATGTATTGTATTGACATATACCTTCTTTGTATGTAAAGGCTAATAGTCTCCTGCCAGTCATATAAACTATAAATATATTATCTTAGTTTGTAATTTTAAAAACTAGCTATGAATGTTTGTCTTTCATAAGACTTTAAAAAAATTTATTCAAATACGTTGATGTTTTCCTTTGTGTTTTCTGGGCCTTTTGACTTTCTTAAGTATTCACTTTCATCTAACTCCCCAGTCTAAGCTACTTTTTATTTAACTCCTTTATAGCTATCTTTTTCTATTTTAGATCTTAAATTTAATTTAATTTTAAATTAAATTTAAATGTATGTTTAATTACATATGAATTAAATATTGAATTTTTTTCTCATACAAGGAGGGGTGTGTGTGTGTGTGCGTGTGCGTGAATATAAAAATGCACATTCTCTTTTTGGTTTTATTGATCACTTTACTAATTTCTCTCCTAGTATCATGTTTTAGTTACCAAAGTTTTATATTTATAACTTATTGAGAACATGATCCCATATTGTCCTCTTCCAAATTGATTTCTGCTATTACATGTTTATGTTCTCTAGAAAACCTTTTGAACGTATATGTCAGGTTTCTATATGACTTACGCCTTTTAGTTTTAAAATAAAACACATATACATAAAACCACAAACACAACACATATATGTAACTTAATAAATTAATATAATATGAACACTCTTGTAACCATGACCTGAGTTAAGAAATGGAATTTTGGGCTGGGCGCGGTGGCTCACGCCTGTAATCCCAGCACTTTGGGAGGCTGAGGTGGGTGGATCACGAGGTCAGGAGATCGAGGCCATCCTGGCTAACACGGTGAAACCCCGTCTCTACCAAAAATACAAAAAATTAGCCGAGAGTGGTGGCGGGTGTCTGTAGTCCCAGCTACTTGGGAGGCTGAGGCAGGAGAATGGTGTGAACCCAGGAGGCGGAGCTTGCAGTGACCCAAGATCACACCACTGCACTCCAGCCTGGGCGACAGAGCAAGACTCCGTCTCAAAAAAAAAAAAGAAATGGAATTTTGCTTGCCATCCTAGAATCCATCCATGTGCCCTATCCCAATCCAAATTTCCCCAATGGTTACCACTATCTTGATTTTGTACTAATTACTTCCTTGAGTTTCTTTACAGGTTTATCAGTTAAGTGTGAATCCTAAGCTACAGTCTTACAGATTAGTTGCATATTGGCTATGACTTTTATATCTTTTAATATACAGGCTCTTTTTTATTTTTTCTTTGGAATTCATTTGTTGAGGAACCTAGATCATTTGGCCTACTGATTATCTAGTCCGGATTTTGGCAGTTTCATACTTACAGTGCTGTACTGTTCAACACATTCCTCTGCCCTCTGATTTCCTGCAGAGTGACAGGTGGATCCAGAGGCTTGATGGGCTAAGGTTTGATTCCTTTAGCAAACCTATTGGTGGTCATTTTTTTTCTTTTTCATCAGAAGGCACAGAATGGCTGGTTTCTCTCAATTTCTGTCTCTCTCTTTTATTATAATGCTAGCAATTATGAATGTTAATGTCTTGAATAATCAATTTATTAAAGGTTGCAGAATGATGATAGTATAATTCTAGTATTTTATTTTCATTTATTAGCTAGGATAATTTTATGAAGAGTTGCTTTTCCTCATCTACTATGTAGTTACCCAGTGGTACAATTCATATAAGGAAGACAATATAGATGCAAAATTATTACCCTTAATTTATCACTTTTCAAGATATTGCCAGTCATCTTCTGGAAACCTATTGGTCTTTTTTCCCTACCATTATGAACTCATAGATGTGTTTTAATCTATTGGCATTATTATCTTGTTGAAGCTCAAATTGTCACATCTTTGGCCAGTGGAACCCTCTTCCAATTGGTTCATGAGTGTTTTTGACATGACCTAAGTCATTTTTGGTCGCTTCCTTTCTATTTGGTTTGACAAGGTACTTCAGGATTATTTTATGCATTTCCTATCTCAGTTCTAGGATCAGGCTTTCTCCAAGAAATCAAAATCAGGTTTACTTTAGCAGAAAATTGGGCTTCAAGATTAAAATCTGAATGTTGGAACAATTATTTATTTTGGGATAGTCATTGTTTATAGGCATTTTAATGGAATTAAATATATAGAAAGAGCTGGGAAACACACTTCCCCACAAAAATATACATTTAAATATACATATTTACAGAGAATATGCTTCACAAGTTTATGTTGATATTTTTAATTCAGGATCAGTACTATAAGGTTTTAACTTAACCTTCCTTAAACACATAGATGATTGAAATATTTTATAATTTCTTATTTTCTTTATTCTGCATTACAAATGTAACAGTTTCAGAATAACAATACCAATATGACCACTCTCAGTATGATTATGGAGCACAATTATGTGATTTTTGCATATGCTATCCTCTTTTCTTGCTCATATTTTAGTAGTTGAGCTATAGCTACAAGGTCTGAGCATACAACAATTATATACTATATTCTTTTCCTTTTTAAAACTTCTCATTTATTTTTAGTTCTAAATGTAATTATAATTAAAATGCTCACCATCAATGCTTTTGGAGATATTTCTCTAGACATATTGATTGTTAGACTCCTTTAATAGATTCATCAGAAAGTGTTTATAAGGACACTCTGAATTCTTGAGTGTTGATAATGGTTTGTCTTATGCTCTTTATATTTGAAAGCCAGTTTTGCTAGACATAAAGTCCTTGATATACATATTCTGTCACTCAGATTGCCAAATATATTGTTCCATTTTCTTCTGGCAGAAAGCATTGCTGCCAAAGTTTAATGACAATCTAACTTTCTTTACCTTATAAGACAAATGCTGTTTTAAAAAATGCCCAAAGAATTTTTTTCCTTTAGAATCCGGGAGTTTTACCATAGTGTACCTTAGTGACAGTAGTTCAGAGACCAAATTGTCAGGTATATATGTGTTTTTTTACTATGCAATTTCAAATCTTTACTTCAAGAAAGTTTTTTTTTTGAATAATAGTTTTTAGTATTTATTCTATGCCCTTGCTTTGATTTTTATTTCAGGGACTCCTGCGATCTATATCTTGGATTGTTTTTCCAAGACAATGTCTTCAACATTTTCTCTCTTTGATATTTGTCACTCCCTTCTAATCCATTTTTGTCCTTTTGTTTTCAAAAATTTTTGAAGTACAATTTACATTAAGTAAAGTTCATCTTACTGTTACTTCAAGAAATGCATAAAGGCTTGTAATCACCACCAAAATTAAGATATGGAGCAAATACAACAACTCTCAAAATTTCTGTGTGTCTTTGTAGTTGAGAATTTCCTCCACCCAATCCCTGGCAATCTTTTGTCTCTACAGTTTTGCATTTACAAGAATGTCAAATAAATAGCATCATACAGTGTGCAGATTTTTGAGTCCCTTTTCTTTTACTTGGTGGCATGCATTTAAGAGACAGCCATATTGTTGCATTTATTATGGTTTATTATTTTATCGCCAAATAATATTCTACTATGTAGATATACCGCAGTTTGCTTCTTCATTCCACAGAAGAGGGATATTGGGTTGTTTCCAGTTTGCAGAAATTATGAGTAAGCCTGCTATTATAATTCATGTAAATGGTTTTGTGTAAATTAAATTTTTATTTCACTTAAGGAAATATGTAGGAGTTGAATTGCTGGTTGATAAAGTATATGTTGAGAAAGGTATTCTTCAACTAGATAGAATGATGCTAATGTGAGGAAAGAGGAGAAATTCAGCATCCAGGGTAGTGACCGAATGGTGTTAAGTTCCCAGTCTCAATTTTTTGCAAGGTCCAGTTGCTTCTTTGTTTGTCCCTTAACTTGGTTGTCCAATTATTCCTTGGATTTCATGAAATAAACTAATGTCCCCTGGATAATTTCTTTTTGTTCCTCCAGGCAGTTCTAAATAGATTTCTGTCACATGCAAACAAGTGAGACTTGTATCATAGGAACATTTGATTGGGCCCTTAGAGGTAACTAGCCATTGTGCTAAACTCTTAACATGTATTTTACAATTTGTGCACTAGGATTAATAAGCCTTGTCCATTGGTTGCAATAAAAATTTAATTCATTTTATAAAAAGAAAAAATCAAAAGTAAATAACTGCATATGGAACTGATGTGTTTACTAAAGATTATAAACATACTGTCAAGCATCGTCAATGCATTTCTTGTTTCTAAGAAATACACTTTTCATTACAAATGACTTCATGGTTTAGTACAGGCATTTCAATGTTGACAAATTAAGTACAACTCTACTTTGCACAAAAGAACAAGCCACATTGCTTTGAATTCACAAATACATATGTAGATTAATTCTTTGGTGTATATATTAATAAATAACATATTTATAAACTGAGTTCTTAAAATGAAAGATTTAACATCATGATGGCTAAAGCACTTTGCTATTTCCATTGGTTCTAACAATATTCTGCTTTCTGGTTCCCTTGGGAACAGATTTTCAAAATACAAATGATATAAAAGGTCCCTAAATATGGCCATAATCTTTATTGAATAATTTAAGATATTTTGATATCCCTTCTGTTTTGGAATGAATATTCTTTTCCTTGAATCATTTTATAAGGATTCATATCATAGTTGCTATATGAGTGGTCCAGATGCTATGTGCTGTTACAGTTGAAAAGAAGCAGAGTATACTTTCTGGGTCGGAAGGCTCAGGGAAGGCTTCATGAAGAAGACGGCACTGGGACAGGTCCTTGGAAATTATTAGTGTCCAGAGACCATTGACAGCAATAGGAATGCCTCTTTTAAAATATTATGTATGTAATATACTAAACTGGGGTTCAGATAAAAAGAAATAATTAAATTTCTTTTTCACAGTAATTTGAACATTCCATTGAAATCAACAAATCCATACAGCTGGATTCTTGGCTAATTAAAAAAACATCATGCCCTTCTGATCCTACCATCTGCTGTTGAAATTAGAGAAGGCAACTTCTAGAATAAAATTATATTATTATCTAATTTGCAATGGAGTATTTTTGTTGTGTTTAGCATGGTTCTATATTGTACCTTTATTTGTAGATGACTGTCATAAGTTGCAGCAAGAGATGTTTTACAATTTCCATGATCTCTTGGAAAAATAATAGGTCATTAAAAACAAACATTATTTATTCATCAGAGATCAAAGCATCAGTGTGGTCATTCAGTAAAATATGCTTTTAGACTTAAAAATGACTCAAATGGTTTTCTCAAGTAATAAAACAATCTCAAATGCAATAAGAGCACACTTTAAAAAAGAAAAAATTATGG
Source organism: Homo sapiens (assembly GCF_000001405.40). Taxonomy (NCBI): domain Eukaryota; kingdom Metazoa; phylum Chordata; class Mammalia; order Primates; family Hominidae; genus Homo; species Homo sapiens. The sequence continues at coordinate 103,632,825 of NC_000005.10, forward strand.
CATTTAGAAGCAGTAGAAAAAATAATATATAGCCTATTTGTAATTGATTAAAACAGGACCTCTGACATATCTGTGTACTAAGGGGCTTGTTCATGGAGCCATTGCTAAGCAGGAAAGTGTCACTAATTATTTATGAAACATTTAAAAAATCATGGCTCATACTTGGCATAAATTCTAAATTAATTCCTTGAGGACTTGTATTGTATGTAGCATTAGCAGCCTGATTTGCTGACCCACACAGATCAGAGACCATTGTAGAAACTTGTGAGCAGAACTTTTCTAAATGTTTGCAAGACGTTGAAAGACTTGAAATATATTCTTCTATCCCCAAGATTGCTTTAATAAGCAAGAAACCACAGACATTGTCTAACAATATTTGTGTATGCTTTAGTAAATGTGATGTTACGTATGTGGTACCACATTAAGTAGCAGATGAATGAGTTTCATCCACTATGTGAATTGTATTTAGTAATGCAATAGATCACATGCTTTGAAATGATTGTCTCTGTGCCACCATTGATTGATTCCCTCAGTTTTCAAGTACATTAGTGAGATGTGGGGTGGTCTGAGACTCTGGGTGCATCAGCCTCATCCATTTTAGCCAGCACACGATATAAGTTCCAATCTCTAAATATGCTCTGCCAATAAAAGGTTGGGAAACACTGAAAACAGCATTTATTGAGCAATGGTTATGTAGAAGATATTGCCCTATGGATTAAAAATGTTTTAAAAACAAACAACAGTATATTGTATGCTTTTAAAAGTGTTTAAAACTGAATGTAAGAGAGATAGGTAATGAATAAAAACAGTCACAAACTCAAGTTTCTAATTGCGGCTTAAATGAATTTATCATGTATCCAAAGCCCCCATTTCCACTATAATGGAAAACAATTTTGCCAAGGAAACTTCCAGTTTATATCTGTATCTTCTGTATAAACTCAGGTGACTTCAAGGCTCTTCTCCTGTTCCTCTTCCCCGGGATAATCTTGGATCCTGGTACTTCCATATCTTTTTGACATTGGATGGAGTGGGAAGGGTCTGAGGCTCCTATCTGTGGCGTTCACTGCAGGTGCAACGTGCCATCTGTCCTCTGTGTCAGCAAAGTGCAGTGATTGCTCTGGGAAGCTCGTTCTGCTCTGTAGGTCCCTCACTGCTCATCCTCTTACCCTTCAGGGATGCCATATCTTTATTTTTGCCTAACCTCTGTGCCTCATTGGGTAGGAGAATCTTTTTGGATTTTCTCCATATCTCTAGGATTCCAGGAAGGATGGTGGAATGAGCATTAATCTCAAGGCACTTCTCTGCCTAGATCTGCTCTGCTGTGATTCATACCCCAGAGCAGTGGCTCTATATTGGCAAGTATCATGCTGCTAGGCTGCCTCTTTCCAGAAATCCAGAAAAGAAGTGAAGCTTTTCTTCCTTCATATTCTCAACATATTTCGCTATTTCTATGCACCCCACTTCTCTTGGTTTCAGGCCTTCAGTGGAAGAACGAAGGACGGAGGCACAACAGATGCATGTAGCTTCCCTCTCCCAATCCTCTCCAAGCTCTTTTTCCCACTCCACATATGCACGTCCAAAGTTCTGGACAACTGGTCTTACACAAGCGTATTTCTTCCTCCCATTCACTGTAGTTTATAATCTAAATAAGTGTTGTTTTAAAATGTTTTAATAAAAACCTTCTGTAAGAAATACATTTTTGTATCAACCCCAGAAATCACATACTGAATTTACTTTTACTGATTGCAATGCATTCTATTGTATTTCATTTGAAAAAAATAATACTGATCTGGTCTTAGTAAATTGATTTCACGACCTACTTGTGGGCCTTGACCAACAGTTTGAAAAGCAATGCTATAAACCTTTACTCTGAGTTCCTACTTGCTCCTGAGAAGCAGAACCAGGATTTTAGAAACTCAGTAGGTATCTTCTACACTTGGGTGGCTGGATCATGCAAATGGAAAGAGCTTTGACCTTCAGAACAAAATCTATGCTGTGTGCTTAAAAAAGTCCATTCAAAAATCCATTTGAATTATTTCTTTGTTCTATATTCCACTCTACATCTTCAACAATGAATATCTCTGGGTATTTGAGCAGAGAACAGTAAGAAAAATGAGAGAAAGCATCTACAGATTTTATCCTGCTACATAGAAATCAGGACTGAGTACCACAGAATTTTTAAATGTCACAGGAATCTAGAGAGATTAATTTTCCTAACTGAGCAGTTCACAAAGGACACTGAGATTCAGAGTGGTTGTCTAACTTGCCCAATGCCACAGAGCTTGTTAGAGCCCAAATTCAGACTTTTCACTTTGGCTGTCATGTCACCATTCTTTCCACTTGATACTATTTCAGTCTCTTCTTAAAATTAGAAAATTCTGCAAATGACATATAATGTACTAACATGGGGTGGGGATGATTTGCATGATGTTTTTAATAATTGTTAGCTCCTTTTTTCTTCCTGATCTTAAAGGATTTGTGGTTGAAGTATTTATTACATCAGATGCAGTTCCTAATTTTCTACGTTTCCATTCTCTCCTTTTTTCTTCCTTCCTTCAAATTTAGGGTGCTGAGAGAAGAGCACCCTGTTTTCTGCTCACATACCCAGGGTATACTACCTATGTACTTTTGTAGAGTCATTATTAAGCTTTGGTCTTAAGGAGTCTGACACTCATCTTCCATAAAACAAACTTTTGAGGATTAAACTGGTCATCACCTGGCTCTTTGGCTGATTTACTCAGTAATATGAAACCATCCTCTATTTCAACTCTGTTTAGAGAAAACGTATGTTATACACTGATGTAAAAATATCTGGACAGTTCTGATGATTTACATCAGGGATGAGCAAAAAGAACTTTATTTGAAAAAAATATGTATTTAAGAAAAAGCACTTAGCCCTTTTAGAAAGTGATTTATCAACACACGTCAAGGATTTCTGAAATACATATTAGTATTTATCTCAGTTATGATTAAAGCAAAATATTATACTGTATACAACTTAAATATAAGCAGTAGTAAGATGATTAAGTAGATTATGACACTTGTCCAGAATAAATTATTATGTAACCCTGAAATGTGATATTGATAATCAGTGCCTATGAGTATGGGGAATGCTCGTGTTTTAAAGTTTTTATAATGGACGTATTAAACTACATCCTCAGAATGAGATTAACTGTGCAAAAACAATTGCATAGAAAACTATTAGAAGAAATAGATCAAGATATAATAATGATTATCTTTGAGAGATGGACTTATAGTGGTCATATTTCTTTTTTCCTTCTGAATCTTAGCTTTTTCTTCAATTATCATGCATTATACTTACTCAGAAAAATAAAATAATTTGAAAAAGGCATTTAAAATATGTAATATCAGTTTTAAAGTTGAAATTGAGGAAAAATTTCAGGCTTTAAGCTTTTAAAATATTTACGTTGTGTTTGATTACAATGTTCCCAAAAGCTTTGTGAGTTGGGGCATTAGTGCAGTTTTTCAGATGAAATACCCTGTGATGTAACACCGGTGAATGACAGCCACTGTTAATAATGTGAATTATGCAACACTATGTTGAACACAAAGAACATCAACTTTAAACAACAGGTGGAGTTATTATTTAGCATTTTGGATGGGGCATGCTATTTGTCTTCTGTTGCTATTTATAATTTAGGACTGTCATTTGATTCAGAACAGAGGAACTAGTTGAAAAAAGAAGTGAATAGGCACCCCCCAACTTTCTCCTCTGTGAGGATGGTACCTGCAATCAATCCTGCTAGAATGCGCAGCAGCTACAAATGGGTCTGCTTTGTTGAATTCACTGGCTGTACCCACAGTCCACACTGTAGTAGCTGAAGCAATCTTCCTTTCAAAATATTGATTTCCTATGGAATTGTCACTTAAAATGATGGATCTGTAGTTGGGTTGGGACCTGGAGGAAAGATGGTTGTGTTTGTGTTGCAGGCATGAATCTTGATAGGCTTTGTCCTCCACACAAAGGACAAAAGGAAAGGAAAGAAATTATTAGAGTTGAGAGAAAGATTAAGGAAAATACTTTAATCATCTTCCAATTTTACAGGCCAATTTCTAACACTTAGAGCAAGGTTATTTATGAGCCCATCATTTCACAGTAGAATTTTTTTTATTGTTCCTAAAGCCAAAGTAGTCAGAGTTATGGTTATGTACTTTTCAACAGAAATGCAGGAAGTTTTACTTTGTTGGCTATTTATTGGTAGTAATTTTCTGTTTCTCAGAGGAGGTCTGAAGGCTGATCTTTGGGTCATAGTGATAACAGTCCTTTCATCATAAGTCAGATTTCCCAGAACCCTGCAAGTTTCCATTTAAGAAGGGCCTGATTCCTAGTTCCTTCCTTCCATCCTGAAATACTAGACCTTACTCCCTTCTTCCCACTCTCTCTTCTCTTGACTTCTTTTACATAATATAAATTTCATCCAAGAATGGATCTTCTTTTTCTGTAATTTGTCATTGCTTTTTTTCTGCCATATGAGGCCAATTATTTCATCCTTTCTTTTCTTATCTTTTTTTTTCTTTTATTCTCTGGTTTTTACTTCAGAAACAGCCCAACTTCATTGGTTTGGGGTTCATTAATCAGACTAGTTATTCACCTGACACAGACCCTTATTCTATTATTCCAGATAGGCACAAAGCTATTAATATATCTTTTTGTTTTCTTAGTTTTAACAAATAGCCTGTGATGCAAAGCATATGCCTGAGATTGCATATGCTCATGTATTTAAGTATGTGATATACAAACACATTAGGTTCATACAGCAATTAATGTATGACTATCATCAGTTAATGCAATATTATTCGTAAATTTTGTAATAGCAAAATTTTGGCTTTATTATCAGACAATAATCTTTAACCATTTTCTACAGTTTTTTTTTAAAAGTCACTAATTTCTCTGCCTACACCAAATATAATAAACCAAATTAAACCATTTGTAGATGATGAAACATTATCAGTGGATACCATATAACAAGTCTCTTAGGGATTTTTGAGTCACTGGGTTATTGTTTCCTCAGGCTAAATGACCACTGTGATTCTTTGTTATTGTTTTATGTGTGTATATGTGTGTGTATATATCCTTTTTGTCTACAGTCAGCTGACTTTTCTATCTTCAACGTGTGCTTTCCACCTTCTCTAATTTTCTTTTAATCTACTATGGCCTAAAAGAATCATATCTAAACTTAGCAGAATTCTGTCCACAGTAGAAATATTCACTGAGTGATATCTAAAAACTAAAAAATTTTAAATGTAAAGAGAGATTTAGTACACATTTTTGACCTCTATTTTTGATTAATTGTGGTCTGTAATACCTTATTCCCTAATTCTTTTTTCTCTCTCTCTCTTTTATTTATTTTTTCTTTTTTAGATTGTGTCTCACTCTGTCACCCAGGCTGGAGTGCAATGGTACGATTTGGGCTCACTGCAACCTTCATTTTCCGGGTTCAAGTGATTCTGGTGCCTCAGCCTCTTGAGTAGCTGGGACTACATATGGCTGCCACAAGGCCCTGCTTATTTTGTATTTTTAGTAGAGATGGGGTTTTGCCATGTTGGCCAGGCTGGTCTCAAACTCCTGGCCTTAAGTGATCCACCCACCTCAACCTCCCAAAGTGCTGAGATTACAGGTGTGAACCAGTGAGCCCGGCATAGTTCTTGATTCTTACTAGGATAGCAGAAACATAAAATTGTTGGGCAAGTATGATATAGAAATATATGACTATTTATAAGCAGTATTCATAATAAATAGATCAACTATCAAAATGTTGTGAGGATTAAATATATCCTATATGCAAGTATTTAGTACATTAAAGTCACCCAGTAGGAAAAGAAGAGAAAGAGCTAGACAGAGGGAGAGCCACAGACTGTTCTCTCAGGGAAGAATTGGCTAAAAAGGCCTGGCTTAGGACTTGTTTGGTAGCCATCTCTAGCATTTTTTACTGAATCACAATTTTTGACACCATTGTCAGACATACAGCAATCTGACCTTCATCTTTGTTTTGTTTAGGACACATTCCATACATTTCTTTATTTAGAGAATATATTTAGTTTGGATGATGGACTAGGATGTGTGTTATGTGGATGAATGTAAGGTGAAATGGAGCATAAAAACATCAATTTAGAGCAGTGATTCTGGTTTTAGCAGTCAATTGCATTTCAAGAACACTGAAAAAAGTAGAATTAATTTGGCATATGGTTGCTGATGATAACCTAACATCATGGCAGTATCTTATTATTGAATAATTAAAACAACACTATCAAACAGCAGTAACCCTCACAATATAAGCATAAACACATAGTAGGATTCAGGTGCCCTATTTTAGATTCTAGTTGGTAAAATGCTGATTAATCAGAAATCTTTACATTAGGAGAATAAATCAAGTTTCAACAGTGAAATAATTTCTACTCTAAAATAATAAAATAAACCAGCCTAATATTTCTGAAAAATTCTTCAGTAAGTTAAAATTTAAAAAAATGTTTTCTAGGAAACTCAGATAGCCAGGGTTCATCCTTTTATTGCTGGTGTAACATTGTTATTTAAAGTTTTATTGTAGTGGTATTTTTAAAGGAGACATCTCTCCTCTTTCAACATAGTAGGCCTGTATGAATCCTTTAAGTTATCTTACAAATCCTGATTAGATATGCTTATAGAATTGTGTCTGATATGCATTTTCTATATAAACATTTTATATTAGTCTTTTTTGTACAAGTACATGCATTATTAATGAGAAATCAACGTCATTTAGAAAACCATTTTACATAGATCATCACATTAATTTTAACCAAGATTTCTATTTTGCGTTGAGTAAATAGGCTGTTTTTTGCTTGATATTTTTGGTAAATATATGCCATTTATTACTCATCTTTGTTTAGATGAACATGCATTTCTGACATTTATCTATCTTATTTACCAGTCACTGCTATTTATATTAGTAGGCAGTGCTATTTCCTATTTAACTTTGGTATGATCATTATGCAAGCATAATTTTGAGCTTAGCCACCTGTTTGCACATCTGTTAAGTCACAAACAAAACCATTTCTAGTGAAACTATTTCAAAGGAGAGAGGTGATAGTATGAGTAAGACATTTGTCAAGCTTAACCCTAAAGCAGTTTTGAATTAGATTTTTTCATACTATTAGTATGCATAAATTCCTGAGGATGCTTCTTGGTAGGCAGTATAATTGAGATGCTAGTGAGTATGAATGAAGTAGCAGGGCTATTATTGATAACTCTTGGATCTAAGCCCTTAGCTTATAAATATTGAAGATGTGTTAACATGTATTGATGTTTGGTCATGAACTCTGGGGCAGTGAGATACATAAAGAAGGCACTGAATACATAATAAATGAAGAAGCCAAGACTCTGCTGTTACAGTGATGATGTACTTTCATAGGAATTTTTTTTTTCCACATGGAGAATATTCTTAAGTGTCAAATTTTTGGAAAGGAGTAGTATGGACTCTTCTAGTGCACAGGTTTGCCAAACTTCAAGAATTTACACACAAAACAAATCTCATAGGAAGCTTCTCAGAGAATGTGGTGTATTAGGTATTCTAAAGATAAAAGTTTGGTCTTATTACCTGTGTTCTTTTCCATCTTAACACTAGTAATCCATTTTGGAAACCAATTTCTACACACTATTAGGTGAATATCATCTCATTGAGTTATCAAAAACTGAATGAGCACACTCCACCCCAGTCAAACATTTTGTCTTGTATACGGCAATGAAAGATATATGAAATGAATGGTTGCCTTTGAGAAAATGAAATACTTAAAGTTGTAGATTTTGCTATTAAATATGGAGTCATCTTTTCCTGATTTAGGAGAAATCTGAAGCTATAAAGAGAATCTTCACGAGCAAAAGTAATTAAAATATATATGTCAATGAAAAACTTACATTTATTTCATAGACTTTTTTTTTTTGGAGGATTGAGGGAAAAGCTATTAGATCAAGCTTTTGATGGTGGAAAGAAAGTTTTGACCGAGGATTTTGTCTTCCTTTCCTTGAGAAGTTTTCTGAATATGAGTTTTAACAATACGGGTAATCAGAAATTTGGAAAAGAAAAGAAAAGGCTAGTCTTGCAGGATGTCACGAAAGGGCATGAGCAAGCATTAGACAAAAAGAACACACACAGAAAAGACCCCTAAAGGGATGAATACCCAGCTTGTCACAAAAATGCTTAATGATGGAGTAAAGATAAATTTGTCAGTTCCTCATATGTTGAATATTCATTATATAGTCTATGCAGCTGTATCTTAGAATGCTGTTTCCTTTTTTTAAAAAAATTTAAAGCAGATTACTGATTTATTCTTAGGAATGTTATTGTGTAACTTACATGCCAAAGTGAGCTATTATGAGACAGCTCTTTAAATGATTATTTTGCTATCCTCAGTAATTTTTTTTCTTATTATATGATCAGATTTATGGTATACATTTTGTTTTGGAAATATGCAAAGATTATATGAAAATGAACATTTCTCTACCTTATACTCAAGGCATTCTGATTGGTATTTCCAGTGTTAAACTAGTGCCATGTTTAAAGAATATATGCACATATATGTTCAGGTATGAACATTGTTCCTGATTGCTTATAAATAAGAGATATTAATTATTTCTCTAGGAAATTTCACAGATTAATGCAAAGTCCAATCATATGGTCTTAGATTCAACAACGTGATTCAAATTTTACAGAGCTTGGGAGTAACATTAATAATATCTTATTGGAGTTTGTAACTTGGAAGTAACATTAATAATATCTCATCGGAGTTTGTAATTCTATATTCCAAACTGATTTAAATTACCATTTTAAACTTTTAAAGTAATTCTTAAAGATAAATATTTGTCCTCATATCTGTCTAATCTATCTGTCTATCCCTCCATCCATTCATCTGTGGGAAGTATAATACCTGATTGCAGAAGTGGATTTGAGATGAAGCTTTCTCATGCTTAAGCTTCAGGGCCCCCAACTTGCTCAGGCCCCTTCCAAAGCTCAGTTTATTTTCCTCCAGGGATGCAGAGAGGAAGCCTGGGGATCATGCTGCACATGGTGGCCCTGGCCTGTGGGTGGTTCTGGGTTACCAGCATCTCCACATCTATTGCAGCCCCAGGTGAAAACCTGACCCTGCTAGATCTCATTGTTCCTCCAGCTCCTATCAGATTCTCTTTAACTCCCAGGGAGAAGGTTTTGAAAAATGCTATTCTCTCCTTGCTTGGAATGGGGGGCTCTAAAGGCCCTGGTTTGTGGCCACTTGTCCTCTCTCTCCACCGGGGCCAGCTCACAAGAGGCAAGAAGGATCTAGTCAAGTCAATTGGGTGAGCCATGTCTTGTGAGATCAAAGTGCTGAGATCCTCCAAGAACTTGCCCACAGGGAGTATAAAATACCATAAAACCATGGTTTTAGAGTAAACATAAAACAACATTTAAAAAAAAGTAAGGCCGGGCGCGGTGGCTCACGCCTGTAATCCCAGCAGTTTGGGAGGCCGAGGAGGTGGGGATCACGAGGTCAGGAGATCAAGACCATCCTGGCTAACGCGGTGAAACTCCGTCTCTACTAAAAAATACAAAAAAATTAGCCAGGCGTGGTGGCGGGCGCCTGTAGTCCCAGCTACTTTGGAGGCTGAGGCAGGGGAATGGCGGGAACCTGGGAGGCGGAGCTTGCAGTGAGCCGAGATCCCGCCACTGCACTCCAGCCTGGGCGGCAGAGCGAGACTCCGTCTCAAAAAAAAAAAAAAAAAAAAAAAAAAGAAGTAAAACTCTGTGCTAAAGCTGGAAAAAACTTTCTAAGCTATCAGTAGCACCAAATGAATTTCCACCAACCATCCTAGGGGAAAGACTGAATTATCTTTTTATTAAAATGATATTCAAACTGTTGCGTAAAGAGGCAACCAAAGAGAATAAATCCAAACATGTAGGGGAAAAAGTATTATTGAGGAATTATGGAAATGGCTAATTATTAATAATAATGAAATGTTATTTTCGTGGATTTCATTATGTTCATGGATTTGTCTGCTTTTAAAAACTTCATGATTTGTTATGAGTCCTTTCCTTGTTCTAACTATAGACTCACATTCAGACCTACTTTTGTATTCATAATTTTATATTATTTTTTGAAAAATAGGGGCCAGGCTACACAAAACCTGGATTCCTCTTCTGCCCAGCACATAGTAGCTGTTTTATTCCCCCTCTCGATCCATTAAATTTGCATTGACTACATAAGTGATAATGATTCTATGTACTAAAATTTATCATATATGAATATATATTTTCTATTATTTTACACTTACTTATCATGCTATTTGTAGTAGGTTAAATGGTGGCCCCAGAAGATATGTCTATGTCCTAATACCCTGAATTGTAAATGTTATCTTATTTAGGAAAAGTTAACAAAATCTTACTTGGAGAAGTCTTTGAATCTATAATTATTAATAATCTTGAGATAAGAAAGTCATCCTTGATTTCCCAGGTAGGCCCTAAATCCAATGATGAGCGACATAGCAGACAGACAAAAGAGGAAGAGGCAACGTGAGCGTGGAGGCACCATTGGGGTGGTGTGTACACAAGTCAAGGGATGTCAAAAACCACCAGTGGCTGTTAAGAAGCAAATAATGCAATCTCCCTTGGAGCCCCCCTAGAGACAGTGCAGCCCTTATGCACCTCAATCATTTTCTGATTTCTGGCCTCCAGAAATGTAAGAGAATACATTTCTGTTGTTTTAAGTCATCATTCAGTTTATGGTAATTTGTTACAACAGCCACAGGAAACTAGTACACATCTAATTTTATCAGAAATATTTTCTTATGTTATCATTGATGCACATTTTAGTGTAGCAAAAGCAAACGACTAGAAATTAAGTAAAGGAGGTGGCAATATGGACAAAGAGGGAGAAACGCATGGAAGATTTGTGAAGACAGAGCAAAATCAGAAATTTATATTCATAGAACAGAAAATTCAAACAAGTTTTTTTCCTCTTCTTTTTCAATTTTTTTTTTGTGATATTGCAGTTTATTATTTTCTATTTGTATGGGACAAGGGCTTGGTTAAAGAACAGAACCTTTCTGGCCAGGCATGGTGGCTCAGGCCTGTAATCACAGCACTTTGGGAGGCAGAGGTGGGTGGATTACCTGAGGTCAGGAATTCGAGACCAGCCTGGCCAACATGGTGAAAACCCCATCTCTACTAAAAACACAGAAATTAGCTGGGTGTGGTGGCAGGTGCCTGTAATCCCAGCTACTCGGGCGGCTGAGGCAGGAAGAATCGCTTGAACCCCCAGGAGGTGGAGGTTGCAGTGAGCCGAGATTGTGCCATTGCACTGCAGCCTTGGCAGAGTGAGACTCTGTCTCAAAAAAAAAAAAAAAAAAAAAAAAAAATTAGACCCTTTCTTTACACTTTGGTTGTGATTTGGGAAACAGCCAAGGATCATTAAGGCAGTTCTGGGACCAGAGTCACATGAGGAGTTAAGAGATAGACACAAACATTCTGAAACAATAACTTTACAAAGAGGCAAACTATTTTAGCTATATGAACAATCACCTAAAATGCATCTTTTAAAAAAATATACGGGTTAAAAATATATCATCACAACAGGAGATTTTGAATTTTCTTATTTGTCCTAGGTTCAATCTATTAATGCTTCTGTTTACTTGAGTATATAAAAATCTTAGGTTTTTTTACAATTATTTTTGTTTACTATTCACTTAAGTAAACCTACTTAAGCATTTTTTTCCTTAGGTGTACAAATGTTTTCATGTAAATATATATAAGATATAATCACATAATAATAGATGAACAACTTTTCTTCATTACACAAAGACAATGCTCACTTAGGAATTAAAGCGACGTGACTATTAGAAAATAAGATTTCTGCCAGCTGCGGTGGCTCATGCCTATAATCCCAGCACTTTGGGAGGCAGAAGCAGGCAGATCACGAGGTCAGGAGTTCAAGACCACCTTGGCTAATATGGTGAAATCCTGTTTCCACTAAAAATACAAAAATTAGGCGGGCGTGGTGGCATGAACCTGTAGTCCCAGCTACTTGGGAGGCTGAGGCAGGAGAATTGCTTGAACCTGGGAGGCGGAGTTTGCAGTGAGCCGAGATCACACCACTGCACTCCAGGCTGGTAGAGGAAGATTCTGTCTCAAAAAAAAAAAAAAAGATTTCAATCATATAAATATATCTTAGAGAGAATGCTGAACTAACATATATAGAAATATTATTTTAATTTTATCCAAGAAAGTAATTAAACTATTTATATTTAACAATGGCTTCCTATTTTGGTGTTTCTGTATATTAAATTGTCATATATCATCTTTGGAAGATGTAGTCATTTTTCTTAAAAATTGATGAAATTACGAGTTATAGCCATTGAGAACCAGACTTACTGTGCTTTGTAAGAATAAAGATTATGGCCAATGTTATATTTTAAAAATCAGATTAAGAAGGACTGGTTTCTCTATCTTGTTTTGTACAAGAGGAAATTGTTTTTTCCTAAGGGGAATACAATGGATTTTTATCAATATTGGCCTAGATTCTGAGGGTTGCTAGCCTCTGTCCATTAGCAAGACAAGTGGAAGATAATAGGTTCTATTATTTTAATCTCCCCTTTTCCCCATCCCGAACTATCCTCTGAATCCAATTTTATTTATAAATAGTATAAATTGCTTCTCATTGTCCTCAAGTTAAGTGTAAGGTGTTTAACATTCATGAATAAGCCCTTTTGAGTTAAGTGATTCTATCTCCTGTTACTGCCTCCCCTCCCCATCATGCTCAGCCGTCAATCATTTTATATTCTAATTATACTGAATTATTGAACCATGCTATTCTACATCTCTGCACAACGTTACAAGTATGGAAAGGGTTCTAGAGGAGATGCAAACATGATGTAATTTGCAAAACTGGTGGGGTTGGCCTTTTTTCTGTGTATTGAGACATCTTTTAGAAGAAGTTGTCCTGAGGAAAAATGAAGAATGAGTGTGTTATAGCATAACCAATCTCAACATGTTGTCAATCATTTGTCCACCTCCTTCTTGAGCTCATGTCTGAATCCTATGGAGGCTAAGTCAGAAAAGACTGTAAAAACAAGTCATCAAGCAGTTTCCTTAAAAATCTTTGTAAAACATTAGGACTCCAGAGGCATTGTTTTGTAAATCTTCTCCCTGAATGGAACAAAATACAGCTCCCGGGACATTTGATTATATGAAGGCTACACTGGCAGCCCCCAGGGAATTGTGGTTCCATGTTGTATGATGACACTCTGAATCTATTGATATCAAAGAGGTGCCCTTGGGAACATACTTTTTCTCCTAAGGCCATATAAGGCACTACATGGGATCTCATAAATATCTGATGGTAATGATGGTGGAATTGGTAAGGACTGGGCATTCCGAATTAGTGGACAGAGAAAAGATATCAGGAAATTGGGACCACTGGTTTTAATTTATTACCTCTTTTAAAGGCTTCAGACATCTCAGATCACTTTAAAGTTCCAGTATCTTTCCTGTCCATACACACTCCCTTTTACCTGTGTCAACAATGAGCTTCTGAAGCACTTGTGGTCAGTAGAAGATCGGTTCCAAAGCAGCCTTCTTTTAGAGCGAGTCTTGAAAGGCTCTTAATTGGTCATGGGTTTTTGTTTATTTTTTAAATTACCCATATAAAATGTCACTTTTTTCAGAAAACCCTTTTTCCAACAACCTCACTGAAGCTCCACAGCAATTTGGCTATAACCTCCTTTGGGCCACCTCTGCATTTTGCATATGCTTCTGTTCCTGCAGTTGCACATTTTATGTATACTGTCTCCCCATTAAGAGTTTCTCATTCTTGCTGGTTTCTAAGTGTCTAACACAGTGTCTTGGCACATATTAGGAACTTAATAAATTGTCAAATAAATGAATGGACTGAATGCTACTTTTAGGCCAAGACTATTTCTTTAGACATTACCAACATCAGAAAGTAGATATTTCCTCATGCCCCTTCAGTATCCATTATGCTTTAGCTCTTATTTCCCTTCTTAGGTATACAAACCTTCATCTCCCCTTCACAGTAGGCAACCCTATTCTGGTAGTTTGTTTGTTTGTTTTGCCTCCCTCCTTCTCTGTCTTTCCAAACTTAATTATTCAGTGTTCTAGTCAATGGAACCTTGCTAAGTGACTGCATCTTTTCTGATTTACTCATTTATGTTGCTATATTAATTATTAGAAGTGGCTAAAATGTGTTCCTTTAATTACTATTTAAATATTGTCAAACGGAAAGTGTCCTCACAGGGTTAACAAGGATCATATGCCAGGTTCTGGGCAGAAATATAGTTATAATTAAGAATTGACCAGGCTGCACTTTGGCCCCCTTCCTTGTAATTTGATGTCACCTAGCACTAGATGGTAGCTATTTGCATTCCCATTGTTCTTATAGATAGGATTTCTGACCTTAGACTCATAAGGCTTTTGTTTAAGAGTTGATTTGCATCCCCATTGTTCCTATAGATAGGACCACTGACATTAGAATCATAAGGCTTTTGGTTTAAGAATTACTTAAGATCTTCTTCAGGTCCTGAATTCCAGCAGAACAGCTGACAGTAATCAGTTTAAAGACTCGCCTCGTGCCCCCCCCCAATACCTAGCCGCTTCACGCCACAGAGGAACTGAAGCAGCCTGAGAATGTGGTTTTTTCTTCTCCTCATCCCATGACTTCATCCTGCACTATTCAGCCAATCAGCAATCCCCCACACCTCAGCCCACTCCAAATCATCCCTTAAAATCCCTCGTCCTAAACTCCTCAAGGAGGTATATTTGAGGTTTCCTCCCATCTTCTTGTTCGGCTGTCCTATGGGTAGTAAACATTTTCTCTGCACCAATTCCTGATGTGTCAGTATATTGACTTGCTGTGCATTGGGCAAATGAACCTATTACAAAACTATAAAATTTCACTGGAAAGGAAGCCCTTTAACTTAACTCTATTATGGTGAGATTTTGGTCTCTGTGGCAGGTGTGCAGATGAGATTTTTGATGAGAGGGTATTTTTCAGGCATCCTTGCCATACTTTTTGACTTCCTATAATGTTAGTCCACTTCCTCCAAAATGAGTAAATTGCTCTGGGCTGTAAGGGTACTCCAAGATAACTGAAGGCTCACTGAGGAGCGGGTGAGATGTTCCATTTTTGTTTCCTAACTGACTTTACTACTCCCTTCTACATATGAGGAGCCTCACATTTATCATGGAATATCACTGAGCCGGATAAGACCAATAGTAACAGTTACTAGAAATGTCAGTTCAATGTGATCATCAAGATAGATCTGGTCTTTACGTTCTTTCTTGTTTGGCTTTATGATAACCCACAAATAAGGTTGAGCTGAAGTGAGGAAAGAATCTTTGCATAATAACATTGTAAGCTAAGAGCTACTGGTCTCATGCAGAACTCAGCTTTGAGCACCAAAAAAAGTAATAGATCCAGGAGAACCCTAGAGGCCGGAAGCAGTTGTTGCATCCCATTATACACCAATACAGTTAAAAAGCTTATTAGTTGGTGGCTCAATAAAACTGCAAATACAAATATGTGTCTATAAAACTACAAAGCTTTCACATCATTACTCTATTATTTTTACTAACTCTGAATTCTACCAATGCTTGTAACTGTAAATGCAATCTTTTTATTCTTCCATTTACCAGTAATGATCCTGGTTAGAGAAATGGGGGCATCCCAGGCAAGTAGCAGTGCCATATTGGGACAAAAGTTCTTATGATTCTTTCACCCCCATTTGCTGAAGAAAACGAAATGGTCTTAGAAATTGCCTCATATAATCTTATAACAATGCACATGAAGAAATTGGAGAAGTTAATTGGCTTTCTGTTTACGCAGGTTGCAAAAACCAGAAGCCAGGTTTTGACTGAGCGGATCAGAGCCAGAACATTTGTCTGCTTCTCAGTCCGTTTATCCTTTCATCATATCATGCATTTTAGGACTTAAATCCAGAGTGTGGCTCCTGTGGTATCTGAGAATGCAAAAATGGCTGAGGTGCTCTTGGAAGTTTTTAGAGTTTACTTCCCTGACAAAGGGAAAAAATTGAAGCTTACTTTTATGGCTTATTTTAAGTATTTACTAAATGAATTCTTGATTTTAGGCATTGAAAAATCTAAAACCACAATGAAGACCATACTAAAAAACATGGACTATATAATAACTATTATATAATTATTTTTAAAGAAGAAATTACTTATAAAACATATAATAACTATGTTTACTTAACTGTAATTTGGAAGGGGTACTAAAATTTGAGAGCATTCTTTTTTCCCCTAATAAGTATTAAACAGGAATATTTTCCTATAAAGTTCTTATAAAGTGCCAGGCCCCATGGGAAGTGCTTAGTGTGCAATGAAAATAGTATAGGCATGACTCCTGTCTTCACTGGGCTTATTATCTAATGGGGGATATAGGTAAGTAAACGAGTAAGACATACTGTGAAAAATTACCATTGTAGGGAAAGTACAAAGTATTGTGTGAGTATTTAGTAAGGGTACCTTATCCAGATGTAGGAAGTGTGAGAAGTTTTGCCAGGAGAAGTGCTATTTAAGCCATGAAGTCAATGGTGAAGAGAAGTTAACCTGGTGAAAATAGAAGTTGTCTACAGATGAGCAAGTGTTACAGATAGAGGGAGCAGCAAGTGGAAGGGCTGCAAATTAAAAGAGGAAATAATTTTCTAGGAACTGAGAGAAACTCAGGATTGCTGAAATATGCCTCCCATAATTTTTCTGTGGCTATTGCAGTTGTAAGCACACAAGGTTATTTTTTCTCAGGGCACACATTGTTTATCAAATGAGTACCTTTTCTAGACCTGGACATTTAGGGAACAATTTTTATTCCTTTTTATTTTCTAAAGAAGGAGCTGAATACTAATCTCCAAACACACTGGTTGTTTATTATCTCCACCGGAGGTGGAGGTATGTGACTGGCTGTGGTAATGTTGCTCCGAGGAGGAAATACCATGTTTTTACATGACTTAAAGCCTGTGAATCATGAAAAATAGATACCTTCTGTTGCCTGAATTGTGGCTGTTATCACTTGCAACTTAGAATGCAGGCATTGTGCTCAAAAGCCTTGTGCAACTTGTCATATACCATTGTAAATGTGTTTCCAACTTCTAGCTGTCCTAAACTTTATTTTATATATTTTATACGTTTCTTGGTTATGTACAGCACCTCAAAATCCTATGTTAAGGCTTGGAAGTTTCTGAGAATTCTGCCAAACTAGAAAATTATACTGGACAACTAAAAGGAAAAAGACATGAAGAAAATTATTGTAACCAATAATGCCTATTCATAGCAAACTGGTGATAAAGAATTGTCCTGTTTATATTTCCCCACATTGAGCCATCTTGTTCTCTTCTGCAACAGCTGGTACTTATATATTAAGTTGTGCCTTATTAAAGTGATTATGAAGATTTCTAAAGTACAAATATTTTCTATTATTATGTTATAATTATCAATCATCATCATCAATATTACTAACATTTGTGTCATGTAACTATATGTCAAACACTGTGCTAAGTGTTTCTATGCATTATTTCATTTAATCTATGTATCATCCTTATGAAATAAGCTCTATTATTTTCTCTACCACATAGTTAAAGAAACTGAGGCATAGAAAGGTTATATACTTTGTCCAAAGTCACAGATCTCATACATAGGTAGGAGAAATTTGAATCTAGGCTGAGTTCAAAGCTCATTTGTGTATCAGATAGACTCTATTCCTGAAGACAGTGGCATCCTAAAAGATTGCAAGAAGAGTAAACTAGCAGCATGCTCAAGAAACCAAGTAGAGTATGTCAAGTAGAGTGTAATATTAATTTAAAAAAATGTTTCTTTGGTATGATGAACTATCTTCTTATGGGTATTTTCAGTATATTTTTTAGGTTAAAATTAACTTTCAGTTCTTGTGGATGCTAATAAGCTGCCCTGTTTACCTTTAAGCTGAACTTTACAAATTGTATTGTGCCTTTATAACCTTGACATTTATTAGGGTTTGAAAAGTGCTGTTCACCATTCACTCCTTTAGAAAAGAGAGTAAACGTACTCCTACTTAGAGTGCAATGAAAAAAAAATTTGTGCTATATGTGCTAAGTGTTTGAGTGTTTCTTTATGGCATATGAAGCACTTTTGCATTATGTCATTTTATTCTTACAGCTCTCCAAGAGAGATGGGATGGGTATTATTGCCCCCATTGTGCTGAAAAAGAAACTGATGCTTGGTGAGTGAAGGATGAACCAGAATTAGAAAATGGAACTCTAATGATCTTCCCTATATGCTGCTTCTCCTTATACAACTCAGAAGAAATACAGATTTTAGAAATTTTATAGGGAATAATATATGAGGAGATAAAGTCAGCTCTCCATTGAGTAAGCTAGAACATGACACTGTTCTTTGACTTGCTTAACATTACTAAATATGACTTGGCTGATGATATCACCCCAAACTGAAATTCCCCATTATCACAGCTCATAATGGTGCATGGTGTTTTGTTGGTCCTTAATTTGTGTCAGTGGAAGACGGCACTTCGCAGACTTCAGTTTTCCTCTTTACCTTATACTAAAGCCACCACGAAGGGAGGAGAGATACCTATAAGGAGATGCATGATAAACCCCCAGGAAAACTTGGGAAGTTCCTGTATTTTTTATAGAGAAAACTAATTCCCTTGTATGGCTAGGGTTTAAAAAGAATTTGTCTTTTTAACAAATAAAGCCACAGTAACTTTATTTTTAGAGCCCATTGTAATTAGAAGAAAACTCTCTTTCACAAACTTGCCACAGTATTTTTTGCTAAAATTTGTATTCAAAGAATCTGTGCTGTGTTTTAGAAAATTCAACTCTTGGCCAAAATTTTCCATGATTTTGTTATAGAAATAAGAATGAGGCAAGTGGCAAAATGATTGAGTTGAAAGTATAGATTTTGGTAAATAATGGGCAAGCACTGGAAGCAGACATGTTGAATAAGATTTTAGTAATAGCACCAATAAACCAACAGTATTAGCCGAAAGCAAATACCTGAAATGTTTAGTGTGCATAGAAGACATATGAGGGCAAGTAGGGTCAAATTTAAAAAGGCAAAAAATCCATGTGTATTAGTCAATTAGATGCCAACTTGATAATATATTTTAGGTTAAAGTAGTGTTAGTAATTTTACAATAATCACATACGATGGGATCTTTGTAGTCTCCAATATTGTGATTTTAAAAATTTCCTTTGATTGAAGAAATACTTTATTGTCAGATAACTACATGGAGTCGGGATCTTGGGTAGAAAAGTTGCCCATTGTCTTGGCCAAAACATCTGATGCTAACATAGAAGGCAGCAACTTGAAGAAAGTAAAATGACACAAGGGCTGATGGGCTGATTTAAGGCTCTTTTAGAAAGAGAGACTGAGGGCTACCCCGGGGCAAACACTGCATGACTCTGGCAGTAGATCCAGTCTCTCTGCTTCAGACATGGGCCTTAATCAAATTTGTTGTAACTGGGGTTAGCACAACTCTAGTTTATGTAATTACCCTTAGCAATATCTATCATGGGTATGCCACAGACTAGCCCTGTGACCTTGAACTAATACTTAATCTCACTTGGTCTTTCTCTATGGCACAATCAATACACTTTCTGTTCTTTTTTGGTCTTAACAGGGAATGCCTGTGAACAAATAACATAGTAAATGTGAAGTTGTTTTGAGTTTCTGAGGAAAAACACATTATCTACTAAAAATCATTGCTATTATTAAAGTTAATAATTATTATTAGCAGTACATTGGAAGAAACAATCCTGCCAGTCAGGATTTGAGTAGCTTTTAGTTAAAAATCAACAGAGTTTAACTTAAACCTTATGATGGTTCTACTGAAGTAGATACAAGGTTTAGGTATAATAAAACAATTTTTTTTTCTAGGAAGGGCATTGGACCATAGGTTGATTTAGGACCCCAAAAACATTTTCTTAGATTTTTTTAAAAATCGGAATTGGAAGGTGCTCCAGTATCAGACAAAACCTGCTCTGTTAGATGAGATTTCTTCAATTCAGTGACGGCTGACTGTCTAGTTTTTGATTCTGTTCCTTCCATACATGCACCTTCCTTCTGCACTCCTCCATACACAACTGTGAAATAATTGTAAAAGCTGCATACTGAACAGTGTCAGCTCAGCAACATACAAACACCTAGTGTTCAATTCTTTCCAATATCCTATCAGCATTATTTTTTGTTTCTGTACCCATGATATTGGCATCACAGTAAATACTTATTACAGTCAATGTCTGTTTTTAGTAGAGGTGCATTTTCTTTCGCCTGTGCTTGCTGAAGTCTGGGGTATATAGGTAAGGTCTGGCTGCTCAAATGAGAGATTGCATGTTCTTTGTGTGGAATTTAGGGCACTT
This sequence comes from Homo sapiens, assembly GCF_000001405.40. NCBI lineage: Eukaryota > Metazoa > Chordata > Mammalia > Primates > Hominidae > Homo > Homo sapiens. The sequence goes on from NC_000005.10 coordinate 103,653,229, forward strand.
CTATGGTTGGTCATTGCGTCTTCTCCATCTAACACTGGTTGCTTGGTAAAACTTGGTGCAGCTGATCTCTAGTCTCCAAATGATGGCTCCCTGGTGTGAAACTTGAGATGTGCTTTGGTGCCTAGAGGGTATTCTCTCTGCAGCCTCCTAGCTTCAAAAATTCTATCTTCCTCTTACTTCTCACAACCCCTAATGGGTGGTCTCTGTGTGGGTTGCTGGAGTGACCACCTTCCTCTGCCTGAAATGACTTCTGCAGCCTGATCTAGACCCTTAGAAAACCCCAGAGCCCTACCCTGGAGACTCAGCTTAGAGAGAAGTTGAGGAGAACAATCTTTTCCCTATTCTCAGTTATTTGCAGGTCCTGGTGCTCAGCAAACAGCCAGCTGTATAATGAGATGACCGAAAGATGTTTACCTGCTTTCACAAAGGAAAGCAGGAGGGAAAGGAGAAAATGCCAGTGCTTTACAAATTCTCTCCTTTGATTTATACTTCATGGATGACCCTCTCTTCTCTAATAGGCTCTTTATATATTTTTTGGTGGTAATATTTTGGTGTCATTGGAAATTCCTAATGACATATAAGGGGCAGAGAGATTCCTTTTCCACTTTATCTCTCTACATTATCCTTCAGTGGATGTGGATCATTTAGAAATGTGCTTTAAAGAGTGATTTTTTCCATCCTCTTTAGGCAAAACAACACATATATATGTTATGATAAATGAAATCTATCCTATTATAAGATGCCAAGGAAAGATGACAGGAGAGAAAAAAATCTAGGCTAATCAAATAGAAACAATGGCTACAAATTTTTGAATGCCTATTAGATTTAATATATGTAATATATTATATAAATATTCCATCCCACAACCCAGAAATGAAGTCATTGTTTTGCCTATTTAACTGATGTGGAAACCAAATCTTTTTGAATCTTTTTAAGCCTATTTGAATTTGAATTTTAATCTTTTTAAGCCTATTTTTTTCCATCTTTTATTTATGTTTTCTGGGTTTAGGACCCATAGAGTTTACCAGAGAGCTAGGTTGTTAGTATTATTATTGAATATGTTTTGTGAATGATTGTCTATTATTTCCTTAAAAACTAGTGTGACTTTTAGAACATAAAGAATATCATCACTGCAACTTACCCGGAAATATGCAAGAGCATAAACGATTTTCCCTGTAATGTAGCAGGCACAGCCTTTGGAATTTGTGAAAAGAGAAGCAAAATAAGCATCTCAAGTAATTACTTTTATGAAGTGGTGCTCTTCAGTTGCCATCTGCCTAGCAACACCTGCTCAGTTCAAGGGTTAACGCACATGAAGCATTTCTTACTCTTTTCAGTCCTTCATTGCTTTGTAACTGACCAATCTCTCCTTTGACTTTACCTTTCCATTCTCATCACTTTATTTCAGCCTTGTTTTTGTTTTGTTAAGCTTACTCCTAACACACACATACACAGGTGCTAGATTCAATGGCTCCTCCAGGGCAGATACAGGGTCTCATTTGCATTTTTCTCTCCAAAGTCAAGCCCAGTTCCTGGCACGAAGTAGACAATCACTGAATATTTATTTGAAGAGAATAATGAGTACTTTAGATTGTGATGTGGTTAATTTCTCCCAAACTTCACCTTCGTTCAAGTCAAATATTCAGGACAGGTTTCTCTTTGTGATTTATATAATTCCTCATTAAGCTTTGGTGATTGACTTGGCATCTTCCAAAACCCCAAGTTTCTAAATTCCTTCCTTTACACATTTTCTCCCACCCCCAAACCCTTTCATATAAATCCACATATAATTCATGTGCCCTACACAACCAGCTGGCAAAGGATCTATGACTATTGTTTTAAACTTTAAAATCCCCTCTGAAAAACCTTGATGTTAATATCAGCATGTTTTAAACGGTTCCATACTTTTACTTTTCCTGTTCCCATTCCGCTGCAGCTACTTTGAACCCATTAAGACTTGGAAGAAAGTTTTTGGTTGCTTCATGACAGATGGTTTGTGTTGGTTATGTTCAACATTTTAAATATAATTTGAGGAAGAGAGAAGTTTAGATTGGACGTAGACATGCCTTTAACTTTATATGCTTACAGGCTACCTTCCAAAGTTCTGAGGTACAGTCATTATCCTAGTCTATAGTGTAAAACTATTTGTGTTATCGGTCTCAGAATTCTGAATTTCATGCTGTGAAATATGGGGGTTCCATTTTGTAACACTCCCTTTCTAGAACCTACTCTTTATTTTCAAAGAGAACAAGGGTTGTAGCGGAAGAAAAGAATGAGGATAATAATGGCTCCATTTTTACAAGCACCCTGTCAGGTTTTTGTGATGTAACCTCTGTAAATTTAAGTAAAGGCAGGTGAGAAAGACCCAGGGGCTCCAGCCACACAAGGCTGCCCTACATGTACCTACTGTTCTATCTAACCCTAACTCTCTCCTAGTCTTTTAAAGGAGAAAAGAAAAGGACATGAATAGTTCCTGTCTGTTGTACTGCAGACTGGATAGAATATATCAAAGAGGAAATTATACGTCTGGGATTTGGAAAACATTCATTATAGCTGATCATAGAACAAATTGACATGGATTGGTGCAATGTGCTGGCCTTACGGTAGATGTAAATATATAGAACAAAGACAAGGACAAGCAGTAGCGTGACCTTGATTTCCAGTCAATTTCTTTAAATATCCTTTTAAGATTTTTACATTTCAGGCTTAAAAAAAAAAAAGATACTCACTGAGCTCCTTCTTGAAAAAGAAACTATGTTAAAGGTTACATTGTATAAAAAGGTACCTTAAAGGCATTTACAGTTTATTGGGGGAGGAGGTGTCAAAGAAATGTACCAAATTATAATACAATGTAACATTTAATAACAACCATCCTATATTGAGTAATTGCCCTGTGCTTCAAATGATTATGATTACTTTATTAATAGGACCACCTTTGACCTTCATAACCACCCTATTATTATCTGCATTTTACAAATAAGGAAACTGAGGTATGGGGAGGTTAGGCAACTTGCCCAAGACCACACAGCTAGTGAATAGTGGAGTAAAATTCATACCCAGACAGTTTGGCTGCTGAGCATATATGCTACACAATCCTGCTTTTTACACAATAATAAGAGAAGATGTAAGGTGGTATGTGTTAAATGAATGCACATTCCAGAAATAGAAAAATGATGGATTGGGATAAATCTGTTGCTTAGGGGTTTAGACCACTCCCTGCTTGCCTTCATATTGTTTATAAAAGCTGCTTTTTTGTTGTTGTTTTAATTTTTATTAGTTGCCAGTACTTAAAAACTGAGAGATTTTTACATTAACATCCAGATTTGTGCTTCAATTGACAATTCAGATTTGGATATCCTTTGCCCACATTCTTAGGAGAAAACACTGTCTACAGCTGAGTAGATTCTGTTCACTTTAGAATTGGCATAGCTTTTCTGTTTGCCACAGTCCCCACCACTCCCTCTTGTTTCCCACACAAGCATTGAGTGTCAGCTGCCATTTATCATACTGCTTCCCTAGTTTTTTTCTCTTGTGGTAGCGGTAGGGAGAAAAATGATCTCTTATACTCATGTCTATATCAAGTGTGAGAAAAATGAGAAATATATGTAGATACTAGGCATTTACACTTACTCATATTTTCTGCCAGGTTTGTAAACATGAGGTTGTATACAATGCAGGCTGTAGCACAAGCACACTTGGACAGGAAACCTCTGCTGAAAAATTAATTTTCTTGGGTTTCAGAGAGCAGATGGATTTTGTAGGCAGGAAGAGGCAGGGTGAGGTATTTTAGGGAAGGTAGGAAGGTTAAATGGGAAAAAATCCAACTGCAGTTTTTACAGATAATAGGTTCAGTAGCAAAAGAAGCATTACCAGTTTTCAACAAGAGTAATTTGTGATGGTTTTGGTAACTTCTGAGGTTGAAATGCAAAGAATGCTCAAACAAGTCTAAGAATATTTTAATGGAAGGACCAATCATGTCTTCTTTTTCTTCTCTGTCCCTTGTCTTCAAGACAGACACAAAAATGCATACAGATGCACACAGACATACTGAGAAATACACACCAACACACATGAACAGCCACATACACAGTTTTCTTTTTTCTTTGAATTGTTTAATGGATTTAGGGGACAGGGTGAGATGTAAGATTGATACAATTACAACCGTAACTGAATTGCCAGACCATAATTATATCAGAAGATTTGGGTAATAGCATTAGAGAGCTTATTTTCCTTCAAGTAGACACTTATGGATCCACTGGGTCACAGATGCAATAAGGATTAACGGATGGGCCAGTGATGGCTTAAAGATAGAATGGACAGATGACCACATCCATGTGATTGCCAGCCATTTAATGGTTTGGCTTTCCAAATCCCAGGCAAGGCCTTCTGTTGTCCTTTTATCTCTACTAGCCTTGAGTGCAGCCTCCTCTAACCCTTTCTCCGGATGGAAAAAGTAATGCATTAAAAATGTAGTTTTAAATAGGTTATTAAGTTGGTATCTTTCAGAATAATAGAGAACTGTTTCAGAACTGTGCTTGAATGCATTTGACCACATCATCTTCATATCCAATGAGCCTCACTGAGTACCAGTTTGCTACACTTCACTGTGCTAAAGGTAGTTCTCAATGCAGTAGTCCATTCCAATTTATCTTATTCCAGGAAAATGAGTATTTTCTAAACCCCAGAGGCACAACTTCCTTTCTTATATATTCAGTCTTGAAAACATCACATTTAAACAAAAAACAAACCTTTAAGTACCCTCCTGATTCTTCCATATGCCTATATTTAAAAGATTACATATCCGAGTAAAATAATTCATGGTAACTGTGCAAATTCTTAAGTTGTAGCCTGGCTAAGTGACTTCTGTTCAACATAAAATATTTCTTAATAAACTGCTTGAGGCAAAATAGAAATTTCACAGGTGTTAAGTCTGTTTTCCTCTCTTCTGATATAACTGTTGATTTCAAACATGTAGATTTGGGATCCATGCACAATGAAATTACTGTCCTGCAGGTGCATAGTAACAAATAAACATAAAAGATGGAAAGTATATGCAAGGGATATGTGAAACCAAGTGTTAACCAGCCTTTAGAACTGAGAAAAGACTCCCTAGTATTTGGTGCAGTAGAAAGGATCTAGATATTTTGGGGTTTTATCCCGCAGCTGCTAATTTTAGTCCGTGAGGTACTCTCTCCTCTCCTTTCCTCTCTCTCTCCCTCCATCCCACCTTCCTTTCTTCCTTTAGTCTACCCTGTCCTTCCTTTGTAAATTGAGTGCCTACTGTGTGCCAGTTACTATACAAGCTGCTGCGAATATGAACACCCTTACATTGGTTTGTTAGGGCTGCTATCATAAAATACCACAGAATGGGGCTTCAACAGAAATTTATTTCTCACAATACTGGAGGCTAGAAGTTAAGATCTAGATGTCAGCAGATTTAGTTGCTCCTGAGGCCTCTCTCCTTCACCTGCAGGTGACTGCGTTCTCCATGTGTGCTCACATGGCCTTTCCTTTGTACACAGACATCCCTGGTATCTCTTATGAGGACACCAGTCATATTGGATTAGGGCCTACCCTTATGACCTTATATAAGCTTAATTACCACTTTAAAGGTTCTATCTCTCAGTAGTCACATTATAAGCTATTGGGAGTTAGAACTTCAACATATTTTTTTCAGGGATGGGGGACACAATTCAGTCCATAATACACACTAAGATAAGGCACCTGTCTGAGAGGCTTATGATGTAATCAGGAGGAGGACAGAGAAGTAAACAAAAGTATGAATCACTTTATCAAAAAATGTCACTTTACCTCTCAATTTCTCAGCATTTTTTGTTTGTTTGCTTTTGCTTTTGTTTCCCTTACAAATGGGAGATTGGGTGAATAATATATAGGCTTCCTTACAGCTTTGATAGTCTATGATTCCATGTCTGTGTCTGAAGTTAGGCCTAAAACACAAAGTGAAATAAATACAGAGAATGGGAGGGGAGCCTGCCTGGGCAGCAGGGAGAGCAGCAACAGGAAGGTAACTGTTGTCTCCCCAAGGGGCGCACCGCTTGACCTCGATTAATGTTCTTCAATTTTCTAAGAATGCTTTTCAGTCCATCATGTGTTTTAGGGGGTTGGTGATTTTTATCAACCAATCACCTACGAACTGTACATTCTGTAAGAATGAACCAAAATTTAACAGATTCTCCAAAAATACCCACCCCTAAACAAAACACCTCTTCTTGGAATTGGGCAGACATCATGTTGTCTGAATTTAGGAACTGTTTCCTTGAAAGAATTCCAAAAATATGTACCACCACATCGACGACATAACCCCTGGCCCACATAATATTAAAGGAATACAAAGAAAACCCTTAGTGTTGCATATTCAGTAACAGATATATAGGGCTTATTTTCATAAATTGGGATTCTTCTTTCTGAAAGTGAAATTCCCTTTTTTCTTTTACCTTTTATCCAGTGTGAAGTAATTTAAAAATCCATTAACACATATTGCCATGTTAATTGGATGATATTCTTCAAGGTCAAGAAACTATCAATAGATATTGAATAGTGTCTATAAATAAACTCATCACAGTAATTAGATTTGTCAATTAAAATTGGGAACAGCTAACTCTTTATGACTGGATTAAAGGTGGATCACTTTGGAAAAATAATTTTGCTCAAACATAATAGATGAAGATTAGATGATGATCTCAAATACAAGTTTGATCCCATGAATGAAATAAGCTTCTGTTTTTTATATCAACAGATTAAGAAAATCCTGGAAATATGGATACTAATGAATTTTCTCTAAAAATGCAAAAAAAATTAAAACAAGTAAAACTCTAATGTAATATGTATCGAAGAGTAATAAGATCTAATACTTGTTAAAAACTTGGTCTATACTGGGCTGTATACTAAAACTTGAAGTGCATTATCTATTTTATTTCTTGTAAAAATTGCGTGAGGTATATAATTATCTTCTCTTTGCAGGTGAAACTTTTCCAAGGTCGCTCTTACTAATAAGTGCTGGAGCTAGATTAAAATTTAGGTCCATCTGACTCCAAGCCTGATGCTCTCTGCACCTTTCCACATGTGCATGACTAGATAAATATTTTAATTAGTATTACTTTGTTCATTATTCTCTCCGTGTGATAAGGATTCTGGTGAAGAAAAATGGAACCCTTGTTTCAGTTTTTGTAAATTTGGAAAAGCTATTCTGAAAACCTGACAACATATTTATTGTATATTTCTCCATTTTTAACTTGGAAATTGTACAATATGTAGATGTGTGTGGACACTGTTTGTACTCGTTTTTGTTGGTGACACAGAGCTATATATTCTTCCACATGTTTGTGTTCTCTCTTTTTAAGGGGTCCAAATTGCGAAGCAATTTTAACATCACTGGTCAGGAAATGCCAGGTGTTTGTTGCATGGAAGCGAGGTGTGATGATCAACTCTTGAAGGTGCCAATCTGATAGATTCACTCAGCAAATAATTATTAAGTGCCTATCATATGCCAAGGCCTGGTCTAGGTGCTAGCCACATAGCAGCAGAATCAAAAGACAAAAATCTCTGAACTTAAAGGGGTTATATTCTGGGAGTAGAAAGACAAAATCAGAACATGGTCTCAGATCTGTCTGACTTCAAAGTGCACACTTTACCATTAAACTGTTCTGCCTTCTCATATCAGCTGAGTCACTTTTTTTTTTTTTTAACACAACAAAAAACTGCTCTTGGTGGTGGTTGTAGGGGTTGAGGGGGGCATAGAAGGTATGGTTGATAGCTGGAGTGTAACACTAAGGTTTGCCTTAGTTTATGGAAGTGTCATACCACCTGCTGACACGACATCTGAGAACATGATACACTAGGGAGGGCTCCACACTTTTTGATTGTTGCAGGAAAATGCTTGGAGTATGTGGTATGCCAAATCTCCAAAGGAACTAGCCCCAGAAACTTCTGTCATGAGTGAACCGTTACTGTAAAGAGTAGCTATCAATACTGAAAACCAACTTGAATGCCACCTTTTAATTTAGTCAAATGAATATTTTTATTGAACAATCACTATGTCTTAGGCTCCAAACAATAGATATAAAAGATGAAAAAGAATCTTATCCTCAAATAGTCAAAGTTTAGTGGGAGAAATCACTATAAAATAATTGTAACTCTACTGATAAATACTAGTAGATGTATATATATATATGTATTATATATACACACATACATATATATATGTTAATGTACATTACCATGTTAGTATGCACATATATAAACCACTATATAATAAACATAGAGTGAGGATTCCTTATATCTGGGGAGGTCAAGGGAATATTCATAGAGAGAGGTGATATTTGGGCTAAATGATAAAGGATTACTTGTAGTTTTTCAGGAAAAGAATGAGGGTGGGTGGGTGAGGGCTTTCCAGTAAATTAAATGCAAAGCAAAGATTTGGCGACATGACACAATGGGACATCTATAACAAATATTAAATATTTTGACATTGATCGAATATTGACTATAAGGGTAACTGAAAATAAGACTGAAGAGAATACAATGTGTGCTGTGCTGGATCTGAGGGTAAGGAGTGTGAACTTGGCTTTTAATCTGATGGTGAGGAATGTGAACTTCTTTCCATGCTCCTCTAATTGAGAAACAGATACTTCAGGGAATATGTGGTTGTCGCTAAGTGGTACAGAGGTCAATATATAAACCCAGCACCTCTCTGTAATACCAACTTTTTCTTGATTACCTTGAAGAAAAAAAGAACACCTGATTTAAAAATAATAACCATGGAGCCGGAAGTGGTGGCTCACACCTGTAATCCCAGCACTTTGGGAGGCCGAGGTGGGAGGATCACAAAGTCAGGAGTTCAAGACCAGCCTGACCAAGATGGTGAAACCCCGACTCTACTAAAAATACAAAAATTAGCCTGGCGTGGTGGCAGGTGCCTGTAATCCCAGCTACTCAGGAAGCTGAGGCAGAGAATTGCTTGAACCCGGGAGATGGAGGTTGCAGTGAGCCGATATCGTGCCACCGCACTCCAGCCCGGGTGACACAGCGAGACTCCGTTTCAACAAAACAAACAACAACAACAAAAAAAACACTAACCATGGATAAATTATGAACAAGAATGCAAAATCCATATGCACTTTTAACTTTCACATCTATTTATTGAAGTGCAATGTACAGAGAGAAAAAAATCAGTGTAGAGATGGTGAATTTATGCTGATGGCAACCAATACTCCATCAAGAAATAGAATATTAACAACACCCCTGAAAACCCCCAGTGTACCTTTCCAGTCTTTCTCTACCTCCTTTCACCAAGAGGAAGCCCTGTCTTGACTTCTAACAGGAGAGGTTAGTTTTGCCTGTTTCTGAACTTTACAGATATGAGTATTCTTTTGTGGCTGGCTTCTGTCACACAACATGTGTGGGAGATTTAACAATACTTTTGTGTATGATTGTAAACTGTTCATTGTCATGGCTACGTAATGTTCATTGTGTGAATATACCACATTTTGTTTATTCCTTCTGCTCTTGCTTAGCATTTCGGTAGTTTGCAGTTTTTGACTATTGCAAATAGATGTGATATGACATAAAACTCTGTCTTTTCATGAACATATGTCTAAGATCAAAGTTGCTGTAGGTTTGCATATGTTTACCTTTAAAAGATATAATTTTCCAAAGTGGTTGTGTGATTTCCACATACACTAGCAGTGTACAGTATTAGAAGTTTGGTTGCTCTACATTGTTGACAAAATTTTCCATCTTTTTGATTTTAGTCATTCTGATTACGATTTTAATTCGCATTTGCCTGGGGAATAATTTTCATAATGTTTGTGTATTAGTCTGTTTTCACACGCTATAAATAACTTCCCTGAGACTGGGTAATTTATAAAGGAAAAGAAGTTTCGTTGACTCACAGTTCTGCATGGCTGGGGAGGCCTCAGAAAACTTACAATCATGGCAGAAGGAGAAGCAGGCAACTTCTTCACAAGGCGGCAGGAGAGAGAGCAGAGCAGGGGAAATCACCACTTATAAAACCATCGGACCTTGTGAGAACCCACTCACTATCATGAGAGCAGCATGGGGGAACTGCCTCCATGATCCAATCAACTCCCACCTGGTCCCTCCCTTGACATGTAGGGATTACAATTTGAGCTGAGATTTGGGTGGGGACACAGCCAAACCATATCATTTTTGTTATTTAGATATCCTCTTTGGTTATGTTTATTCATCTTGGGTCCATCTTTTTATTGGGTTTTTTTACTTTTGTTTTTTCTTATTGATTTGTAGTAATTTGTTATATATTCTAGATACTAGTTCTTTGCCAAATACCTATATTGCCTATCGGGGGAACCTGCCCCCGATAATTCAGTGTACGTTCTTTTCTATTTCCCTAAGTGTCGACCGGTCTGAGAAATAAAGGGAAAGAGTACAAAAGAGAGAAATTTTAAAGCTGGGTGTGTGGGGGAGACATCACATGTCGGCAGTTTCCGTGATGCCCCTCAAGCCCCAAAACCAGCAAGTTTTTATTAGTGATTTTCAAAGGGGAGGGAGTGTACAAATAAGGTATGGGTCACAGAGATCACATGCTTCACAAGGCAATAAAATATCACAAGGCAAATTGGGGCAGAGCACCGGGGCAAAATTAAAATTGCCAATGAAGTTTCAGGCACACAATGTCATTGATAACATCTTATCAGGAGACAGGGTTTGAGAGCAGACAACCAGTCTGACTAAAATTTACTAGGCAGGAATTTCCTCGTCCTAATAGGCCTGGGAGTGCTACGGGAGACCAGGGCTTATTTCATCCCTTATCTGCAACCGTATAAGACAGACATTCCCAGAGCGGCCATTTCAGAGGCCTCCCCCGGGAACTCATTCTCTTTTTCAGGGCTGTTCCTTGCTGAGAAAAAGAATTCAGCGCTATTTCTCCAATTCACTTTTGTAAGAAGAGAAATATAGCTCTGTTCTGCCTGGCTCTCAGGCAATTAGACCTAATGGTTACCTCCCTTGTTCCCTGAACATCGCTGTTATCCTGTTCTTTTTTCAGGGTGTCCAGATTTCATATTGTTCAAACACACATGCTTTACAAACAATTTGTGCAGTTAACGCAATCACCATAGGGTCCTGAGGTGGCATACATCCTCAGCTTACGAAGATGATGGGATTAAGAGATTAAAGTAAAGACAGGCGTAGGAAGTCACAAGAGTATTGATTGGGGAAGTGATAAATGTCCATGAAATCTTCACAACTTATATTCAGGGATTGCAGTAAAGACAGGCATAAGAAATTATAAAAGTATTAACTTGGGGAACTAATAAATGTCCATGAAATCTTCACAATTTATGTTCTTCTGCCATGGCTTCAGCCGGTCCCTCTGTTCGGGGTCCCTGACTTCCTGCAACAATTGCCAATTTCTTCTTGCAGACCATGTTGATGTATACATGTTTTTAGCTAATATTTATACTTGAATAAAATTTTGTTCACTTTGATCACTTTGGGTTATGCCCAAGTCAAAAGATGAAATCTCACACATATGTTTGTCCACTATCACTTAAATATCCAGGTTCCACATTCCCCAACCCTGTCCTGGCCTGGAATTCCCTATCCTGATGTTATAAGCAGGAAGATTTGAGAAGCAAGGAACAAGCCTACATCCATAGTATTTGCTAACATATTCCATGGGCTCAGGAATATTATAGAATTTAGGACATAGTGTTATATTTAATAGATATAAGGAGACTAAATTTGTATCTGTAAGAGTCGAGTTGTATGTATAAGTGAAATAAATGCCATATTGTAGGAGAGTTAGGTAGTTCTTATTAACAGGAAAAAGTGGTTTTTAGAAAAATGTGCCCTTTTTATCACTAGGTTCAAGTTATGTTTTTAATTCTGTAGTGACAACATAAATACTGTTATGCTGAGCCTCCCCTTGATGGTCATGTAATGCTTTGGTACACACCTTCTGATTGTATACACTTTCTTTCTGTTATACTTTCTCACTCTTCTTTATCTTACAGAATGCTGCTATTAATAACAGTTCAAACTCTGGGGGGCTGATTGGTATCATGAAACAAGAAGTTCAGGGGCAAGGATTCCAGAGCTGCTTGGGCAGCTCAAGGAGGTCATCAGGGACCGAGTTTCTTTCCATCTTCCCGCTCTGGTATCTTTAATGTGTAGGTTTTTGTCCTCATGCTTATTGGATCAGAGTCACAGGATGGCTGCTGAACCTGTACAAAAGAATCCTGTATGTTTTCCAGGCAGGGAAATGCAAGAGAGAAAAGCCTTTTTCTTAGTAGGCTTTGCGTTTATATTGAAAATCTCTAGGGACTTCTGCCTACTCCTTATGACCCGAACTCTGACATCTGGCCACAACCAGCTTCAAAGGAAGCTGGAAATTGGGATGTTTTTGTTTCTAACTGCTACAGTAGGGAGGGCAAAGACCAAAAGGGCTGTGAAAGGGTTTTGGGGATATAGGCCACAGTGCCTTTACCTTTCTTCCTTTTAAAAAATTTTTTTATAACTTTTAAAAATGTTTCTTATATTTGTAAAAATGTAAAAGGTTTGTTAAAGAATATTTTAAAATAGCAAAGAATAGCAAATTGTCCACACTTTTAACAACCTAAACAGTCACTATAAATATTTTAGTATGAATTCTTCTAGTCACTTCATAAAACACTATCTAGGTATAGGTGCATGCATTGGTTTGGGGGGTATAACTGCCCTCAGGGTTCTCAGTAGACAGAGGTAGGTAACATACATACACACACAAACACAAAATACAACTGTATTTCTACATCTATCTGTACATTATTAAATCAATGAGTTCATACTATACATATATATACACACACATACATACATATACACACACAGATGGATGGATAGATAGATTTTTTTTCTGGAGGGGGACAGAGTCTCACTCTGTCACCCAGGCTGGAGTGCAGTGGTGCGATCCCCGCTCACTGCAAGCTCCGCCTCCTGGGTTCACGCCATTCTCTTGCCTCAGCCTCCCGAGTAGCTGGGACTACAGATAGATAAGATATATTTAATTTGTATCCAACACCATAGGTTCCTTTTAGTTTTTTCTTTTCTATAATTGCTAGTCTTTTCTCTAGAGTGAGAAACCTGGTTCCCTTCATTCTCAACATAATTATTTGATCACTGTTACTGTCTGTAACTAATCTGCCATCTCATCATCTTTCCCTTCCTACCCTCTGGACCTTGTCTTCCTAACTCCTCAGGCTTTAGTATCTTTTATCAGACTGCGCCCTCACATGACATGAACTTCTCTCCCACTGGAGCTCAGACACTTCCTCTAGCTAGGCTGTTCCAGCTGCCCCCACTCCCTTTCTGCTTCTGAGAAGAAGCCCTTTTTACCCATCAATGAATGCCCCAACTTCTCACTGGCCCAACAGACCACCTGTACCCTTATGCTGGCATCTACCTTGCCTGGCCCTATTTGTTAGTTTTTGTACTGAATTATTCAGGAAAGGAAGGGAAAGGTAGAAGAGAAGGATAACAAAAAGGAACTATTTCCTTTCCTATTTTGTGCTTGTTTCTGAATGTTATACATTTTACATTTACTTTAAGTAAATAGGTCAATCTTTTGGGTGACTTATTATATTATTTGAGTTTAAAATGTGGTGTCATATGGAGATATTGAAAAATATGTTATTTTTTCTAATTTTTTACATTTAGTTATCTAATCAAATAAATATTAATTTTGTCATTTAATATGAAGGGAAGGTCTAGTCTATTTTGTTCTTATTATACAATCACATCTTCCTTGTTTTGCTCTTAATTTTATTTCCTGTGGCTCCTCGTATCCCTTTTTGTTCTGTTTTAATCTGCATTTATTTTTCCTCTCTGCACTCCTGTCTCTTATGTTCCCTCGAATCCTGCCACCAAAGGTCACAAACTCTGCCAGCTCCTCCCTATGGTGCCCTTTGCTTTCCCCTCTGCCCTCATCTGGATGCTTTCAGACTATCAAAACTCCCATTCCTTGAGTAATTGTCAGCTAGGTTTTAGACAAGCAGGCTGATGAGTCATTCACAGTCGTGAATGCCAAATAATCACAGATATGGAAGACTCATCCTAAGAAAGGTTCAGCAAAAAGGACCCTCTGATTCTCTAAGATCTTCCAGCCCTAGCGTCCAGTGTGCAGCTGATATCAGCAGAATTATTTTTTTATTCTTCCTATGAGAGGACTGTCTTGCCATAAGCAGAGAATGACTCCCTACTCCAATAGGCTTTTACCCCTGGAGTACACTGGTCAGAAAAGGCTTCCTATAATATCTAGCTAGGTCAAATATTTCACCTGTAGGAGAGGTAAGTTAAAAGTTTCAGAAGCATCTCAAGACAGCTCCTTCAAGCCTACTTGTTCTTCCACTCCTTGTCCCCAGATGAACAGAGAAATGATTCATTTGAGTGCTGGAAACAGCCATGGATGTGAACTGGTTTACATTAACTTTTCAATATAATACCATGAAAATCACAGTTACTCATTTGATTGCTGCAGGTTTTATATTATGATATCACTTATATTTTCTCAATATAAGATTTTAAAGTTCTGTGGCATAGTTATCAGTCCACAACTTTAAATAAGTAGCCATTGAGGGACCAGAGAGATAAAGATGGTGTTTAAAGAATATACATTGAAAGGACTAAAGGTCAGTGAGTAATTTTCCTTTCCTCTTGATTCCCACGTGAATGCATTGGTGAGGAACTTTGTATTTCTTTTAAGGAGTTGCTTGTGTCCTGAGTAAAGTCAAAAAAGGCACTAAAGTAATGCAGTTATAATTAGGAAACAGTTGGGAATGAGGAGGGAGAGAGAACTTATATTTGTGTGCTGAGTGATTTTTGAAAACTATCTTCAAGGTGAAACTAATAAGCTAATTCTTTGCCAATCTTTCTGAAATATACAGTCAGCCTTCGATTATGTAAGGGAGCAATGGTGTGTATAATTAGCTAAGAGAGGAGAGTTCCCTACCCTTTTCTATTAATTTGAGCAAGGAGGGAGTTGATTCCGGTTGCTTAGTAGACAGGAGAGGAGAGGATCTCTTTTCTCTTCAAATCTTCAACACTTCTTCCTTCCTTCTATTCATTTTAAGCTATAATTTTGTTTCACGGAAGAGAAATAATCAGAAAAGAATTTCCTGTCTTTCTGTCTTCGCATCCCTTCAACCCTCTGCATCTGCGTACATACACTCTGCCTTCCTCCTTCACTGTGGAGGAAATGTGTGTCTAGCTATGGCAACACCCTCCACTCACCCACCCTCCAACCCCTACTATTTGCTCTTAAGTCTGTATCCCTCTGGCCTAACCAAGGCCATTACTGCAGCATATCTCTTTTCTCTTGCTTCATCATTTCCTCCTTTTTTTTTTTACCAGATCTTTTCAATGAACAAATATATAAGCTTTCTGAACAAATATACAAGCTTTGTCTCATCTTAAAATCAAATTACAATGACAACCCCCCCACCCCTGCAAATTTCCCTTTACCACATTTATCTGCTCTTTTTTAGAATAAAAGTTCCAGGAAGGGCTGTTCTATACATGCTATAGACCATTTGTCCCCTTTTGTCTTTGAACCCACTTGCTGACCTTGAAACAACTCTCATAAAGAATGCTTGACTTTCGCCGGGTGCAGTGGTTCACGCCTGTAATCCCAGCACTTTTGGGAGGCCGAGGTGGGTGGACCACCTGAGGTCTGCCCTGAGGAGTTCCAGACCAGCCTGACCAACATGGAGAAACCCCGTCTCTACTAAAAATACAAAAAGTTAGCCAGGCGTGGTGGTGCCTGCTTGTAATCCCAGCTACTCGGGAGGCTGAGGCAGGAGAATCGCTTGAACCTGGGAGGCGGAGGTTGCAGTGAGCTGAGATCATTCCATTGCACTCCAGCCAGGGCAACAAGAGCAAAACTCCATCTCAAAAAAAAAAAAAAAAAGAAAAGAAAAGAAAAGAAAAGAATGCGTGACTTTCATGTGAGTAAATAAATGGAATGGTCAATTCTCTGTCCTTGTCTTACTCTACCTCTCAGTATCATTTCACAGAGTTAAGCATGTCCTCATTCTTCAAAGACTTTGTTTAACTGATTTCTAGGATGCCACTTCATCTTGGTCGCCTCCATCACTAGAGATTCCCCCTTAGTCCCTCTCCACTCTCCTGACCTTTAAAGTTTAGAGTGCAGTTTCCAATTATTCTTTCATTCTCATGGCGTTAAATACAGTGTGAACTTCTTTGCCTGGAGACTGTTTACCCATATATAAACAAGCTGGTTTTGGGGTTTTGTTTTGTTTTACTTTTTCTTTCCTTTTTTTTTTTTAACTTTGATCAGAGAAGTTTCTGATCAAATATTAGGCTTTCTGTAAGATCTTCCCTGATCAACCTACATAGAAGAGCCTCACCAATCAGTCCCTGTACCCCCGACATTTTTATTTTTCCCCAAGCCCTAATCAACATTTGACTTGCTGTATATTTACTTGCTAAAATTTAGATGAGAATGTAAACTTGCTGAGCTGATGTCAGGGTTTTCACCTTGTTGACTGTTGAATCCTAGGAACCAGAACAGCACCTGGCACATAATAGGTACAGGGTAAATATTTACAGAATGGATGGATGACTGACGGTAAGGGAAATAAATGATTTCTTACCTTGTTTATAAGCTGTAGAGGCTGGAGTAGTGTCATGTTTGGGGAGCAGAATAGGAAGGTGGAAACGGACATATGGGAAGAAAACGGTAGCCAGAGCCCAAGCGCCACCAAGTTGGCACCAAACCAAAGTCTTTGGAAGAGAATTACAGCTCTGTCTGAGTGAGGATAAAGTGATTGATGTAGCATAAAGGTGGGTTATAGACTTTTCAGGCATAACAAATCAGAATATCCTCATGTGGAGGTGGATAGCCCCAGAAATTTTTGGTCAGTAGCAAGAAAAACCTGAGATGTGTAAGATAAGAAAATCTATTTCCAGGACAGACTGACCTTATGAATTCTTGAAGTTTATTTGTCAGAAACTGTAACTTCTTCAATAATATATATGTATTTAAAAGATGGAGTATGAATGTTCTTTTCTTAGGAAGTATTTTTGGCTTACAAAAAATGGCAGGAGAAAAAATAACAACATATTATGTATATGAGAATCAGCAGCTGCAGTGCAATGAAAATAAGGCAATGAGTTTTTTAAATTAAAAATATTCTAATTTAAAGTCGCCTGTCTCTTACTATTAAAAAAAAGTTCTTTAAGGCTACAAGATACAGCTACACAGAAGCTGAAAATCTGTTTTAATTCTGGCTCTACTGCAAAATTAATGGAATAGCAAGATGGGAATTACTTAGGTTCTTATTACTTCAGTTTCTTTATTTGTATATTGAGGATGCTACACTGGAGTAAAGTAAGCAAATATATTTCATCTTGTGTGCCAATGGTGGCTAATTGGTAGGGGCAGCCTAGAGTGCTGTATGGATAAGCATTTGAGGCCACAACTAGGCTCAGCAGAAAAGAGAGTTGAAATTGATTGGTGCTGTCTGCCTTGGGTTTAGGAAAGATGAATGGCAGGGAGTGTGTGCTGTGTCTTTGCTGTTCTGGACTATATGATCTCTAAGGTATTTTTCAGTTCTAAAATTCTGTGATTTAGAATGCCTGGTATGTTAAGTACAGTCTTTCCAATAATGATAATGATAGGATTTTACATGTAAAATGCTAAAAGTTCTTTTTAGTGGATGTTTTTGGAGAATCTAAATATGTTTCATAACGATTTCTTCTAAAGGTACTGGGATTTATATATTATTCAAAATATTTTTATATTGTGTGCTCAGTAAAACATAACTGTGTATAAGCAGCATATAGAAACAATAGTGATATTTTGCCATGAAAAACTCAAATTAGCATCGATGAATATAATTCACAGAAATCAGGTTTTAGTTTAGTTCAAAATAATCTGCAGTTTTCCTCACTGGCTTTGCCTCATAATAAACCCATAAGAAATACTGTTTTAGTATCCAGCATTGAAGCATTTCAACTACAATTTTTTCAAATTACAATAGAAACTTCTAGAATTGGATGGCAGAGAAAGGTTGATCTTCGTTTCACTTCTTTGTTAGACAGCTGAACAATGCTAAGTTAACAGAAATGTGGAGGTTTGACATAAGGGGCTATATCTAGAGATATTTAAAGGCAATTCACCTTTCAATATGTAACCTTAATTATAAGGTACAAACAACGTCTGCTTCCATTTGTATTTCTTAGAGCAATTCTTCCCCAGCACCTACCCACGGTGTATCCTGTGAAAAAAAGGAAATTTTGGGTTCAATATATGGATTAAGATAATTTTTCAAAGACAGTACCAAACATGATAAAATAATGTAACTAGCTGAAAGATAGCATTATGTTTGGAATATTTTTAGTAACAGTAACCTAAGCAATCCCAGGAAAGAAATGTCAGTTTGTGGAAGTAAGTATGTGTTGTTCATGTAAAGATTCAAGTGGATACTAATACGAATTACTCATCTTCAAACCTGACTGAATTTAGTATATAAGTACTTACAATTTTTCAGTGGAAATAATTTAAATAGAACTTTGAATAAAAGTGTTCTCAAATACATTATTCCATATGTAATCCTGGATTTATCTGTGGTGTTTAGATAGTCTGAACTGTTTTTCACTAATTTTTGATTTTTAAATATATAATCAAGGGATTTTTTTAAATGGAAAAGGACATTTAGGAGTCATCTAATTCAATCTTCTTGTGTTCCTTTCTTCTCCTTTATAGTTTATGTAATGTCTGTATTCAGCTTGGTTATTTGTTTTTGTTCTTGTTTTCCTATCTGTTTGATCTAAGTCATTATTTTAAAAC
Organism: Homo sapiens; assembly: GCF_000001405.40. Lineage (NCBI taxonomy): Eukaryota > Metazoa > Chordata > Mammalia > Primates > Hominidae > Homo > Homo sapiens. The sequence goes on from NC_000005.10 coordinate 103,672,076, forward strand.
AAATAAACCAAGTCCCGCTTTCTAGATGATGCTTGGTAGGAGCAAAACACATGAAATGAGGTGTCTGTCAAATTAGCTCAACAGTGGTTTTTGGTATTACACCCTAAACAAATTGTCTGAGTTTAGTCTGAAATGGGTTGATGGTTTTCCTACTCAGACTATTTGAGTTATTGCTTATAGAAAGCTGATTTGATTCACTGTGTTTGTTTTACACACATCTCTCTAATCTCTAACTACTTGCCTCAAGATGACTGACTATGGTATGCAAGTCGCTCTTGCACTGGAGGTTTTGTTTTATAAAACAGTCATCTCCTACTGGCAGGCTCCACATTTTGTTCGTCTTTCTTTTCACACAGCATCTTGGACAGGGCTTTCTACCCTGTAGGCTCATACTTGAGATACAGGTTAAGGGGCTTTGCTATAAATTAGGCCCTCAACTATGTGGTTCTAATATGAATTGCTCTAGAGTCTTAGTTGAATCACGTTGGATATTCTCTTCAGCTCTTTCAAAGCCTTCTCAAGCTTTGACCATTTTTGAAGACCTCGTGTTATGGGGACTTCATCTAATATCTGGGATGTTTTTGACAGTTGCAAAATACTCTAATGTTCCAAGGCCATTATTTTCTTTTGCATTTCTTAGATTTACTGCAACTCCAAAATTACTTTTTATTGAGTCTCACTCATGCTTATAGATGAAAATTTCTGAATAAATGGTACATTCAGGAGATTTAGGGAGTTTGACTGCAAATTTCCTTTTGTCAGTGACTACCCAATACAGAGGAAAAATAATTATGGTATTTATGAACACTTAAAAATGCAGAAATGAGAATTTTATAGTAACCCTAAGGAATTCAAAACTAGATGTAGATAAGCCTGTTCAGTTTACATAGGAAGAAAGTAAATAAAGATTAAGTGAGTTGTACAAGATGTACACTAGTTAGTAACTGAAGGATTACCAGACTCCTATTCCAGTGCTCTTTCAACTCCACTGTCCTGGGAGGGAAATGATAAGCTCCTCAGTTGTTCAGTTCTTTCTCGTCTCTATTCTCACCCTTTCAGCTATCTAGAATAAATCATAAATAATCAGTGTTCTTCCAAACCTTTTCCTAAAACAAAAGAGAAACAGTGAAAGGCTGCTGATCTGGGTGTAGTTAAATGTGAGACACTGGGTACGGTGTGTAATGAGTGGTTAAACATGGAAGACTTCATATATCATGTTTATCTAATGTTTTCAAAGTCTTTTAAAAAAATACTTCACTCAGTTGCCTGGGCATTTACAGCAAAGTCTAACCTTCCTCATAACCATCAAACACTACCCTGCAATTGTTTTCTTCCTGATTCTGTTATACAGGAGTGCATTCCAATTTAGGGTACTTTAACTGTCAGAAATATCAGAAAGAGCTTCTGCACTTTAAGCAATCTTCACAAATTCCTGTCCAGTCGACACGGGGCGAGCGATTTTGAAGCAATCCTTGTTTTGACTTCCCATTGCCCTTTCACCTGAGATGTAGCTTTTAGCTAATTAGCTCTTTCTGACATTACCATGAGAGTTATACTGTGCTCTACCTAGAGAGGTAGATTGGAGGAGGTCACACAACTCTAGCCTTGTCGGGATCTATTTGTAAAACCCATATTTTGTTTAGATACTTGACATCTAACATGTCAGTTGCTCAAGTGCTCATGTTATCATTGTCAATGAACTGAAACTTACCATTTTAGCTGTGGGTCAGCCTTTTACTTGGTTTTTGCTCTTATTGTTAGGTATTGCCCATCCTAATTTGTAATGAAATCATTTTTATTTTGTTTTATAAATCTGAAGAAATATTGATTATCAGCATAGACTCTACCAGATTTACTTCTCTAGGCATTTTACTTAAAGACAAGAAAGAAACATATATTTTTAGCATGGTATGCTTTGGTAGGCAGCAAATCATAGGGCTGTGATCCGCTAGACCTTCAGAGAGAAATGAAGCCAATTAATGTACAATTACCGGCAGCAGTGCTTTACTTGAAGGGTCTTTTACAATGAAACTTTTTAACAGGCTAATTGTAGACATCTGCTTCATGTACCTTAGCGTCATAGCCAGTATTTGCTAAGATCTTCTGAGCTTTTACAGCTTTACACAAAAGGACATATTGACAATTCCATTTTCCTATATAATAAGGAGACTATGCAAAATACTAAGCTGGGATTCAGCATTGTTGTAGAAATGCTCAATGTCACCAGAGTGATTGACTTGTTCCACCTGGCTTTCAGACATTTGGAGAAGTAAAACATATGTACCTTAATTGCAAAATGTAGGCTTAATGAACATGCAGGCGTTATGTTATACCAAATGCAACAATTGACATGATGGCAAGCTACTTAAGAACATGTCACAATGTTTGGCTTTTAAGAGGTTTGCTTTTGGCAATGTTTCAGAGAAGAATATGTTCCTTACATTTGCAGTCCTGTGAGCCAATAATAAAGTGTTCAGCATATGAAGCTGGTATTTATTTTAAATTGCTATGTCAATATTTTTGTTTAAAAGCAGGCTTGATTCCCTGTGTGGACTTTGTTGAAGCCTTCTATCACTGCTTTTTATTTGAGTTTGATTTAGCTTCTTTTCCCCCTGATTTTGTGTTTTGCAGAATGGCTTGTTGAAAGCCTTCTGATTGGGTTGGGGGGATAGAGTTGCTGTGTGAATTTTAAAGCCAAGAAAATGCAAAAAGGAGCAAACACTTGCTGAAGACATCAGAGAAGTGACTGCAATCAAGCAGCATTGGTTGTGTGACCTTGATGTTTACCAGAATAGCCACCAAGTTTGGGATAGTGGAAGCCCTGAATTCAAATGCCTCAGGATGACCTCACCACTGGCAGCCCTCTTTCTCCTACTGAGATGTTTCCAGGACTAATGCCAATGTTTAGTCCACTTGTAGGAATCTAAAATATTAGGCTTTTGATTTCAAGAACACAAAATAGGCTGAGGTGGGCGGATCACAAGGTCAGGAGATCAAGACCATCCTGGCTAACACAATGAAGCCTTGTCTCTACTAAAAATACAAAAAATTAGCCGGGCATCGTGGCACATGCCTGTAGTCCCAGATACTTGGGTGGCTGAGGCAGGAGAATCACTTGAATCTGGGAGGCGGAGATTGCCCCGAGCCAAGGTTGCACCTCTGCACTCCAGCCTGGGTGACAGAGTGGGACTCTGTCTCAAAAAACAAACAAACAAAAACAAAGGGATCCATTCTGGAATAGTACATAACTGATTTAATCCTAATGTAATGTCAAAACAACTTTCCCCAGCAGTTAAGAGAATGCCTCATCTATCACAGATACAATTGCTTTGTAGATGCCATGAGCTCTTCCAACAAATTGTTGGGCAGTTCTGTTCGTGAATTCACAGAATTCTCCATCCCAGACACATTTCTTTGGGGTAATTAAAATTAAAATGGTCTTTTCATGAAGGCAGTATGAAACAATATGCATCATCTATATACGCTGAGCTGAAAAAATATTGTATTCATAAATTAAATTGGACATTTTGAAAGGTTAACACAAAATGCTACTTTGCTCTTGGTAATCAATAAGGAAAAAAAGACTTCAGGTAATTAAAATCTGTGAAGTGAACATTTCTCATTTGGAACCTATTAAGAATATAAGCAGACAGAGGCAAGAGATAAATAAGGAAAACAAATGAATCAAAATTTTTTGTTATGTTTTGGCAAGGGAATGTAATGATATATAGCCTGAGGTCTGAAGTGATATAACCTGTTATTGCAGATAATACAACATTTACATTACACGGTATGTATAAAACATATGTATATTACTTAATTTAAATATTAGGCCGTGATTTTAAAATATGACTGTTCTATATGTCAGGCTCCAGTTTAGGTTGTTTAGGGCCTCCTTACTGAAATTTTGGCCTACAAACCAGCATGCAGCAAGGGTGCTTGCCAGAAGTGCAGAATTTCAGGTTCCTTTTTAGCTCTGTGTGCCATCTTTTTGTAATCTCAGGTTTTATAGTCTCCTTTATCAATTGTAAGAGGTGTGGGAGGCTAGTTTATATCTTTCAGAAGGGACACCTGGGTCAACAGGTTTAAAGAACTTTGAAAGTTATTTGTATCTTTGCCAGTAACTGCATTGTGTGAGAATCGCTGTAGCTGGTGTGTAAACTACCTTTGAATAAGAGGCAGCAAATGGAATTTATCAGGGGACAATGCCCTTTGTTTAGAAGGAGCAACAAAAGATGAATAAAAGGACACAGCCAGTCTTCTGAATCAGAATCAGCAATGTAATCATGTCTCCAGGGGATTCACAAGCACACTAAAGTTTGAGACGCATGGGCTTGGATGACTCCTTTATAGTAAGGTGAGTCGCCTCTTAAAAAGTCCTGTGCATTTTTTACGGCCCAAGTCAGTAGTTTCTTGGCTAAATATGACGGTAATAACTGATTCTACAGAGGGCCTAAGAGTTAATGTGTCTTCTATAGCACCTGCCTTTCTATCATGCACAACTAAGGAAAATACTGAGAATGAAGACAGACTCCATGCCCAACACAACTTGCTTCTGAGCCCTGGTTGTACAACTTTTCATTTTGTCTAACAGCAATATTCTTTTCTCTTTGTCATTTGCCTATTGAAATTTGTTCTGTTGCAAGGGTGCAGGGTTTTTATAACCTAGACTTTAGATATTGTTGCGGTGTGAGTTTTTGGATTCTTTTGCTGGCATAATCTCAGCTCCTTAGAATTTTTCTAGAATTTTGACCTTGCTTATAGATACTAGATTTTGAAGCAGCTGAATGCTTGTCCTTCCTTACTACTTGCCCTCCTGGCTTCTTTGGAACCATCTAGCTAGTGACTGGAGGGAGAGTGGGGGCTTGGTTCCCATTTTGGTCCACTCTCAGCTGAGGGTACCTCAGATCAGAAAGCACCTCTATGCCAGCTCTGTGGTGCAATGGATAGTGTGTTGGCCTTCTAGCTGAGTCTGATGTGTGTATTCGACAAAAGCAGTACCTCTAGATGACTGTCTACCATGCCATTGCTTCTTGGTGATATAAACCACAACTACATGTGCTCCTTGGCTAGATCAGTCCTTAGGTTGCCTGCCTATGATTCCTGCTTCCCTCATTTAGCCTTCTGGTTTTAGGCACACCACTTCTGCTAGGTAGAATGTATGCTGGAGTATAAAATTAATTGTGCTTTCCATTCGGTTTTCATACAGCTCTTAGGACATTGAAGTACTTTATGCTTCTTTTTAGTTAACATGGAGCTGCAAATATGTATTGTTTTATGATACAATAAATATTTTTGAGAAGGGTTAAAATATATGGCTTCTGGGTAATAAATATTAATTATCTATCTATCTCTATAATTATTTTTTCCAGTGAAGAGTTAGGCCCTGTTCTGTGTGGTGTGCAGTATAAAGATGAATTATAAAATACATGGTCTAGAGCACCTGGTGTACATAACTGCAATACAGGGAGGCCACTATATAAATGCTATGGAAACGTAAGTGACAAGAAGACCATTAAGTGTTTAGAGTAGGAAGAAAGCTCACATGGCTTGGTATTTAGGAAAAGGTTCAAAGAAGACACAATATCTGAATAAAACAGAAATAGTCTAGGGAAATGATATTTCCAGCCCAGGGCATAGGAAGGGTACAGATGCTAAAACAGATTTATATAAGATGCACCTAGAACCATACTAAACATTTAGGTGAAGTTGAATATCTGTGAAAGCCAGTGGTGGAAGACAGGGAAATCTGAACACAATGTACTAAACATATGAACTGGATCCCTGGAAGGAGCAGAATTGTTAGAGATGAAAGTGGGAGAAAAATAGTGCAAGGATACAAAGTTTAGCAACCAAAATGCCTGACTACTAATGATTAGCCATGGAAAGGTCCAAGTTAGCAATGAAGAAACGTACATAAAGTCATTCTTTTTTTCATTCTGAGTAAGGTTTCTTATTCATAGGGAAAAAGGATATACTAAAAACCAATGGCACCATCAAGTTTATCCCAAACCACGTTAACACATAGACAAAACAATACATGGGCCATATGTTTTGCCAAATGCATCTAATAGATTGAGAATCCAGAAAACCCATTGATTAAGCTTTGCAGCTCAGGACAGAGGAAGCAAGGAACAATGATTTGTTCTCATGAACCAGAAGAGAACAAGTAAGATGAGCTGAATGGGGAATAGTATGATGGAGGAAGCACTTTTCCAGGGCTTAAGACAGGGAGTACAGTAAAAACTATGACCCAGTTCATGATGTGACTTTTGGCAAGTCACTTCAAATTCCTGGGCTTCAGTGTCTTCATCTGTAGAAGGACAATAATCTCTGTAATTTTTTCCTAGGTCGAACGTTTTTTAAATCTATGATTCATGTGGAAATTCCTGGTCAATACGAATACATAATACCTAATTTTCTACTTCCTTTGAAGGTCACAATGAATAAACAAAATCTGATTCAGAGACTATGCCAAGCCAGGTGATAAGGTAGGTAGTTTAAATTTCTTTCTCAATATCAAAATAATGGAATTTATGTTGAATCTTTCTGTTATTTTGATTCACAAGGAACCATTGTTGGATACTCAGGTGCTCAGGTATTAGTGGTAGAAGTGCAAAGGCAGAGTTTGAGAAGAAGCCCCAGTGGCCCTAAGACTCCTATTCACTGCCTTTATGGCCTGTTGGGCTGATCAGAGGAGGATGAGAGGAGAGTACAAGTTAGAAGCTACGAGTTGGGGACTCCTAAGGTGGGTTTGTGAGCAGGACATGATGTTGGGCATCCAGAAAAGTAGTCTAGTCCTAGCCCCTGCCTTAGTCCATGATGCTTACACTTCAAGTTACGTTTTTTTTTTGTTTGTTTTTTTTTTGTTGTTTTTTTTTTTTTTGGTTCATACTATGAAAGATTTTAACACAATTTGTGATTAAGACTTTTGCTGTCAAGTGTCAAATAGTTTATGCACCTCAGGGAATGTCTGCCAACCAAATAGTTTCAATGGAATACTTTTTTAAAAATATTCAGTGTCTATAATCACCTCTAATTACAATTTTCTGCACAGTCTACTCCGAAAAAAAAAATGGAAACATATTAAGAGTTGTATTTTCATAACGCTATTCACAATTAATGACAAGTAATTAAAATTCCTAAGTGTTTAAATGTCACGGTAAAGACAATGCTAATTTGACCTTCTTCAATTTTTATATGGAGGCTTGTGAAGTTTGGGCAGGATGAAGGGAAAAGAACCTTTTATTCCCAAAGGCTTTAAAAACCTGCGTTTAGTAGGCACTGTGTGCCATCTTTTTGTAATCTCAGGTTTTATAGTCTCCTTTATCAATTGTAAGAGGTGTGGGAGGCTAGTTTATATCTTTCAGAAGGGACACCTGGGTCAACAGGTTTAAAGAACTTTGAAAGTTATTTGTATCTTTGCCAGTAACTGCATTGTGTGAGAATCGCTGTAGCTGGTGTGTAAACTACCTTTGAATAAGAGGCAGCAAATGGAATTTATCAGGGGACAATGCCCTTTGTTTAGAAGGAGCAACAAAAGATGAATAAAAGGACACAGCCAGTCTTCTGTGTTTAGTGTCCCATTTTTCCAGATAAAAAAGGGGATAATATTCTATCTTGATCCTGTGCAGAGGCCTTGAGTACATTAAGGAGATGAAGAAAGAAGAGAAATGAAAAGGAAATAAAGCAACCAATGTGTTCTTGAACTGTGACTTCAAGTAGCTGCATTTAAAAAACAAACATTACATTTTGTGGGTATATCTGTGAGGCTTATCCATTATGTGTGCAAACACAATCTGATTAGTATTTGTTATAAGTTCGTCTTGTCTGCTTTTATTACAGACATCACCTTCAGATGTGGGACCACTGCAGCTATTAAATCAGGAATATTTAGCTATTATTTGTAATAAATGTCAGCAGGGCTGAACTGAAGCCAGCAGGAAATGTTCAGGGCAGAAAACACACTGACATTCATTCATGCAAATTTGTACCACGGGTAGAATTAATCATAAAGAGGGAGGGTAGAGCATACAATGCATTTATATTACTGGTTTGGCCAATTCCCTTCTTCCTGAATATGAGAGTTATAATGTACAGAAAGCAATCTGCTGACAGTCCCATGTGAAGTGCAGGCAGCGAGATTAACTTTCCCAAGCAGGCATGTCTGGGTCTATTGCAGACCATCCCTCCTTCCCCACACTGTCCGTGGTCCTCTGAGGCAGCATTGCAATGTCCTTTTTCCTCTTTAAAAGAGATCTAGATTTATCATCCACATAACTCTTCCCTCTTAAAATTACAGGGACACTCTAAAAAACATTCCCTGCATACTACTGAGGGTGGGACCAGCTTACCCTATTATAAATTAGAGTGCTTATGTCACATGGGGAAGATGTGGCCTCAGGAACTAGGTTGTTGACTATTAAGAAACTCATTTACCAAAAACGAACAAATTTTAATCTTCCTCAGTCTCCCTTGGTGTAAAACGAGGCTAAACAACCCGTACAACTGAATAATTTAATCTCCACAGAGAAGATTGTAATCACCATGATCAAACACAGCTCTCACTTACACTGAACGTCAAGGAGTATAATTTAATTCTATGAGTAAGTAAAGTTAACAGCAGAAAAGAATTAGTGCATTAATTTTTTTTAGAAAGGTGAGAAAAATACAGGATGAAGGTATATCTTTAAATTTTTCTCATTTTCTTGTTACATGAAATTATGATTCACCAGGAAACAAAAACTACTGAAAGGAGTTGACAGAAAAATTATAGGTGACTTGAAAGATACTAATTATTCTTGTGCTTTAGTCTTATGATTTTTTTTTTTTTGAGACGGAGTCTCACTCTGTCACCCAGGCGGGAGTTGCAGTGGCGCGATCTCGGCTCACTGCAAGCTCTGCCTCCCGGGTTCACGCCATTCTCCTGCCTCAGCCTCCCAAGTAGCTGGGACTACAGGCACCCGCCACCGCACCTGGCTAATTTTTTGTGTTTTTAGTAGAGACGGGGTTTCATTGTGTTAGCCAGGATGGTCTTGATCTCCTGACCTCGTGATCTGCCCACCTCAGTCTCCCAAAGTGCTGGGATTACAGGCGTGAGCCACCGTGCCCGGCTGGGTGCTAAAACCTTTCTTTATTTTTAATTCATCTTTGGAACCAAAAGATTGTTTTATCTCCCACATCAATTGCCTGCAGCTTCTTCTCCTCTTAAAAACTTGCTCCCTTTGCTCTCTGAAGGCAGTTACTTCACTTTCCTGTGTATACTCCCCTTTTCGTCTTGAGACAGCTCTCTTCTCTCTACACCCAAAGAAAAATGAGTGTTCAGTCTCTAGAGAGACTAGTTAATGTTTTCCCTTCCCCTTTTAAAAGACTGTGATTCTGCTTTAAATAATAAGCATAGCCCAATTTACAAAGTAAAAATTTTATAAGGGAGATGATATGAAACACATTTTATACAGAAGTGTCAGGCTCTGTTCTAAACGCCTCCGTGTTCACTTATTTACATTAATACACAACATTTTTACGAGAAAATGGGAGCACAGAGAGGGCAAATAACTTTCTCAAGCTTACACATTTGTTAAGTGCATACTGGAATCAAATTCCCAGCGATTTGGTTTCAGAATCTGTACTCTTAACTACTATGCTATGCTGCCTCTCAAATGCTCTTTGCAGGGTAATACAGCAACTAGAGTGAATGCGATTACTGAATAAAACTGAATCTAAATTTCCTGGTGGTGCTAGCAAATGATGAAATGCACTGTCACTTAATTTTCGTTGTGCTTGAAGAATGATTTTATGAAATGGGCAATGAATCAACCTCCATATTATAACAGAAGATTCAAAGAGTTGTTTTTGAAGACACTTTAGCTTCCCAAGTTGGGCAGATGGCCTAAATCACCTCTTCATCAGGAGCCTTATGTCAGTGTCAACTTTGATTTATCTGAGCTTTATTTAAGAAGGTAGCATTTTCTTTCCACTTGAGTATTCTCATTGAGCCTTCAAATTTAAACAGTAAAACCAATGGATGTGTCTTTTAGGATAAATCACGTTGGCCTTCTGTAGCCACTCCTCTATCCCCATAATTTCTTCTATGTTTGTTGCAGTCTTGTGTAGTGTAGTGGTTAATTTTAGATGTCAACATGGCTGGGCCATGGTGTCCAGAAATGTGGCCAAGCATTATTCTGGATGTTTCTGTGAGAATGTTTTTGGATGAGATTAATATTTCAATCATTAGAATTTGAGTAAAGCAGATTGCCCCCATAATATGGGTGAGTCTCATCCAATCTGTTGAATGCATGAATAGAACAAAAGACTGACCTCCTGTCAGTGAGAGGAAATTCTGCCAGCAGATGGCTTTAGACCTTGAACTGCAGCATCAGCTCTTGTTGGGTCTCCAGCCTGCCAGCCCACCCTGCAGATTTTGGACTTGCCAGCCTCCAAAACCTCATAAGCCAATTCCTTAAAATAAATATCTTTCTATGTATGTCTATACACGCATCCTATCAGTTCTGTTTCTCTGGAGAACCCTGACTAATACAATAGCCATGTGCTTCAGGGGAGGTTGGTCTTCCATTTCAGCCATAGGAGGTGAAAGTGAGAAGTGAGGGAAATTCTTCTGGGGACATTTTGGGAAATATTTACTCAATGATGAAAGATGATACAAAAGAGGAGACCCTTCCTTTTATCACACTGGACTTTGTTGGCAGTTGTGATGCCAGGAACCATGCTGTTCAATTCAGATGACGGAAGAAGGTAGCCAGGGGAACCAAGGCAATACTCGCAGGATGGCAGAGCAGAAAGCTGAGATTCTGGGTGCCTGAGATATCATTTAGCTGCTGAATGGGTCAACCTAAGAATTGAGTTTAGAACTTTTTGACATACAAAATAATAAATATCTATATTGTTTAAATTAATCCTAGTTGAGTTATTTTATTTGCTGCTGAAATATTGTTTACTATAATATATGTCTCTAGGGAGTTGAACTAATTGGCCTGCTATGTGTAGTAATTAGGTATTGATTGCCAAATAAACTTAAAACCCCATAGGAATATAGGTCTAGGCAGTTAATGTGTTTGAACAATAAGGTGTGGTGGGGCTTACGGAGTACCTGAGGAGGGTATAATCTACCTAAAGGGACAAATACTCAGCTCCTAAAAATTGCTACCATTGGAAAATTCTATGCTGGTATTGTATTTTTTAGCAGATCTGAAAATCTGGATTTTTCTGTGGAGTCTCTGAATTTTTGAATGTTTATAATTCAATTTATAAAAAGAAAATTCAGGTGGGCCAACAATCAAGGTTGAAGACTGGGTTCCATTTACATGCATCTAGTTTGTATTTTCTGTGGAGAATTTACAAATAGAATGCTTTCTTGTCTAATTTTATGTTATGTAACTAGTGTTTACCTCTTCTCCATTATACTACATAGGTAGTAGGACTAATGATTTCTTAAGGCTGTTGTTGGATAACAACAGAAAGACTACTTTGCCTGAATATGGAAGAATATTTATCTTCCCATTTGTTTTAATTTAAAGCATTGTAAAGCAACTGAGATATAAAGTTTAAAACAGAAATAATATGGAGCATATTTTTTAAACCACCATTTAAGTTTGTTATTTGCCTTTCAGAAGACCATTTCCTCTGCTGAGATCTATGAATTTTATTTCCATTTTGTTTTGAAACATGCTTGCTGATTTAGCGACATAGTCCATCTAGATTTTAAATTCAATTTACGTGAATATAAAAAAATTCCTATGCTGCTCTGGTGATTTTTTTGACACTGGTAAAATTATATAACCTTCTGAAAATTATATATTTTTCCTATCAGTAGCATATAAAAGTTGAGAATGAAAATCGTTACCATTCTTTTCAACTAAGATACAATGATTCCTTTTGGTTAATGACAATAGATGACAAATGTACAGTTTGGGGAGATAGCTGATGATATTATCTTTGTAATGATTCAAGATTAGGAATATTATCTTTTAAATAACTTGTAATGGGGTCAATTTGTGAAGTCATCTAAGCCCTTAAACTTTTCATAATTCCAACTCGAATAACATTTTTGGGATAAGAAGTTCCGTATGTTCTGTAATAAGCAAATAATGTAGTGCTTCCTTTTATTTATCCCCAAATATAGATTTTTAAAATGGACCACAAACATAAAAATAGGTGTATAACTTGTCCTCATAGATGGGACTGTGTCATCACACTATATTTCTTTGCACAGTTAAAAATACTTTAAGCCTATAAAAGTGTAATGAAATGGATATAGTGATATTCCTGTTATTCAGTGCAGTGGTAAAAAAAATAGTAGTAACAACTCATGCCAGCATGGTATCATTTATCGAAGACAACTTACACTTTCTCTAGGATATGGGTCCTGCACGCACATGACAAAGGCATTCTGAATTTTCCTTTTGATTTGCTTGTATCTCTTTTCAGGCTCTTGGCTAATTATGCCAAATTCTATAGATCAGTCTTCTATGTGAATGGAACAAATATATGTTAAGTAGGATAGAAGTTTCTTATTGAATGTGTACACAGAATTCAATGACTAACAAATATGACTTAACTGCTTAGGGAAGGAGAATGAAATCAAAATGCTTCAAACACTGAGCCTTGGTGTTCACAATGAATTGAAATAATCTGGTCTTCATTAAATGTGGAGTTCCCACCTGCTTGAAAAGACTTTTTATCATGTAGGGATTTTGATGCTCTCCACTTTATATTCTAGGTGTTTAATGACCATTCATGCAAAATAGAATCTTTAAGGAAACACTGACCCAAGTTGATTTATTTTGAGGTTGAATTATTTTAAAATTTTAATCATCATCTGAAGTTACTTTTTGCCATGTGCAGGACGAGGAAATTTTTAGAAGTCCTGGAAGCAGTAGGGTAGGAATGGGAATTTTTGTGTTTATTAAATTTAATTTGAAAGCTCCCACATTCGATTCCTCAGCTAGCAATTTTAAATCAGAGCATTTATATTGGTTAAAAATTAAATTTTTCCTGGGTGCGGTGGCTCTCCTGTAATCCCAGCAATTTGGGAGGACAAGGCAGGCAAATTGCTTGAGGTCAGGAGTTCGCGACCAGCCTGGCCAACATGGTAAAACCCTGTCTCTACTAAAAATACAAAAATTAGCCAGGTGTGGTGGTGGGCACCTGTAATCCCAGCTACTCGGCATGCTGAGGCAGGGGCATCGCTTGAACCCGGGAGGCAGAGGTTGCAGTGAGCTGAGATCGCACCACTGCACTCCAGCCTGAGTGACAGAGTGAGACTCCATCTCAAAAACAAACAAATAAATAAAAAAAATAAATTAAATTTTTACCATAGCTAAAAGGTTGATTTATTCTTCTTTGTCCTCAACCGCTCTTATGAAAAGAATGAATATGAAATGTTTTTGTGAAATTCCTACAGTGTATCAATTTTATTATTTTGGCAGCTGTGATTTCTCTGGTTATTTGAATATGACCTAGTGATCCCATATGGCTGTAATATGAAGTACTTAAATCTCCTCCAGTTGAAGTAGAAAATATGTCAGAACTCATTAAGAAGTTATCCATATACTGTATTGATTTTTATAAATTGCTTCTTAAATTATAGTTCAGCATGACACACATGAACATCACTGAGATCAGGTATTATTTGGACTAAATTAACACATTTTGCAAGTAGTTACTGTCATAGCTATTCTCTGATGCTATGCCATGATAATCCTTGTCCTTTGGTAAATTATTTAAAACCCAGACTTTTATTTTTATTCTCATCAAAGGTATATGTTGAATAAATTGTATTTATTGTTATGTTATAGACGTCAACCCTGGTGCCTAACAAATTATGACCCTTCTCAGGTCAATCTTCCCTATCCACAGCCATTGTTGAAGAATCCAACCTGTGCAGATGATGAAGTTCTAGCCCCCTTGATTTAGCTGATTGACCCTAGGAAGGTACTGGTAGCATAAGCAAAGCCTGGTGTGGAAAGGTATTCTAGGTCTATCATATTCTCTGTTGGGAATTTGAATTTGAAAACGGGGATGTAATTAGTGATTAATAAGGGTAAGAGGGTAAAGCTGAATGATCTCATGGGATAGAGGTAGAACCCTGAGTTATGACTAGAAGCCAAAGTTCCGAGGAAGCAGAACTCTGCCTAAGCAGAAGTTACAAAGAGGAGAAAGGATTGCAGATCTGTCTCTAGCTGTATGAACAGGAATAACAAAACATGTAATTGGCGAGTAACCAAATTAGGTAATGCCAGAACAGTGGTGTAAAGATTCTGCCACGTTACAAGGATTTTGCCTTTCTGGACACCAGAGTGTCTTGGGTTTCTGTAGCCATATATCCTTAGGGTACATGACCCATTACATAAGATAATTGAAGTATGTTTCTATTTCTTGAACTAGACAACTATATATATATATATATATTTTTTTTTTTTTTTTGACATGGAGTCTTGCTCTGTCACCCAGGCTGGAGTGCAGTGGAGCGATCTTCGCTCACTGCAAGCTCTACCTCACAGGTTCACGCCATTCTCCTGCCTCAGCCTCCCAAGTAGCTGGGACTACAGGAGCCCACCACCACGCCTGGCTAATTTTTTGTATGTTTAGTAGAGATGGGGTTTCACCATGTTAGCCAGGATGGTCTCGATCTCCTGACCTCATGATTGGCCCACCTCGGCCTCCCAAAGTGCTGGGATTACAGGCGTGAGCCACTGTGCCCGGCCTACATTTTTTTTTTTTTTTTTTTTTTTGTTGAGACATGGTCTCACTCTATTGCCCAGGCTAGAATGGAGTGACGCTGTCATGTCTCACTGCAACCTCAACCTCCAGGGCTCAAGTGATCCTCCTGCCTCAGCCTCCCGAGTAACTTGGACTACAGGTGGATGCCACTGCACTAGGCTATTTATTTTTATGAAGGCAGAGTCTTGCTATGTTGCCTAGGGTGGTCTTGAACTCCTGGCTTCAAACAATCCTCTTGCCTTGGCCTTCCAAAGCACTGGAATTACAGGTGTGAGCCACCATGGTGAGCCCAGAATCTACTATTGACATGAAGTATTTTTTAGCTTTCTAATATTATAAAGCAAATAGAATCCTGTATACTTTAAGAAATGGTGGGAGCTAAAGTGTCTTTCACAATTTCCTCTCATCCTCTTCATTCCCCATTGTTACCCACTGAGACAACTCTGTAGACTCTCTTCCCTCTTCATAGAGTTTAAAACCCACTGATCTGAACTAAAGACACAGATAAGCTCATAAATAAGTGATGAATAAAAACGTGGGATCCAGTCATACCGAGGTATTTTTTTCTTTTGGTGGATTTGGAGAATTATTTTATCACAATTTCTGTCATTACACTCATTTCTACCATGATCACATGCAATATCACAAAATTTCATGCAACTATAATCTTGATAACTCTAGCTTAAACCGCTTCCCTGAACCCAGACTCCTCTGTCCAATTGCCTACTGTCTTAGTCCATTTGTGTTGCAATAAAGGAATGCTTGAGACCAGAAATTTTATAAAGAAAAGAGGTTTATGTGGCTTACAGTTCTGAAGGCCGTACAAGAAGGATGGTACCAACATCTGCATCTGGTGTGGGCCTCAGGAAGCATACACTCATGGCAGAATATATACCCTCATGGCAATGGGGAGCAGGCACCATGTGGGGAGAGAGGGATGGAAGGAGAAGACAGGGAGGTGCCAGACTCTTTCCAACAACCAACGCTCTAGAAAACAAACAGAGCAGAACTCACTCATTACCATGGCACCAAGTCTTTCATGAGGGATCTGCCCCCATGACCCAAATACCTCCCAGTAGGCCCTGCCTCTAACACTGGCAATCACATTTCAACATGAGATTTGGAGAGACAAATATGCAGACTATATTTACCTACCAATTATCCCTTTATATGTCTAATAAGCATTTTGTAAAGTAGTGGAAAAAATTAAATCATTATAGAAAGCAGTTGTATAGCTATACTGAACTTAAGAGAAAATGTTCTACCAGCTGGTAACATATATATGTTGAATCTGGTAATTTGGCTAAAGCAAAGCATCATAGATGTTACAAATTAATGTTAATTTTCATATGTTGATTTATAGCTCTGATCATATTTAATTCACAGTTTTGGTTTATATTTATATTTATTAATATAACAAGTTTATATATCAATTTATGTTTTAAATATTTAAATAACTCTAAAATAAAATGTATCCTTGAGAACCCTTGACAGACACCATTATCACATGTTAACATTATATGTTATTCACAGAATAGCCTTTTCTCTGCAAGCATCTTAATAACAAAATTTTTTTAATTAGACATTTTTAGAATGGGAGCTGCATGATTTTGTTGAATAAAGCAGGATAAATTCATGACACTTCTTTGATGTATCAAGGTAGAAAAGCAATTTTTAAAACCAAACAAAGTGTATACAAATATTCCTTCCACCCCCTTTATTTCTAACTCTTACCAAGTCTTGGAAGGCAAAGGTTATGATTAGAATGTTTATTGGGGAGTTATTTGGCAATATAAATAAAAAAGCTAAAAGGTTAATTTTGGAGAATGTAACAACTTCAAAAATGTTGATTTGCTGAAAATAGTTGGTTTATTGGCAGCTGGATTTTCTTGTAGGAGTACACGCTTTTGTTTTCTTTTCATCTCCTGTTCTTCAATAATTGTGTTATGGCAAAAAGGTAGAAATGATGGTTAAGTGGAGGAAGCTAAAAGTGAGATAGAGGATAAACAAGGGAATTGTAAAATAAAATGGAATTCCACTGATAGTGGTAACAAAAAACGAAAGCTCTCCTTGCTGCTAGTATTGCCTTTATCACTGGTAATATTAGTAAAATAATCTCCAGAATGTAACTCAGTAGAAGTACTTCTGCTGTTACATTTTATGTAATTGTAGAAGGATTGTTTATAGAAAAATGAGGCTTCTTAAATGGCAACTGTGTGTAAGAGTCTTTAAGAGGTGCTTCACACATAATTTTACATTTACAAAAGTCTTCAAGGTCTGTGTTGTTACCCTGTTTTGCAGGCTATGAAACAGAGGTACCAAGCTGTTAAGTAATAATGCGCCCTGGGTTAGACAATGTGTACTAAACTTAGGTTTCAAACCCAGGATTGACTGCCTTCCAAGTTCATACTGTGACCATTACATCCCTTTAATAAAAACAAAAAATATGACCATGGGATGCAAGGCATTTGTTAAAACTTAAGGCCTATGTTCTTGTAAACTTGTTCTAATGCCAATTCCTATTATTTATGTTCTAATAGTATTTGGACAATTGTCTACATTTTAAACCTTCAAAGGTAACTAATTTAAAGATAAAGGAATATTTTTATGTTTATAATTTCTAAGACATCAAAATAAAATAAATAGAGTTATTTTTTTAGTTGCACTTTTTAGACTATATACTAAAAAAAAAGTAATAGTGACTGAAATACCTGTCTCTTATCTTGAGCTGGTTGTCTTTCAAGTGTCCATAATGATGTATTTAACATTCTTACAGTATGAGGACCAATATACTAGTCATTTGTTATGTTTAACATTATCAGTATTACTCTTACTACTAGTTCCCCAAAGTAGAGACTTTATTGGTGCAGTAAATCATTTTCAGGACTACTGAATTTCTTCCTTCATTTCTCCATGATAAAGCAGTACTTCCTATTTAGCCATGGTTTTCAACACCAAAAAGCAATTCCAGTATTTATTTTTAGGAACTCTGTAAATTCTGCAGATATCAAGGAAAAGATGGTGGTGTGTGCCTCTTAAAAGACTAAACGAGAATTGGCAAGCACAATAGTTTCCCCAACCCAACAGCCACCTCCTTCTAGCACTGGCTACCTAGAAGCCTAGGGTCAAATTTGTTTATTTATTTGTTTTTATTTTTTTGAGATGGAGTTTCACCCTGTCGCCCAGGCTAGAGTACAGTGGTGTGATCTCAGCTCACTGCAACCTCCATCTCCCGGGTTCAAGTGAACCTCCTGCCTCAGCCTCCTGAGTAGCTGGGACTACAGGCACGTGCCACCACGCCTGGCTAATTTTTGTATTTTTAGTAAAGACAAGGCTTCACCATGTTGGCCAGGCTGATCTTGAACTCCTGACCTCAGGTGATCTACCTACCTTGGCCTCCCAAAGTGCTGGGATTACAAGTGTGAGCCACCACGCCTGGCCTAGGGTCAAATTTAAAACACAGTTGTTGTAACTAATTCCTATTCCTGGTTTAAAAATCCTTTCTCATTTTTACAAGTTTTTAATTTTATTCCTGAAATTTGTTTTGTTGTCCTGTACTTATATGTGCATTTCTTGGGTAATATGTTTATATTTTAGATAGTCTCCAATTCTTTTTAGAAAGAACATATATTCTCTTTCCACTGAATAACCACAACTCTCTTGTATAAAATAAAAATAAAAGGTAATTTAGCTGTTAAATCTATGAAGCCAAGGAAAATTGTGGCTAGAGAAATAATTTATTGATGGTATTAGTGAAATTTGTCATTGTCTTACCATACTTCCTATATAATAATACTGCCTTTCAAAAAGTTACTCAAAAACGGTTGCCTTTGTAAACTTTTTTGGAGCATTGTCTTATTAGCTGCTTGAAAAATGTGAAAAGGCAAACCATAAAATGTGTATATGTTTGAAAGTTGATCTTCACCACTAAGAGGAAATAGAGGCTTTTGACTTTTGTATTCATTGCACACAGCAGTGAATGGGTGGTTATTGTATGACACCAAACATTCTGTGGTGAGATTTGCTGTAATAACAAAAACCAACAGGTTTAAACCTCAGAAATGACCTTTTAAAGGGCAGGCATTCAATTTTGACAAAAGTGTTCAACAGCAGGCTTGAGGGTAAAATATAAAAATTTTAAACCCTATAATTAGGCAGCTTATTTAAAAACACAGGATGAGAGGCACAGATGGTTCATATTAACAAAAGCAAACAAACAAAAGACTGAAAACAGGCGTATAAAACTAGCAATGGCAAGAGGTGAACTATTATACTTTAACAGACTGGCCCTAAAATATGTATGTCTTGATCAATCAGCATTTATTGTGAATTGGAGGTATAAGACAATACAAGTCATTGCTCGAAAGAAATTTACTGTCTTGTGAAGGTGATAGAACTTACATCAGTTACATAAATCTATATACCAGTGAAATAGCTATTTAAAATTATTTGTACAGGAGTATATAATAAGTTTTGGAGAAGAGAGAAAAGTCTCATGCATGAATAAATACAAATACAAATTCAAGTTGCTATGTCTCAGTACATTCCAAGAGTTATACTTCTCTCCATCTGTTCTTCTGCCAAATTATATAACACTAAAATATTGAAAAATTGTATTTATTTCCAAGAGTAATCACTGTGTTCAAACCATTAGTCTTACACTCAGAATATTTATGAAGCATCTACTGTGTCTGCATGATATTTCATTAAAAGCTATGTGAGGGTAAAATGATAGCTTTTTTTTCTTTTTTAATTTTTTTTGAGATAGAGTCTTGCTCTGTCACCCAGGTTGGAGTGCAGTGGTGCGATCTTGGCTCACTACAGCCACAACCTCCCAGGTTCAAGTGCTTCTCCTGCCTCAGCCTCTCAAGTAGGTGGGACTACAGGCACCTGCCACCATGCCCGGCTAATTTTTGTATTTTTAGTAGAGGCAGGGTTTCACCATGTTGGCCAGGCTGGTCTCAAGAACCTGACCTTAAATGATCCACCCACCTCGGCCTCCCAAAGTGCTGGGATTACAGGCGTGAGCCACCGCGCCCAGCTAGAAGATGATAGTTTGGATGGGGAGAGGTTCATAAGAAATACTATGAATGGTTTTGTTCTTACGAGGGAAGTCGTTTGTGATTATGGATGGGGAAAAAAAGGGAAATGAGAGTGAAAGTTTGTGTTCCATAAACTGTGTGTTGGGCTTGCTTTTCCTTCTTCCTTTTAGAAAATTTTCTCCTTTCTTATATTTCTCAGATACTTAAGTGCTGAGCCCAAGGTGGTTAGAGTAGAGGAAGAAAGAGATTGGATTGCTTATGGGGCAGTATTTTAGTTTTTTCTTTTCTATTGGCCTCAAATCTTGACTTGAATCTTGGTCACAGTAAATTCACCTTTGTGACTGTTCTTGACTATATTAAAAGAATTAGATTAATTTGCTTGTCTGGAGGGTTGGCATCCTTGATCCTTCCTAATTTGAGGGCCAGAACAAGGGAAGAGAAGAAGCAGCCTTCTCAAATGCCAACTGACTCTAAACTTTGGTTTTATGAATGTCCTAGGTATGTGATTGTTGTCCTTCACAGATACTTTCTGTGATAGCATGTGATGTGGTCAATAGGAAGCTCATCTATTTGATCTCTTAAATAAAGTGAATGGTTTCAAGGATGCCTGCTTATATGGAACACTATTCTATATCAAATTGCTTTTATTAACTTACTTTATAAATGGAAAAACTGAGTACCATAGAAAGTTTGGTGACTTCCTAGCACTGCTCAGCAAGTCATTGTCAAAATAATGCATACTTCTGAAATTGAATGAAAAGCCTAAAAATCAGGTACTTGTATATGTGCATTTTTTTCTCAGTCCTCATAGAGGCTCCATTATGTTTTCTGTGGCCACTTGTTTCTTTCAGCCAGCCATGCTTCAAAAGCACCAGCTCTCAGAAGCAGTAGCTCTGGGAGTAGCACCATTGGTGGCATTTGGTTCATCACTGACCTGGGAACTCTGCTCTGGACAGCAGCCCATCCACACAGACATGCCTGTGATTGACCCATAAAATGCCCTCATTCCATGAGGGCCAATACTAATCAGATTGAATGAGTTGAACAGGCCACCAGGGGTAGTAATGTGTGTGCAGAAATCACCATATTTTTCGTTTTCTAAACTATAAACTCCACTTGTCAGAATAAAGGATTTTCTTTCCATTTGCAAGATTTCTCACTCAGTCTCTGATTTCTCCATGGTTCCTCTCTGCTACATTAGCCCTGAATGAGCTGTAAATGAGATAATGTTGAGCACAGGAAGATAGGATGTTCAAGCGGACAAAGCAGGGAGGGCGATCCTTTTCACAGCAGATGTTCTAATGGCTGATTCAGTCTTCCGGGTGGTCAGCTCAGACATCAGTACTAGCACTATAGACAGTGTACCCTTCCAGCTGCTGGTACTTTTGTCATACTTACTGTTGCATTCAATGCCAGTCTGACAGCACAGTGTTGGCAGAATTTTTCTAACCTCAGGTACAGAAGAAAAGCAAAACAGTTACATGATGAATGGATTAGAGCCATTTCTTATCTCTTCTTGGAAGAAAATTTTTTCTTCTTATTCTTCAGACAAATGAGGATGAAATAAGGCAGCATGTGGTAGGGAAAGAGATGAATCAAATAATTTCCGTATGTTTCAATCAATACTAAATGCTGCATTGACATGTATTCCACTGGGAGGGTGGAACTGGGGATGCCATAGAATAATTCGAGGCTGGTATACTGAGCATTATGTGTGTCCTTCAACCAAATACCACAGGTAGTTAAGCCTTTTTTCTGTTTGCCTCTGTGGCAGGATCCTCCTTCCTGGTGGTGATAGAGAAGTATCTACAGATGTTTTCTGCAGATGTCTCCCAGTGGGGCCTCCCTCTTACTGTCTGCTTTCTCTCGTTGCCTGTTTCCTTTCTTAGTTCCCATATCTATTTGTTTCCTCCCAATGAATGTTTTGCTGCTGTTTTGTCTCTCACATCTGTTTCCTTGATCCCTTGACTCTGACTTAACTTTGTCCCCTCTTCTTCCTTGCACCTGTGAGGTAGCAAGAAGACCAGCTGTTCTTTTCCAGAACTCTTGTCAAAACTCACTTTTGGAAAATAGTTTCAGTACGTTACCACAATAATTGCATTTCTAAACACTAATAGTTGGGTATTCAAAAGAAAAAATACACATGCACATACATATAAAATAGAAATAGGCTTCCTGTCTCTAACTTAAATCACCTACTATATGTTAAATATATGCTACATTTAATGCATTCATTTATTTAATACACATTTACTAGCTAAGAGGACCCATAATTTAGATTTAGGAAGAAATTTGCCTGATCTGCAATGAAACAGTACATGGAAAAGTAAACTAACACATAAGTAAAAATCAAAACTTGGTCTATTAATATTGAAGCTGTATTTTTTTTCATCTTCCATTATGACACATAACTAGTATACTAGAGAGAATAAAAGAATCTAGTAAAAACTGCTGGACCAGATAACATATCCCGTCAACACACGGGTTTTTAAAAGCTCTGTGCAATGATAGCATATATAGTCTCTTAAATTTGTTACATATTTCCTAGAAAATCATTTTTCTCTTACTTCTTTGTACTTCTACCCTTTCTACTTTAGATTCTTCTACAAAACTTTTTGTTTTCTAATTTATTATCCCCACACTATTGCTTTTATTCTCTATTCTTCTAAACTGTCATTCAAATTATACAACTAAATAAATGTTAAAAAATTATAATTTATATCTGGTCTTGCGGTCAAAGATAGTTTGATAACATAACAAAGATTTCTTACACATTTTTCTTTAGTATATAACATATAGTTAAGACTGATACAGAAACCTTAGGATGCATTTGCAGGTAACTAGTTACATATCCAATCTTTCTGTCTCTCTATCTAGTCTTGGAACCTAAAAATACAGAAATATGCACCTTGCTAAAGACAAAAGAAGCACAGCCATGCTGGAATGCAAGAATTTGTACAGATGTTAAGGATGTGCTTCAGCCTGGTTCTCGCATTTAAGAATCAATTGTGGCCGGGCGCGGTGGCTCACGCCTGTAATCCCAGCACTTTGGGAGGCCGAGGCGGGCGGATCACGAGGTCAGGAGATCGAGACCATCCTGGCTAACAAGGTGAAACCCCGTCTCTACTAAAAATACAAAAAATTAGCCGGGCGTGGTAGCGGGCGCCTGTAGTCCCAGCTACTCGGGAGGCTGAGGCAGGAGAATGGCGTGAACCCGGGAGGCGGAGCTTGCAGTGAGCCGAGATCGCGCCACCGCACTCCAGCCTGGGCGACAGAGCGAGACTCCGTCTCAAAAAAAAAAAAAAAAAAAAAAAAAAAAAAAAAGAATCAATTGTAAAAAATAAAGAAAATTCTAAAGTGTATCGTCAGGTTCCTAGAAATAAATAGTATAAAGTAGAGGCAGAAAGGAGATGAAATGGGGGAAATAGAACAGAAGATGAAAATAAATGCCAAACTTGGAGGCATTAAAATAATTCTGTAAGCATATTTTTTACTTGAGGTTAATTCTCATTTTTGTTAGGACATTCTGTCTTCTTAATAGCAAAGAGTTGATTGACCATTTTGACCCTAATTTCCATCCTAAGCAAGTCAAAACCACAAAGGCAAATCACAGTTATTTTTTGTGTGAAAATAGTCCAGATATGGACCATTACTCTTGATGCTTGTATTTTTGTGTTAGAATATGTTTGGGGAATGCCTGTATTTGTGAACCCTATGGTTATCTAACCACTTTCTTTGCCATGATATTTGACTATATGTTGCTAAAGATGTCTGTGAACCAGTGAGAATTATCTCATTTTTGTTTTCAGTGTCTGAGGACAGAAAAGAAGCAAAGATGATATATAACAATGTTCTGTACCCAGGATTTTTAAAAAACACATACTTAACTACATAATTGGGTGACTTCATTTAGGGAGGAGAAATTAGCACACTTTATTTTAAAAAGAATGTTCCAAGGGCAAACAAGACTTTAATGAAAATTCATTAAAACATTTTTTAAAGTACTTTAAAAAGTATTTTTTAAAAGGTACTTTAAAAAGTCCTTGGGTGGAAACACACTAATTTCCAATACAAGCACCGGGTGGAAATATACTCATTTCCAATACAGACACCTCTCTGGCATCATTACATCAAGACTAAAGGACCATTTGAACCTCTCAACCACCAAGGGGAACAGAGACTTGAGCTGAGTAAAGTGAACAAATCTCTCCACTTTAGCAGATTTTTTAAAAATCAGACTTCTTTCTAAGGTTTTAAAACAAAGTTTCAGAGTTTGTCTCTCTCATGTGTTCCTCTGTAGTGTTTTTCCCCTTTCATTCTTTCATCCTGAGTGAGTAGTAAGTGTATACTTTCATAAATCAGTAGTTTTCCACTTTTATGCTCAAAAATCAGCTTTATATATGACACAACAGAAGAGTGAATATTGACTAACACATTAGCATATATCAGCAGCTCTGATTAAAAGCAATCATTGTGTGTGTGTGTGTGTGTGTGTGTATGTGAGAGAGAGAGAGAGAGACATTGTTATAAATATTTTTCTAAGCATTTTAAAAGGGAAAAAATGTGGAACTATTTGTAAAGCATAAAGAAAAGGTCTCAAGATATAAAGAAGAATTAATTTGGAGCAAATGGCCAGAATCTTATATTTGAAGATCACTTAAAATTTAATAATGGTTGAACAAGATAGTACAAAATAGAAAGGATTAAAACAAGTGGCTTGCAATCCACTTTTCTCCCAATAATTGTTACCAGAACATGAGAATAATGTATCCCCTCCCTGTAAGAAGGCAGGTGACCCACTTCAACACCATGCTGGTAACTCTCCTCTTGATATTGCTAGCAGGAGAGTCTTTATCTATAGAATGCTTAAAGTAGGATGTCCTTGTTTTAGATTGCCTATGGTAAGCAAACATAGCATCTATGGATTGATGAAACATCACTCTCTGTGACCTAATCTATTACTCTGGGTCAAAAAGTTTGTCAAATACTGAATGGAAGATCTTGTGGAGCCATATGGGAAATTCCAGAGCTTCCCCCACTTCATCTTTGCCTCTTGATTCTGGGGAAGACTTCTAATTCACGCGCGTCTCATTTGATAATCCAACCCTCTTTGTTGGTTCAAAAATAGCTTCCATTTATAATATAAGTAAATTTGACAGCATATAATTTATATATACATATATGTACATATGTAATCTCATTGAATTTTCACAAGAACTAAGTCATTGCCCTCACTTTAGAAGAGAAATGACTGAAGCTCTGAGAGGTGACTAACTTGGCTTCCATTATACAGTAAGTGGTAGAAACTGGTACCATGCTAGGACTCTTGGGGACAAATGAAATATAAAATCTGGTTTCTGGCTTCCTGCAGTAATCCTCCATCTTTCATAAAAATGGTATTCCTAGTCCCTGCAAATAACCTCAGACTTTACTACAAAGAAAGACAAGTACAAGGTTGCAGCAATAGTAACAGAAAAAGCTACTTAATGCTGTGCGTACAAACGACTTCTTTTTGGAGGACTTCTAGTTCTGGTTCAGCAAGTTAGAAGCCACCACCTCATCCCAAGAAGTTAAAAGCTGAAAAACTTAAAAATCAATAGCTCTTTTTAGATCCATCAGGGAAGTGACGTGCCAAGGAAAAACTGCTGTGCCCCAAATCTGAGAGGCAAACAGGCAGATACAGACAATCAAAACTTACCTGAGGAGAACCTACTAATAGAAATATCAGAGGGAACAATGCCTGGATAGAAAAATCAGAACTGTAATTGACAAATTGCTGAAGGCTCAGTATGGGCAGATCTGAGAGTTTGAAACCCAGGGGTGCCCAGTCATAGGGGAGGACCCACATATTTGTGTGTTTTACCTCCAGAGGCTCTACTAGGTTCTCACGGTGGATATTCAAGAACAATACCCTCATACTTTTGAAAGAAGTAGGGAAAAGTAGTAAGTAACCATTTTAAAATACAACAGAGCATTCTGTTTTTCTTAACACATCTGCTTTCAGGAGAAACTATTTTATCAGTAATACCTACTGGGGTTTTAGCAGAGCCTAATCTCCCTACAGAAAGAAAAATATCCAACTCTAGCACCCTCTAGTCATCTTCTCTACCTAAGAGGGAAAAAATATCTGAGAATCATGACATCACAGTCTTAATAAAAGACTGAGACTTAATCTTTGAATTGTAGAATGCTCCCTTCCCTCCTCCGCACCTTACTACCATGTTACTAAAAACCCATTTATAGAAGTTTCATTTCCCTGTTACACATTGTCCACTTTTCAACAAAAGATTCCAAGGCATACTAAAGGGCAAAAATGCAGTTTGAAGAGGCTGAACAAGCAACAGAACCCATGTCAGATATGACAAAGAAAGTTCAAATTATTAGATCAGGAATTTAAATAAAAAACAAATTTTTTTTTTTGCAATTTTATATGACTTCATCTTCTTCCCTTTCTTGGCATATCAATTATACTTCTTTTTTTCTTTTTTAGGGGTTGTCCTAGAGTTTGCAATATACATTTACTACGGATTCAAGGAATTTAAATAAAAAACAAAACTGTGATTAATATGTTAAGGATTTTAATGGAAAATGTAGGCAACATGCAAGACCAGGTTAATGGTAGAAAAATACAAATAATTGATATGCCAAGAAAGGGAGGAAGACGAAGTCATATAAAATTGCAATTAAATCACAAGAGACAGAAAATATGTGGAATACAAATTTAGGAATAAAGAAAAAAGGCAACAAATAGACAATAATAGTGTTATTATGATACATATGATACATATGATAAAATTAATCTAATTTTAGCCATAATCACTTCAAGCATTAATGATGTAAATACACCAATTAAAAGACAGAGATTGTCAGAGTGAATAAAAAATAAGACTCAATTATATGTTTTTTACAAGAAATTTACTTTAAATATAAAAGCATATACCGATTAAAGGGATAGAGAAAGATATGCCATACCAACATTAATCTAAACAAAATGGGAGTTGCTATATTAATTTTAAGCAGAGCAGACTTCAGAGCAAAGAAAGATATCAGGGATATAGAGGGAAATTACAGACATTACTTAATGATAAAGGGGCCAATACTCCATAAAGACATAATGATCCTTAATATATGTGTACCTAACATCAGAGTTAAAATATAGGCAAAAACTTATAGAACTACAAGGAGACAGGGACGGATGAATCCACTATTATAATAGAAGACATCAACACCCTTTTCAAAACTCAAGGTGGAAAATCAGTAAGCACATATTTAAACTCAACGCGATCAATGGACTACTTCATCCTACACCAGCAGAATACTCACTAAGACCAGATTCTGGGTATAAAAGTCAATTGCTTTTCTACAAATCAGTAATCAACAAGTGTAACTTAAATTTAAAAGACAGTACTATTTACATACTACATTATTATTTAGCACTTCCCTCCCCCAACAAATTAAATGCTTAGGTATAAATCTCAGGAAATATGTACAAAGTCTATATGTGGAAAACTACAAAGCTAACAAAAGATATCAAAGAAGAACTAAATAGAGAAATATTCAATGTTCATGGATAGGAAGATTCAATCTTGTCAGAATGTCATTTCTTCTCAAGTTGATCGTAGATTCCATGCAATCCCAGTCAAATTTCCAGGGAGTCATTTTGTGGATATTGACAAACTGAGATGTATAAGGGAATAGGATAATTAAAATTGACATTGGAAATTTTTTCATGCCATATACTCTGTAGTGGCATAAATCTCAGTCACGAAATCAGAGGTGATTTAACTTCACTTTACCTTTATAACTTCGCTTTTTACAACCTACTCCAAGCCTCTTTTTACTGAGTAATAGAAATAATTGTCAATGCAAATTGTCAACCCTTCTTTGAAGTTGATTATAAGTTCAAGGGGACTTTTAATAACTTGAGTAATATATTGAGATTGGAGCACCCTTTGGTGCTTAATATTTGTTGAGCTGTACATCTCATTGGGTCCTTGGTCTTTGCGGGTTTTTTTTTTCAGGCCATTGCTGTTTTATGCCTTAAATTTGGCTAACAGTCCTTATAGGGTCTGATGAATCCCCATTCTAGGTTTCTTCTCTTTCTGAATCATTCTGGCAGGCAGTGGAAATTGTGAGATTGTCTGAGGTCCATTCTCCTCAACCCGTCATGCAGCCATTGCTCCTGTGTCATGTCTAGTGTGCGGGGATATTCTGAGGTCTTCCTACCTCTCCAGGATCTACTGGGAAGTGACGTAGTTTCTCTGTAATCTGGACTTCTCCACAACTATTTGAAATTATTGTTTTGCTCCATTCTGGGGTCTTGGTCTAAGATGAGGAGTGTGGCTAATGTGCAGGTATCTTTCTTAGGGACATATCAGTATCTGAGCTCTCATTGCTTTTTCTCTTAATGGAAGTAGAAAACTTTACTTTTACTTCTTATATTTGTTATATGCTTGATGCTTCCTAGAGCTTAGGCTATTGACACTCGATAAAGCTTGTTCTATATTCTTCTGCTGTGCTAAACTTTTCATGGATGCCAATGCTATGCAGACCAAATGCAAAATGTCTTAAGAAGTAACAAGGATAAAAGAAATGATATTATTATTTAATATTCTTTCACCATCTTTTACATAAAGATGAGGGAAATGAGAATTGTGGAGATTTGAAAAGGAGGTGAAATGAAGAAGCACAGCTAACACTAGCAGGTGGGTAGTTCAACTTTTTCTCCTTCTAGGATGCCACAGTACCACTAAAACTCCAAGGACAAAAGAGAAATGTTATAGTAACAATAATAATAATAACAGGTAACATTTATTTATGGCTTACTCTGCTGGAAACTTCTCTAATGAATATTTGTGAATTATTTCATTGAACTCTCACAGCTCAGGAGGTAAATATATTTCATCATTTTACAGGTGGGAGAACTGAGGCACAAAAAGGAACATTGACATGCACAAAGAGAGGCAACAGCTGTCTCCAGCTGTAATATCATGCTACCCTGGTTATGTGGTTGTACTAGTTATTGGCGGTTTATGTTGCTTCGTAACAAATTACCCTGAAACTTGGAGGTAAAATCAATAAACATCTTATACATTTTCAGTTAGTTAGGGATTTGGGAGCAACTTAACTAGATGTTACTGGCTGAGGGTTTTTCATCAAATTGCAGTATGGTGTAAACTGAGTCTGCAGTCACCTGCAGGCTTGACTGGGGCTGATGAATTCGATTCCAGAGTGGGTTAGTTGCTCACATGCCTGAGTAATTTGTGCTGGCTGCTGGCAGGAGGCCTCAGTTCTTCGCCATATGTCCCCCTCCATAGAGGTGCTTGAGCTTTTTTGTGACATGGTGGTTGGCTTCCAAAAAGAATGATGATCAAGAAAGAAAGAGCAAGAGTGAGAGGCAGAGAGAAAGAGAGAGAGAGAGGCTTCAATACCTTGTATGATTGCTAGAAACTTCAGGTTTTATCCCTCTCAAATTCTTATATTGGTACCCTAATCTTCGATAGGATAGTGTTAGGAGGTAGGGGCTTTGTAAGGTAACTAGGTCATGAGGGATCAGTGTCCTTGTAAGAAGATAAAAAGTGCTAGTAGCCCTTACTCTTTGCCATGTGAAGATACAAGATGTCAGCTGTCTGCAACCTGGTAAAGGATCCTCACCAGAACCTGACCATGCTAGCACCCTGATCTAGGACTTCCAGCCTCCAGAACTGTGAGAAATAAGTGTTTGCTGTTTAAGCCACCAAGTCTATGGTAATTGTTATAATAGCCTGAACTGACCAAGACAATAACCTTGACTAGGAGTTATACACTGTCACTTCTGCCATTTTTATTTGTTAATTTGTTAATTTCAGTTAGTATTTTAGAAGTCAGTCGTTAAGTCAAGCATATATTCAAGGACAGAGCAATTAGTCTTCATCTTCTGAAGGGGGAAATGTCAAAGAATATGTGGGCATATTTTAAAACCACCGCAATAGGTATTCTACATTTATCATGAATATAGTAATTTAGTCCAATTTAACTTCTTGCTCTTTACATGTATTTGTAAAAAATATTGTCACAATAAACACATCCAAGGTGGCTATATTATGAAAAATAAATTGTATACAATTGAATCCACCAACACCTTGGGCTAGTGTTATGGCATAAAAACAATAATAGCTTGGATGTTTGCTTTATTGTGCTTGGGAATTGATTTCTTAATTTATAAAGATAACAATTTCCTCTGCTTTTATTTGTGGCTAGTTTTTTTGTTTGTGTGTTTTGTTGTTATTGTTGTTTTTGAGACGGAGTCTCGCTCTGTCGCCAGGCTGGAGTGCAGTGGTGCAATCTCGGCTCACGGCCTCTCGGGTTCAAGCGATTCTCCGGCCTCAGCCTCCTGAGTAGCTGGGACTAGAGGCACATGCCACCAAGCCCAGCTAATTGTCTGTATTTTTAGTAGAGACGGGGTTTCATCGTGTTAGCCAGGATGGTCTTGATCTTCTGACCTGGTGCTCCGCCCGCCTCGGCCTCCCAAAGTGCTGGGGTTACAGGCGTGAGCCACTGCGCCCAGGCTTGTGTCTGTTTTTTTTTGTTTTTGTTTTTGTTTTTGAGTCGGAGTCTCCTTCTGTCGCCCAGGCTGGAGTGCAGTGGCGCGATCTTGCCTCACTGCGAGCCCCGCCTCCCGGGTTCGCGACATTCTCCTGCCTCAGCTTCCCAAGTAGCTGGGACTACAGGTGCTCGCCACCACGCCCGGCTAATTTTTTATATTTTTAGTAGAGATGGGGTTTCACCGTGTTAGCCAGGATGGTCTTGATCTCCTGACCTGGTGATCCACCCGCCTTGGCCTCCCAAAGTGCTGGGATTACAGGCGTGAGCCACCGCGCCTGGCCAGCCTGTGGCTGTTTTTAATGTGTTTTTCATTTTCCTCCTTGATATATTGAAGTCAGTCTCTGTGGTACATTTGTCTTTCTTGAGTTACATTCATAGATAAAGTGCAGTTTACAGCCTCCAGCTCTACATGCGTGGGTTCAAATTCCAGTCTTACCACTTAAGAATTTTGTGATTTTGGGACATTTAAATAGTTTAAGTCTCAATTTCCTTGTCTGTAAAATGTAGATGATAATAGTGCATATGCCATGTGATTGTGATGAGTAAATGATGTACCTGCATGTAAACTGTTTATCACAGTGCCTGACACATATGCTCAATACAGGTTATTTGTATTGTTGTCATTTTTAAAACTCAGAACAAAACTGATATACATTGACTTTTTTTTTTTTTTTTTTTTTTTTAAGTAACTGACAAATGACATGAGACCACCAACTTCTTTCTCATGGGTATCACGATATTTAAATATGTCCCCTTTTAGCAAATGAAGCTTTAAACTAATCAGCTATTAAACACATGATTGCCAAGCACCTTATTTTCAAAGAATTTATCCATATTCCCTTAGGATCAGGCCAAATGGCTTAACTGATTTCACTATTCCCCCTTAAGGTCACTTGGTTAATGACAATAAAACACTTAATTATAGTAGAGTCGCAGATCAAGCTTCCCAGCTCACTCCAGTTTTACTGAGAATTTGCCTCTTGGTTTCTCTTTTCAGTCTTGTTCTCTATTAAGTCAGATCTCAGATGATTGTGTTATCAATCACACTAGCAACATTTACTCAATATATCCAATAATATGATCAGAAAATCATATATGTTCTTTTGAGATAAGCTTCTGCAGCTGTTTTTATTGCACATGGTAAGTAAAGCAATATGCAAATACCTGGGTTGATAAGTGGAATGGACC
The DNA here is from genome assembly GCF_000001405.40 of Homo sapiens. Taxonomy (NCBI): domain Eukaryota; kingdom Metazoa; phylum Chordata; class Mammalia; order Primates; family Hominidae; genus Homo; species Homo sapiens. The sequence goes on from NC_000005.10 coordinate 103,703,629, forward strand.
AAGATGTAAAGTTGACTGTCCTTTATAAATTCAGGAAGTATTCAAATCACTTAGTTACTGGGCTTTTTATGACTATGATTCCTAGATTGAATCTCTGGAAAGGTAAATAATTTAATTATTTGAATTCAAATCAGGGAGTGCTTGTCTTCTCTTGTTATGAATATCATCATTATGTAATGCCAACACTGGAATATCCTGTTTTATGGGAAGTAATGAATCATCCAGTTATCTATGAAGGTAGAGTATGACAGATGTGACAGTCCACAGAAGATTCTGTCGGGTAATTTGGCTTCAATTTACCTCGACCAGCCCAGTTCAATGATTAAAACTAGTTATCTCTTCAGCGTATAAATGGGCATTATTGTCCAACACAGGCTACATAACTTTTTCTATCTAGGCTGTTTTTCCAGGGAATATACTGGGAAAGAAAAAGAAGACATTTTCCTTTGGTTGTTTTGTGAAGATTTTCAGTCCTGGATGTGCATCAGAATTATCCACAGGGCTTTAAAAGATTCAAACGCCAAGGCTTCATCTTAGACTTACTGATTTGGAAAATCTAGGGACAGATGCACACGTTTAAAGATCTCTTTTGCTAATTTTAATGCACTCTTAGGTTTAAGAATCATCACATATGCTGAAGTTTTAATTGAGAAAAAAATCAGCGGTCACTTTGCAATTTTCTTTTTCCTAAAAGTATAAATTAGGAATTAATATAATACCCAGTACACACTAAACAAGCTCTGTCATGGTAGAGATTTTGCACAGAGCTTCAAAGCTCGTGTTAAAGGAAATAAGGAAGCTGTAACAGGGAACGTGTCTGTTCTTATTACTTGGGTTAGAGGAATTTCTGGAAAAAGTTCTGTTCCTAGAGGAAATCTAATAAACCACTTCTGAGCTGCATTTTATTTTTACTTTTACTTTTTACTTTTCGACAAACTGATTAACATTTCAAGGTTTTTCTCCCCCTCATGTATGATTTTGTAGACTTCATTGACTCATGATTCAGACATAAGGTTGTATGTGATTGCATTTTTGTGATAAACTTTGTTTACAATTTACTGGATTCTCTAATCTTGCACAGGTCATTTGCTAATTTCAAACTTTAAAATCTCAGAATATAGGCCAGGCACAGTGGCTCAGGCCTGTAATCCCAGCAGTTTGGGAGGCTGAGGCAGGCAGATCATGAGGTCAGGAGATTGAGACCATCCTGGCTAACACGGTGAAACCCCATCTCTACTAAAAATACAAAAAAAAAAAATTAGCCGGGCATGGTGGTGGGTGCCTCTAGTCCCAGCTACTCGGGAGGCTGAGGCAGGAGAATGGTGTGAACCTAGGAGGTGGAGCTTGCAGTGAGCGGAGATCGCGCCACTGCACTCCAGCCTGGGTGACAGAGCGAGACTCCGTCTCAAAACAAAACAAAAAACAAAATCTCAGAATATAATCTGTCACATTAATCTTACACTATATTGAAACTTCCCTGGGGGCAGTTACTTACAACCATGTTTTGCTTCCAACCCTACATCTAGTTATGATGCTTATTTTGCTTTGTATAGAACAGTGTCTGGCACATAGTAGGAGTTTAATTAATATCTGCTGAATGAATAATCTCCCCAAATCTGCCCAATTTTTCACCTGTTACTCTACTTCTTTTGCCCTGATAGAAATGATGTAGAACATGTTTTATTATAGCAGATATGTGTGTGTGTGTGTGTGTGTGTGTGTCTGTGTGTATTTGTTGTGACCACCTAGTACTTTTTAAAAAAGAATTAAAAAACATATGCACTGAGAATTGAATTCTCCACTATTTCCTTTGTTATATCACATTACAACACCTCGCTGAGATGTGGTTTTAAGCATTGAACTTGAAATGTTAGTTTGTTTTTATGAACTGGACAAACTCTTTAAAGCCATCACCATTCTGCTCCTCACAATAAAATTAGCCATTTTGCACTTATATTTTCTGGTGCCAAGCTACATGTATTTTACTCTGGAGAAACATCTTAGTTTTTGTGAAAGATGGTTTGGAAGAATTAAATATGTGCAAAGTGAATGATGGTGGCAATAAAAATTATTTTTGGAAAGCCTGCCTTTATTAAAAACTAGTTTTTCAGTGGAAAAATAAGACACATGTTTTCTAGCAGTATGTATGAAGCTTTTAATAATTTTTAAGTGATTTTGCATATTTTATCATGTTTACAGCACATTTAATCCTCAAATATCTAGGGATAAACTTGAAACTTTATATTTGAATGATTAAAGAAATGGAGAAAGGGTCGTGACTTCCTTACTATAGCTAATAGTTTTAATAGTATCTATCATTTAATGAGTAATTGTAATATATCAGGAATTCTGCTACTTGATTTATATATATCATCTCATTTAATCCACTCAGCAACCCAATAAAGTAGGTATTATGAATGAGGAAACTAAGGCTCAGGGCAATTGCCTTGCTGAAGACCAGACAATAAGTGGCACAGTAAGTGACTAGGTTTGGCACCCAATCCACTGGAATTGAAAGTCCCTGTTCTTAACAATACTACTATGCTCCTGATGCTTAACTGCAATTTTCCTAATAACAAATACCTTTTTTTCCCCATTATATTATGCTTTCTTTTTATTACAGCAACCATAGACCCAAATCAATGAAGACAATGTAAATGTGCCAACCACATTTATGAATTGTAGATCTTAAATAAAGCATTATAAAATTTATACAATAAGTATTAATGAATTTTATTATTGATAAATACTCAAAAATAATTATTATTTGATTGGATTTACTGTTTTACTGCCTCCTAGCTTGCAGAACAATATTCTGACTGCTGCCATTTAAATTGAGATTTGTTATTTTATAAACTATCATTCACAGAGGACATACATTCACTCTGGCTAAATAATATCTTGCCTCTCTCAGAAGCATACGCTTACTCACAGGTGTACTTAAAAACATATATTGGCTGAGTGCAGTGGCACACACCTGTAATCCCAGCACTTTGCGGGGCCGAGAGCGGGGATCATGAGGTCAAGAGATCGAGACCATCCTGGCCAACATGATGAAACCCTGTCTCTACTAAAAATACAAAAATTAGCTGGGCATGGTGGCGGGCGCCTGTAGTCCCAGCTACTCGGGAGGCTGAGGCAGGAGAATTGCTTGAACCCGGGAGGCCGAGGTTGCAGTGAGCCAAGATCGCACCACTACACTCCAGCGTGGCGACAGAGCAAGACTGTCTCAAAAAAAGAAAAAAAAAAAGAAAATTCTTCTGGTTGATGGTGACATAAGTAGCTAGGGCATGAGAACATCCACAGAAGAACATAGCCTTGCAATGGCCAAATATTCTAGTGTTCAGGAAAATCTACCTTTTAAAAACAGTCCTCACATTTATCTTTTACACCATGCATGGCTGGAATTGTAGTACTTCTGTAAATGTGTTGTTTCTCTTAGTCCAATTTACTGGCCAGATGTCTGTGTCATAAAACCACCATCACCACCACCACTCTTGGTACTAATTAGCACCCCATTTGTCAGCTTCAGTCCAGTGGTGGGGATGTGAGTGATTATAAATACTATAATACCTTCTCACCTGTGAAAGTAGCCCTTCCAAAGACAAAGAAGAAAGCGCAGCAGGCGGGAAACCTGCATTATTGTCACCTGAGCTGTTCCTTTCTCTGGACAATTTCAAGCCTAAACATCTGTTCTAAACACTACGTTTATTAAACTAAATAACAAAATACATTCATCTGTATATAATAGCCCTCCCAGGGGATACAGAATGGGATTTCCCTCTTTCTAAAGAAAGTGAAACAGTTGACAGAGTCTTGTGTCTGTTTAATGTCAAGAAAAGCAGCCTGGGAAATGGGAAAGGAACTTATTAGGAAAGATTTTTTCCCCCCTTGACCGTGGTATGACTGTTGCTGAAGATATGCTTATGTGAATTCTCCTGCAGTTTTTAATTACAGGGTTAATTGTTGGCAGGTGGGTAAGAGTTCTGTTACATGTAATGTTTAATTGTTTATCCTTTGCTCTTTGTTAGAAATTGCATGCATTTTGGAATGCATTAGTTTGAAAATGAGACTCGAGAGGTCTGTTGTGATAATGTGTTCTTTTCCATGCTAGAGGACAAAATAAACTCAGATGGTATAGTCCTAATTCTCGCAAGGTCAAAAACTTTCCTTGTAAGTAGAAATCGTATGACTACCAATAAATATAGAGGCCATCCACTTAACATTCTTAATAAAAGTAAAGAAAAAGTCAGGTAAATGTAGCCATCTTGGGTGGATATAAAAGCCCATTCTAAAGCCAACACAAATGGTATCAAATATTTTAACTTTTCTCTTCCCCTTTCTTATGACAGTTACAACTTGACCCTGACTCTTTCTCTCACTTTTCTTCTTGTTCCTCCTTGTCTCCTAAAGACTTCACCTAAATTTTGAATGTATTTCCCCCATCACAAGGCTCTCAGCACTCCCATACCCTGTAACCTCAATCCTCTGCAGTCCTAAAACTCCAGCAAGCTATAGAGCTCAAAGGAAGTGAACTGACTTTTAGAATAGGGACTGGAAGAATGAAAAAGTCTAAAAGGATTCAGAGAGGTAAAAATAAACTGGTTATAGGTGTAGAGAGAAAGTCCAGTCAAAGATGCGATTCTAGGTTAGGCATGGGATTGGATTGTTGGTGTGGAGGATAGCACTTCAATGAGAGCAGAAAGCTAAGAAGTGTGGAGGATAGCGCTTACGGAAGATGACAGATATGTTTGATGAATATTGGAAGAAAACATGCTTTGAGAATGTTGATGGAGCATTCAAAATGAGGGAAAAAAAGAAAGGAAGGTTTAGTACTTATCGATCTCGTACTTACATTAGTGATGTCTGCACTGCACCAAGGGTGATTATTACATGCCTCAGCAGTCACACTATTTCTTATTATGACCCATATATGATTATATATCTTATTGTGACCCACATGTGATTATACATTTATGGTACACACATGACCACTGGCTCACCTGTTGAGTATCTAAATGACAAATGAGAGCCTGAACTTTTGTAAAAACACACCCTTGGTGTGAAATACAATAATAATACTGTGTCATATGAATTGCTACCTTGAGTTTGACAAAAAAGACTTTTATTTGGGCATGTTAAACAAGGAGTGCTATATTTCATTTACAAAGTAATTTACAGAGTATTTACAGAGTAAATAACTCATAGTATGAGTTTTATGAACTCAATAAGGAGGCCAAGTTTGTCTGCAATAAAAGTTATTTAGATTGATTACTTGGATTGCTAACCTATTGTAAAGTGACTTCTTCTCCTTTTTTTCTTTTTGACTAGTTATAGATGTAGAGGAAACTTAGATAATATATCCAGACCTTTCTCCATCAGACCAACATTGACTATTAATTCACATTCTCACATATTTCCTCCTGTTCAGCTTGAAATGTCTCAAGCTGATTCCTTTGGTATCTTTCTCTGTAAGTTTAAAGAGCATCTGCATATTGTACTTCAGTTTAAGATATTATTTATTGAATCTTCACTTTAGTTTTATTTCACTTATCACACATGTATATTTTCCTTCTTCCTAAAATATCATGGTATGCATTTGGGTAGATCCATATTAAGTATGATGAATAAATGCTATATAAAACTGGACAGGCTGGGCGCAGTGGCTCATGCCTGTAATCCCAGCACTTTGCGGGGCTGAGGCGGGTGGATCATGAGGTCAGGAGATCGAGACCATCCTGGCCAACACGGTGAAACCCCGTCTCTACTAAAAACACAAAAAAATTAGCTGGTTGTGGTGGTGGGCGCCTGTAGTCCCAGCTACTCGGGAGGCTGAGGCAGGAGAATGGCGTGAACCCAGGAGGCGGAGCTTGCAGTGAGCTGAGATCACGCCACTGCACTCCAGCCTGGGTGACAGAGCAAGACTCCATCTAAAAAAAAAAACAAAAAAACCAAAAACAGAAAACAAAAAAACTGAACAATGTAGTATACTTTAAAAATATATATCTCATTGACAAATACCATATATAAAGGCGTGCAGGTGTGCAACATGATGATTTAATATGCATACGTATTGTGTAGTGGTTGCCACAATTAAGTTAATTAACACATCCATCACCACCCATGCTGTATCTTAGAACTCCAACCTTATTTTACACCTGAAACTTTATATTTTTTGACCAACATCTCCTGATAGCTCCCAGCCTCCAGGCTCTAGTAACCACTATTCCACTCTGTTTCTATGAGTTTGAATTTTTAGATTCCATATATAAGTGAGATAATCCAGTGTTTATCTTCCTATGTCTGGCTTATTTCACTTGGCATAATGTCCTCCAGTCTCATCCATATTGTCACAAATAGGAGGATTTCCTTCTTTTTATGACAGAATAATATTCCATTGTGTATGTATTCACACACACACATACACACACATTTTCTTTATCCATTTTTCTGTTGATGAACACTTGGGTTGTTTTCATATCTTGGCTATTGTGAATAATGCTCCAATAAACATGAGGATTCAGATAGCTCTTCAAGACGTTAATTTTATTTCCTTTGGCTATATATAACACTCTTACTACTTTTTCATTTTTACACAGAAGTGGGAAGGAGAGAGCTGAAAATATTTAGTGAACAGAACTCTTGACTACATCAAATGGGTTTAGAATTCAGCATTAAAAATAATTATTTCTCAAAACTTTGAAGTTATGATCCCCCTAAATTTGCTTTCCATTATTCCTTTGATGATGTCCAAAGCTCCTTTAATACTAGATCTTTAGTTTATGACTTCTTCCTCCTCTCTGGAAGCCTATAGAATCTTCTTTTATCTCCTGTTTTCTGAATTTCAATGACATGTTTTGTTGAGCTGGGCCCAGAGGCCTATTTGATTGGAAACTCATATTCTTCATTTCTGGGAATTTTTAAAATATATTTCTTTAATGATTTTCTCCCTTCTTTTCTATCTTTCCAGAACTTATATTATCTGGATATTAATAACAGTTTTTTTGATATTTTCTTACATGGTATGATTTATTTATTTCACATTTTTTTTTTAAATATTATTTTGGTTTCCCTCCTGTTAGAAACTTTTCTAAGATGTCCTTTCACATTTTGAAGGCATTAAAATGCTGATTGGAAACTCTGAACATTTGGATGGGGTTTACATCTGGGTACCTTACTCTAGATTGACTTGGCTGAGCTGTTTTCTTTGGAAACCCCTGATACCAATATCTTTAGGACTTCCTCATGAAATGTCCAGACTCCCATGACAAGTATCATCTAATTGTCCTCCTGGGGAGTGTAGGCCTGGCTGTTGGTATTCTGAGATCCAGGTGAGAGAAGAGTGCTGTGGTTGAGGAGTAAGATGTTCATTTACTACTTCTGCTCTCCCAGTTGCTGTCAACCGAGCTGTTAAACTCTGGGTCCAAAGAGTCTTTTTTTTTTTTTTTAACTCTGTGAAAACAAACTTTCAATCTTCTGCAGGGATTGTGGAGTAGTTCCTTGGTTGCACAGAGTGCAGGAGAGGGAACTTATCTGTGGATTCTAACTGCTTCTAATATAGATTTTCAACCTCCTTCCTTTCTTTAGTTCTATTTTCACCTCTTTTCCAGATGTAACTAACAAGCAACTCTAATTCCTGAGTTTCATGGGTTCTGCATGTGATTGTTTGCTTCCTTCTTCTGTTTATGGCCAGCTCATTATTGTCTTAATAGGACTATTCTCCTTTGAAATGGTTATTTTCTTTCAGTTGGACCAACTTTTGCTATATTGTTCTTAGAAAATTAATGTCAATATTCCCTCCTACATTTCACAGTAAGTAAAAAAATTTGAAAAAATCTACAAATGCAGTTAAACCTGTATATAACTTTGGTTAAGTAATACCCACCTAACCTCAAAGGTTTTCTCTAGTTATATATTGTTATATGTTTCAATCCACTGCATTGTTTGGTCCAGCCTTAAAAGGCAAGATTACCCGGCACTTTGGGAGGCTGAGGCAGGCGGATCACCTGAGGGGCCAGGAGTTCAAGAGCATCCTGGCTAACATGGTGAAACTCCGTTTCTTTTTTTTGTTTTTTTTTTGTTTTTTTTTGAGACAGAGTTTTGCTCTTGTTGTCCAGGCTGGAGTGCAATGGTGCGATCTTGGCTCACTGCAACCTCCACCTCCCAGGTACAAGCGATTCTCCTGTCTCAGCCTCCCAAGTAGCTTGGATTACAGGCATGCGCCACCACACTCAGCTATTTTTTTTTGTATTTAGTAGAGACAGGGTTTCACCATGTTAATGAGGTTGGTTGCGAACTCCTGACGTCAGGTGATCCACCCGCCTCAGCCTCCCAAAGTGAAGGGAGTACAGGCGTGAGCCGCTGCGCCTCGCCCTGAAACCCCGTCTCTACTAAAAATACAAAAATTAGCCCTGGGTGGTGGCACACCCTATAATCTCAGCTACTCGGGAGACTGAGGCTGGAGAATCGGTTGAACCGAGGAGGCGGAGGTTGCATTGAGCAGAGATTGGGCCACTGTACTCCAGTCTGGGCAACAAGAGCAAAACTCCATCTGAAAAAAAAAAAAAAAAAAAACAGAAAAGAAAAAAGGCAAAACAAGGGGCTTTCAAGACAGTTCTGACAAAGCTAAGAATTCTAACATATAGACACAAGTGTGCAGGAGTAATAACTGCCAACAACTTAAGAAGAGGAAAATCACTTAGAACATCAACATTCTGGCATAAAATGTGCCCCTAGTATACATAAATTAGTAATAACACGTTATATTTGAAAGGAGATTTTATTTAATGAATGCTAACCAGAATCAACTCTCTATTTCGTTAAAAAAAAGTTTCATACATTTGAATTCATAAGATGCTTTTTTCCTTCTTAATTAGTAGCTCTAAAAAGATTTTCCAGATATTGAAACTGCCGCCAATGTTATAAATTATGACATACATAAATTAGTATTGCACTGAGTATTTATAAATGAAAAAAAGAAATGTACAAAAACACCTTTAAAATATTAAATTGTTCAAAAAAAATTTTTCATTTGATTCCAAATGCCTGTAAAACTTCATAAAATGTTACCTAAAATTATTGTCTACTTAGTTACCTTGAAGGGAAATGTGTGAGTAATTAAAATTGCCTATTTTGTTTGTAAGGTATTTTTCTATCATAGATGATGTTATTAAATAGCTATTGTGTGTGTGTGTGTGTGTGTGTGTGTGTGTGTGTGTGTGAATTATTGATACTTGAGAGATTGGAGTTTATTCAAAGACATGAAATAAACAAACTTTCAGAAACTGATGTTAAAATAGCCTGGAAATTCCTGAGGCTGATGTATCTCAAGAATTACTTTTAGTATTTTGGAATTCTGAGCCAATGTATCTACACAGAAAAGCAATCAGTCTCTGAATTTGGTTCTCTCTGGCCTTATCCTCATTCTACTTGGTTCAAGAGAACAAATACTTCTTTTGTTGATCCAGATGGATTAATATGAGTGAACCAGAGCACCTTTTTTTTTTTTTCCTTAGGACAATCCCAGTGTGAGAAGAGCTTGGCTTCGTTTTTTGTTTTTAGAAGTTTTCTATTCAGTAATGTCTTTTTATGCATGGGTGGGATGTTTTTTCCTACTGCAGTTAAGACTCCGGAAAAGGTTCAATGTACAATATTTTCAGCTCAGTGGGGGCTAAAACAGAAAAAAAGAAGGCAATTATTCCCTTGCTTATCAAAGAGTCATTTATCTAGTATCTCTTCTATTAGGATCACAATAGAGAAAGAGGAAATAAATATATAAGGCTCGTGGTCTGCCAGCACATATTCCTATATACTAAACTATGAATCGTGCTCATAAGAAACCTTCTTAGGTTTTTATAGCAATTGTTTGAGCTTACGTTATAAAAATTTAATAAGGTTATTTTCTGATTACCCCGCATCTATTTCAAAAATAAAGAAAGGGAGAGGGAGGTACAGGAACAGACCCAGGTAAAGTGAAGGGCTTTTGCACTCTGCAGGTGAGGCAGGATACAGACTGATAATCTCCATGATCTCTGAGGTCAGCCTGCACAACTCAGAATAATGATGATGTAAGGAGAAAGTGGTGATGATGGCAACAATAATAATGGCAATGATGATAATAGTAGTTATTGTAGTGGTTTTAATTTCCTGACTGTTTCTGTGTGCTAAGATTTACTTCACGTGGATTTTCATACTTGATCCTTTTGATAAATGTGTGAAATACATATTATTGATTCCCTTATTTTATAGTTGATGTAACAGATGTACAGAGATGTTAAGTAATCTGCACAAGGTCACACAGTTAAAAGAGGCTAAGGCAGGATATGCACTCCTATAGCTATGTTATGCTCTGCTGAATAGATTTCATGTGATGGCTCTGAGTCGTTCAGAAAATGTTAAATTGTATGCAGCCCTTTTTGGTTAGGAAGACAGAGAAAACTGTAGTATGCTTAGAGGAATAAACGTCAGCTTATTCAGAATCACTCATTCTATTTTATCTAAATGCAAGTGTGTGTGAGGGACAACTAAACAAGGCCATGTGACAAACTTCTCAAGGATAGGGAGGAAATGGCAGATGTGTATTTATTATGGGCTTTAGTCAAATCAGCACGGTCTGATGAAGGCCATTTGCGATGTCTGAGATGAGGGCGGATGATGCAAAAACACTAGGGACTGTTATTGAAAATTTATTGGATGATAGCAAAGCCTTTCAAAATTGTCTAAGGGAAATTTTTTTTTAAAAACAACCCTGTAACCATAGATAAGTTAGAATAAAATTCAAAAGCAAGAAAGATACTGAAACAGCCAGGACAATCCTTAGCATTGGGTACAGACAGGATGAAACTATTTTTTTCTCCTATGAAAGCGTAATGTCTTGGTAATTAAGAAAAAATTAGCCAATGTACTCTATCAGGTGTCAGTCTCTATAGACTGGGTGTGCAGATGTCTAGAAAACCACATCATAAAGAAGTCTTGCTCTCTCAGGCTCAAAAGTGGAGTAAGTTTTCTTTGACATAACTAATTTGTATCAAGTTAAAAAATAATCAGTGACCTATTAGATAAAATTTCGTGCATGTATATCAGGATATACACAATTGCTAACAATTTGATTCACAGACATGTTAAATTGAACAGATCATGAAATATTAGAACAGACAATAAAAGCTAGAACCAAGTCAGCTAGTAATAAATGCTTGCAAATATAGAAATGACCAAAAATTAGAAATATTTCTATAATTGAAAAACGCCTGACTTGAAAAAAGTATGTCTGGAAACTACCTGCCAAAGAAGACTGTAAAGAGAAATACGAATCCCAAAGCTAGGGTGAAATCCATGTGTGAGTTTATAACATGGAAGATTATTAAAAATTGTTAGCTTAGTTGTATTTCTGATGATTTCATCATTGATGAAGTGGTATAGGGAACCTAAGATTAGAAAAAGACCCTAGTCAGATGTCCATATAAATTCCAAAAATAATGGCTGAACTAGAACACACAAAGAACAATGTTAAAATCCTAAATATTCACATTTCCTGAATTTTTAAAAAACTTTACTAGACATCTCTTTAATAGCCATAACGTGAATGGTGATTTAAAAATGATTTATTGTTCTAGAATGAAATATAGAAAACTAAAGTCAGCTCTTGAAAATAATTGCACATTCATTTTTTTCATTTTGAACATGTAGGATGACTTTTTTTTTTTTTTTTGCTGGGGGTCGGGGGCTGAGGGGGTGGGGGGGTGGGGGATTGAGGGGGTGGGGGGGTGGGGAGACAGAGTCTTGCTCTGTTGCCCAGACTGGAGTGCAGTGACGTGATCTCGGCTCCTGCAACTTCTGACCCCTGGGTTCAAGCGATTCTCTTGCCTCAGCCTCCTGAGTAACTGGGATTACAGGCACATGCCACCATGGCTGGCTAATTTTTGTATTTTTAGTAGAGATGGGGTTTTGCTATGTTGGTCAGGCTGTTCTCAGACTGCTGACCTCATGATCCACCCGCCTCAACCTCCCAAAGTGCTAAGATTACAGGCGTGAGCCACCATGCCCGGCCAGGATGACATTTATACAACCTTTCTTTTATATTTCATACCTTTTATTCACTGAATTACAATATGTTTCCATATCATATGCTGTGCTGTAGTAGATACTATTGGTTTTTAATATTCTCAAATTGAATTGTGGTGATTTATCTTCATAAATAGACCAAAGCCTTAAAATATGTAAATCAATACATTTTCTAAACAATGTATGACATTATATAATTATGTCTTCAGTAATTTAATGCATAAACAATGTGATTCTTATGTGCACTAGAGTCTTTTGTATAAAACAATGCAATAGAGGTTCAATAAAACCTATAGTGTAGTGTGGCTTTAAATGTCTTAAGCCCAGAGTTCACTTTATGATAAATGGACTTGGGATATTATTTTTGAGAGAAACTTAGACATACATTATGATATCCTAAACAGTATGCAAAGTTTGAAAGTAGACAATTAAAGTTTGGGGAAATGTCAGAGTAAGTAGTAACATATAATATTTACACCCACACTTCTACATAGATTCCACTATCTCATACTACTTATTGTGTGATGAATGATTTATTTCTACTAGGCATGTTTATCATGGACAGCTCTAATAAAAGCTAGACTGGGTGGGGAATGAACTCAGACAGCTTCTCTTTCTTCAGGAACAAGTAGGTTGATAGTAAATAGAAAGGTTCCTATTATTTTTTATAAAGTTGGATCAGAAAATGACATATATATGTTGTGTGGACATTTGGATATAGAAATAGCATAGATTATATCCTTATCAGAGACAGTAATATATTTCAAATAGTAGTTCTCAGTTTTATTTAATACATGTTCCCCCTTCTTTCCATATCCCCTACTTATTATCATAAAATTCTTCTTCCCATTTCTAAGATCCTTACACACTTTCTTCCCTACCAACCTAGCTGAGAAATATTAATTTAAAACATGATTCTGAATAACAGTGACTCAATTTTTGATCTGGGAACAGCCCTCCTCTCTCTAGGTCCATATGGTTTGGTTGAGCTTATTCCAACACTAGCCTAGGAAGTGGGCAATGTCTCATATGGATTATTTATCCCTGGCTGCAGTTCAGAGATTGATACTTGAAGAAAGTAGGTGCACAAGATTAAATTCCAAGAAAAAAAATTGTCATGGAATATTATGAAGGTTTATTCATTTATTTATTTTTCTGGGAGCAGGGGATTGCTTCCTGTAAGAAAAAGGCAAGGCTGGAAATGTCAGTAGCCATACTATAGAGAGGTCATACTTAAAATACAGTCATCACAAAACTAAGTTGGACCAAGAAATGGAAAGTGATGGAATACTGATCATATTGTTTGAGTCTCTGGATCCAACCATGCCTGAAGCTAACATTTCCCCTGAGAATTTTTGTCATATAAAATAGCACATTAGTGCCTTTTTTTTCTTGGCCTTAATGAATTGAGTTGCCTTTCTGTCTATTGTATATAAAAGTATCCTATCACAAAAATGACTCATGGAGATATGTACATTCCAGCAATTAATTATTTATTTATCTGTTTGTCACACATATGTAAAATACAATATAATTCCCCTCTAGCTTGTTATTTCTCTTATCTACAATCTCTCCAGCATCATGAATATTGATTATATGTTTAATTACCAGAGTATAAATTATTTTTGGAGTGCAAACAATCACATTATGATTGGATATTAACAATCATGTCCTCTTAACCCAGGTGTGGTTAGCTTATCGTATTGTTTAACTGCAACATTTTTATCCTTGAAACTGATACTATTCTTTTGTGCTTGGCCCATGGTTTTCCTAATTCATGACTTTGCTTGGTTTATGTATTTTGTTACCTATTTTCCCTCTCCCTTTTTTTTTTCCAACTGGGTCTCAGGATTGAATTGTTATTTGACTTATAGCTTCCTTTGCTTTCTCATGTATATGGTATTCCACACTACTACTAACTTATTCCTTTGTCATAGTTGCTCAATTGCTGACTGCCTCCCTATTTTTTCTTTTTCCCTTGACCAGTCTTAAAGCACTTTCCAGTAGATACTTTTATCAAAGGAGTTTTGTGAGCTAGGTATGCTTGGGTTCCTTGGTAACAGTGTCTCAGCACATAGTAGGCCTTCAATAGATGCTTACTAAATTAATATAAACTTACCTTAAGAAAATGCCATTCTAGAGTTCTGAGAAAATTAACTCTGTACCAAAGCTGCCTGATGTATACTCAGAGAGATGATTAGACAAAGAGATAAGTGAATTTATTAATCTTACCTTCTACGTAGAGTGAATTTTGATGATGGCTGTTAACCACTCATTGCTATTTGGGCGGTGATAGTAGACATGTCTCTCTATTCAGTGAGGTTGGATCTTCCTGAAAATGCTCTATGAGCCAAACAATAAGACTTCAAATGATAGTAAACAATTGTTTATCTTTCAGTACAAGTTTCTATATTATTTCATCCATTTTTTAAAGTTTATGGGACTCCAGGGGGACTGTTAGGAAGGAAAGGCCACCGTGTCTTTGGCATTGTAATATTGCTGCACTCTGTGTTTCAGATGCTCTCCCATGCTCATTGACCAGAATCTGCCCTCATGGAGACCTCTAATGGCCTAGCTCCTCATTTTCTTCAGTCATTATTCCCTCTGACTGCACTTGCTTCCCTGCTTGGTCAGAATTTTCATCAGTCACTTTTACACAGACCTAGCACTCTAGATTGCCTTGTACCTTTAACCTGTAGCCAGATCTGCTGTGTCTGGATAAACCCCTGACCAATTTATCATTTTTTAATGCTCATAGGCTATAGAATATCTATGAAGAGTCACTGGAATGTGTCAGTTTGACTCATTGTGGCCTCCAATATATTTAGTACACTGCAAAAAGCAAATTTTTTATTCATATATCAATATCCTAGTAACACTTTTTCTAAATTTCAGATTACTTCAAACCTTTAATCTCATTCCATTAGTCTCAATCTTGTTAGATAATCTCATGTCCTGTTTTAACAATAGAGTTTATCTCTTTTGTCACTATTTTACCTATCTTCCTTCTTCTATACTCACAAATATCCTTTGTTTATACTCATCTTTCTTCCTTGCTTCCTTTCTGTATCTGAGGCAGATCTGCCCCTTTCTCTTTCTGGGGCTAATTTCAATCCATTTCCTCCTCACAGTCTTTGCTCCCTCATTATTTTCTTAATTTAAAACATCTTTAATCTTGTTACCTCCAAACCTTTCATCCCTGCAACCTGTAAAGTAAACAGGTTGCCAAAATTTTCACTATTACCAACATTATGGATTCAAAATTAACAACCATTGTGTCTGCATAATTATGTACTCTAATTTTAAGCCACTATTTATTTAGCATTGCCACCTTTGTGCCTACTGAAATCCTCTCTTTAAATTCGCTGACAAAATCCTATTTGCCAAATTCAACAATTTTTTTCTCTGTTTATACTCTCTGGACATTTGGCTCTGTCTGCTGCCTTGTCATTAAAACTATTTCTCCTTTTGTCCATCCTGAGGACTATGTTTTTCTTAACAGTGGACTCTTCCTGAAACTCCCCCCGCCCACTCCTATTTCTACTTAATTTGCACTTTATATCTGCTTGGAGATTTCATATACTACTATGAGAGTCATTTTTTGTAATACTGCTTTATCATGCCACTATGATGCTTGAAACCAGGACAAGTTCTAAACATCACAGTATGCCATCCAAGGACAGCAGCCTTGGCCTAACCTACCTTCCCTGTCAGCTTCTACGCCATCCCAGGGATCCTATGCTCTATCTCAGCTCATTTTCTCACTTCACTAAAATTGTTCCCATGGTTAGAATACTTTCCTTCCATTTCACCACCTAAAATTTCCATGATTGGGAAGAGTTACTTTTAGCAGCTACCACAAAGCTTTTGCTAGAATTTCCAAGCATCTGTGATGAACAGAAAAATTAAGTCACTCCTGCTTGCTTTGAAATATCTCCTTCCTATGTGGGGGAAGTTATATTCATTAACTTCCAGATGAGATATTAGCAGCATGTTGGTGTGTGCTAATGAATATCTAAAGAGTGCCAGAACTTGGCTAGTCTTAGGGATTGTCTAAGTGAAAAAACATATCCTGTGCTCAGAAGGATCTCACAGCTAGCTTGTACATTAGGACATTAAGCCTAGGTTTAGCTCATATCTGAAAGCTTTAACTAGTATGAGTATGGCAATATTTATTTTTTAAATTAAAGTACTCCTGATTGTGGGAGCTAATGAGATGTTTTATCAGTATTCTTAAAATCATGGCAAGTTCACTTTCATTTTTTTACCACAATCAGTGACACTTTGGGGTTAGAATGTGAAATTCCACTATTTTTCTTGATGTAGTATTTCTTATCCAATTCTAGAATATGGAAAAGTCCACATTAGGTGAGTTTATAATTCATTTTTGACTTAATAAATTTCTAAACAAAAATCCTATCCACTCCTATTTAAAGATTTTCAGAAGAGAATCATTATATTAGCCCATTCTCACATTGCTATGAAGAAATACCCAAGACTGGGTAATTTATAAAGAAAAGGGGTTTAATTGACTCACAGTTCTGCATGGCTGGGAAGGCCTCAGGAAACTTACAATCATGTTGGAACACACCTCTTCACAGGGCAGGAAGAGAGAGAATGAGTGCCAGCAGAAGCAATGCCAGATGCTTATAAAACCATCAGATCTCATGAGAGCTTACTCACTATCAGGGGGAAATTGCCCCCATGATTGAGTTACCGCTACTTGGTCCCACCCTTGGCACATGGTGATCATTACAATTCAAGGTGAGATGTGGAGGGGTACACAGAGCCAAACCATATCATTCGGCCCCTCGGCCCCTCCCAAATCTTATGTCCTTACATTTCAAAACAAAATCATGCCTTCCCAAAAGTCCCCCAAAGTCTTAACTCATTCCAGCATTAATCCAAGAGTCCAAGTCCAAAGTCTCATCTGAGACAAGGCAAGTCCCTTCTGCCTATGAGCCTGTAAAATAGAAAGCAAGTTAGTTACTTCCTAGTCATAATGGGAGTGCAGGCATTGGGCAAATACACCCATTACAAATGGAGAAATTGTCCGAAACAAAGGGGCTACAGGCCCCAGGTAAGTCCAAAATCCAATAGGGCAGTCATTAAAACTTAAAGATCCAAAATGATCTCCTTTGACTCCATGTCTCACATCCAGGTCACACTGATTCAAGAGATGGGTTCTCACAGCCTTGGGCAGCTTCACCCCAGTGGCTTTGCAGGGTACAGCCGTGCTCCTGGCTGTTTTCACGGTCTGACGTTGAGTGCCTGTGGCTTGTCCAGGCACATGGTGCAAGCTATTGGTGGATCTACCATTCTAGGGGCTGGAGGATGGTGGCCCTTTTCTCACAGCTCCACTATGCAGTGCCCCAGTGGAGACTCTGTGTGGGGGCTCCAACCCTATATCTCCCTTTAGCACTGCCCTAGCATAGGTTCTCCATGAGGGCTCCTCCCCTGCAGCAAACTTCTGCCTGGACCTCCAGGCGTTTCCATAAATCCTTTGAAATCTAGGCAGAGATTCCCAAACCTAAATTCTTGACTTCTGTGCATCCACAGTCTCAACACCACATGGAATTCACCAAGGCTTGGGGCTTGCACCCTCTGAAGCAATGGCCCAAGCTGTACCTTGGCGCCTTTTATCCATGGCTGTAGCTGAAGCAGCTGAGACACGGGGCACCATGTCCTGAGGCTGCACAGAGCAGGGGTGCCCTGGGCCCACCCCATGAAACCATTTTTCCCTCCTAGGCCTCCAGGCCTGTGATGAAAATGGGTGCCAGGAAGGTCTCTGACATGCCCTGGAGACATTTTCCCCATTGTCTTGGTGATGAACATTCAGCTCCTCGTTACTTATGCAAATTTTGGCAGCTGGCTTGAATTTCTCCCCAGAAATTACTGTACTAGTCCATTCTCATGCTACTATGAAGAAATAACTGAGACTGGGTAATTTACGAAGAAAAGAGGTTTAATTGACTCACAGTTCTGTGTGGCTAGGAAGGTCTCAGGAAACGTACAATCATGGTGGAAGGCACCTCTTCACAGGGTGGCAGGAGAGAGAATGAGTGACAGTAGGAAAGTGCCAGACACTTATAAAATTGGGTTTTCTTTTCTATTGCATCGTCAGGCTGCAAATTTTCCAAACTTTTATGCTCTGCTTCCTCTTGAATGCTTTGCTGCTTAGAAATTTCTTCTGCCTAGGTTAGGCACAGTGGCTTACACCTGTAATCCCAGGACTTTGGGAGGCTGAAGCAGGTGGATCACCTGAGGTCAGGAGTTTGAGACCAGCCTGGCCAACATGGTGAAACCCTATCTCTACTAAAAATAAAAAATTAGCTGGGCATTGTGGCATGGGCCTATAGTCCCAGCTACTTGGGAGGCTGAGGCAGGAGAATTGCTTGAACCCAGGAGGTGGAGGTTGCAATGAGCTGAGATCATGCCACTGCACTCCAGCCTGGGTGACAGAGTGAGACTCCACCTAAAAAAAAAAAAGAAAGAAAAAAGAAAAGAAAAAAGAAATTTCTTCTGCCAGATACCCTAAATCATCTCTCTCAAGTTCAAAGTTTCATAGATCTCTAGGGTGGGGCAAAATGCCACCAGTCTCTTTGCTGAAGCATAGCAAGAGTCACCTTTATTCCAGTTCCCAACACATTTCTCATCTCCATCTGAGACTACTTCGGCCTAGACTTCCTTGTCCATATCACTGTCAGGATTTTGGTCAAAGCCATTTAACAAGTTGCTAGGAAGTTCCAAACTTTCCCACATTTTCTTGTCTTCTTCTGAGCCCTACAAACTGTTTCAACCTCTGTTTGTTACCCAATTCCAAAGTTGCTTCCACATTTTTGGATATCTTTACAGCAATACCCCACTACTCCCAGTACCGATTTACTGTATTAGTCCATTCTCATGCTGCTATGAAGAAATACCCCAGACTAGGTAATTTATAAAGGAAAGAGGTTTAATTGTCTCACAGTTCCACATGGCTGGGAATGCCTCAGGAAACTTACAATCATGGTGGAAGGCAACTCTTCACAGGGTGGCAGGAGAGAGAAGGAGTGACAGCAGGAACATGCCAGACACTTACAAAATCATCAGATCTCATGAGAACTCACTTACCGTCACGAGAACAGCATGGGGAAAACCACCCCCATGATTCAATTACCTCCACTTGGTCTTACCCCGTTGCCATGTGGGGATTATTACAATTCGAGGTGAGATTTGGGTGGGGACATGGAGCCAAACTGTATCAATCATGCATGCTAAAAGAAAATATGATAGGTATACATTTACTCTATTGCCTGATTAAAACACAAACACAGAATTCCTCAAATAAAAGTTGTTTATCCAGATACACAGCCACCATATTTTCTCATCTTTAAGAGATTATTATTAATATGTAATGTTATATTATGACCTCATATTCATGGGGGAAACAGAAGTACTCACTTTGTTTTTGTGTATCAGACACCAGACATTTGTTATAAATGCCAATGTCTTGCATACCTCAGTTTAAAATGTGTACATGCTATCATTTATGGGTTCCTCCAAATGTTGTATAGTTTCCAACCATAACTGAAATGGATGCAGTAAATAGAAAGACAAATTGAATTTTTTTCTTACAAGTCAGTTACACCTCTTTGTGAAGAATCATCATCTGGTGACTTCAAATGATTTAAATTATATTTTTACTATGATCACATTTTATACAGCTATTTTAAGTTTTCTTGTGTTCTTTAGGCCATTTGAGGACAGTGAAGAATATACATTTTATATATAGTTTTTATTGTATTATATAACATATATAAATATAATTTGCCTTCTCTTATATTTATCTTAAGGAAATTGTCCAGATTGGTTTTAAATGAACTATGTTTTCACATGAAATAGATTAGGAATTCTAGGCGACTTCATGGCACTATATTGAGACACTTTCTGTACTAACTCAGAAAGTAATAAAGCTTGAAAAGTTATATGGTGGATCCTAAAGAACCCGTAACAAGGAGTCTTCTAATTTCATATTATTCTGAGGCTGATGTGTGTCAACGTACAAGTCACAACACTTCTTCATGGTTTGGCTTCTTTACCCCCCTACCTAATGAGAATATTTGTGGAGATAACGCAACCACATTGGCTACAAAAATCTTCTACTGATTTCACTTCTAAGATTGTGAAGAATTGTTAATCTGTGGTTGGGGCTAGACTTAGAAAATATGCAATTTTTTCTAAGCTTAAAGTTCCAAAACTTATCCCTTCCTTGTCAGCCTACTGTCCTCTGGGGTATAAATTTAACTTCAAATATATTTTGGTGCAGGAGTGAGGCAAAGCCTTTATGTACTGCAATAGTGACTATTACCTTGGTCTCTGTCTCACTAGAGGTCTAACTGACTTCCTTGCATCCTACATAAGTGCTTTTTAAAAATAAAATTTGAGGGTCAGTTTTCCTTGATATAGAACTCCTTTGGACAGCAAGTCCTCTGACCTAAACCCAAGGGTCATTTCTTGGATATTAGGAATCTAATGAAGCATTTCTAGTACGTCCGAAAAAAATCCCTAGGGCAGATATCTTTGAAATTACTATTTCTCCTGATAGAAACATAATGCAAATATCTGATGTAAAAAGCTGGTCCAGTCTGTAAAATGTCTATTATATACACAGAGGAGAGATTTAAAAAGTGATTTTAAAGTCACATTCTCCTTTCTCCCTTGTGCACTTAACTGACTCAGAATAGCTAACACTATCCATTCTGTTCACAGAACATGCTATTCTCTGTCCAGGACTTGCTGAACAAGCAGAGCTAGCAGGCTACTAGCCTACTCTAGTGTCTGGTATGTTTGTGCAGTTCTACTACCAGTTGGCTTGTATGCTTAGCACAGTGTATTCCCAAACCATTTGTGTCAATTATTATTATAATTATGTAATTTAATTGATAATCTGTGAGTTAATGTAGTATGAGTGTGAAAAGAGAGTTGTTTTCATGATAACTAATTAGAATGCTCTGGAAAGGCTTGATAAAGGTGAATTGCTAAAAATACTGTTTACTGTCAAATTAAGTGTGAGCTGTCAAATTAAGTGTTGTTTATATTTGACAATTGAAGGGAACATTATTAGAATGTAGATATTTGCTTTTCAGTAATATTGAAAAATTCTTGACCTACTTAAAAGACACTATGTAAAAATTGTTTGTAATGGCTTATATATATGGTTAAAGAAAGAAAATGAGGAATTACAACCAGCAAATTCACATATTTTTTAAGGAAATACCTTGTTCTACATCAAAAATATTAGATAATGGGTGTGCCTTATTTTTCACATAAAATAAAATATTTAAAATTATATATTTCCTGCTTTTTCAACTATCTGACCAATCGCTGTTCTGGATAACATAAGACCCTGTATACTGTAAATGCTCCAGTCCATCATGTAATTGCCTTTTGCTTCTTTTTTTTTTTTTTTTTTTTTTTTTTTTTTTGAGATGGAGTCTCGCTCTGTCACGCAGGCTGGAGTGCAGTGGTGCTATCTCAGCTCACTGCAAGCTCCGCCTCCCGGGTTCACGCCATTCTCCTGTCTCAGCCTCCGGAGTAGCTGGGAGTACAGGAGCCCACCACCACGCCCAGCTAATTTTTTGTATTTTTTAGTGGAGATGGGGTTTCACCATGTTAGCCAGGATGGTGTCAATCTCCTGACCTCGTGATCTGCCCGCCTGGGCCTCCCGAAGTGCTGGGATTACAGGCGTGAGCCACCGTGCCCAGCCTGTCTTTTGCTTCTTATTTTAACTTGGAACCACCAAATCCCCACAGTAGAAAGTAGATTCTTTGCTCGGTCAAGTTTAGTTTCCCTAACATGCTATATTCTTCTGAATGAAGTTTCTACTATCTTCCCAGAATCCTTTCCCACCTTTTTCACATACATCTGACAGTAGAGCCATATCTCACTTCCAACTACACTAATCATGTCATAGATTTTATGTCTCTGATTGCACTGTTTGGGATTCCATCAGCCTCCCACTTACCTGCTCCATCTGCTTTGTCCCCTAACAAAGTCCTCCTCAAATATTCCCACTCAAATATTCACCTCCTTTGTGTAATCATCTCAGCAGGGAACTTCTTTCATGTTACAACAGTACTTTGCCCTAGCACTATTCCTCACAGAGTAGCATTTGTCACTCTTAGCCAGAGTCTAAGCTTCTTTATGGGGAAAGAGTAGGTATTGATTTTTTATGTATTTTCAAATCCTAGCAAAAGCTAGGTATTCAGTAATGTGTGTAGAATGAAGTAACAAAAGATCAAATTTGTTTTACATTGAAGGTTGAACTAACAACTAGAATCTTTAGAGAGTAAGAACTCCCTCAGATGCGGGTGAATTCCCTCATCATTCTTCCTTAAATTACCTTTCTTCTCTTTTTTTTTTCCACAGTTATTCTTGAATTTATTGTCTTAACTTTCATACCTCCTAAGACCACTTTATTTCAATTTCAGCCCCTGAAAATTTATGGAAGATTTTTAAGAAAATGGTAAACAACCACTGACAGGGAATTCTGGTAGAAATTGAACTATCAGATGCTGGGTTGGACCAGATTAAATTTAAGGCCCTCTCTTGCCTTGATATTCTGTGAATTACCTTTCAGTAACTCACAAATTTATGGTGCCCTTCATGTCCCACCATATGGACTGTCATCTATTCCACTCTGTAGCCATGACTCTCTTGTGGAGCCTCTCTTTCATCCCCTAATTAGTGATACACAAGAGAGAATGGGTGAAGTACTCATTTACCATCTTACCTGCTTCCTAACAAATCCACAGCCAAGGGGATGTGCTCTGCACAATCAGAGGTTTGTCCTGGCAGATGGGTAGGCTTGATTACGTATGTCCACATACTATTCTTTGTTGTCAGAGGCTAACAAAATGATGACATGGATAAAATGTGTGTGTGGGCCGGGCGCGGTGGCTCACGCCTGTAATCCCAGCACTTTGGGAGGCCGAGGCGGGCGGATCACGAGGTCAGGAGATCGAGACCATCCCGGCTAAAACGGTGAAACCCCGTCTCTACTAAAAATACAAAAAATTAGCCGGGCGTAGTGGCGGGCGCCTGTAGTCCCAGCTACTTGGGAGGCTGAGGCAGGAGAATGGCGTGAACCCGGGAGGCGGAGCTTGCAGTGAGCCGAGATCCCGCCACTGCACTCCAGCCTGGGCGACAGAGCGAGACTCCGTCTCAAAAAAAAAAAAAAAAAAAAAAAAAAAAATGTGTGTGTGTGTGTGTGTGTATGTGTTTCCTACTCTGTAGCCTTATAGTCTACATAAAAGAGAGAACAGTGTACTTTTCCATGTATAAAGAAAGTAGCAAAAAAAAAAAAAATAAGGTAGAGATAGATGTGAACACTGTGTCACATCCCATTGTTAAATGTATTCAGAAGGTCTGGGGTGAAGATGGTTCAGTGCACCTCTTCTGGTTATACCTGGGCACGAAAGCTGGCAGAAGCAGATTTGACTCAGGACTAGCAGTTCTCTAGGACTAAATGGATATGGGAACAACAGGGTCTTGAGAACTCAAGTTGAATGTCAATTTCTGTCACAAATCTGACACATACTCAAAGATTTCATTACAGTCAAAGAGCAGTACTGGTGGGGCATTTAATAGGACTACTAAAATTTTAGATATTACCTTAGATCCCAGTATTTGTAACAAAAAATATTTAATTTAATGTCCTGATGCCCTATAGATAATTCTGCTCCTTCTGGTCGAGGGGTGATCATTTCATTTCTTTGTTGATTATTTCCTGAAGACATGTTATATAAATACATTCTACCACAAGTGGTTAAAAACTTTCAAGTCTTGTTTCTTTGTGATTATATGTGGCTGAAGTTTATTTCTCTAGAGTTATGTCGTTGAAAGCAATTTGGTTTAAGAGTCAGGACAAACAGTAGAAATTTATCCATATGACTTTCTATTGTACTTACAGAAGCAAAGGCACTAAATAAGTTTATACAGGGCTCTGAAAATTTACTTTGAGCGGCGCAAGAAAATAAACATTTTGAAACAGCGTTCCTAGAAATCTGGTTAATGCTAGCATCAGAAATTGTGTGTGTGTGTGTGTGTGAGAGACAGAGGTGAGAGTGGATAGTAGGAGGTGAGAAAGACCTACAAACAATAAGAAACAAAAATGTACTTCATCAAACATCTATAAAGTCAAAGAGGACAGAGACCATAAACAAATGAACACTTTCAGGCCAGGCGCGGTGGCTCACGCCTGTAATCCCAGCACTTTGGGAGGCCAAGGCGGGTGGATCACGAGGTCAGGAGTTCAAGACCAGACTGGCCAAGATGGTGAAAACCCATCTCTACTAAAAATACGAAAATTAGCTGGGCGTGGTGGTGCGCACCTGTAGTCCCAGCTACTCGGGAGGCTGAGACAGAGAATTGCTTGAACCCGGAAGGCGGAGGTTGCAGTGAGCCGAGATTGCGCCACTGCACTCCAGCCTGGGCGACAGAGCGAGACTCCTTCTCAAAAAAACAAAAACAAAACAAATAAGCACTTTTGAAAACTTACTAGAAAGTCCAATTGAGGGTATGTGGGCTTGAAGCACATTAGGCATATCATTTAACCACCCAAAATTACACATTTCAAGTTCTTGTCAAACAAAGTTATATATATCAGACACTTAAAATGAAAACTGACATGAGTACCAGCTATTGGCTGAAGACAACCCCTTAAGTTCACCTGTTAGCAGTATCTGTAACCTGCCTTTAGCTATAACTGATTCAAGTGTATGTCCTTGGATTAGAGAGCAAAGCATTCTTGTAGACAAAATTAATTGGTAAAATATAGCTATATGATTTAATGCACCAAAAATGATTCACATGGAAGACAGAAATTAATTTATATTCATAACAAAATTACCCCTTGGCTTATTGACATCAGAGAGCAAAATAATTCTGGGATGGAGAGGAATTCAGGTTAGAGCTGAGGGATTTTGCCAGTTATACAATTACCTTGTGGCCTGAAGGGGCCAGTGTCTTGCCCTAGGCAATGCTATCACTCTCAAGTATTCCAAAGCCCTAAACAAGTCACTCAATTCTCTACCAAAATTGTATGCATAGATGATAATCCAGGGGAACTGGGGAGCTCCAGATGCCCTATTATTAATATCTGGCCTCCAATATTTCATTCAGAAAGTAATGACTTTGGTTCCTTGGACCCTCAGCAAGAAACTAAAACAAATGTGACTACACTTTATAATAAGTGACAAATCTCTCCTTGCTCCCTTTTGGTATTCATTGTGATATCATTAATCAGTGCTGAACTCCTGATAATAAATCTTGATGCTCCCAATAATGTGAAAATGCATTATTCCCCTGTTGTCCAGTATTCTGTATGCCACACTCTTTGTTATAAACAACTAGAAAGTTCTAGGAAAAGCTTTTAGTTTAAATTCAGCTATTCAACTATTTCACTTTTGAGACTATCATGACTACCTTGGGATCTCATTAACTGTGAAGATTGCTTTGTCATTTGTTTATTTTCCCTGGAAGGAAAATAAAATTCTTTCTTTTTGATTTTGAACCTGTAGTCTAGTAATGTTTGTTTTTTCAATCTATATACTATGAATATGCATATTTGCCTGTTTTAGTATCCAAGGCAGATGATGGACATAAAAAGAGAGAGAAAAATTAGGTCCATTTGATCCACTTCCTGATGGAAACATTATCCATCTGTTCTTAATAGACCGTAATCAGCCCTATTTATTTTCCATTTTTTTTCCTAAAAGAAATTGATAAAGACAAAATAAAAGATGCATTTAGGACTTGAGAAAAATAGTTTCCTCATTATGAATCTTTACTAGATCAAATTCATATTGTGTCACAGATTACATCATGAAAGCAATATTAACAAATTAAAATAATACTCTTACAATGTGCAATCAAAACAGGAACAGTTGGCATTTGGTGTATGACTCACATTTTTAAATGTATTTTTTATCAAAATAATAGTAATATCTATTTTAAAAATTAATGGGTTTATAAAATAAGACTCCGAATAAAAGCATATTCTCCTGTACCACACCCAGGTCCTGCTTCCTTGAAGAACTACATTCAATTCTTTTGGCTGTTTTGTTCCATATTAACCTCATATTTCTAAATTAAATGGTTTCTATGTGTGCATTTATTTAAACTTTATGTTATTTTTCTTCTAGTATTGTCCCACCATAGTTATATCATACTATTTAATTAAATTAATGTTTACTCACCTTTCCATTATCGCACATTTATTTTGTTTTTCTTAGAGTTGAAAATTGCGTCACTTTTCATAATAACGAAGCTATTTTTCTCTCTAATTATCACTAATTTATTTCACACTCTTCCATAGAACTGAAACACCTTTGAGTACTTTTTTCCACGTGGTAAACTGTATTAGATATTATATCAACTTCATTTTTTTAAAATCAGGAGACACCTGATGTGGAGTCCTCCCAGACTAACTGTATGTAAAAGGGATCTTGTGCATGATTCCTGAGTGTGCGTTCATACAGGCTATGATGCGAGTGGCAGACCCTAGCCCCACTGTGACCAAGCTGTGCAGTGCAGAAGACCTTCGCTTCCTCGTGCATCCTACCTAGTTGTTCCAAACTACACTAGTTGTTCTCTAAGCCTGATGCAGGACTGTTGTCAGGGGTCTTCCCTTATTCCCTTCATTTCTCTCTCTGTTCTATTTCCCATTTTCTGGATTTCATGCTTTCCTCTTTCTTGGTTCTCTGCTTCATTTCAGTGGAGCTCTTTTTTAGTAGGTACCCGGAAAACAAGCAAGGCATGAAAAGCTTTCAGGTTTGATGGTGTCTTTACTCTCATACCTGCTTGATTGGTTGGTTATAAAATTATAGTTCAAAATATTTTTCCTTAGACTTTTTAGGGCATTTCTCACTGTTACTGTTGAGAATTGCTATGTCATATTGTATC
Source organism: Homo sapiens (assembly GCF_000001405.40). Taxonomy (NCBI): domain Eukaryota; kingdom Metazoa; phylum Chordata; class Mammalia; order Primates; family Hominidae; genus Homo; species Homo sapiens. The sequence goes on from NC_000005.10 coordinate 103,730,636, forward strand.
ATGGTCCTTTATGTATAATCATTTATTTTTATCTATAGAAGCTCTTTATACAAGGTATGTTGAAGTTTTATGTTAATGTGCCTTAGGGTAGGTCTTTTTCAGTTCACTGTGCTTGGTGCTTAAATAGCTTTTTCATGATGGTAACTAACTTCAGTTGTGGGAAATATTATTTCTTCCATAATTTTTGCTTCCATTATTTTTCCATTTTACCAGGAACACTTATTAGGTAGATGTTGGGTGTCTTGTATTAGCCTTTATTTTTCTTATCCTTTTTCCCTGGAGAGTTTTCCAACTCTTGTCTCTTGATCTTTTTTTTTCTTTTTTTAACCTTCTTTAATAGAAGATTGACTCATATCTTTCAAACTTTCTATAGAAATTTGTATTTCAGCTATACTGTTTTAACATTTTTATGTGCTCTTTCTGTTCTTAGGACCCCATTTTAAAAAAATTTCAACCTTTTCTTGTTTTTTTGAATGAAGTAGCTTCTTTTATCTTTCAAATAATGTTTTTTACTGCATTACATTGTCTCTGTTTCTGCCAAGTTTCTTTTATCTGTTGTCTCTTTTCATGTTAGAGGGTTTTCTCAAATCTCTTTTGGTTCTCAGAAATCATTCAAATTTAAAAGTGAGGATTAAAAAACCGATTGGAAACTTTATGGTGTATGCATCAAGTGAGGTGTTATTTATAAAATGTGGGTATAAGAGAGAACCAGATTCATTGTGGGTCCCCCTGAATGTCTTATTGACCTTTTCTCTGATCATTTCCTCCAGAGATTAATTCACTATACTGTTAGAGTGTCTGGCTGCTAGCATAATAAGAACTTAGGTGGGAGAGAAAATTGGAAACTCATTGTTTAGTACATAGGATTTAACTTTATTCTCCTGTAGTTCCTCCCTGCCATCCCCATGTTCTCAGCCTCTCTGGTCAATTTATTTAATGACTAAGGCTCTCCCTCTCTTTCCAGAGGGAGTAGTTTGGTTGTCTGGAGTAGGCATCTCGGCCTGAGAAGAGGGATTGTCTAACTAGTGCTAATATATACTTCTGCTGTCAGCCCACTACTCACCAAATTCTCCACTTACAAAGGCTTTCTTGAGGCTGTTCAGAATTCTGTAGCATAAACTGGCTTCATCTCACTGGTGTGCCCCACTGAATGGGCCAACATTTTAGTTGTCTCCACACAATTAAGTATGTTACAACTTATGCATTTCTTTTCCATCTCCTAACATTTGTGGATATCTCTTGCTCTCTGTTGTTTCATTTTATTTTCCTTGTGGTTTAAAACTCTATTATCTTGTTACTGTCATTTTCATAGGGGTTCAGAAGGGAATAGACACAAATACATGTGTAAAATCTGCCATGTTTAACAGGAAATTCTGTAATATAATTTTACATTTCAAAGAAATTGCCCTATTGAAAATATCTATGTTTATATATATTTGTGAATCCTATTTCTGTAGACTATTTCTGAGTCTTTATACAGAGGATGAAAACCTTTTTCCCAAAAATATAGGTTAAGAAAAAATATCTTAAAGATATGAAAGTGTTTGCCTCTAAGGAGTGGGTTTCAGTATCATAGCAAATAGGTGTGGAGAGGTGAACAGGCAAATTACCATTCTTTTTCCACAAGCCTTTTCATTCTAACTAGACTTTTAAATTAAGTGTTTATATGACCTAATAAAATGAAAAATTAAAATACGCAAACAAAACCATAACTAAATGTAGGCTAGTGCTACCCACCCACCATTTAGTATTCCTTTCAATAATGTTCAACAATGAAGTTTAGGAAATCTCTTTGTTGTTGAGTAGACTCACTTGACTAATGAGCTAGCCAAGACCAGCCTGAATTATTAGTATTTGAATAAATTAATTAAGAAATTATGAGAAATTCCCCTCTGGCATAAAGAACCATGGTAGATCAAATAGGAAAAAAGCATTTTGAAGTAGATTTTTTAAATTAAATTATTATTTTCCCTTCTTAATAAATATTACCACATTATCCATGTTGCTCATGTCAAATATATAGGAGTCATTCTCAATTCCATTTTACTGCTTCATTCCTCATATCCAATCCATCAGCAGGAACCGTTGGTTATACCAAAAATATATCCAGATCTCTCTATTTCTCTTGACCATCATCTGACTCAAGCCACCATCTTCTCACTCCTGGACCACTGTAATGGCCACCTTACCATTTCCTGGCTTTTATATTTTCTCCCACTCATCCATTCTTTGAACATCAGTCAGAATGATCTTTTAAAAATGTGAGTCAGATTACATTACTCCCCTCTTCAAAACTCTCCAAAAACTCTCTGTTATGTTTAGATGTCACAGGTGGGTTCCTTGAGCTATAAGATGTTTACCAAGCTGAGTAGAGAAAGAGAAGCAGATTTGGCAGAGGAAAATGTCTAAATGTGATGCAGGGCTGACAGAATATTGGTCAAACCCTCCATAGAGTGCTCTAGAGTGAATATTGCCCATCAGATTTCTCCTCCAGGAGGCTGACACTGTTGGAAGGTACATGCCATGCCTCCCCAGCCCTTCAATGCATACAGTCTATCCTGGAAAGGGTATGGCCTAGGGGAAGGCTATTGGTTGACTACATGTTTTACAGGTGGGCAGTAAGTCCTTTCTTGAAGGGGGACTTGAGTATGATAAAAATATCATATTCTTCTTTTTTTCTTTTTTTGAAACGGAGTCTCACTCTGTCGCCCAGGCTGGAGTGCAGTGGTCTGATCTCGGCTCACTGCAAGCTCCATCTCCCGGGTTCACGCCATTCTCCTGCCTCAGCCTCCCAAGTAGCTGAGATTACAGGCGCCTGCCACCATGCCCAGCTGATTTCTTTTTGTATTTTTAGTAGAGATGGGGTTTTACCATATTAGCCAGGATGGTCTCGATCTCCTGACCTCATGATCCGCCCGCCTCGGCCTCCCAAAGTGTTGGGATTATAGGTGTGAGCCACCACGCCCAGCCAAAAATATCATATTCTTATAATCTCCTATAAGGCTTTGGCATGAGGCCCTGGACACTATTACCAACTTTATTTCCTAATACTTGTATTCTTCATCTTGTTCCAACCACACTGTCTTTCTTCTTCCTGCTCCTCCATCATACTGAGCTAATATAAAAGTTAGCTGTCCCCTCTGCCTACAATGTTGGTCTGTATATATTTGCACAACTATTCCTTGTTGATATTCCTACAGATCAAATGCTGCTTCCTCAGAAAGACTTTAACTCCCTGTATGAGGCCATACCTCCAACTCTGGACTCTTTTACATCGTTCTATTTTATTTTCTTCAAAACGTTCACTTATCACCATGTGTTTTAGTCCCTTCAGGCTGCTATAACAAAACATCATAAACTGGGTGGCTTGTAAACAACTTATCTATGTGTCACAGTTCTGGAGGCTGGGAAGTCCACGATCAAGGTGCTGGTAGGTCTGATGTCTGGTGAGGGCCTGCTCCTGGGTGCATCCATGGTGCCTTCTCACTGTGTTCTTATGTGGTGGAAGGGCTAGCTAGCTCTCTGGGGTCTCTTATAAGAGTACTAATCTCGGGCCAGGCGCAGTGGCTCACACCTGTAATCCCAGCACTTTGGGAGGCAGAGGCAGGTGGATCACCAGGTCAGGAGATCGAGACCATCCTGCCCAACATGGTGAAACCCTGTCTCTATTAAAAATACAAAAATTAGCTGGGCATGGTGGTGCATGCCTGTAGTCCCAGCTACTTGGGAGGCTGAGGCAGGAGAATCACTTGAACCCAGGAGGTAAAGGTTGCAGTGAGCCAAGATTGTGCCACTTAACTCCAGCCTGACAACAGAGCGAGACTCTTTCTCAAAAAAAAAAAAAAAAAAAAAAAAGAGTACTAATCTCAACCCTGTCCTATCCTACACTGGAATGCAAGCTTTGTGAGAATAAAAACCTTTAATCTTTTTTGCTCTGGCATCCTCAGCATCTAGAACTGTGTCAAGAATATATATCGAGCACTTAATAAATATTATTTTATCACATATGGAACATATGTGTTCTAGGATATATACACTGAACATGGGATACTGAGAATGAAGGGGAGCAGAAAAGTATTTTGGGAAAGAAATGGTTTATCCAATGAAGGCAAGATTCTCCAGATGTAAAGCATAGACACCCAGTGTTCCAGCTGATTGCCCAGGACCCTTTCTGACCTCCTCCCATGGTTCCACCCAAACTTCATCATGCTCTACAGACATCAAAAGATTAAACATAACTTGCAGATAATTTAGAGTGGCAATTTGGGTTTCAATACTGTTTGTATATACTTTAAAGTTTGATAATGAAGCTAAATTTTTCTTCCTGACAATACTTGATATCAATTATTAAAGAATAACATTACTTTGTGCAGTATTTTTACTTATTTTATTAATAAATCCACCCATTAACTCTGTGAGTTAGGACAAATGCTATCACCTACATTTTATGGGTGAATAAATGGAGATCAGAGAGGTTAAATGACTTGTTGAAGATAAGCAGTTTTTAGGTATTTTTACCCTAAAACTTCTGTTTTATTCTACATTCACAAAAAAAGCATAAGAAAGTGACTGAGGACAACTGTAACACTGAGTAACTCTTTTACAGGTATGGGTTGATAGACAAAAGACGTAATTTATATTTCCCTGATTATTTTCTGTGTTCTTTCCTTCATTGGAGAAAGTAGCAAGTTCTGCATTTTCTGCCTCAGGGAAGGCAGAAATTCAACATTGCCTGCCAGATGCCTCCTTTTCTAAAAACTGAAGCCCATTAATCAGATTATGCTAGGCTTTCTGAAGGGAGAGGAAAGAGGCTGCCTTTGAAAGAAATATGAATTGGGAGAGTGCATGCTTTCTCTCAGATTAAAAAGAGATTCTTGGAATATGGAAAGGAGTAGAAATGTGTGAGCTCTTTAACCATGGGGCACTAATGCCCTTCTTCCTGTCTCATCCTGGGTTAGGTGGCAATACCTGAAAAGAAAATGGCTGTTTCTCAGTTTGCCAAAAAGCCTTGTGCTCCAAGCATAGTGTCAAAGCATGAGAACCACTGTAGCTGAATGGACCAAATGAATGCTACTTTGACCAAAATAAGTGTGAACTAAGAACTATTGACTTGACACGCTGTAGGACTCTGGCACCTGTGAAACATCCCGTGGTGGAAGGGATACCAGTGGGAGAATAATGATGCATGTTGAATTTCATGCCCTTCTCTCTGAGAGACAAATTTATAGTCACAACTAATTTGATGGAAAGAACATGAAAAAATTTGGTAATACTTATACATCTGATATTGTGGACTGTATTAATATCCATTTATTGCTATAACCAATGGTGGCAAACTTAGTAGCTTTAAACAACGCAAATGCATTACTTACAGTGCTGGAGTTCAGTCCTAAAATCAAGGTGTTGGCAGGGCTGCATTCCTGCCGAAGGCTCTGGGGTAGACTCTGCTTTCCTGCCTTTTCTAGCTTCTAGAAGCTCCCTGAATTTCTTGGCTATTAGACCCTTCCTTCATCTTCAAAACCAACAGGGCAATATCATCAAATTTCTCTCTCTTTTTCCTTCTGTGACCTATTTTCACATCTTCCTCTCTCTGACTCTGCTGTCTCCCTCTTTCCCTTTAAAGAACTTTTTTGATTACATTGGATCCACCTGGATAATACAGTATGCCCTCCTTCCTCTTAAGATCCTTAACTTACATCTTCAAAGTACCTGTCATAATATAAGGCAACATATTCAGAGGTTTTGGTTACTACATGGATAATGTTGGCAAGGCGGGGCACTAATCTACTTACCACATTAACTGAGAATAAATGTCATTTGGAGCAGAACATAATTTTAACTCTAGGAGGAGAGTACCAAAAACAGTCAAACAGATAAACAAGATAACGCATGCTGAAATGTTTTATTACTTTTGATCATAAAAGAATCCCATGTTCGGCCGGGCACAGTGACTCACGCCTGACTCCCAGCACTTTGGGAGGCCGAGGCGGGCAGATCATGAGGTCAGGAGATGGAGACCATCCTGGCTAACAAGGTGAAACCCTGTCTCTACTAAAAAATACAAAAAATTAGCCAGGCATGGTGGCGGGCAGCTGTAGTCCCAGCTACTCGGGAGGCTGAGGCAGGAGAATGGTGTGAACCAGGGAGGTGGAGCTCTCAGTGAGCTGAGATCACGCCACCGCACTCCAGCCTGGGTGACAGAGCCAGACTCCGTCTCAAAAAAAAAAAAAGAGAGAGCTCCACAAAGTTGTTGGATATACTACAGGCATTTGAAAAAAAATGGAAATAATTATTAAAAGGCATAAAAGAAAATTTGAACAAAGGGAAAAATATACTATGTTGATGAGAATATGAATTTTAAAATGATGAAAACTTTTCTTCAAATCACTCTGTACTTCAATGCAGTTCCAATTATAGTTCCAAAAGTAATTTTTCCTGTGGAAATTTACAAAGTGATTTAAAAATTCATATGAAGGGCCGGGAGTGGTGGCTCACGCCTGTAATCCCAGCACTTTGGGAGGCCAAGGCAGGTGGATCACGAGGTCAGGAGATCGAGACCATCCTGGCTAACACGGTGAAACCCCGTCTCTACTAAAAATACAAAAAAAAAAAAAAAAATAGTCGGGCGTGGTGGCGGGCACCTGTAGTCCCAGCTACTCTGGAGGCTGAGGCAGGAGAATGGCGTGAACCCAGGAGGCGGAGCTTGCAGTGAGCGGAGATCGTGCCACTGCACTCCAGCCTGGGCAACAGAGTGAGACTCTTTCTCAAAAAAAAAAAAAAAAAATTCTTTTGAAGAAATAATGGTCCATTAATAGTTCAGTAAGAAAATATAATAATATGAAGAATGCTTGATAAAAGAAAAACTCAGAAGCTGACTGATGCTTAAATGGAAACTTGATGTGCAATAAGGGAGGAAAGATTACTAAATAAATGATGTTTATGCAATTGGCTTTAATGTGGAAAGAAAATTTAGTATACCATATACAAATTAAACTATGTAAGTTATAGTACCAATATGAGACAAAAATTAAAAGCAATTAGAACAGATTATGGGCAGCATTGTTAGACTTTGTTGTAATCAATATTCCTTAAGTGAGACATTAAAACATAAAGGGAAAGTTTTATCAGTATGTGCTTTTCAAAATTTAATATTCTGAGAATGTATTTTCACATATATGGCAAAGAATTACAACCAAAATTTCATGAGCTTTAGCAGGCCCCTGCATTCTTTGAAAATTATGCAGAATAGCAAAATTGTGTCCACATGCATTTTTATAGAGTTTTACCAGTCTTTGAAGTGAATACGTGTCCTCAAAATTAATGACAAAAACCACTATTCTAGGCAAATTGTTGCTAAACTACATATGCATACAAACACATACATATGCACACCCTCAACACAGCAGGAGAGAGGTGCTTAATTGATCTGTTCTGCAAATTCCAACATATCTGACACTTGGCTCTTCCATTGCTTCTTGACTTTCAGGCAGAATACATTTATAGCACTCTTCTCATGCAGAATGTGATTGGCTTTCTAAAGGTGTATCTGTTATGACAGTCCAGACGGAAGATGGAATTTCTTGGCTTTTGCACAAAATCTATGCTAAACTTGTTTTCTCTAAGAATTAAAAATTAGGGCCGGGCGCGGTGGCTCACGCCTGTAATCCCCGCACTTTGGGAGGCCGAGGCAGACGGATCACGAGGTCAGGAGATCGATACCATCCTGGCTAACATGGTGAAACCCCATCTCTACTAAAAATACAAAAAATTGGTGGCAGGCGCTGGTAGTCCCAGCTACTCGGGAAGCTGAGGCAGGAGAATGGCGGGAACCCGGGAGACGGAGCTTGCAGTGAGCCTAGGTGGCGCCACTGCACTCCAGCCTGGGCGACAGAGCGAGACTCCAACTCAAAAAAAAAAAAAAAAAAAAAAAAAAAGAATTAAAAATTAGGATTAGCTGAACTCGATAGCTTGAGTACTGTAGCTACCTCTGTGGAAGGGTCCTTGGGAAGAAATGGTTCTCAGGATTGTCTGGAATGAGCTTTATTCTCCAGGATTGTCAGATTTAGCAAATAAAAATACAGGAAGTCCAATTAAATTTGAATTTTTTTATGAAACTCCAAAAATGACTACTTTTTAGTATATTTTATAAAATATTTTTGACATGCTTATATTAAAAATTCATTTATCTAAAATTCAAATTCAACTAAAGTGCCATAGTGTTTCTAGCAATGCTAGTGCTGTTTAGTGTGAGGGTTCTATGTCCCACGTCTAAGTAGCTTGAGTAAGACAGAGGCATCCATTCTATAAAGCATAAACGGGATTTTATTCAAATTGTTCATTGACACAGAAAATGTCTCAACTCTGGACTCCTAGATTAAATTTATTGCAGAAGACTAAAACCTCTCATCCTTCATTAAGATTCGGAAAAAAAAGTCATACTTTAGTTCACCAAGATTACGAAAAGCATTCAAATCATTTAAAACTCTAATTTAAGTCAAGCTTCTAAAATACCAAGAATCATAGAATCACATACGGTCTTTGAGAATGCTTCTTCTCCCATGTTCATCTCTTGTAGGAAAACAGCCTATTGCATGGTAAAGGTGACACCATCTTGCAGCAAAACCACCATGATGACCAGCGTTTGACTCTTGCATACCAAGGTGTTCCTGTAGCATTGACATAAAGAAACAATGCTTATAGTATAGATAACTCCTCATAAAGATGTTTCTCTAACATCCCCAGTGGTTACGAATCTTGCAAATAAGTCTGAGGCATGACCAGTTGCACATATCTTTACTATAAAAGTTTGCTCTATAAAGGATACTTTCCGGAGAGTGGGTATGGGAATCCACTGTCTCTAGATAGGTCTGTCACTTCTGTTTGTAAATCCTTATTAAGCGTTTCTTTCTGAGAAACTGGGCTTGTCAGCCTCTTTGGCCTCTCAGCTTCCATTGCCTTTGGGAGTAGGTTTACATATACCTGCTCACTGAGGAATATACCCCCAACCCCATATACCCACATAACCCACACACACATGCACACTATTATTACTAGCAAGTCCGCTGTTTGATTTTAAGTTTTATATTCCAAATACATCTTAGGTGTGCATTATGCAGAAAATCAGAGAATTAATAAGTAAAAATGAAGCTTACAAAAATCTGGTTAAAATTAAAATTTTCACCATACAATACATTTTGAGTACAATAAATTTAAGGTGTTTTCCAAATCTATGTTTCTGTGATCCATGGCATTTTAGAACATTGGCTCAAATTATGCTTGATAAGTGAATGGATTATTTTTGGCAATCTAGAGGGTCTATGCATAATTTTGTGTTTTAGAATCATCCATGAAATTAAACATAATAAATAATAAATAATCTTGCTCTTTTGAACTTAATTATTATAGCAGTCCAGGGTGGGTGTGTTTTCTGGGCCAATGAGAAATATGTGTAATATGAAGTCTTAAATCTAGTAATTTCCATTTTGCAATTCAAAGAAAAAAATTTAAGGATGGGTGTTGTGGTAGGCAAAATAATAACTCCCCAAAGAGTTACTGTTGGGTCCTCACACATGGAACCTATAAATATATCATATTATATGGCATATTATATATCATATTATATTAAGATGGCAGACACATCTTAGGCACACCTAAGATGTATTTGGAATATAAAACTTAAAATCAAACAACAGACTTGTTAGTAATAATAGTGTGCATGTGTATGTGGGTTGTGTGGGTATCATATGGAAATTAAAGGTACAGATGGAATTAAGGTTGATAATCAGTTAACCTGCCACTAAAGATATTATCCTGGAATATCCAGTGAGCTCCATGTAATCACAAGAGCCCTATTGTAAGAGGAAAAGAGAAGAGGTGTTTAAAGATCCTATGTTGCTGGTTTTCAAGATGGATACCATAAGTCAAGAAATGCAGATGGTCTACAGGACTTGAAAAAGAAATGTTTTCCCTACTGCCTCCAAAAGGAATGCAACTCTGTTGAGATATTCATTTTAGCCCAGTGAAACCCTTCTTGGACTTCTGATCTGCAGAACTATAAGATAAGACATTTGTGTTGTTTTAAACCACTAAAAAATTTTCTAGTAATTTTTACAGCAGCAAATATGATATATAGTCCATATAACACAAAGGATTTTCAGTGTTTAGGCTAAAGTGTCTCTCTTCAAAGATAATGTTCTGGATTGCTATATTTAATTTTTAGCCACCATTTATTTGGGCTGCTATATGTAAGTACCTTTCTAAGTGCTTTACATATTTCATTTCACTTCATTTTTTCCTCAGCCAATCAGGTCAGTTATTATTATGTCCCCTTTATAGATAAAGAGACTGATCCTAAAAGAGGTGAATTAATTTGTCTATCTTTGGAAAGTGAAATAGAGCTATCCGAGTCTAAAAAGATCTTGAGTGTTAAATTATCCATCATCTTCATTAGTGCAAATAGCTGATATGTGATGTGGACATATTTAAAACAAGTAAGTTTTTTTGGAGGGAGAAGGTAAAATGTTCTTAAGAGTATGAAGATTAAAGAAGATAATAAGAGAATTTTGCATTAAGAAAAGTTTGCCTGTATCATTTATAATTTTGTAATCTGGGTAGATTTCTAAAGAGACACTTTACCTGTTTCCTAGTGTGCTGGTACTGAGACATATATTTTAAATGAATTGAAAGTTGTACCCTTTCTAGCTTCATGCTAATGTTGGCATTTTGTTTTACATTTAAAAGAAGATTTTGATATTAATTCAAGTTATGACCTTAATTTGTGTTGGTTGTAATTTTGGTCCTGATAAAAACATGAGTCATGAACATGACCCTGGATGTAATATTGCTAAAAGAGAAATCGATGGATGATCTAAGTAATTCACAGCAACAGCTGTCATAGTGGCCTGAATAAGGCAAAACTTAATTTTGCTCAGACCTCACTATATGATCAGGGCTTGTTGATGAAACAAAAGATGAGGAATTTGCTTTATTACTTAATTTTGGAATTGTCCAATACCATATTTTTACTTTGTTTTATTTTATTAAAATTTATTTTGAAACAAAGAGGTACCATGAATCAAATACCTTCTATTCAATTCTTTGCTGTATCTCCTACTTAAATGTAATCTCCTTGAGAAGTGGGGTATGTTTCATTCTTTCTTTATTCCCAGACAAATAACATGGTGGACCCACAATAAATGATAAATAAGTGTATTGTCATTATCAGGTAAATCGTGTGTTACTTGTAATTGATATTTCCAAAAGTGTTAAGATTTGGAGGAAAAATAGGAATTGACTGAAAACTAAGAAAAGCAGTAATTTTCTCTGATAGACATCTTTTTTCTCTTTTTAAATAGTGAATATAGCAGTATTTTAATTCTGTTTCTTGTACCATGTTGTACTGTTTTGCATCTGATTTTTAATGGTCCTATCTTTACCAGAATGAATTTCAAGAACTGTTTGTCTTATAATTGTGAAGCCAAATGTTTTGTCCATTGCACATGAACGAAAATGTGGGCCAATTTGGCTCACCTTATTGAAAGGTCCTAGAGTGCAACTGGATTAATGGGCTATAAAACTGTCATCAGAATTCAACTTTCTCTCATCTCTTAGCTCTGCATTCTACTGTGTTGGCCTCATTTCTCCAGGAGTAACAAATTATTAGCATCACAAAACCAATTTTAGGGGGAAGGGGAACCTGAATTTTAGCTTTTAGACCTTTTGCCATAATTGGTCTAATGTGGATCTTGTGACCTCCCTCAACCAATCCTGTGATTGAGCAGTTGCAAAATTCTGATTGGCTAAGCATAAATTATGCATTTCATACCTGGAGATGGATTCAGTTTTACTAGATTAAAATAGAAAAATAGAATGAGAGTGGAATCATCATTATCACAGGAAGAGGGGTAGATGCTAGGCTGCCAAATCAACAAATAATCACTAGGTCTGATTTTTCTTGACCTTGCTTTATATCCAAAGTGTGAGGAAAACAGTCAACACTTGATTATTTTGACAAATGGCACTGGGCACTCTCTTTGCCTAGTTAGGTTGAGATGAATTTAGTGTCTCCTTTGAGGATTACGAAAGTGACTTGACCTTTGTAAGCGTTAAAGTAACACCACTGACATCAGCTCAGAGAAAACTAGTTCTCCACAATCAGGTAAAAATTTGCTGAACAATGCCTATTCTACAAGCAGATTGCAGTAAAAGATGACACACAGAAGAATTAAAGTAGCTGTTAATTTTAGATTCTTGCTAGTTTTAGTTACAAGAAAGAATTTAATTAACTTCAGTTTGGGTAGATAGCAGAATAGAACATCTGCTTTCTTAATCTAGAGGGAGTTAAAATCAAAGTTTTGAGCCGTTAAAATAGAAGGGTTGGGAATTCTGATTGAACTTTATGGCAGATGAACAAGTGCCAAAATATTACTTTCCTAAAGCTGCCTAGATGACTAGCTTGAGTTGTTTTGGACTGTTTTAACAGCAGAGTGGGTTTGTTATTAATCAGGTGAAACCCTAAACTCATCTTTATTTATAAATTCTATGCTATTTAAATTTATGTAGTAACCTTCTAAGAGAGAAGATTTGAGAAAGTTAAGTTTAGTAACTTAGATGAGCAAGTATATTTACTCACTGAGGTGAACTTTTCATCAATTTCTGTTAAATGGCAATGTGATTGGGATCCAAGAAAATGAATCTCGTTTACCACTCACATTCTCTTACTAATTGAAGTCAAATGAGTAAGAGTCATGCATTTACATTTGGTGCTCTGATGTGTATAGTTCTCTGGTTTGATTTCTAATCCACAAAACTCATTGATGTGGCAATATGATGCACTGGGAGCTTAGCTAGGTAACAAAAACGGTGCACAATGCATAAGACACTCCTCTGAAATCCAGTTCAATGAAAGATAGTGTTTAAGGCTCCCTGAATGAATTACAGCATGGTAAGATACTGCTATAAAAGCAGCAAAACCATTAACATAGACAGTAGAGATGCTAGGCTGGAATGCTTTTATATGCCAATTTAATGTTTGCGATTATGCTGCACAGATTCAGTCCTTCATAAAACCATTTCTATGGTAACAGGGAAATGTAGAAAGCCCATAACATATAACTAGGACTTTCTAAAATTCTGACTAGTCTAAAGAATATGTTATCTTCTTTTAATGCACAAATTTCAGAAATTGAAAATTACTGAATAACACATGAAGTAGAAGATCTGACATCTTACAGTTAAGCCTCCTGAAAGCCTTATTTGATAGCTTATTAAATGCATCTGGTATATTTAAAAGTAAGACTAGAGAGTGAAAAAAGAGTTGAATCTGTAAAATGCTTTAGTCCAAATAAGCTTTCAGCACTTTGGTGATAGTAAGGAAATGTAGCCAATCTTCCTGCTGGAATTTACTGTTAGGATCTTTTACAGTTTCTGAATGGGATATTGTGAAGATGCAGCACAGAGATTTCAGGAACAAATAATCAGACAGAAGATAACCCACGGAAACTTTTAATAATCTGGTTGCCTTGTAAATGCTTTCTTCAGAAATTAACTTTGGGGACTTTGGCATTTATTTTCTCATAACAAGGGTGAATCGATTATTGAACGGTTGAAAGCACACAATACATATTGAGCTGTTCATGCGTAGCTGCTTTCTCCCAGCAGGCACCTTGCTGCCTGCAACATATTTTTAAATAGGATTACTACTCATTAAATTACAATGACCTGGAGCACTGGCCAAATAAAATAAAAAATTGCCTTGACTCATTGTGGTTTGAAGCATTGCCATGGCCTCTCGGTGGCTTGCTTTCCCTAGTGGAAGTTGATCTGAAGGATATACATGAATGACTGCTTCAATGGCTAAAATTTAGTCAAGCAAACCCCCAAATTTTGTAACTATAACTGAAACTTAAACATGGCCAGAGTTTTATATCATAATTACATTTTGAAGGAGTCCTTATTAAACAATATATATTTTTAGTCAAAATGGCTTATATTTTGTGTAGCAATCTGTGGGCTACTCATCCAAAAGATTACACTTTAAATTAATTAAATGTTGCAATGCTGATGTGTACACAAACCTGTATTCTTTCTATGAAAATAGACCATGTTTTTTAATTATACTATATAAAGCAATCTTTTATAAATCCATGAGAATACCTGTGTGCCTGAGGTGGGAGGATCACTTAAGGCCAGGAGTTCGAGATGAGCCTGAGCCATAGAGCAAGACCCCGTCTTTACAAAAAATAATTTAAAAATTAGTCAGGTGTTTTGGTGCATGCCTGTAGACCTAGCTATTCAGAAGGCTGAAGGTCACTTGAGCTCAGGAGATAGAGGCTTCAGAGAGCTATTGTCTTGCCATTGGACTCCAGCCTGGGTGACAAAGCAAGATCCTGTCTCAAAAAACAAATCAAATTGTCTAAAAAAAATTAGTCAAATCAATCAGCAGGAACAAAGGAACCGTCTCCCTTGATTTCAGTAGCTAAGGGGAATTTTTTTCTTTTTTCTTTTTGTTTGTTTGTTTAAGGCAGATAAAGAATATAGGCAATTACCTTAAGAATTCTCAGAGTATATAAAACGTATATGAATTAAATGACTGTAGGAAAGTAGGAAGAAGTATAATGTGAACATACTAACATTTTCCCAAAAGTTATATATTATTCATGTTGTCATTCTTGACAGCTGGAAAGAAAGATTATATGAAGACTTGTTATTCTCTTCCTGTCTGTACATTATTATGCCATGATTTAACCTACATTTCCATTTCACAGTCTATCTCATAATTTCTCCCTTCCTAATCTATTTACTGATACATGGACACTTGGTATGTGTATCAAATATTTATCTGAGAAATTCAGGGCCCAAGTTATGATACAAATTTGGGGGAGCCCTATGTCCCTATTCAGATGTCTTGTAACTTGACATCTGTCAGCCTCCCCATTATACACTTTCACTCATTGTGGATTTGTTATTAGTAGAAAGATCATGTAATCTCATTAATTCTGACAACCTGGAGCCAAGTCACAAAAGCTCCTGTGATACAGTGTCAGGACCGTAAGGTTAATCACAAGGTCTAAATTTGCTTTCCTTTGGGAATCATGTAATCTAACTTTTGTTTTCACTTCCAGTACCATGTTTAGTTCCAGGTCTTCTGTCTCTCAGACATTCCAATTATTGCTAAATATCTTCATTCTGGTATGATTCTGACTTCCATATGTCTAATTGAACTATTGCAACAGTTTAGAAACTGAGACTTCCTAACACTTCAGTTAAGCCCTTGGGGCTCAGGGATTGAATAGCTACCAGTTTAGAGTTCCTTAATACCGCATTAGTGACCTTTCTACTGAGGCATGATCTCAGTATTTCCATGTTGTCTCTGTATCCATACTATTTCTCTACACTCAGAATGAACCTCACTTTCCTCTGGAGTGTTAAATAGAACCTTTTGCAACCATCTGATCATCCTATGAAAAGTGGCAACTTCTCCCTCTAGTTGTTTCGGGTATTCCCTGCCAAGTTTCTTTGCTTAGATTTCCTCCATGGCACTTATTTGACATATTATACATTTAATTGTATATTTATTGTTGGTTTCCTTCCAGTTGAATGTAAGCTTCTTTAGGGCAGGGACTTTGTGTACTGCTGTTTCTCCCGTGCCCAGAATATCATCTGATTTAAGTGCTAAGTAAATATTAGTTGAGTGACTGACTAAATAAGTAAAAGGCAGAGTTTTGAGGACTAAGAATCTCAATTTCATCGCAATCTCATGTGTGCTGAGACTAGGAACATTTATTGACAGTGAGATTGCCTCAACTGTAATTCATGGGTCTTCAAGGAAGAATATAAAAACGAGAGACCAAGCTGGGTCCCTGGGATTTACAAAAATGCTG
Source organism: Homo sapiens (assembly GCF_000001405.40). NCBI lineage: Eukaryota > Metazoa > Chordata > Mammalia > Primates > Hominidae > Homo > Homo sapiens. Next base: position 103,746,517 of record NC_000005.10, read on the forward strand.
ACAATTATTTTAGCTTACACAGTTTCACACTTGTACTCATTGGCCCATTCTGATAATTTATACCTTAATAAATGGATGTTGTCTGTCTCCCAGAGAAAGACAAAAAAGTGGAAGATGAAACTGATTTTCCAAATCAGTTTCCTTTGGATGTAGTCCTTTGGAGAGCAATGATAACTAATATTAATGGATAAGAGTCTATGTAACAGCTTTGCCTTATTACTGGTTCTGAACTAAGCTATTCATTTCTAATCCTCAACAATGTACCTATTGTTTGGGCATAAAATATGAATGGATTGTGACCTTGCTAAGTAATGTTTAGAAAAGTTAACAGTTCTTTTACCATAAATCCCAGGAGAAACTAGCTCCTGGTGATAGGTCCCATGCAGAATTTTGGTTGAGGTAGTAAATAATACGGCCATTTAATACAAAGAAGTATCATCATGAAAGAGAGATCATCACTCATTCAGGATGAATTTAAGAATGGGAATTTATAATTTGACAAATAATGTCAGCTGTTTAGGAATAATTGGCCAAATGGAATATTCAGCCTAACTTGAATGATTTTAGATTATGAGCCATGATTTTATTTCAAAAGTTAAATACTGCATACCCCTGTGAATTTTAAAGTCTAGTCAATAAGCAGAAAAAAATGAGGAAAATTAAGCTGGTTAAAGTATAAAACGTGAACATCATTTAGAGATATGAGAGGATGTGAGTTTCTGGAAAACATCTGGAGCTGATGGTCTTTCCTCCGTGCTGCCCATCATTTCCTTCTAAAACTTGTGCTGCTTTCTCTCTTGGATTTCTTCCCTCTCTGATTTTCCTTCCCAAGTCTTACCCACACTGAAGATTTCCTTCTCCAGAAAACTTCCCTGTCAGAATTTCTACTGAAATTTATTCTATGAAATCTTGGAGACTTTATATTTACAAATCATACATTTAAACGTTAGTTTTCTCATTCCTCAACAGGATTTTAAATAACAGTGGGCAAGGTCCATGATGGCTTCTGTTTTTCCTCCTCCTTCTCTTTTTTCTCCTCCTCTTGTTCGTCCCTTTTATTCTTCTTCCTGTATGTCATTTCACTGCTGGCTCAGTGATAGAGCCGAATACATTTTCTATTTTACGGTGCTTAATACAGTTTGTGGAACAGGTAGAAAAGTTGAAAAGTTTGGAGTCAGACAGATTTGGCTTTTAATTAATTTTCTGTGACCTGCAAGTTCTCTGACCTTGGCCTAATTTCTTCTCTTTCTTTTTCAGCAACCTTCTTAAAATGATATACTTTTAGTATTGTCGTGACAATTAACTTTGATAACATATGTAACCTGTCTGCAATATAGGATATACTCAACCATGTCCTATTTCTTCTTCTCATCTTGATTTTACTCATTTGACATTGTGAAGAATGTAATTATTTGTATGGTCATGAAAACTTGTGTGGAAGATTCTAAATGAGACTTTCCTGGCTGATCTGTGCGATGTTACTTTAAGGTGTTTGGGAAAGTAGAAGATAAAAGGAAACATTCAGGTAATTGGTCATTTTGAGGTCATTTCATCATCAAAATGGTCCTTTTGAAAAAGATATTTTTTGGGCCGAGGCAGGCGGATCACAAGGTCAGGAGATCAAGACCATCCTGGCTACAGTGAAACCCTGTCTCTACTAAAAATACAAAAAATTGCCGGGGCATGGTGGTGGGCGCCTGTAGTCCCAGCTACTGGAGAGGCTGAGACAGGAGAATGTCCTGAACCTGGGAGGCGGAGCTTGCAGTGAGCCGAGATAGTGCCACTGCACTCCAGCCTGGGCGACAAAGTGACTCTGTCTCAAAAAAAAAAAAGAAAAATATTTTTTTCCCACCTTTTTCTTTTTTCCTCCCTTCCTCCCCAATTTTCCTTTATTCCTACAGCTCTTCCTTTTGATAGTATAACACTTATGTTCAGAGATAAAATGCAATTAAATAAATATAGTGGCTTATAAAGTAGGCATGTGTATAGAGGGGCAATTCAATTTTGTGACATCTCAGACATAAAAAAATTGTATGTCATGATTTTACGTTTTCCTTTAGTTTGACAAACAAGAGTCAGTATGCACAAATACTTTCGATTGCAAAGGTATATTCTCCAAACACTCAGGACTTTGATTTTGAAATGATAGCTAGGTCTGATTAGGCACATCTTGCTATTATTTCAAAATGTTATCTAATTCCAGCCGTTCAACTTGACATTTCTTTCCTATATTTCCCCCTGATGATTTACATTTCCAATAATGTACAATATTAACTTCAATGTTCCTAAACTGAAACTAATTTTGTTCCTTGCCCATATTTCCTTTCACTCAGATCCATTTGTCTAGCTTCTACATGCTTGTTCAAATTTGCAACACCACCCAATTTTATGTAAACTGAAAATTTCATGATCTTTCTTCCAAACCATTACTGATGGTGGGAAATGAGAGATTTATTTTCAGTCCTTATAATCACTTCCCCCATTGAACCCTATTATTATTATTATTATTATTATTATTATTATTATTATTTTGTTTGCAGCCTTGAAAATGGTTTTTATTCTATAGAACTGTATTTTTATAGAAGCCAATTTGAATTAATTTTTGTTTTTGAGATGGAGTCTTGCTCTATGCCCAGGCTGGAGTGCAACAGCACGATCTTGGCTCACTGCAACCTCCGCCTCCCGGGTTCAAGTGATTCTCCTGCCTCAGCCTCCTGAGTAGCTGGGACTACAGGCCCATACCATCACGCTCAGCTAATTTTTTGTATTTTCAGCAGAGACAGGGTTTCACCGTGTTAGCCAGGATGGTCTTGATCTCCTGATCTCATGATTCACCCGCCTTGGCCTCCCAAAGTGCTGGGATTACAGGCGTGAGCCACCATGCCAGGCCAATTTAAATTAATTTTTGAGTATGAGACACAAATAAAGTGTTTTCAGAATCAGAATGTATTATGTCTATGATATTTCCTTTGCTATTTTTTTGGTTTTATCAAAATTAAAATTTGAAGAAATTGCAGTTTTCTCTTACAACGGATCAAAATTGCTTTGCTTTTTATATCATTTTCTGTATATTTTAAATATTTCTCTTGCTTTTCGTTTGATTTTTCCAGAACTTAAAAATTTTGTGCACTAGGAGGAGGCTATAGATAGGATTAGTGCGGCTATTTGCTTTTATTCAATGTTTGGCAATATGTTTAACAACATCTTTCTTGAGAAAAATTTGTTTTATTTTTATAATAACTACTCTAGTGTAAGGGAGAAGTATTTTTGGGTCTCTAAAATAACCTTGGGTAATTTAGAAACAGTGTTTCTAATTACTGAACTTTTTTAAACTTTGGCAATAATACTTGTTTCTAAATTTTTATCATATCTACTCATACCCATATAAACTTATGTTTACTACTGATTCCATCATCTAATTTTTCTCTCTGGGCCATTTTTTTTCTGAGAAAGAAGATGCATTTTCAAAATATCTAAGGACCACATTAAATTAAAAGATGTATTTCCACCATTAAAATTTTAGTTGTCCTGCAGTCACTCTCACCTCTCTGTCTTCTTTTTGGCCGTTTAGAATAATTTTGCCAAAAGCAAGCTCCTTTTTATTGCTTACTTGCCAGTACTTAAAAAAATATTGCCATGTGAAACTGGCATTCTTTCCCTTAGACTTAATGTATATGCTTATGAATCATTGTAAAATCCCAACTTAAAGTAGTTCCTACCCCAACAAGCTCTAATGGAAAAGGAAATACCTGGGAGAGGGGCATACTCAAGAATGAATTAAATATAAAGAGGGCAGCTAACCTTAGTCTCACTCTATGGGCATATTTATTATTTTAATTACTGTATGCTAGACTTCTATATCTCTTTGTCATTATTGATTTTTTTTTCATTTGGCTTTTATTTGGTACCAACTAAATGGAATATTTTCTGAGAAGCGAAATACTTCTAGATCATTGCAGTCTTTAACAATACAAGCAATATTCAACCAGGGATTTATAATCAGAGATTCCTTTGAATTTCTTAATTCTGTGGTATAAATGGGTCCTTGCCTATATTTTAAAAAATCTCTTTCTACTTCTTTTGCTCAGACTTAGTCTTACTCAAATGTTTTTATTATTTTTTATTTATTTATTTTTTGAGATGGAGTCTCACTCTGTTGCCCAGGCTGGAGTGCAGTGGCGGGTTCACGCCATTCTCCTGCCTCAGCCTCCCAAACAGCTGGGACTACAGGCGCCTGCCACCACATGCGGCTAATTTTTTGTATTTTCAGTAGAGATGGGGTTTCACGTGTTAGCCAGGATGGTGTCATCTTACATTGTAGGCCTGAAAACTCATCTTTTGCTTTATTCCTGAGGACAGCCTTTTGATTGTATCCCATGTTAAATAGGTGATTCCTAGGTGTCTGTCTTGAGAACGTTTTTTTGTAAGTTTGTTTAATTTTGTTTTTGAAATATGGAAAGTATCTTGTTCTGGATTTCTTCATTCAATGAATATTTATGAGATATAAGTATTTAGTGTATTTATATAGCCCTAGAAATTCAGGATCAACAGGGTAGAAAGTTTCATACTCTCATACTACTTTAATTCTTATGGGAGAAACAGGCAATATACAAATAAACAGAGAAATCAGATAATTTCAGAAGATAAAAAATTTCTGTGAAGAAAACAAATCAGTGTGAGATGATGATAGAGAGGAATCGGAGAAGTGGTTGAACTTAGACTAGGCAGGCAAAGATGTTCAGTCAGAGAAGGGAACTGTTTCACTGTGCTCCCTATGGAAATGTGGAGTCAACAAGAGAAACTCGGGGAAGAGCATTCAAAGCCTTGCTGATAGCAATTATCAAAGGCCCAAGATGCCAATTACCTTTAAAACTTACCTTGTTTGAGCAAGGTAAGAAATGTGGCTAGTTTGCAGTAGGTGGTGTATGAGATGAATTTGAAGAGGTGGAAGCAAACAGATCAGCTGGGGCCCTATAAGCCATGGCAGTGAATTCAGATTTTGTCATAAATGCAGGAAAGCCATTGAAGATTTTAAGCAGAGGAGTAACATGAACTAATTTATGTTTTTAAAGGATCATGTTGACTGCTTTAAGGGTAATAGAAAAGTTCAAGCAGACCGGGCGTGGTGACTCACGCCTGTAATCCCAGCACTTTGGGAGGCTGAGATGGGCAGATCACGAGGTCAGGAGATCTCGACCATCCTGGCTAACATGGTGAAACCCTGTCTCTACTAAAAATATAAAAAATTAGCCGAGTGTGGTGGCAGGCGCCTGCAGTCCCAGCTACTCGGGAGGCTGAGGCAGGAGAATGGTGTGAACCCGGGAGGCGGAGTTTGCAGTGAGCCGAGATCATGCCACTGCACTCCAGCCTGGGCGACAGGGCGAGACTCTGTCTCAAAAAAAGAAAGAAAGAAAAGTTGGAGCAATGAAGGTTACTTCTTTATAAACTTCTTTGTAAGGTCACTGTTGTAGTATTAATAATTTGGACAAGGCTGGGCGTGGTGGCTCACGCCTGTAATCCCAGCACTTTGGGAGGCTGAGGTGGGTGGATTGCGAGGTCAGGAGTTCAAGACCAGCCTGGCCAAGATGGTGAAACCCTGTCTCTACTAAAAATACAAAAAATTAGCCGGGTGTGATGGCAGGTGCCTGTAATCCCAGCTACTCGGGAGGCCAAGGCAGGAGAATTGCAGAATCGCTTGAACTTGGAGGGCCGAGGTTGCAGTGAGCCGAGATCGCACCACTGCACTCCAGCCTGGGTGACAGAGTGAGACTCCATCACAAAAAAAAAAAAAAAGAAAAAGAAAAAGTTTGGACAATAGACAATAAGGTCTGTTTATATTTTTTTCAAATTTTTTTCAAATTTTAATTAAGAGTGCATGTTAAATTAATAAAGGGAAGAGTGGAAGAATGAGAGTAAGCATTAGAAGTAGGTACTTATTTCAAAAGCTTTCCATGGAACCACGAACATGAAAACAATCTAAGTACTTTGGTCATTTGGTAACCTGAGGTCTGAGAATCCTAGGAAATCAAAAGAAGAGGGAGATTCATGATATCATCAGATATTAAAGATTACTTCCAGAGTAGTATGGTCCACCTAGTATATAGTAATCAGGGTTCTCCAGAGAAACACAACTAATAGGGTGTCTGTGTATGTGTGTGTGTGAGTGTGTGAATGCGTGCGTGCACATGTGTGTGTTTCTATATCTAATCTGTATCTATATACATGGAGAGAGAGAGAAAGAGAGAGTTTAAGGAGTTGGCTCACTCTTTTAAGGAGTCTGCCATGTCCAAATTTTGTAGGGTAAGCAGGCTGGCAGCTTAGATACCCAGGGAAAATTTAATATTGCAGTGTAAGTCCAAAGATATACTGCTAGAATAATTTCTTTACGCTCAGGAGAGACCAGTCACTTTCTTAAGGCCTTCAACTGACTGGATAAGTCCTACCAGTATTATGAAGGGTAATTGAGTCAATCTGCTTTACTCGAAGTCTACTGATTTAAATGTTAATCTCATCTAAAAAAAACCTTCACAGCAACATCTAAGTATGTTTGACCAAATATCTGATACTGTGGCCTAACCAAGTTGCCACATAAAATTAACCATTCCACCTAAGAAAGTTGAATTCTAGGTACAACAACTCTGAAGAAACAAACTATGTGGGCCATATCATAGGAATCTTAGCAATAATAGTTCGAGAAAGATGACCAATGACCAGAAAGACACACTCTGGCTTTGGGGTTACACAAGTCTTGTCACACCCCTTGTTGAGAAAGTAGATAGCGTACCATAGGGAAAGCAATTAGGTAATGGAAAGGCCTTTCTCTCAGAGATATGACAAAGCAGCAAATGTGTTTCATTAAGGTGACTATAAGCAAACTTGAATGGCATTTGTAATCAAAGAGGTATTGCTGGCCTTGAATTATATCTTTGAAAGCTCCTCACAAAAATCTATGCCAGAAAGATGTGCTTCCCATTATATTTGCAGGGAGATGTTTAATTTTTTACATTATCTTTATTCTCTTGGAAAATATTTAGAGCAAAATCACTTCCATTATCAAATAAGACTCCACATCAAACCTATGCTTCACTTCAGTCCTTCCAATTTGTAGGGACTGACAGGACAAAGCACACATATCACCAAGACTTGCTGTTTCTTTTGAACATTGTCCCTAGCCTTATGATACAAAAACATTCTCTTAATACCAGAGCCAGTGTAGTATAAGAAAAAACATATGGGTTCTGATTTAAATGGAACTAGTATCAAATTCTGGCTCTGACATTTCTATTGTTTGTCTTTGGATAAGTTCTACTTAAGCACTTTAAGGCTCAGTTTTCTTATCTGCAAAATGGAAATAACAATTCCTCTTTTGTAGGGCTACTAGGAGGAATAAATGAGACAATATATGTGTTCCAAAAACATTGAACTTCTTTTCCTCTAACTCTCACTCCACAAGAGGAGGTTATTATTAGGGTATTTTGGAAAATATCTTGGTTGTTTAAAAGATTACTCAGGATTATTCAGAAAAAAAGGAAAGCAGAATCATTTTGAGACTGTTTATATGTTTTGATATGGCTCAATATCAAGTTTTTGTTTCTTCTTTTGGACTCTTTGTAGTATGTTTCTTTAAGATTCCATGTTACATTGATTTGTTGACAGGTTAAACAATAATTTTTATTTCTAGAAAATGAATGTTTTGGCATGCTCATTGACTATGTGTTTTTGGTATCAACAAGGCAGTCTTTATCAAATGCTGTCAAAATGGAAAGCCAAATAAAACTGAGGGCACTAATTGTGTTCTAGTTATACTGATTAGTCCTTCGCAAATCAAGGAAGATTTTCCACATAGATTCTCAAGAAAATTTTTACTGAATTTGAACTCATGTCCACAGATTGATTGTATCACATATTTACTCTTTTTTTTTTTTTTTTTTTTTTTGACATAAGGCAACCATTAGATTAAACAGTACAAACCTGCAAAGGGATGATAAAGAAATCAGACAATTGATCAAATGAAAGTCAGTTGCTGAATCAAATATAAATCTGATTTACCTTGATATTCCCTTTTGATTTGATTTTCGTGGGTATCTATTTGTCTAGAAATTCCACCTGTATCTATTGAAAGCAGATGCTTCAATAGTTCTAAACTGAAAGATACTCTAAACACAGAAGTTCAGTAAATGGGGAGATCGTTATGTTAAAGGCATGGAATCAATAAATATAAATGTAGCCAGGAGAAACTTTTTGAATCATATAATATTTTCAAAGGACTGACAACTTGTAAAAAGAACAACAAAACTAAAAACTAAAATAATCCTTAGAAATCTAAAGCAGTGGCCGGGCGCAGTGGCTCATGCCTGTAATCCCAGCACTTTGGGAGGCTGAGGTGGGCAGATCACCTGAGGTCAGGAGTTCGAGACCAGCCTGGCCAACATGGTGAAACCCCATCTCTACTAAAAAAATGCAAAATTAGCCAGGCGTGGTGGCGGGCACCTGTAATCCCAGCTACTCAGAAGGCTGAGGCAGGAGAATCGCTTGAACCCAGGAGGTGGGGATTGCATTGAGCCAAGAATGCACCATTACACTCCAGCCTGGGCTACAAGAGCAAAACTCTGACTCAAAAAAACAAAAAAAAGAAGAAAGAAAGAAAGAAAGGAAGGAAAGAAGGAAGGAAGGAAGGAAGGAAAGAAAAGGAAAGGAAAGGAAGGAAGCTAAAGCAGTGTGATAATTCTATGCTAAATAAATGTTAATTTTGACTTTGGGTATCTAAAATTGGTTTCACCAAGTGTCATTCAGAGCTGAATTTATCTTAGGGAGGTTTAAGTAAATTGCAGGTAAATGTTGTGTTAGTACAGGAGTGATGATGTAAAGACAGTGATAACAATCTATACATTTTAAACTTTAACAAGTTTTATAGCAGAGTTACCATTGTATCTTCTGGATAGAGAGTTTGTATCTTTTCTCTTCAACATCCCAAGGTATTGTACATGCACTATCAAGACATAAAGAAAAAGTCTGAAAAGTATTTTCGATTCATTCAGTAACAGGACTGGAAAGGCATTGTCTGATCCGACCTACTCTTCTCACAGAAGCAGAAACTTAGACTCAGAAGTAACCTGTGTTGAATAACAACTATGCCAATTGTTACAAAGATCATACAATCAAATTAGACAAGCAATCACTGTTATCAAACTATTTACATGTGAACATCAATTACAGGGAGAAATGTGAAGGTGTAGTCTTTTCAGATGCACTTGACACAGAAAAGAGAAGATATGAGAAGAGAAAAAGAGAAGAGAAAAGTATTTAGAGAGGTAGACAGCTTACCTTGGAGAGATTTGCAATTAGCAAATCTCTGATGGAGCTTACCTAGGAGAGATTTGCAATTAGCTCAGCCCAAGCCATTAGTGTTGTGGTTTTTATTTCTGTAATTGGGCAAAAAAATCACGAGGAAAGTTAAGCAGACAAGAAAGACTTTATTTAAGATTATTGCAACAATGATAGAGATTATTATAATGGAGGAGACAGGTTGAACTCTGCTTCAAAAAAAGGCAGTATTTTTAAGCATAATTGAGCTAGTGCAAAAGTACTGGAGGACATTGTTCAATGTAATTAGGCCATCTGTGTCTAATTCTCACTTAACAATGTTAGGCTCCTACTATTCCCCCAGATCCTGGAGATAGAGGCATTATAATTCTTTAAAAAAAAAAAAAAATACAAGGTCTCACTATTTTGTCCAGGCTGGCCTTGAACTCCTGGGCTCAAGTGATCCTTACACCTCAGCCTCCTGAGCAGCTAGTACTAAAGCTGCCACACCCAGCCTTATTATTCTTAATAATTACTTTTCAAATAAATGTCTCCTAGGTCCAAGGAGTTGTGTTATAAGATTGGCAAGAGGCTAGAATAATATTAATATCACAAAAGGACAGAACAAGAATTTACAATTGCAAGTTTTCTAAAGCAAATGCTCTAAGAACTGGCAGGTCAGGGGCCTATAGTCAGGAAGAAGCCTGCCAATCTGAGGGAAATATTAAAGCTGTCTTGGATTGATTTCATTGCTTTATAAGTAACATTTCATTTATTTTCACACATGACTTTTGTTCCTGTCTAATGAGTCATATAATCTTTATAAAATGATATTGCCACCATTTTGCAATGAAGAATCAGAAGCTCAGAAAAGTCATTTCTCAAAATAAGGACTTGAAGGGAGCTGCATTTAGGTTTCTGACTCTAAGTCTGGTGCTGATTCTACTATATTAACTGGTTTCTTTAAGATAACAATGAATGTTGTAATATTTACAGTTTCTATAGGACTTTTATGTAGATTATCCAGTTTGTGCTTCACACTGAGGCACAGATAGCCTATAATTATCTTCAATGATAAATAATGTAATTAAAATGCTGAGAAATTAAATGACTTTTCAAATAATGATACTGGAATCCAGATCTCCAAATGCCATTAACTAATGAATTCAACACATATTTAGACAAATACTCAATATGCATCAAGTTCTATGTCGAGAGCTAGGGATTTGAAAGAAAGCAAGGTCTCTGCCCTCATGGAGCTTGCATCCTAATGAGAATTGGTAGAATGAAAGGAAAGAAATGTGAGAACAAGATAATGAGGGAAAACTACGAGGGTAATGAGAAAAAACATAACCTGTCAGGGTGGGTGGTGTTTACATGTTTGGATGAGGAAGGCTGCTGAAAGGAGCGAACGTCTGAGCTGAGAACTGGTGTAATAACATTCCTGACAGAGGGGACAGAAATTATATAAGTTTGGAAAGGAAAAATAATAATCAGCAAAACACCTAGTATAAGTAAGATACATTTTCAAGTCCTTTGTGAATTTGAATCACTTAATCCTCATAGCATCCTTTTGAGGTAGCTACTATTATTATTCCCAAGTTACAAGTAGAGAAATTGTCCCCTCTTGCATAGAGAAGTTAAGTAAATTGGCCAACATCACATAGCTGGAAAGTGACAGAGCCAGGGCTGCGATTTGCACTTATGCAGTCTATGTTTTTAATGCAATACATGGTGCTGGTCCTGGAAGAATAGCAGGAAGGCTGGTGTGGCAGAAGCATGATGAGAAGGTAGGCATGTAGACAAAGCTGGAGTTAAAGAGGGGGCACAAAAATCAGATCATGCACTGTTTGTGAGCCACTGGAAGGAGTTGGGATATTTTCCCATAAACTATGGAAATCCACCAGAGTGTTTTCAGCTGGGAGAGAATCAGGGCAATCTCATGAAATCATGAGAAAAAAAGTGTTGCAGGGAAATCTCATGCAATCGGACTCACCTGTAACACTTTGTTTCTGTCTCCCTAATGCTTGATATCCATATTTACGAGCTAAATTCTCCTAAGCCAGCTATCATCAGCCATCCACACGTGATAACAGGTGAGGGGAGGGAGGAAAAGGGTGTGTTTGGGAAAAGCTGGGGCTGAAGCTGTACCATAGAGTACTGTAAGCAAACACTCCAGTAAAACATTCAAGGATAGGATACAATATTGATACTGATAAATATCTGTATGATGTCAACACGGAAGAGCTACAGGAGATACAAACACTGTAGGTGGCCATTTTATTTTAACACTCGGTGTAACTCTTTATCACTGGTGGTGCAGTTATAGAGATATTTTTCCAGCAGCCACGTTTATGGCTTGTTACTCAGTTGTTGGCATGTTACACTGAAGATTTATGTCTCTTTGAAGACATTATGTTTATTATCAGTGTGTCAAGACAGTATATCCAGGTGAAAATATAAATGTAAATAACCAATATCCTCCGAAGGAGAGTCAGGAGGAAAGTTGCAATCCTTTCTCGACTTTGAGCGTGTGGAGTTTAGGGATATTTGATATGTACTTAGGAAAGACTGTGATTGATGTGTTGAAAGTTAATGGGAACTCAAAAATTAAACAAAATGTACATGACCCACTGTCTTAAAAATCAATGTCTAAATTTTTGTAGCAGTTTGCATTATAGATTTTACAATCTTTTTAACATCTTAAAAATAGAAACACTTGCACAAAGATTTAGTGACTTTCAAGTCAAGCAAATTACTTGATGAACAGAGATCATAAAAAAAACTTTCCTAATTGAAAAGATTCAGAAAAACTAAAGGCCCTTAAGATTAAAACAGTAAAAAGATTATGCCGATTTAGTTCCAACCAGCATACTTTTCTGTAGGCAAGAGGGTATTTTCAGCGATGTTCAATGAGTTGTTTTTTTTTTTTTTTAATGATATTTGGGTGGTGAAGTGACTGCGACACTGTTAACAATATGGGAAGAAAAGTTGATGGCACTTCTCTCCCTCATTATTTGCAGCACTTCCTTCAGTACAGTTGGTGGTCTTGTTACAGGCAGAAGGGCCCACTCAACATATCCAGTATTAGGTATTTCCTACTTATAAAGTTGCATCTGAGAAAGACTGAAGATGAATGCATTGAGAGCTCTGAGTGTCACAGGATGGAGCTCATGTGAGTGCCAATGTGAACATATTTATACCTGGAAGTAAATGTTTCTTTCCCTTTCTTCCTGGACTTTGGTAGAATATTTTTCCATGGATATCTAGGTGGATATTGTCTTTACTTAACAAATCTGGCTTCCAGATTGTCTGTTTGGTAAATGCTCTCAGAATCTCCAATGTGCCAGACACAGACAGCTGTTCTTGTTTGATTATCGACTTAACTATGAAATGTGTCTCCTGACATTTGCGTATGAGGGTAGCTTTGGCAGAGTTGGTAAGAAGGAGAAAAGGTAATTCTCTGTCAGTTAAAAATCCATCAACATTTTAATTGTTTTTGTTCAATTTCTGATAAGATAGCTCCTGAAACTTTGCCCACATGTCTTCTATGTGGAGATCCTGGGCAATTCTTCTGGCATAGCGGTTCTCGCTGCTATTTTATATTCATTTGGCCCTGCTTCTCTTTGGTGTGATTTCATGTTCATAAATTATTTTTTTCCTCTCTGTAATAAGAAACAGGACAAGATAGTGGGGAGGAGGAGAGAATAATTACCATTACCATTCATAAGGAAACATAATTCTGAAAAAACTATCTTGTTTCCTTGGAGCACTGGGGATAAACTGTCATGACTTGGAAGCATTTTGTGAATTTGCAAAGATCTTCAAGACCAACTATAGTTTACCATGTTAATTTCTTATTGATTTTTAGCAATTTTAAATTCTTAAAGCTTAGCTTAGCGTGCGCCTCTAGGCTTTTTAATTAGATCTGTATATAAAAGTCCAAAGTGTTGATGGAACTTTTATGAATTGTTTTAAGATCTGGGAAAAAGGGGAAAAAAAAGAAGCAGTTTATCTTTTGTTTGGTAATCACTTTCATTATGGAGATTGTGGTGAAAACAAAGGAGAATTTTACTTTTGTTAGAAAATATTGAATATTCTAAACCTTCTTATAATAATTGGCTTTAATGTCATTCCCATTGTAAGTGTTAAATCATGATATTTTCATTACCCAGTGTTACAATAAATTTTATAAAATAAGAAAAATGTTAAGATTTTATTTTGTTTTAGAAAGAACATATACATTTTCCATTTAATTTTCTATAATGGTAATTCAGTTACTAAGAGAACCATGAGTTCTTCTTTTATAAAGTGAAAAATTACAGAATGATTTGCTGAGGGCAATACATATGGAACAAAATGTAAAAGTTTTATATTTTTTTTCAGTGAGAAATGTGGTTTAACATCTTCCAACTAGATAATGTTGCCTCCTGTATAAATAGGGCATAACTCATCTTGCACCCACTGTCATTATCTTTCAATGGGATTAATTCTGAGTCCTCCCTGATCCCCACCCAACTGGTGTCTTCACCTTCATTCTGAAACACCACCAATGAGCTTACGTGCGTTTTAGTAGAGAGCCCACAGAAATTTGATAGAAGGCTTGGCTCTGAGTCTGCATTATGCCACCAAATAACAGCTAGATTGTAGGTGAATTATTTTGATTATAATTTCTTCTCTACATGTTTCGAAGAGTTTTGTGATGAGAACATAAATACTTAGAGGTGCTTTTTAATGTAGTGCCATATAAATAAAAGACACCATTATTCCTGAGGCACAGCCCATATTCCCTTCTCAAAAATCTTAAATGATTGCCTCTTGCCTAAATTCCAACCTTTTTAAAAAATCATTGAAGGTCTCTGATCTCCCACCTATATACGTATGTATACGTATGTGGATGTTCCAGTTATTACAGTTGTAAAATAAAATGTCCCAAAACCTAGTAGCCCAAGACAGCCTATAAACATACGTAGATGGAAGATTAGAGACCCTGAAATTGGAAATAAATATATATATATATACACACACACACACGGCCTCTACTCATCTACCATTCCAATCCTGTTTCCCTCCTCCCTTTCATGCACTCTTGATTCAACAGTCTTCCAAGTTCTTCCCTTTTAACATGTTAATTCTTTGCATAAAATTTTCTTTTCCAAATATTCAATTTATTCTCCTCCACTTATATAGTCTTTCATGACCCTGTCCTGCTACATATAGAAGAAATCCCTCATATCTCTGAAAAACCATACCTATTTTTCTTTGTTTCATCATTTTCTATTTTATTTATGGAATGGCTTTATCTCCTCTCCTATACATTCCTGAATGATTCGTTATACCCCAAATGCCTAGAGCTTCCATTGCACATTCTAGCTGCTCTATAAATATTTGCTGAGTGAATATAAAAAAGCATAATACCACTTTTCTTATTTCCTGAAGTTCTTTTAAAAAGTTATTGTGCTTCTAAAGATCCTTCAAAAAAAGGCCTGTTATTATGATGATGGTGGCAAGTATGTACAAATAGCAAAAACCTACACATTTAATTAGATGTCAGCCTTCATTTTGTATTGAAAATTAAGTAATGAGAAAATCTTTCATTAAAAATTACTCTTTCTCTTTGTGCAGAGATTTACTGCTGAGTATTATTGATTTTTTTCTGACAATCTCCACAAGTTAGTAATTTCTTTTGCTTGGACTTTGAATCTCAAGGACAAGATTCTGGAATATTGGAAGTGAGATGTAAAGAATAAGAGAGAGGTATATCTAGCTTGTTTGCTTTATCACTTGGCCATATTAGAGATTGTGTGTGTGTGTGTGTGTGTGTGTGTGTGTGTGTGTGTTTACTGAGGACAGCCCTATAAGACTCATTTGGGAAGATTTTTCACCTTACTTAATCTTAATGACAGGTCAAAGTATTTAGTGGCCTTTATACCATTTGTATTCATGTATTCCATGGGTCATGCAGTTCTCTTATTTGATTAAAAAATCTAACACTGATATGGAAATGTTGATACCATATCTAAAAGACAGTGAAGATAAATGGAAGAGTCAGAGTCACTAGTGGAAATTTATCTGCAAGTTCACTCTGTCTTGTATGTGGGTGTTCCACTTATTACCAGGTGTATGATAAAATGTCCCCAAACCTAGTAGCACAAGACAGCCCTTTATAAACAGCCCTTTATTGTATTCACAGATTCTGTGGGGCGAGGGCATTGTTAAGGCAAAGAGTGTCAGCTTGTCTCTGCTCTACAATGCCTATGTCCTCAGCTGGAAGACTTGAAGACCAGAGACTAGAATTATCTGATGGCTTCTCTGAGCATGTTTCGCTATGTCTCTGTAGTCTCTCTCTGTGATCTTGACAATTTGGCAACTTCATGGTAGCCAGATTTTTCACTCATTGGCTCCCAATTCTCTTGTCCTTAGAAGAGGTGGTATGTATGGAAAGCCAGCAAAAGCTGAATTGTCTGTTTGGATCTAGTCTCAGAAGTTACACAACATCACTTCTTGTATTCTGTTTGTCAAGACAGTCACAAAGTTACATCCAATTTCAAGGTAGGGTGTTAGGTGAAGGTTAGTGGCAAGGGTCTGGAAGAAAATATGAGACTAGAAATCTCATCATGGCCATTTGAGGAAAATACAATCAACTGTAGTGGGTATCTTGAAATTTCAATTAAATTATGGTTTAGGATTATAAAATTTAAACATAAATAATGATATTAAGCCTTGTTTTGTGAGTCTATTCCAGACACTTCTCCTCTAGGTTTATTGTCATATTTTGGGAGGAATTTGGAATTTTTTAGTTTTTCTGGTAAATTGCCCCAGCTTAATCATATGCTTAAGAGCAACAAACAAAATTAAACAGGCATACTTAAACAAGTATATGATCCTGCAATAATTTCTCTAAAAGTAATGACCATGTAGAAATAATTAGAATTTCAAATCATGTTAAAGTCAATTTCTTTCTGCTAACCTGAGTCAGCAGACACTAACCAAGCTTAGAAGAACTATTCTAATTTCAGCGTACAATATCCAGAAATAAAGCAAATGTGAAGGACTCCATGGCCTTCAGAGATGGAACTTTGCCCCTTATCTCAAAGCCTTTTATTTCTAAGATGTGTGCTACTTCCAGCAGACCTGACTCATTAATGCCTGTCTCCTTTCCATGTTGCTCTGGATGGTCAAAGCATCATTATTGAGAACGTACCTTGTGCAAGGCACACTTTTTTTCCTAATTGCTTTGCATAGAGATGAGTACTTTTTCAAGGTTGAAGGCTTCGGATGAGAAAAAGACTGCTATTGAGCTAATCAGAGCATTTGTAGGGAAGGGAAGGGGGTCAGTGATTTTCTAAGAAGAACAAAGTCTTTTCTCTTTTCCTTTTTCTGTTTTTAAATATGGGTACAGTCTATAAAACTTAATATTTGCTTATTCTTGTTTTGTTTTATTCCCCATTGTATATCCATTTTATCTTTTACAGGGATACCCTTTTGAAACGCACACATTAATTTTAAGAAAGAATAAAATCAGTATTTTTATGATATTGTCACAAGATCCTTAGGGTGTCACTTTGCCATCCAGAAACCTCTGTGGCTGGTGGTGCCTTTGCCCAAGTTTGCTTGGGCCTGCTGGGCTTGTTCTGATCACTTGGCCTGGCAGGCTGTGCTTGGCTTTTGCTTCTGGCCCAGATCCTATGCCTGCCAAGGGCGAGTCAGGTGTGGAGTGGTGAGGGGTGTGTGAATGAGTGAGTGTGGGGTCTGACCACTGTGAACAGCCAGGCATGCTGGCTATGTCAGGGTGGGCAGCTCCAGATGCTGACATGGGCACTGGCTCCTTGCTGTGGCTAGACCAGACATACTACAGAGGCTTCCACTCGGGCACTGGGAAACATGCTGGTGCCAGGAATCTTGGAGATGCCAGGAACCACAGAGCCCCATAGAGGGTGTCACAGCGCTGGCTCTGAGAGCTCCTAAGTTTGGGCTTCCCGAAGGGCCGCAGCTCTTCTTTCCTTCTCATCACAGGCAATGTGGAGAGCAGAGGGGCATGTTTCCGCCCTATTTCTGTTATAGCTCCTTCAGTCCGACTAATTCGGTGGGTCCAGAGTTCTTGTCCTGTGTCCAGGAAGAATGAGGTGTGCGGACAACTGGAGGGTGAGTGAAGTGAAGAGGTACTTTTTTATTGAGCAAAAGTACAGATCTCAGAAGACCAAAAGTGGATAGCTCCTTTCCACAGGCAGGTCATCCTGATGTCTTTGCAGCCCTCAGCAGAAAGGAGACCTGGAGTAGGTAGCTGTTATCTGCAGATAGGTTGTCCTGACAAGTATACAACTCTCAGCGGAGAGGAAACCCACAATGAGTAGCTCCTGTCCACAGGCAGGTCCTCCAAGCATCTGCCCAAGTCTGGCTGCGTCGAGTTTTTATGGGCTTCAGAAGGGAGTTAAGTGTGTGCCGATTGGTCCATGGGCGGCCATGGGCAGGCCCAGAAAAAGCACCATAAGTTCTCACTCCAGTCTGTGGAACTGGCAGCTGAGCCCCCTGGCTTCTGGCAGTACCTGGCTTGAAGGTGGGGTTTCACCAGGGACCCACCCCTTTCCACCCAGGAACCTGTCTGCCTCCTGTTGCCATCAATATGTTGTCCACAGCACCCCGGCTTGTCCATGCTGAGGGGCACCTGCAGGCCTGCACCGAGCCACCCTTAGCCCTCTCTCAGCCTCCCTCTCATGCTCATGGGTCCCCAAAGTCCGGAAGGGGCCAAGGCAGAAGGCCGCTGGTGTGTCAGCTTTGCCCTGAGTGCACGCACACCCGGCCTGGTTGTGATAATGCCTGGGCTCAGCCACAACTTTGCTCTGAAATCAAAGCGGACGCTAGGAGTAGGAAAGGCCAGGCAGTGGGAGTAGGCACTTTGGAGACCGTTGGGGCAGGGATTGGTGGCTTCCCAGGCCCCTGAGAGGGCAGGGATGCTTGGGTCCACAGCTATGGCTGGGCGGCTGTAGCTGCAGCTGCGCCCAGGAGCATGGGGCGCCTGCTCCACCAACTCGGAATTAGTCGGGGCTCCATGGAGCATGCAGCCTGGCCATGCCTCCCCCACTACAGCTGTCGTCTTTGCAACAGCCGCTTCGGATGGGCTGCTGCTGTCATCAATATGGGCCCTAACTCTTTTAGAAAATGATCTTTTACATCCTTATGAATATTGCTATCAGTTGGTATATTTTTGCTAATCCCCTCTAAATTTATACTTTATGAAACTGAAGACTTTAGTGTGCAACTTCATGCTTCTAGAATAGTCGTGCTTCCAGAATATGTCATGATCTAACTGTTAGGGCAAAATGATAGAACATGTTTTTGTTGTTGTTTTGTATACAACTGATAGTTGACAGATTAAGTTTATACATCAAGTGTCATTTTATTATCTGCTGTGGTTGTTTTGTGCATTTTAATTTGATGTAGCTTATTGTATTTTTGCCCTGAGATAAATGATGCAAAAGTGCTATTCAGTAAAACAGAGCACATACCTCTTGGTTGTTTACGTATTTCCTTTTGATATACATTAAGAGAGCTAAAGTACAAAACGGAAATGAACTTCTTGCTTCAACAATGGGTATTCTGGTCTTTGCCCTGAAGGAGATGAGAGTGCTGATTGTGTAGCTTCATGAATTGCAGGTCTTAGTGTTAGTGGAGTTGCAGTGGAGAAACTCAAATGAGGTCACTTATGATGGACTGTTCTTACCCTCACCCATCTTTCTGTGGCCCAGTGACACCTGTAATGAGATATCTGTCAGGGGCAGGGTACAATGTTAGTTGCCAGCATTCTGTGGTTTTCCCAATGATTCAGCTAACTACTGGTTTTTCTAATAATAAAAAGGGGAAAATAAAAAAGGAAGAAGGAGCATGCAAGAATAAAAGGAAAACATGGCTACATATAAGGCAGGCATTAGAGATAGAGAGACAATTGCTTTCTAATTTGTGAAATAATATAATTTAAATATGTGAGAAAGGAAATTTCAGCCAAAGGAAATAGCATGGACATATGGACCAAATTGAATCAAGATGGTAGAGTTAGAATTTATTTTTTAAAGGAGTTTTCTATTTCTCTTAATAGAGAAATTAACAGAGTCCTCAGTGATGAAGAAATTTGCATATGCATCTTTTATATAAATGCTTTAAAAAGTTTTTCTGAAACCCAGACTACACCAAACCCTTAGTTGTTTATTGTGACCTTTAGATTACTTAGTAACCTTCCCCCATAATGTTTCTCACACTTCTATATTCAATAATGCTTACAACATACTGGATGTCTACTCTCAGCCAGAAATGCTGTAATGCTGGTGTCTCTCTCTTTCTATATACACACACACATATGTATGTATGTACATATATAAAACACATATATATAATATATATACATGTAAAATAGATTGTGTTTCTTTTATTATACATATGGTAAAATTTAAGTTTATAAAATTTGCCCAAAGTTACATGTTTTTAAATTGGCAAACCCAAAACTACCTCTTCTTCAAAAAATATCGGTACTTTCCCTACTATTCTGTCATTTCTGTTGGTCAGAATTAAGTTATATAACTTAGAAAGATAGTTCTTCTTGTGGCTTCTGCCTAGTAACAGATAAAATTATCTATGAGGCTGATCAAGTTTGAAGAAGGTCCTCTGTAAGGAGAAAAAGGCATGAACTTGTGTCAGGACATTTGACGTTGCTTAAGGTTGTTATTGCTTTCTTTTGGTTCAGGTTTGTCATCTCCATTAAGAAGATATCATCCATGGCCAGGCGCGGTAGCTCACGCCTGTAATCCCAGCACTTTGGGAAGCCAAGGCGGGTGGATCATGAGGTCAGGAGATGGAGACCATCCTGGCTAGCACAGTGAAACCCCGTCTCTACTAAAAATACAAAAAATTAGCTGGGCGTGGTGGCAGGCGCCTGTAGTCCCAGCTACTTGGGAGGCTGAGGCGGGAGAATGGCGTGAACCCAGGAGGCAGAGCTTGCTGTGAGCCAAGATCGCGCCACTGCACTGCAGCCAGGGCGACAGAGCGAGATTCCGTCTCTTAAAAAAAAAAAAAAGAAGATATCATCCATATCCTTTGCCCCACTGGCTAGTTTGTAGTAGAAAGGTGATTTCATAAGGATACATTAAAGATTAGAAGTTTATGTTATAAGCAAAAAAATAATAAGAATGAAATGAATTTGTTTCCTTAATAACATGGACAGCAAACAGGGATAGCCTATGTGCTTCATGCTTTCTTGATTTTGTGCCTTTACTAATCTTTATTTATTTATTTATTTATTTATTTATTTATTTATTTATTGTATTTGAGACAGAGTCTCACTCTGCCAGGCTGGAGTCCAGTGGCACCATCTTGGCTCATTGCAACCTCAGCCTCCCAGGTTCAAGCGATTCTCCTGCCTCAGCCTCCCGAGTAGCTGGGATTGCTGTGCAACTTCATGCTTCTAGAATAGTCACGCTTCCAGAATATGTCATGATCTAACTGTTAGGACAAAATGATAGAACATGTTTTTGTTGTTGTTTTGTATACAACTGATAGTTGACAGATTAAGTTTATACGTCAAGTGCCATTTTATTATCTGCTGTAGTTGTTTTGTGCATTTTAATTTGATGTAGCTTATTGTATTTTTGCCCTGAGATAGTTGATGCAAAAGTGCTATTCAGTAAAACAGAGCACATACCTCTTGGTTGTTTACCAATGCCTAGCTATTTTTTGTATTTTTAGTGGAGATGGGGTTTCACCATGTTGGTCAGGCTGGTCTCAAACTCCTGACCTCAAGTGATCCGCCCACCTCGGCCTCCCAAAGTGCTGGGATTACAGGTGTGAGCCACCACACCTGGCCTACTAATCTATTGCATTTAACAATGGCCCTTGCCTTCCAACTCTCACCACTCATTTGTTAAAATCCAACTCAACATTGAAGATCTATGTAGTTCAAATGCAACCTAATTTCCAAAGCTCTCCCTGATATGTTCCCTCTTCCCTCCTTCACAAATGAAACACAAATCTCTTCAGTTTTCCTGTAATGTTGCTCATCTCTAATAGCACAGTCCATAGATTATTATCAAAGTTATTTACAAAAGTCTTTTATCTTTTCTTTAAGAATAGTCCTAGTGTCCTCCAAAAAATAAAATTAGCTTACTGCTTCGTCGTCCTTAAGAACATATGAAAAAGAAAAATTCTGGGTCAATCAAAATGAACATTATCACCTCCGTGTGACTTCTTTATTATCACTGCATATAATAAATTATGTTTCTATTGGTGTTGAAACAGCAAATAGCCTGTAGGCATTTTTAGCATGTGCTTTTGACAGCAGCAGAAAGATATTTTGAGGAAAAATTATTAATTGAAATATCAAAAAATTATACAAGGGAAAATCTATCTCTGGATAATTCTTTATAGCAAATATATAATTTAGTATTATTTGCAAATTACATATGGATGGGGTGAGGGTGGGAGTGAGGGCTTGGAAAGCGACCTTTAGGTTTCTAAGGATCTCAATTTTGTCTGATTTCTACTTTGGCTTCTCAGATTTCCACTCAGTTTATCCCCTAGTCAAATGATTCACCTTCTCTCCTATTAGAATTTCAGGATGAGTTTTCTCCTCTTTTTAACCCATGAGCAAAATAAATCCTTCCATTACCTTATTCAATGAATCTATATCCTATGATATTTTATTTATTTCAATGTTAGTATTTATAGCTGGTTTTGATCAGTTTCAGCATGCAGGGGTATTTGATATTGTTTGGTTCTATAGTGCAGAGCTGAAGTGGGCCCTGTGGCTGTGGCAGATGTATAGAGTGACCTGGGACATAACTTGTATCAGTTCGTCTCCTCCTTAGGATATTAAAACCGAAAGGCAAGACCTTTTGGGGGCCCTTCTGTTCATCTTTTCATTAGAGCTATGTTTGCTATTTGAATTTTGGGGCACAGTAGTCCACAATACCTTTATTCTTTTAAAAGTATTGATATTCAATTCTTATATTTCTGAGAAAGACTAACAAGTATTTTAATTGTTTATAACAATAGTTTAGTTGTAATTTTAGCAGAGAAAGTGCCTTAAATAATTTAATTTGGGATACACAAAAATTAAGTGAGCAGGAATTGAGCTTGATAGGAAAGTGGGGAGAGCTGCTGGGTTATGTCTTTGTTTTTTAGATATTAATAGTTGACAGACTGCTTATGTGCATGAAAGAGTAAGTTTGTTAGGGTCCCATGGTGCCTATTAAGGCTTTCCAAGTAACAACCGAACTTCACTGGGTGCTAAGTGCTTCAGGTAGATAGATGGCTGATGTTCAGATTCAAATGTTACTCCTGCCTGAAGGTCCTATTTTTTGAAATACTGAGATAGCTTGTAAATTCACTGAATGCAAGGGAACAAAAATGACTGCTATTCACCAATTAAATTCTTTCCTCCCAATGCAGAAATCAATCTTGTACTTTAGTCAGTGGGGGAGATAAAACTCTAGGACAACAACCAGCTGTGATGGCAGAAGGAAAGGCAATGAAAGTTTAGAGGCAGGAGCCACTCTTGGCTAAAACAGGGGAAGAAAATGGACTCGAATTGGTATTGGACTCAAGGGCATGTATCCTATACTCTCAGCATAAGCTGAGAGAATGACAGTGGACGATGTAGAGCAAAGGGCTGACTTGAAAAATCAGTTCAAGCAGCTTGGTTGTCTCCCAGAGATGAGGAGAAGCAGTCTTCAGGTCATATCCGAAGGGCGGACAGAAAGCAATAGTCTCACTTTGCTTTCAGTGTTTATTAAAGTAAAGCCCAGGAGATGATGGTTGGAGTAATGAAACAGGTATATTATGGGTGAGCAGGGGCCAGGTGACCAAGGACAGGTGGGCTGAATGCAAAGTGCATTAGAATGAATAACCCAAGGCAGTGATTGCAACTAAGATTAAATTGGAAAACTTTCAGGGGCAGCGACTAAGACATCACATGTCCCACAGTACTAAACAGAACACATATGTAAGTTAATTGAGCTAATGTAGGTCAGGTCTTTGATCAGAGCATCTATATTTCAAAAGAGGCATTCACAGACAATTATGTCTTTTATGTATGCTTATCAGTAAATGGTTGTAGAAAGGAATTCTTTCCCTGCTCATTAGTGAAAAAGTAGCCCAGGAGTACTGGCACAGTGAATTGGCTCTAGAATTTTCCCCATGTACAACTCCCCTTCCCTCACTGATTCCTGCCTTATGAACACCAGAATTGTGTTTTATCCCTGCTGTGGAAAATGGTGGTGGCTCCATGTCCTTCACTGTAACTAAGCAATCTCTGATGGTCTTGTCACACTCTTTTTCAATCTGCTTGCCCATGGATTGGCGAGTCTTTCTGGGTCAGCTATAGAAAAAAGCAATCCCAGAAATTCCTCCTTTTAAAATGGTATTCTTAGGATAATCCAATGTTTTCACTATTTTACATCAAAGGCCACTGCAAGAATAGCTCACAGGATTGCAGCCTTGAAGAAGCATGGGGCTGGAGCTTCAGAGGCCACCAGCTTACCTGTGTTCTTTTTTGTCGAGCTCTGAATAAGCCATACACAGGGAACATCACAGTGGCAACTCTGGCTTAGTGATCACAATTTCCTACTTTGTATTTTTGAAAAGTTTCACTTCTCAAAGGGCCTAGATCAGTAGTCCTTTTAGATCAGACTTGGACAGAGTTTTTGAAACTTCATTCAACCACAGAAATTTAAAGTTGCCTAGGATTGTGGCATGCATTATCCCAAAGTGAATTATTTTGCATGCTGTCTCTATGCACAACTAAAATGCATATACAAACACACACATGCATTATGTCTAAGAGATATTTATTTATTGAAGATACTTTTGGTGACCACATTTTTAGAGCATACAAGTGTCAAAACCAGTCATGTTCTATCCTCTGAAGTGACATAGATAATCCTATTGTGTATAATTGTACTTTGGTGGCAATTAGTTTATTACATAAGATAGCCAGTTATGACCAAGGACTTGAGTGAATAAGAGGTGGGGGATAATGCACTGATGAGAGAAAGAAGAGAAGAGGGATGGTAATAAATGTGGATTAATGTGGGGTAATGCTTATATGACCAAACAGATGACTTCATGGGAGGTGGGAACAGACTTCAGGAAACTCAACTGGTAAAAAATTTATTAAGCCTTAAATGATCTCCTTTGCTGTTAGTCATCTATCCTTAATAGAGATTTTTTCTTATTCCCTATGTTGGAAGTTTGAAGTCTATCACTTCTCTATATTTTTTTAACCTTTCTTTTGTTACTTAGTAATAATAACCAAAACAATATCATCAACAAAAATAATTTTATTTTTTTGCTTCTCTTCATTCTGCTTATTTGCTGCTTTTTAAAATTTTATTATTATTATTGTTTTTTTTTGAGATGGAGTCTCACTCTGTTGCCCAGGCTGGAATGCAGTGGCATGATCTCAGTTCACTGCAACCTCTCCTCCTGGCTTCAAGCGATTCTTCTGCCTCAGCCTCCTGAGTAGTTGGGACTACAGGCACACACCACCATCCCTGGCTAATTTTCATATTTTTAGTAGAGACGGGGTTTCACCAGATTGGCCAGGATGCTTTTGAACTCCTGACCTCAAGTGATCCACTTGCTTCAGCCTCCCAAGGTGCTTCTTTAAGCATTCTTCTGAAAAAGGTTTACACAGAAAGCATATAAATGCATAAATAGCCACATCATGAGTGACACAGCTGAGCCTAACCATCACAAGTTTCTGATTTCTAGTTCATTTTTTGTTTCTGTTGACTTAAAGGAAGAAACTGAGGCAACATTAAAATAACTAGAAAGTTTACTTTGGCCAAGTTTGAAGATTGCAACCTGGGAGACATAGATCCAAGTTGCACCAAATATATACTCCAACTAGCTGCAGTTACAAGTGGGTTTTCAAAGGGAAAAAGAAAGAGAAGTTCTTAAACTAACAAAAGGTATCTATATAGGTTGTTCTTTGTATCACAAATTCTGGAAAAGGTGAAGATAGTAAGTGAGGGTCACATTATGCAACTTGTGGTAACATTTAAGGTAATTTATCAGCTAGTCTGGAAACTACTGGAAAGAAAAATACAAAATGCATTGAGGAAATTGACCCCACTAACCCAGGGATAGGTGCAGGAGGCATGACTGGACTGCCTGGGCCTGATAAATTTTGCACACCTCACATTTCTCAGACACTCTGAGCTACTTTGCTTTCCAATTTCTAAGCATAATGGCAAAAAAGAAAACAAACAAACTTGTGTTTTTGCTCTGTTTCTTGTGCATGAAGCAATCAAACCAATGACCTTGATTTGATGTGTCTAAATCATATATAAAGGTTTCTTAGTGCAATTGATCTTTCCAAATTTTATTTTGCTTTTTCACTTCCTATTCATTTTTTGACAAACGTTAGTTAAAATTGTGACATTTATTTTCACTGTTTTTCTTTTTCAGAAATATAATAGGCATGTTAATTCCTATATATAAATTTGAGAATCATTGTGACACCTTTGAAAATGTTACCAAAACTCCAGGGGTTCTGTGTAGGACCTGCTGCTTCCTGTGCAGAAGGCCAATCACAGAGACAACAATTACTGCCAAGGAAGAAGGCCTTAATCGGGTGCTGCTGCAAGGAGATGCGAAATCAGTTTCAAATCCATTTCCCTGTTGGACTAAAACTAGGAGTTTATCTAGCAGGGAAGAAATGTAATAATGTATAAGAAAACAGGAACTAGGGAGGGATGAGGAAGCAATCATGATGAAGGAGAGCTCATGCATCTCATTTTCTCTATGTGGTGATCTAGTGAGTCTCAGTTCTTTGATTTTTTTTTTGAGAGGCCGCTTAGCAGGTCCTTTCCTGAGGAAGGAACTCAGATAAAATCGCGCACTTGACTTTCTCAAGTTGCCACTTGGCCTTCTTTTAAGTGTACTTTACTTCCTTTTGTTCCTGCTCTAAACTTTTTAATAAACTTTCACTCCTAGTCCAAAACCTGCCTTGGTCTCTCCTTCTGCCTTATGCCCCTCAGTCGAATTTTTTCTTCCGAGGAGGCAAGAACTGAGGTTGCTGCAGACCTGTATTGATTCCCACCTATAACACTTTGGTGCCATGTCTGGATACATTCCACTGCTAACACTTTCTGATTGCTATAGTTTTATGCCTGTTTTTCATCTTTGTGTATTTGTTAGAACAATTTAAAAAATGTTAAATACTACTGGGAAAGCTAGCCTGCTAATCTCATTCCTGAAACCTCTAAAAATAAATCACCAAAAATAATTTTGGTCTTATTTAAAAATATATAATGGTGAATTGTTCAGTTCCTAAAACATATATCAGGATTAAGTATTGAGTATTATAATAGGTCTTTCTGGAATATGTTGAGATTATCAGGAGTATTGTCTTATTTGACCATACTACCATTAAAGATATTTCTTACGGTTATATCTTTGTCTTCCTGAATTAAAAGCAACCTGATCATGGCAGACGCCCTGTTGAATTCAATTTGCTTGTATTTTATTTTGAAACATTCCTACCTGGCTGGGCGCAGTGGTTCATGCCTGTAATCCCAGCACTCTGAGAGGGCGAGGTGCGTGGATCACCTGAGGTCAGGAGTTCAAGACCCGCTTGACATGGCAAAACTGTGTCTCTACTGAAAATACAAAAATTAGCTGGGCGTAGTGGTGGGTGCCTGTAATCCCAACTACTCAGGAAGCTAAGGCAGGAGAATCGCTTGAACCCAGGAGGCAGAGGTTGCAGTGAGCCCAGATGGCGCCACTGCACTCCAGCCTGGGCAACAGAGTGAGACCCTGTCTGTCAAAAAAAAAAAAAAGGAAAAAAAAAAAGAAAAAGAAACATTCCTACCTATATTCATAAATGAATTTCCTCTAAGGTTATTTTTTATGTTGTTAAATGTGTAGTATTAATCAAATTGAGGCTTACTGTCAAAATAGAATTCTAAACAAATATAGAACAACAGAACATTTTCAAACTCTCCCCATTATACCATTCTCTGCTAGGTCTCTGACCACTTTTCTCAGGGCAGCGTGCTTTTGAAAAGCCACACAATTCCATGTCTTTCCTGTTGTTCCTTTATGTTTTTTGGTTGTACCAACTAATTGCTTTAGAAAGTTATTCCCCAAATTCCTCCCACAATTAACATTTAGATAAATAAGGATCTTTAAAGTTAGCACGATAGACTTATTACATCCTGGTATATATCCTGGAACATCAAAAAGCAAGGCCAGAGACTCCTGAGAAACATAGCATCAAACATTTCTCCCACACTCCTTTGGTTAAAAAGAAACTGAGAAGGAACCAGGAGAAAAGGCAATATTGTTGTTTAAAAAAGTCTTAGGGAAAGGTTTTCTTTCAGGAAAGGTCTGGATTAGGACATTGTCTAATTCTCATGGCAGAGTTAAAATCAGGCCATCAAACTCTAAAGATCCTTCCATCCAAAGTTGTTCTTTCCTGTGTTCTTTAGTGGTGTATATATCATGTTAATTATCTGTTCCTTGGGAGTGTGAAAGAATTAGCTGGCAAAGCTTTCTTTCGAGACATTTTGTAATTTGTTTCATAACAACTTTCTTCTATGGCTTTTGATTTGTTTCAGCTTTTTTACTTATACTTGAACTAAATTTTGTAACTATTTTCCTAGAAAGAAATCCACCTCACTGATGTTTTCAAATTTATTACCACAGTGATGTGCATACATAATTAAAAAATCTTCTTTGTTGTTGCTTGTGTAGGTCTTTTGACAATTAATCATTAATTTGGTAAATTATTTCAGGTGGATCCCCCGGGCGGTGTTTTCACTCTGAAGGTTTTACTGAGATATTTTCACTAATTTCTAATTACAACAGGAGAATTAAGTTTCTTTTTATGAGCTTCCCTGTATTATATGTGGCAGTTTTAGTTTTGACACCCCTATCATCTCACTTGGATTTCTGTGTCTGGGTGCTGTGTGGGTACAGTAACTTTTCTTCATTCAGAGTTCTAAATTTGCCCTTGGCAGGGAGCTGTCTCCATTTTATGACACACTGATCTATGAGCTATGTCTCTACTTTGTCTGTTGTTGTAAACAAACCTGGGATGACTGGGAGTATTTCTCTAGTGAATCAGTAGACTGCTTAACATTCTACAGTTTCAAGCATGACAGTATAAGAGACTCATAAATACCCAGCTTGTCTCGCCTTATCACTGACTTTCAGGAAATCATACTCAACTTTCATATCTTAACTTTGGAATGGAAACTTGGAGGTGTGAAAAGCCTGAAAACACTTTTATTGAAAGATTAGGGAATTCTTTGTGTTAGCCAGTTATGGAAGTGAAGTATATCTGTTGTTTTCTATCCTTCTAGCTTTCTATTGACCTCCATTGGATATAAAGTGTAATTCCTTCTATTTCACCACAGAATATAGGAGATGATTAGGAATCAGGGATTCAATTTTCACTATTTGTGGAAAACGACAAGATACATATATGAAGAAGTGAGGATTTTTTTAAGTGTAATGATTGAATTTCCATAAGCCACCTATAATCCTCTGCTTGTTTCCCCTTATCACCAAAGGCATGGGCTTGCCAAGTAGCTCATTTATATATGGACATGGAATAGAGTTTTTTTCTCTTCCAATTGGTGATTGAAAACCTACTGATTGCTTTTACTTGAAATAATTATTTGGTGTAGAATTATAGTATATACTCACATGTTCTCTCTGTTTAACATTGATCTATGTTAAAGTCTTCTACCATTATGAGTTTTTTAAATGGTTTTTCTCATTAGGTGAAGTGAATTTATTTATAGTCTAATATATTCTAATTTAATTGTTTTTCTTTTACTAAAATATAAGCAACATGATAGGAAGGACTTGTCTGTCTTGGGCTCAACTATATCTCTGTTGTCTTCTATAGTGCCAGACATTGAGGAAATATTCGTTGACTATTCAGAAAAATCTCAAGATGCCAGTCAAGGAACCAAGTCTAATTCTGTTTTAGTTTCTGCTGTATGGAAGGGAGTCCATTTTCCTCAATTTTCTGATATGTTTGCCCTTTCTTTTGTTGGTGTGAATTAATATTTATTTTAAAAGTTGAGTAGTCCCATTTATGTGTATTTAACGTTATACGCTACCTCAAATCTTTTAAAAAATATAGTATACCACAAATAAATGATAAATAAGAAACAAATCAGTGTAATGTACTTGCAGATACAATTTGAATTTTCTTTCCTTAACTTATGATGTCATTTTAAAAAATGTCAAAAAGGAGAGGGGAAATAGTTACTCTCATGCCCTGTTGGTGAGCATGTAAATTGGCATAGCCTCTATGAAGGGCAATTTGGCACCATCAAGCATAATATAAAAAGTATACACCTTTTGACATATCAATGATATCAACATTATCAATGTTGGAAATTCCTACAAAGTCATGCAAGTACACAAAAAACAACACCCCCCAACCCTGCAATCTGGGGGAAAAATCTAATGACCAAGAACCGTTAAAAATTATTGCAGGGCCGGGCACAGTGGCTTATGTCTGTAATCCCAGCACTTTGGGAGGCCGAGGCGGGTGGATCATGAGGTCAGGAGACTGAGACCATCCTGGCTAACACAGTGAAACCCCACCTCTACTAACAATACAAAAAATTAGCCGGGCGTGGTGGCGGGCGCCTATAGTCCCAGCTACTCAGGAGGCTGAGGCAGGAGAATGGCGTGAACCCAGGAGGCAGAGCTTGCAGTGAGCCAAGATCACGCCACTGCACTCCAGACTGGGCGACAGAGTGAGACTCCGTCTCAAAAAAAAAAAAAAAATTATAGAATACCATATGATGTAACATTATGAAGCTGTTAAAGAGTAGTCCTCTAAGTTCTGACATGAGAAGGTGCCCAAGACACATTAATATAAAACAATTTTCAGAACAATAGAGTAGTATAGTCTCATTTTTAAAAGTTATCTATTGTGTACATAACAATAGTTTAAAGATACTAATACAATTGGCTGGCTGTGGTGTCTCACGCCTGTAATCCCAGCACTTTGGGAGGCTGAGGCAGGTGGCTCATGAGGTCAAGAGATCGAGACCATCCTGGCCAACACGGTGAAACCCCGTTTCTACTAAAAATACAAAACTTAGCTTGGCATGGTGGTGTGTGCCTGTAGTCCCAGCTACTCGGGAGGCTGAGGCAGGTGAATCACTTGAACCTGGGAGGTGGGAGTTGCAGCAAGCTGAGATAGCGCCACTGCACTCCAGCCTGGTGACAGAGCAAGACTCTGTCTCAAAAAAAAAACAAAACAAAACAAAAAACCTAATGGAATTACCAAAATAGCTATTTTTTAATATTTTAATATTATTAAGAATCCGTTTGTCAGAAACATAAGCTAATTGAAGAGATCAGAAGAGTATGATGATTTGAGTTTGGGTAAACATAGCATAGAATTGTGGACATTCTTCAGGTGAAGATCTAAGGAATAATCTCGTGTAGTGGGTGGAGATTTGGTTAGGGACAGCAGAGAGGGTTGGTTTTTTGGTTATGGCCTTTGCTGTGTGATTTAGGTGGTTACTTAAGTTTACTGACCTCTACTTTCCTAATCTTTAAATTGACAATAATAAGAATGGCTAATATGCATTAGTAGCTTATAATGTACTTAGATGTTTTATCTTACTTAAACCCCATACTACCAAGTCCATTAGAAAAGTAGTATTATTTCCGTCTTACAGATGAGCAAACTGAGTCACAGCCAAATTAAATAATTTGCTCAAATGATAAAGCTAAGCAAGTATTAACCTTGACATTACAGCTGCACAGCAGACTGACTCTACATCCCAGTCACTAAACAAACACTCTGTACTCCCTTTCCACCTGTATTACTCCATTCTAACGCTGCTATAAAGAACTACCTGAGACTGCGTAATTAATGAAAAGAGGTTTAATTGACTCACAGTTCCACAGGCTGTACAGGAAGCATAGCTGGGAAGCCTCAGGATACTTATAGTCATGGCAAAAGGCAAAGGGGAAGCAAGCACATCTTCACATGGCAGCAGGAGAGCAAGCAAGCCAAGGGAGAAAGGCCACACACTTTTAAACCATCAGATCTCATGAAAACTCACTCACTATCATGAGAACAGCAAGGGGGAAATCTGCCCCCATGATCCAATTCTGTCCGGAATTGGTGGGTTCTTGGTCTCGCTTACTTCAAAAATGAAGCCGCAGACCCTCATGGTGAATGTTACAGTTCTTAAAGATGGTGTGTCCGGGCTGGGCGTGGTGGCTCACGCCTGTAATCCCAGCACTTCGGGAGGCCGAGCTGGGCAGATCATGAAGTCAGGAGATCAAGACCATCCTGGCTAACATGGTGAAACCCCTTCTCTACTGAAAATGCAAAAAATTAGCTGGGCATGGTGGCACATGCCTGTAGTCCCAGCTACTCAGGGGGCTGAGGCAGGAGAATGGCATGAATCTGGGGGGCAGAGCTTGCAGTGAGCCGAGATCTCGCCACTGCACTCCAGCCTGGGTTAAAATAGGGAGACTCTGTCTCAAAAAAAAAAAAAAAAAAAAAATGGTGTGTCCAGAATTTGTTCCTTCAGATGTTCAGACGTGTCCGGAGTTTTTTCCTTCTGGTGGGTTCGTGGTCTCGCTGACTTCAGGAGTAAAGCTGCAGACCTTCGCAGTGAGTGTTACAGCTCATAAAGGCAGCCTGGACCCAAAGAGTGAACAGCAGCAAGATTTATTGCAAATGCTTCCACAGCAGGAAAGAGCACCCGACTTGGTTGCCACTGCTGGTTCAGGTGGCCTGCTTTTATTCCCTTATCTGGCCCCACCCACATCCTGCTGATTGGTCCATTTTACAGAGAGCTGATTGGTCCATTTTACAGAGAGCCGATTGGTCCGTTTTGACAGAGCGCTGATTGGTGCGTTTACAAATCTTTAGCTAGACACAAAAGTTCTCCAAGTCCCCTACCCGATTAGCTAGACACAGAGCTCTGATTGGTGCATTTACAAACCTTTAGCTACACACAGAGTGCTGATTGGTGCATTTACCAACCTTTAGCTACACACAGAGTGCTGATTGGTGCATTTACAAACCTTTAGCTAGACAGAAAAGTTCTCCAAGTCCCCACCCTACCTGGAAGCCCAGCCGTCTTCACCTCTCAATGGCACTGGCCAAGGGACTTTGAGGCACCTAGCCCGGGGCACTCCAGCAGCCCAGAGCGAGCTCCTCCCAGGATCAAGCCCAGCAGGTGCCAGCCGGCGGCAGGGAGTGCGGGGCCTGCTGAGTCCATGCCCACCAAGAGCCTGCACCAGCCCACAAGCCCCGCACGCAGCCCCGGCTCCCACTGGCACCTCTCTCTCCACACTTCCCTGTGAGCAGAGGGAGCCAGCTCTGGCCTTAGCCAGCCCCAGAGAGTGGCCGCCACAGCGCAGTGGCATGCTGAAGGGCTCCTCGAGCGCGGCCAGAGCAGACGCTGAGACCGAGGAGGTGCCAAGAGCAAGCAAGGGCTGCTAGCACGTTGTCACCTCTCACAATCACCTCCCACCAGGTCCCTCCCCAAACATTGGGAATTATAATTCATTGTGAGATTTGGGTGGGGTTACAGAACCAAACCATGTCATCAGTCACTACCCTAACAGCCTGTTTTGCCAAAAAAAAAAAAAAAAAAAGGACAGTATATGTGACTCTCATAGCAGAATAAATGCTATGTGGTGAGATCTCATTAAATATAATATTATTATTTATTTATTTATTTAGACAGAGTCTCGCTCTGTCGCCAGGCTAGAGTGCAGTGGCACAATCTCAGCTTACTGCAACTTCTGCCTCCCGGGTTCAAGCAATTCTCCTGCCTCAGCCTCCTGAGTAGCTGGGACTACAGGCGCACATCACTACGTGAAGCTAATTTTTGTATTTTCAGTAGAGACAAGGTTTCACCATGTTGGCCAGGATGGTCTTGATCTCTTGATCTCATGATCTGCCCACCTTGGCCTCCCAAAGTGTTGGGATTACAGGCCTAAGCCACCATGCCCAGTCTAAATATAGTATTATTTCTTATTCTGGGGACTAATAAGGAGGCCAGAGAAGAAAGTACTGAGCTGGGTGCGGTGGCTCTGTACTAAACCCCATCTCTACTAAAAATACAAAATAATTAGCTGGGTGTGGTGGCGGGCACCTGTAATCCCAGCTACCCTGGAGGCTGAGGCAGGAGAATCGCTTGAACCCGGGAGGCAAAGATTGCCCCCAGCCGAGGTCATGCCACTGCACTCCAACCTGGGCAACAGAGCGAGACTCTGTCTCGAAAGTACTGAACAGGAAGCTTTTGTTTCATATTTTGGAGTTTGACCTCAGATTTAATTAAATGTTTGGTTTAAAAAAATTGTACAATACAATAATTTATATATTAAAATTGCAAAAAAAGACATGCCATTAGGTTATTTCTCATAATCAACCAGCTAATTAAAAGCAGAATTTTCCTTTTTCCTTCCATACCTCCCTTCCTCCCCCCACTTTTTTCTCCTTTTCTCCCTTTCTTTTTTCTTTCCTCCCTAAGTCCCTGTCTCCCCCCACTCCTGTCTTTTTTTTTTTTTTTACTTCTTTTCACATGTAGGGTATGTTGGAATGGCATATACTTGTGACAGGGGTATATGCTACATGTAACATTATTAAAGTCTGAACATCTAAGTTTATGAACTCCTGTTGAAGCTGCTGCAAATTTGGTGAACCAGTAACAATTGGAACATGATTTGGAGTTGGGTCGCAGACAGCTGGAGGTGGGGATCTGAGGTGGAAAAAGAAAATCACTGTATGGCAGCAAACTAGATGACTGTACACCTGCCATAAGGATGGGGGCCAAATGAACCAAGATGGCATCCTGGTACTCAGGAGTGAAAGAGAAAACAAATATCTATTAGAAGTGTGCAGTGTAGAAAATGTTATATACTGATGGTAAACTTAAGAGTAGGTGGTGGCATGTAAGATGGCAGTGCAACGTGGTTATCACATCTCACAGCTGAGGGGGGTTAGCAGAGTTGTCTGCACAAATTAAAAAATGGAAGGTCATGGCTATTGTGGATGCGGTCCTACAACAATCTTATACTAACATAGGCTATAATTTAAAAAGCAGCTCTGAGAACCTATGTTGACTCTTAAAAGATGACCAATAGCAGAGATGAATTACTTCATAGCTCTCTGTAGTCCATTCCTGGAATGTTTCAAAAATGCTGAAAGAATTATCCAGCATGAGAGATAGTGTTAAGCCAAGAAGTTTCTGGTGAGCATTTAAATGACTTCTGTACGGTAGTGCTGGGCAGGAGCAACTAAACATTATTTCCTGATTTTTATGAACTAGGTGGGTAATTGGACAGAGTCCATGTCATAGTGTCATAAGCTTGAATGATGCTTTTATTTCAGTTGTGGTCCTGTGAATCTTAAAAAACTTGACATATTATCAATTTGCCTGCAGTTTTTCCCAGGTAAACCTTGGTATAGGATCATCTGATTTTTTTATAATCTGTTAATATTGAGGTATATTTTTGGTTGACATTAAGTCATTGTGAAAAACATTATAAAACTGCCATTTCAACTGTGACTAAAAATACAAGGTAGTAACAATTTAGCTTGTTTTTTAACACAAAAAAAAGTAAAAATTTAATTTATAAGTGAATGATCTCCAAATTGGTGAGATAAGGAAGAAGAACATATTAATGCATATTTAATTCAATTTAAAACACTAATTAGCTTCGTCTGCGGCTTTTGCTTGGGCATTAGATGTAAACCTTTTCAAAAACCAGGATAAAATAAAATGTTGCATGTTTGCATTAAAATTTTCTTTTATTATAAACTGAATTTCTATGCAACTTTTAATTCTAAAAAGCACAGTGATTAACTCAGTTGACGAAGTATAGGCTTGTAACACTTATTTTTCTTGTGTGAATTAATTTTTGAGTTGTGCAAGAATACACTAAGTACACTAATGCGTATATATTTCAGCTTTGGAAATTGAAATAACACAAAAATAATACTTTTTACGTGTTACAAAATCAAATCCCTTCTAACCACAAGTGAATTAGAGAAATTTTATAGTTTTGTGCTTTTGTGGATGGGGATTTCTAATGAAGAGTCTGACAGTCTTTGTTACCCAGATGGGACAGAGTGATGTTTCTAAACAAAACATCTCTTCTCCAGGGTCTAAGGGTCTAAAGGTATTATTTTACCTAATGAAAAGTGAAAAATAAAAGAATTAGAACTAAAAGTTATGTAACTGAGGTACTATGGCTTTTGTTAAAAACAAAATTAATATATGAAACAATTAGCAAGCATAAAAATAAACCCATGAACAGAATCTATTCTTAGATTAAATTCGTTTACCTAAATTTTAGTATCAACCATATTGACATCATGGAGAACTGTCAAGAGAGCTGACATTCTTAGAAGACATAACATCACCTGTAACCTTTAAAGAAAGCTGCTTTGTGAAAATCCCTAAAGGCAGAGTGGTCAGACTGGCATTTGTATAGCGTGGTGGGAGATGTTAAAATAGCAACACCCGGAATCCTTTCAAGCAATTTTTATGCCATGGACACTGAGGCTTCTGGAAAGAAATCTATAAGCAGTGATTTGTCACCACTTATGTAAAGTGAAATAATTTCAGACTTTTTTTTTCCAGATCAGAAAATGCTATACTCAAAGTGAATAATAAATCAAATTTCAATTTTTCATCTTGATATATACATCTCTGAGGATTTTATTTTTAAAGCTAACATTTATTTCTTCATTCTCTATAGAACTAAAGTTCAATTTTATAACTTTGCAAAATTTTCAATCACTTTATTCAGTGTAACAATTACAAATGCAACATATTTGTAATAAAACTGTCAACCATGGTTCAATTCAAAATGTATCATGGGGAAGTCACACTTCTGAATTGGGAAAAATCTGGTACTTTTTGTAAGAAGCAATGAAGGTAGACTCACAGGACACAAAGTATCTAATAATAACTTTCCCACACTCACTGCAACTTGAAATCCAATTTTCATAATTATACACCAAATTTTAAGAATTCTTCTATTGTCTCCACCTTTTAGAACTAACATTGGTGTACAACTTCTTTTCCTTAACTGTCGTCTACTCTTAGAAAAAGATTAAATTACTGCATATTGCATAAATAGAGAACTACCTACTAGTATTTGACCCTAAATCAGCTGTACTTTTTACCATCAATGGGCCTTTTGAGAGCATTGTGACTCCCATGGTTATTGTGTGTATGTGTGTGTTTGTATGTTTGTGAGATATAAAAATGAGATTATCCTTCTCCAAACCATCCAACACATCTCTTGGAAGACTTGTACATACTCTATTTGTTACATGCTTTATAATTCTGAATATAGTCTGTAATTATTTACCAAGGCTATAACCTTAAGTTTATGTATCAGAGATTTAATTTCATTGCTTTGTTCAAAGAAGTCAAGATTATAATAGTTTTTAATGTAGATGGAGAGTAATTATCTGTGAGGTACTGGCGTTCTCACAGTTGACATTTTGTGTTATAAAAGGAAAAACAGTCTGAAATTACTGATGATCTTTTTCTACTTAAACCAGCAAAATGATTTACTTGGATATTGATAAGATTAAATAAATATGAAAAAAATTGAATGTGGCAATTAAGCAAATATATTTCTGGCTAGAGTTGAAACCATAGTTTACTTAATATACATATGTACAGGTTTACTGTTTGAATGCTATCCCTTAAAATAAGCTACTATTTGTAATTTGCATATTTGTGTCTCCTTCTAATCACATTTTAAGTTCTTAGAGGGTAGAGATCTGATTTTGTGTATGCTTGAATCCCTGTTAAAACAGGGTTTTCTGTGTAGAAGGCATGCGATTGTCAAAGAAGTAAAATTCACCTTGTGATTCTGTACATTTGCTAAGTCATGCTGTGGGTGATTTGGTTGAGTATTGGGAGTTGCTGAGTTTAAATATTAGGACATGGTAAGATTAATTGTAATAACCTCATGTTTTTTCAAGTAGCTGGGCAATAGGCACACCAGGCCATAGTAATCCTGTGTAGAAATTTCCCTGGTGAGCAATCCATCCATGGAGGATAAGTTTAATTACTGAGTCTTCCTTGCCTCTTTGTTCAGTCTAAACTTGAGTTATATATAATTTATTGTGAAGATATATTATCTGGGAAGTTTTCCAGATTCATCTTTAAAGAATGGGACTTCCTAATATTATGATTCTTTAGGGCAGCTTCTTACACTGGAAATAAGACTAGCAGCAGTAGACTACATTAATACTACAAGATAGATTGGAAATTTTTTTAGATTGAAATCCTTTAGGAATCATACTGAAAATTTCTTGTGAGTGGAAATTATTCAAAACGTTGTGTTTTCTGTTTTCTGGCTAAAGTTTTAGTATAGTAAATCTATTACTGTTGTTAAGACAATAATTTAATTTTGATAAAGGATTCCATTTACTGATAACACACAATGTTTTGAAACATTTATTAAATCAGGTTACACAGTTTCAGAAGTGACTTGTTTAACATCAAAAACAAATTGTTGCATACTAGGAAATTCTTTATCCTCTTGAGTTGGATAATGTAGAATGTCATCTTGTTCTTAGATAATAGTGACACAAACTGATCGTTTTTAGTTCTCCTGGCAGAAGGAAAAATCTATGCTAGAATTTACACATTAGTAGAGTCACTTTCTGAGATAAGATTGCATAATAAAGAACAGCCTTTGCTTAATATATTTTAGTTTTTGTCTTCTTACAAGTTATATACACACATTGCTTTAGAGAGTACATATTGATCCTATGGCAAACTTTTAATTCACTAAGTTACTTGCTTTGTGAAGGTCATTATGACCGATCTATGAAAGAGAGAGTGATTTTTCATAACTGACTTTGAGACAGCTATATCAACTCTTTCTTTTTTGGCATTGAAATAAGACATAAAATTCAAAGAGAGGCAACTGGCCTGATCTACTTTGATGTTTTCTACCCTAAATCTCAGTCTTTTGAATCTTAAACTTTTGACCTGACCGTGATTTCTGATACGCTTGGACATACTTCATGCATTCTCGGTTCCACTTCAATAATTCTAATCATTAAAAACAATGCTGTTTTCCTCCAATAGAAGGGGACTTAGAAGCAATTAGTTTGACCAACAAATTGTATTGTTAGAAAATGAATATTTTTATTTTCAGGATTGTTTCAGATGGTTTTTATTCTTTATTTCATATTATACTTCTAGTCATTTAATTTTACCTCCTACTCTTTGCAATATTGAAATGTAGTACTGAAATGTAAGATATAATACTAGTGGAATAGTTGGGAAGATCTACTGGAAAACAGTAAATATATTGTGCATATTTAGAAAAATATCCTGAAGAGCAGGAGTTGTGTATCTGAATGCGAATGACAAAATACATGTGTGCCTATAGAAGGTGGTAGAAGAAACTGACTCCAGCTATATTAGAGAAGTTATGAGTATTGGTTATGTACTTTTGCTTGTCTGTATGACTTGATTTTTGTTGAGTGAGCCTGCATTGCTTCTGTAAAGTAACTTAACTCTGCTTCCATTCGTCATATCTCAAGGGAGTAAGTATGCAGAGAAAGAAGGCCTAGTCCTAGACTTTGCAAGATACCTCAAATGAAAGATGAAAGACAGAATTGGGCCTGAGAAGGAGATTGAAAGTATCACAGGGAGTATATCAGTGGGCAAGTTACGTAAATGTGAGCACACACTCACATAGTTTTTCTCAAATGATATAACACAACCAAATATTATTCTGCTCACATACTAAACAAAACAGTACTTTGAGAAAAAGACTCAGCTAATAATACTCAAATGTTCTATAAATATTCACAATGGTCTGCAAGCTGGATGCTGATTCATTCTGCCTAGTAGTTTATTCCACTGTGACTCCTTTCAGTGCAAAGAAAAAGATACTTGACCGGGCAGACAGGATCAGCGTGATGTAAGTATTGGTAGGTGCATAAAAGAATGTCACTGCTTTGAGAATAAAGTCTTACCTCATTTCAGTTTCACAATATTTTTAAACATTCTGTAATCTTGGTCAGTGTATGGTTCCATATTTGCAGTTATAAAGTGTTATATTTACACATAAATTGCAGACTCAAGACATGGTGATCTTTCTGGCTGGCAGAAAACATTCACAAAATTTTAGAAAGATTGTCTGTATGGATGGATGTAGGAGCATCACATGGCAGGGCTGTGTGCCTAGAAGCCAGGCATAATTCAAAATTAGCATAAATCAAGAAAATTTTCTTAGAAGAATAAATGTAAACAGTAGATGCCTTCTTCAAATGCATAGATAGTCAACTTTCTAGCATATCTTAAAAATTCTTTTTATTGGCCGGGCACAGTGGCTCATGCCTGTAATCCCAGCACTTTGAAAGGCCGAGGCGAGCAGATCACTTGACCAGCCTGGCCAACACAGTAAACCCCGTCTCTACTAAAAATACAAAAATTAGCTGAGCGTGCTGGCACGTGCCTGTAATCCCAGCTACTTGGGAGGCTGAGGCAGGAGAATTGCTTGAATCCAGGACGCAGAGGTTGCAGTGAGCTGAGATCGTGTCAGTGCACTCCATCCTGGGTGAAGAAGCAAGACTCTGTCAAAAAAAAAAAAAAAAAAAAACTTTTTATTTTCTCAGCATTTTTCTCGAAAAGACTCAGTGATCTCTCTAATATTAACATTATGGAGAATCCCAGTGGGTGAGTCACAGTTTGTATCAGTAAGAGTCCTTTCAGGAGACAGAATCCATAGAGTAATTAGAACAGGAAGGTTATAATAAAGAATTATTAACTGTAACAGAGGATTGAAGTTATTAGGCATTGACTAGTAAGAAGAGAATTCTGAAGAATATAGTATTAATAGATACAAAGAACAGTGCCTTGCCCTAGGGATGAGATAGTGGACCCGAGGCAGAGTTGCCACTCCATGGCTGAGATGCAGACCTTGTTGGAGAG
Source organism: Homo sapiens (assembly GCF_000001405.40). Taxonomy (NCBI): domain Eukaryota; kingdom Metazoa; phylum Chordata; class Mammalia; order Primates; family Hominidae; genus Homo; species Homo sapiens. The sequence continues at coordinate 103,786,800 of NC_000005.10, forward strand.
GCACAGCTGTGGTTTACTGAATGTCATTGCACTGCTATGCTGGCAGACCTTACTAGAATCTGTCCTCTAGAACTTGTTAGAAATCTATTTATGACGGTGCTAGAGAAAGATGTTCGCTATGAAGTGCTTCTTCAAAAGGCCATTAACAACAAAACCCTCGTGGGACAGGTGACTAGGGAAGCTGCTGACTGGCCCCTGGGTGTAGCTGAATCCCATACACAGCAGGAGTCAGGTGTGTTGGAATCTTCTGTGCTGTAGGTGCTTGGTACTAGAGAAGCTGCAAGTGCTGCAGGAGGCTGCCAGTGAACACACCAGAACCTGGAAAGAAAACCTTTCTCATGCAGTGCCCTTAGAGCCCTCTTGACAAAGCTTAACATCATCTAGCTAGCAAAGGAAAAAATATTTAAAGAACCCTTATTTTTTATACAGCAGGAAATGAAGGATGTATTTGGAGTTGAGGGAACAATAAGTTGATAACTGGCACAGCCTTTATCTTTATATATAGTTTTACCTCTAAATTGTTACTACCAAATTCCTGATTTGCAGGTTTTTTTTCTTCTCAGTAGCACCAAGCAGCAATATGGCCATTTTGGGATTCAGAATACTATACTTCAAACTAAAGGCTTAAGAAGCAGTCTCAGAAGCAAACTTTCTCTATGACCTTCTCCTGCTTTACTGTCTGTCACCCCTCATTTCCTTTTTCCCACTCTCGCTTACCCTGCTCCATGACCCACAGAAACTAGAATTCCTTTTCTCCTAGGCAGGTCATAGAAACCTGAACCCATTTTTCTTTTCAAAGTCAGCCATAAAGTCTAAAAATGTTATTCTAACTATCTCTTTCTCCACCTTTCTGTGTAACAGCTGGCCATAAAGAAATTAAGGCCCTCCTTCTAGAGGAGTCCTACCCTATACCTAGAGGGTAGGAATGCTACACAGAGAGGCCAAGAAAAATCTGAGAGACAGGCCTTGGTGAGCCCCCCTACTCAGTCTATTGGCATTAGATCATACCCTTTACTTCCAGTCATATTTCTAAAGGGCTGCCCATTCTTCATTGAACCTAAGCATAAAAATAGTTTTCCTTGTATCTTTATGTCTTCATTCTGAAGACTCCTGTATCTCATAAAACTATGATCAAATAAATTTGTTATACTTTTCTCTTATTAATCTGTCTTTGTCATAGGGGTGTTGGCTGTGTCCCTTAGGATAGAGAGGAAAGGGATTATTCCATTTCAACCCTTGCAATTCTGGCAACAAAGGTGAGATGGTGGTGACACCTGACTCATTCCAAACTATGCAGATAAAATTTTAAGACAACTTATAAAAAGCTGGCAAAAAAGATAGGAATTTGTATCAAGATCAGTTCTCCAGGATCTCTGTAGTGCCCAATCAAGAATGGAAGGTAAAAGTTGCTCTTTATTCCCCACCACCCCCAACCTTTTTTTTTTGTTTGTTTTCCCCAAATTCAGGGTGACAGAAGAAAACCATTGGTCTGGATTGTGGCTCTGGGTAAATTTGGTTTTAGTATTCCCATTTGTTATTGATCCTTTTGCTCTCATGGACACTTACCATTTTCCTCTTTGTCTCATTTGGTGTTCTGAGAACTTGGCTTAGCTTGCTGCCTGTAGGGGGCATGCAGGTTACTGGATTTGTTTGGACAAGCAGTCAACTGAAAAGTTGGGGCGCCCATAAAAAGAATATGGTTGACAGGAATGTGTGTTGAACTCTATTTGCAGCTAGCATACTAATTATTGTTAGCCCTCAAAGAGTTTCTTTTAATTGTCTTTCGTGGTGGCTATGGATCTTGTGAGGACCTCTTATTTTGCACTTCTTTGAGTGTGTCTCATAGATGTTTGGGTAAGTCATAAAAGGCTTATTGGCTTTGGTTCTGTAGATACTTTTGATTTAAAAGAAAAAAATAAAACAAATGTCAGAAATATTTTCTGTTTTCTCCAGCTGAAATATGGTAAGAGATTTAAAGGGATTTTTTTTAAGTGCTGTATCGTCTGAAATCAACCATCTTAGTCCATTTTATGGTGGTATAAAGGAATACCTGAGTCTGGGTAATTTTGTTTTTTTTAGATGGAGTTTCACTCTTGTTACTCAGGCTGGAGTGCAGTGGCAAAATCTGAGCTCACTGCAGCCTCTGACTCCGGGGTTCAAGCAATTTTTCTGCCGTAGCCTCCCCAGTAGCTGGGATTACAGGTGCCCACCACCACACCTGGCTAATTTTTTGTATTTTTAGTAGAGACAGGGTTTTTCCATGTTGGCCAGGCTAGTCTTGAACTCCTGGCCTCAGGTGATCCACCTGCCTTGGCCTCCCAAAGTGCTGGGATTACAGGCATGAACCACCATGCCCAGCTGAATCTGGGTAATTTATAAAGAAAATAAATCTATTCACCTCATGGTTAGGCAGGCTGTACAAGAAGCACAGCACCAGAAACTTCTTGGCTTCTGATGAGAACCTCAGGCTGCTTTTGTTCATGGTCGAAGGCAAAGGAAACCTAGTGGTTACAGAGATCACATAGCAAGAGAGGAAGCAAGAGAGACGGGAGGAGGTGCCAAGCTCTTTTAATAACCAGCTCTCAGGGTGTATTAGTCAATTTTCATGCTGCTGATAAAGACATATGTGAAACTGAGCAATTTACAAAAGAAAGAGGCTTAATTGAACTTATAGTTCCATGTGGCTGGGGAAGTCTTACAATCATGGCAGAAGGCAAAGAGAAGCAAGTCGCGTCTTACATGAATGGTGGCAGGCAAAAAATGAGAGATAGCTTGTGTGGGGGACAGCCTTTTTTTAAAAACTATGAGATCTCATGAGACTTACTCACTTTCATGAGAATAGCATGGGGAAGACTTGCCCTCATGATTCAATTACCTCCCACCAGGTTCCTCCAACAACACATGGGAATTCAAGATGAAATTTGGGTGAGGACAGAGCCAAACTGTATCATTCCACCCCTGGTACCTCCCAAATCTCATGTCCTCACATTTCAAAACTAGTCATGTGTTCCCAACAGTCCCCCAAAATCTTAAGTCATTTCATCATTAACTCAGAAGTCCACAGTCCAAAGTCTCATCTGAGACAAGGCAAGTCCCTTCCACCTATGAGCCTGTAAAATCAAAAGTAAGTTAGTTACTTCCTAGACACAGTGGGGGTACAGGCATTGGGTAAATACAGCCATTCCAAATGGGAGAAGTTGGCAAAAACAAAGGGGCTAAAGACCTCATGCAAGTCCTAGCAGGGCAGTCAAATCTTAAAGATCCAAAATCATCTCCTTTGACTCCATGTCTCACATCCAGGTCACGCTGATGCAAGAGGTGGGTTCCCAGGGTCTTGTGAAGCTCCATCTCTGTGGCTTTGCAGGGTACAGTCTCTCTCCCTGCTGCCTTCACAGGCAGGTATTGAGTGTCTGTGGCTTTTCCAGGTGCATGATGCAAGCTGTTAGTGGATCTACCATCCTGGGGTCTGGAAGATAGTGGCCCTCTCCTCACAGCTTGACTAGGCAGTGCCACAGTAGGGATGCTGTGTGGGGGCTATGACCCCACATTTCTCTTCTGCACTGCCCTAGCAGAGGTTCTCCATGAGGGCCCCACCCCTGCAGCAAACTTCTGCCTGGGCATCCAGGCATTTCCATACATCTTCTGAAATCTAGGCAGAGGTTCCCAAACCCCAATTCTTGACTTCTGTGGACTCACGGGCTCAACACCATGTGGAAGCTGCCAAGGCTTGGGTCTTGCACCCTCTAAAGCCAGAGACCAAGCTCTATGTTGGCCCTTTTTAGCCACAGCTGGAGTAGCTGGGACACAGGGCACCAAGTCCCTAAACTGCACAAAGGATGGGAACCCTGGGCCCAGCCCACAAAACCACTTTTTCCTCCTGGGCTTCTGGGCCTGTGATGGAAGCGGCTGCCATGAGGACCACTGACATGCCCTGGTGACATTTTTTCCTTTGTCTTGGTGATAAACATCCAGCTCCTCATTACACAGATTTTTGCAGCCAGCTTGACTTTCTTCTCAGAAAATTGGTTTTTCTTTTCTATCTCATTGTCAGGCTGCAAATTTTCTGAACTTTTATGCTCTGCTTCCCTTATAAAACTGAATGCTTTTAACAGCATCCAGGTCACCTCTTGAATGCTCTGCTGCTTAGAAATTTCTTTCACTATATTCCCTAAATCATCTCTCACAAGTTCAAAGCTCCACAAATCTCTAGGGCAGGGACAAAATGCCACCAATCTCTTTGCTAAAACATAACAAGAGTCACCTTTGCTCCACTTCTCAACAAGTTCCTCATCTCCATCTGAGACTATCTCAGTCTGGATTTTATTGTCCATATCATTATCAGCATTTTGGTCAAAGCCATTCAACAAGTCTCTAGGAAATTCCGAACTTTCCCATATTTTCTGTTTTCTTCTGAGCCCTCCAAACTGTTCCAACCTCTGCCTGTTACCCAGTTCCAAAGTTGCTTCCACATTTTCAGGTACCTTTTCAGCAGTGTCCCATTCTACTGGTACCAATTTACTGTATTAGTCTGGTTTCATGCTGCTAATAAAGACATACCCAAGACTGAGCAATTTACAAAAGAAAGAGGTTTAATCGGACTTACAGTTCCATGTGGCTGGGGAAGCCTCACAATTATGGTGGAAGGCAAGGAGGAGCAAGTCACATCTTACATAGATGGCAGCAGGCAAAAAATGAGAGAGAGCTTGTGCAGGGGAAGCCTCTTTTTAAAACCGTTAGATCTTGTGAGACTTATTCATTATCACAAGAACAGCACCAGAAAGACTTGTTTCGATGATTCAATTACCTCCCACTAGGTTCCTCCCACATCACATGGGAATTCAAGATGAGATTTGGGTGGGGGCACAGCGAAACCATATCACATGGGAATGAATTGAGTGAGAACTAACACATTACTGCTAGGCCGGCACCAAGCAATCTGGGGGGAATCCATCCCCATGACCCAAACACCTCCTATTAGGTCCCACTTCCAACTTTGGGGATAAAATTTATACATGAGGTTTGGGGGACAAAAAGAAATTTTTTTTTTTTTTTTGAGACAGAGTTTTGCTGTTTTGGGCCAGGCTGGAGTGCAATGGCGTGTTCTCGGCTCACTGCAACATCCACCTCCCAGGTTCAAGCAATTCTGCCTCAGCCTCCCAAGTAGCTGGGATTAAAGTCATGTGCCACCACACCCAGCTAAGTTTGTATTTTTGCTAGAGACAGGGTTTCTCCATGTTGGTCAGACTGGTCTCAAACTCCCGACCTCAGGTGATCTGCCCGCCTCAGCCTCCCAAAGTGCTGGGATTACAGGTGTGAACCACGTGCCCGGCCTACGGGGACAAAAATTTAAGCTGTAGCATTGGCTTAATTAAAAGCTGATATTCAGGCTATACATTTTTCAAGGCCTCTGTGCTCTCTGTTGGATTGAGAACATCAGAGTTCTGGCTACCATATGGTGGAACTTAAATGAGACTCTTGCAACTCTGATACTCCTTGAGGAACACAGAACACATGCCACTAACTCCCTTTCTGAGTCCCCTGTCTTCCTAAATGAGCCCCAAGAGTGGTAGGTGGGTGCCTTTCAAGTCTAAAGCTCTGCTTCCTTTTACATTGAGTTCCCTGATCATTTTGGATTTTGGAGGTACCAAGGGTTAGTTTAAACTGTGAGACGACACTTGACCTTTGGGTGTGTGATAACTAATGATTCACTAGCAAAAGCTACAATTTTAAAGGTAACTGATGGCAGATACAATGAATGGTTATCACTACAGTGGTTGAACTCTGGCTTTTTGTCCCATTTCTTTCAAATTTAGATAAGAATAGCCTCATATTTCTGACTGAGTCAAAGAGAAACTGACAGTAAATGGCACTTTGGTGTAAGAAAACTATTGGCTATGTTGATCAAAAGGATCATAGAGCCAAAGCCACAACTTGACAATGGATATTGGGCAGTTGGAGGCTGTTGCAAAACTTACCATCAAAGGTTGGGGCTCCTGTGGTTGGCAAGCTAGTCACAAAGTAAATTGATTGATGTTGGATGGCCCATTCAGTCTCAGGGGGAGTATCCTTGTGGTGAGGTGTACTGTGAGAGCACAGCACAGCCCATCCCTGTGGTCTTTCCATTTTGGACATTTTTCTGGACTCTGGTAGATCTGAAATTCAACATAAAAATGTGATTCTTAATTTCTAGAGATCTGGATGCTCTGCCTTCCAGCTATGCCTGTTTTTTATATGTGTAAGTATTAGGCAGTGGGAGCTACAAATGCTTTGTCAGTCCTATTCATTAATGGGTTCTACCTGATTTATTTTTTGTTAAGAAACAAAAATAAATTAAAATGCGACTTATCTAATTAGAATGGCTTCCAAAATATGCCTTTCGGATATTCAGCTGGTTAATTTGAAAAGACCTGTAAATCTTCTAGGCTCATCCTTATGTTTTTTGTAAAATCCTGCAATAAATTTCTATAATTTCAGGCTGCCTGAGCATCCATTTTTGAATCCTCTGTGTCTCATCTAACTGACGCACCTGAACCCAATACTTCTACTCATCAAGGTTCTCCTAGAGAGTGGCTATCTTGATAAGCCTGTCAGACCAAAGCTAGAGTTTATAGCCTCTTTCCAGACTAAATCTTCAAGACCAAATTAGGAAAAAGTGCAACAAATCTAGTTTTAGAAGAAATGAATATTTTCTCCACCCCGATAAGCTTTGGAAACATTCAGACCTAAAATCTAGTCCACAGCTTCCATAAAATTTCTCTGACAGTACACACTATGCTCTAAGCACTTTCCTAGAGATAAAATAAAACAGAAACTAACTGAAATTACCTTCAGCTTATATGACATGAGATAATCTTTGTTAAATAAAGGTAGTTTTAAAACTGTTGGTGAAATAAAAATATAAGTGTCTTCAGAATTGTCAGCATACAGTTTTTGCCTGGGATTCTTAGTCAGACAGGTTTGTGCTGTCTCTACTAGATGCTTTAAAATCACAAAACTATAAATGCAACCTAACAGCAGAACACACAGTAAAGATGAGTTACTTAATTACTTAACACATGTCAGTCAAAAAAGTTTCAAATGTTTAACTTCTGTCTTTTTTTTCCTTCTGTGATATTTTTGATACTTCCCTAATTTATTGGTGAGCTGTTGGGCTCTCCTGAAGGCATGCATACATCTTGCTATTGGCATATATCTTTAGTTTTAAGTTTCTGGATTCTGGCATATGAACAGATGGTTATGGTAAAGCCTGGGGACATGTGTGTGACCACAGCATCTCAGCTGCCAGCTGCAGGACAGGGCCATGCCCAGTAGGACCCATTCTGTGTCTAGTGTCTTAGAGGCCTTGGTTAGAACAAGGCTGACTGATTCAGGGTTAGCTTGATTTTGCTTTTTAAAAAATAACTGAAATAGGCAGCTTTGTTTTCCATGAGCAATTCAAATATAATTGTTCAAAACAAATAGGAAAATGTAAATGAGATAAACAGTTATAAATAAACTTGTCATAATTTTTTTTTTAGATGGAGTCTCACTCTGTCACTGAGGCTGGAGTACAGTGGTGTGATCTCAGCTCACTGTAAGCTTCAACTCCCAGGTTCATGCCCTTTTCCTGCCTTATCCTCCTGAGTTGCTGGGACTACAGGTGCCCGCCAGAATGCCTGGCTAATTTTTTGTATTTTTAGTAGAGACGGGGTTTCACCGTGTTAGCCAGGATGGTCTTGATCTCCTGACCTTGTGATCTACCCATCTTGGCCTCCCAAAGTGCTGGGATTACAGGCGTGAGCCACTGCACCTGGCCATAAACTTGTTATAATTTAAAAAATCTTTGCAGTAATTTAAAATCTTAAAGTCATATTATATTAAATTAATAGATAATCATGAAGTGTCTGAGTCATTTCTAAATAAGTTAAAATACTAAAACATTAATTATTAAACATAAATTTAAGTTTATATATTTTGGTATATTGCTTTTATATGATACGAAAGCTAAATATATCTAGATATGTTAATAAACACAAAAATGAGAAAAGTATCTCTCTAAAATATATAAAATAGTTTTAGTTTACAGAATACAGATTTACAATTGCTAAGGATTAAAATTCTAATTAATATATGTAATTAAAACTACTATATACAAGAGAAATATTTCTGTAACAAGGAAAGTAAAATGTTATAAGAATGTGTTTTTGTTGAGAAAAAATAATTTTGTCTAGCTTAAAGTTTATTTAAAGGTGATTTAAAAGTGAAGAAAGAAAAAATAATATAGGCAAAACTAAATGTCTAACACATTTAAAAAGAAGATAAAATGTAAGAGGATATGAAGCGTTTATAAAAATCTTATCTGTGTGGTCAAAGCTAAGATTGGATGGATTTCTTTATAAGGTTTTATAAAATTAGCTTTAGTATTCATAATACACTGATACAAGAATAAAATTTCGTTTTCTCTTTTGAGCAAGATTTTAAAGTAGTATTAATAAGGGATAGTAAAAGATTTCTTTCACATTAGAGTAAACTGCAAAAAAAAAAGGAAAGGTGAGGTACAGAAACAGATTCTATGTGCTTCAGCAGACTGTCTTTATTAGATCTTTTCACTATTTGGGAAACTGAGGCTTTTCTCTGTTGAAGAGTAAAAGTTTTTGATTTTAAAAATCTTTTAGTTAACATTGTAGTTAAATGAATGATAATTATTTCATAATGATCTATGATCCTATTTTGATCAAGTGTTTTAATCCTTTCACATATTTGACAGGTTTACCAAAATTAAATTTCAAATTCTAAGTTATCTTTTTGACCTCAAACTAACTGTAGGATGTTCCAGAGGGTCCCTGAAGCTTCTGAAAAAAAATAATGAAACAAATCAGGCTTATTTAATATGGGAAGTGTTGTTAAATAGAAAATAATGATTACTGGGGCTGGGTGTAGTGGCTCATGCCTGTAATCCCAGCACTTTGAGAGGCCGAGGCAGGTGGTTCATGAGGTCAGGAGATCGAGACCATCCTGGCTAACAAGGTGAAACCCCATCTCTACTAAAAGCACAAAAAAATTAGCCAGGTATGGTAGCAGGAGCCTGTAGTCCCAGCTACTCGGGAGGCTGAGGCAGGAGAATGGTGTGAACCCAGGAAGCCAGAGGTTGCAGTGAGCCAAGATCGTGCCACTGCACTCCAGCCTGGGCAACACAGTGAGACTCAGTCTCCAAAAAAAAAAAAAGAAAAAAGAAAAAAGAAAATAATGATTACCATTCTATGCATTATATTTGTATGGATGTGTTATTAATATGAGTTCTAAAATGGTATGAAAGTCTTAAAATTCTGACATGTCTTGGTATATGTTAGTGATAATTATGACTATTAAGTTGTTGTAGGCCACAGAAAATAATAAAATTTCATTGTCGATTGCATTTTTAACTGTACCCATTTTAATCTTTTGATCATAGTTAATTGCTTTACTCTGATACTCTTTTAAAAGCATTTTACAATCTGCTATAATTGGAATTTACCTCTTCAAGAAAATTCATGAAAAGGACTCTGACAAGTGCTCTTAAACACAAATTTCTGATAACTTTTAAGATAATACAATTGTACTGAGTAAAAATTTCAGAACTCTAATAAAAGTGACTCAAAATTATTAACAACATCAAGCAGAACAAGAATTAGTTACCTGCGACTGAACTGATAAAGGATTATTATTTTTAATGGCTTTTTGTTTGAGGCATTGCTGATTCTTTTGGACTTCCATAGCTTTACAGCAATTTTGTAAAGTATACTCTTGTGATAAGAATGAAAACCTCTGCCTTTCTTTTTACTTGATGTATTTAAAATTTGGAAACTATTGGTCAGTATTCTTATCGTTTATCAATATAGATATTTGCATAAGTTAATAAGAATCTGTTCTTCATGCTGGGTTCTGTGGCTCATGCCTATAATCCTAGCACTTTGGGAGGTTGAGGTGGGTGGATCACTTGAGACCAGGTGTTTGAGACCAGCCGGGCCAACATGGTGAAACCTTGTCTCTACTAAAAATACAAAAATCAGCTGGGTGTGGTGGTGCACACCTGTAGTCTCAGCTACTTGGGAGGCTAAGGCAGGGGCATTGCTTGAACCTGGGCGGTGGAGGTTGCAGTGAGCCAAGATGGCACCACTGCACTCCAGCCTGGATGACAGAGTGAGACTGTCTTGAACAAAACAAAACAAAAATCTGTTCTTCTGACATTAGGGTGACTGAAAACCCTGAGTATTTTACCAAAGTTTTGAGTGGAAGGGGACCCGAGCAGGTTGCCGCTGCTAGCTGGGGGTGGCCAGCTTTTATCCCCTTGTTTGTCCCCTCCCATGTCCTGTTTCTGTCCTATCAGAATGCCCTTTTCTCAATCCTCCCCACGATTGGTTACTTTTAGAATCTTGCTGATAGGTCAGTTTTACAGAGTGCTGATTGTTCCATTTACAGAGTGCTGATTGGTGCATTTTACAAACCTCTTGCTAGCTACACAACACTGATTGGTGCGGTTTTACAGAGCGCTGATTGGTTCATTTTATAAACCTCTTGTTAGCTACAGAGCACTGATTGGTGCATTTTACAATCCCCTTGTAAGAAAAGTTCTCCAAGTCCCCACTTGACCCAGGAAGTCCAGCTGGCTTCACCTCTCAATTTTACCAAAGCTTTGATTGGAATGTCATATTTTCAGATACCACCAGACTGTTTTCAGGGTTTGAAGTTCACTTTTATGGATCCAATTAAAAAAAATAAAATTTGAAAAACTGGCCTGATACCTTGTCCACAGCCTTTCCTTTCAGGATTTTTAGAATTGTGGTAAGTAGGCTAAGCATGGTGGCTCACGCCTGTAATCCAGCACTTTGGGAGACTGAGGCGGGCGGATCACAAGTTCAGGAGATTGAGACCATCCTGGCTAATACGGTGAAACCCCGTCTCTACTGAAAATACAAAAAAATAGCTGGATGTGGAGGCAGATTCCTGTAATCCCAGCTACTCAGGAGGCTAAGGCAGGGAAATCACTTGAACCTGGGAGGCGGAGTTTGCAGTGAGCTGAGATTGCATCACTGCCCTCCAGCCGATGTGACAGAGTGAGACGCCATCTCAAAAAAAAAAAAAAAAAAAAAAAAAAGAATTGTGGTAAGTAAAGAATGTCACTTTCTGACAGGCCAAGGAAACTCAAGATATTTTGGGGACCTCATAAATAGAGTAGATTAAGCAATTTGTACAGGTATTACCGACACAATTTGAGGGTGAGTCAAATCTTTGCCTGGCTTCATAAGACTCCAGAGGCTTTTAAAAGTCTAATCTAATATTCTTTCTGAAAAGTTCTAGCAAAGTTAACTTTAAAAGAGCCTATATGATAAATCACTATTCCTCTTGTACTTTATGCAAATAATCAGTCCAAGTTAATGAGACTAAACTTAATTTGCAGATAAATTAGTCTTATCATGATTATTTTTGGTAAAAATTGGGGAAACTGGAGAGAGAAAATTATGTTTCAGAAGAGAAGCTATAGCCAGATTGCCACTCTCTGCTCTTACTCCATCTAAACATGTTTCAAGTCTAACATCTAAAAATGTTCTCGACTGCTGCCTTCTGGACTCAAAAAATAAAAACGACTGAATTTTATGGTTTGATGTAACCATTAACCTTTTTCTTTTATTTCCATAACAATGCCTCTTATTAGATATGTGATTGCTTACACTATATAGAGCCCTGATATAGATATATATGATATATAGACGGCAGAAGCCCAACTGCAGCAGCACTGCCTAAAATGAAAAACAACTATTAACCGTTGAACTGGACTGTCCTATTCTCAGGACTGAGAGACTGATTCAGTTGCTTATGAGACATCCACCAACCCAATTTTTTAGCCCCAAAACTTCTTGGGGGAAGTTTCAGACTGGGGAATATTGAGGCTCAGACAATGATACCCCAAAATAAAGGCCTAAGAAGCGGCCTCAGAAGCAAAGTCTCTCCCTGACGTTCTCTTGCTCTCCTGTTTTTTGTCCTTCATTTTTCCCTGAGACAAACTATAGAAACTAGAATTCCTCTTTCCCAACCAAGGCAAGTCATAGAAACCAGAACCCATTTTTCTCAAAGTCATCCATAATGCTTAAACATATTACTTTAACTGTCCCTTCTCCCAACCTTTCTGTGTAACATCTGGGCATAAAGAAATTAAGACTCTCCTTCTAGAGGGGTCCTATACTGTACCTGGAAGGAGGAATGCTGTACAGAGAGGCTGAGAAAATTCTGAATAGACAGGTCTTGCTGAGTTTCTCCACTTAGTCACACCATTAGATCATACCCTTTTTTTTCTTTCATATTTCTATGGGGCTGCCCATTCTTCACTGGACCTAAGCATAAAAATAGTTTACCTTGCATCTTTATGTCTTCATTTTGAAGGCTCCAATGTCACATAAAACTATAATCAAGTACATTTATTATGCTTTTCTCTTGTTAACCTGTCATTGTTATACGGGTGTCGGCTGTGACCTTTATGATGGGGATGAAAGGGATCCTCCCTTTCCACCCTGATAGCTGTTTAATGATCACTTGAAAAATAAAGACTATAAAAAGATTCTAAAGGACATATATGAAAACAATGGTATATGTACCACAAATCACTTATATTTTAACATATAAAAATATGTTGCCCAGATGATAGGAATATTGACCAGTTCAAATTACATTTTTTTTTTTTTTGAGGCGGAGTCTCACTGTTGTCACCAGGGCTGGAGTGCTGTGGTGCAATGTCGGCTCACTGCAATATCTGCCTGCAGGGTTCCAGCAATTCTCCTTCCTTAGCCTCCCGAGTAGCTGAGATTACAGGCGCCCACCATCACACCTGGCTAATTTTTGTATTTTTAGTAGAGATGGGGTTTCACCATGTTGGCCAGGCTGGTCTCGAACTCATGACCTCAGGTGGTCCACCTACCTCAGCCTCCCAAAGTGCTGGGATTACAGGCACCAGTTTAAACAAGTTTATAATTCAGTCAGCTCACCATCATCTTAGAAGTTAAGCAATTCTCGATGTATGTAATTTTTTTTCTTTTTTTGAGATGGAGTCTCACTCTGTCGCCCAGGTTGGAGTGCAGTGGTGTGATCTCGGCTCACTGCAAGCTCCCCCTGCCAGGTTCACACCATTCTCCTGCCTCAGCCTCCCAAGTAGCTGGGACTACCGGTTCCCACCACCACACCCAGCTAATTTTTTGTATTTTTAATAGAGATGGGGTTTCACCATGTTAGCCAGGATGGTCTCAATCTCCTGACCTCGTGATCTGCCCACCTTGGCCTCCCAAAGTGCTGGGATTACAGGCGTGAGCCACCACGCCCGGCCAATGTATGTAATTTTTTGACTTTCTATTATGCATTAAATGAGATTCATAAACATGTTTAATTTCTTGTTAATTTCATACAAAATATGGTCTTATTAAGTACAACCTCCATCCCATGGCTAAGCTACTATTATACTCTTTACTGTTGGTAGAACAGATGAGAGAGTGTAGAATGACCATGCAAAAGCTATTATTGCTAAAAGGGGTAAATTTTGTTTAATCTTCTAGGTGATTACTCATTCACTTGTATAGTTAAAATTACATTTGTGTATGTGTAGGGGAGAATTTTCTTAGCTCTTCAAGTCATTTTACCTTTTAAAGTTCCACATTAATTTTAGAGAATAATAGTTGTGGGTTCTGGGCCTAGAGCCCAGTACTCTATATCCTAATCTCTCATTTGAATTTGTCACTCTGTGAACTTATTCGTGTCATTTAACCTTTCTTTTTAGCTTCTCAACCTATGAAGAAGAGTCGCTTTTTATTGTTATACTGAAATCAATACTATTATATTTTAAAATGCCTTCAAATCTATACAACCTATAAAAAGGGCTTAGGTTATATTTTATGAGCACTTTTATTAAAATTGAGTTTTCTTTCCTTAAAGTCAGTGCTAATACTACAAGGAGAAAAGCATTTTCCAAGATAGGTACTCCGTTCACATTCCTGGCATACAAAAGACAATGATTTCATGTAAGAGACTGCCAGGTATGCCTTTGGGCTTTATATTAATTTGTGAAACATTACTTTCATTATGTTTCCTGTTCAAAAATTATGCACATTTGAATCAAAGCCCAATGACAGTGTCTAGTAACTGAAAAATATTTATTTCTCCTTGGAAATCATATCTGCTTAATTACCCAATCTTTTGGGAACACAGCCAAAGCCTGGAGTGAGTCTTTTGTTGCAGAAAAAAAAAAGAGAGAGAAAAATAATTTGGTGCTGAGGGGAAACAACTATCTTACAGCTCTTGTGGCCATCCTGTCATGTTTTGAATTGCCCTGCTAACCTGCCATTGTCATCTGGTTTCATGTCACTGGAGTTTGTGTCATATGATAACCCCAAGGTAAAGAACTCTGTTCCTTTACTATATTTCTTTTTGCTTCTGCTCTCTCATATTCTTGTCCATCTTGCTTTGGCTTGTTCATATTCTGGGAGTAATGGGGTGAAGTTGATATAAGACATTTTACTCTCAGTTACTCAAGGGCTAATTATCCAGTCTATTGATTGCTTGGTCCAGCCTCTGCTTTTCCTGTCTTTAAGAGGGTGGTTGACCGCCCACTAGCACTTAAACCAGACAAGAGTAGGGGGTGGAGAGAGAAAGTGATAAAATTCAAATCTATCTATTTGCAGCTTATTAGTAGTGCTAGTTAAGAGCTTAGGTGAATGGCAAAAATGTGGTTTAGGAACACCTGTAGATTTAATTTAGTCTTATTTTTCCTTGTCATCTCTTACCATGGATAATTGGGTTGGCTTCATTTCCCTATGTTCATATAGTTAATTCTCAGAAGTTGGGCTTTTTATTACTTTGGAGCAGTCACTTAATTGGCACTTAAGGCATTTCAGGAAGCTATGGGGATAAGCTTACATTTTTCAAGTAAGGAAACTGAGACACACAGTCTTGAAACTGAGGAAGGGTACTTGGAGGAATCATGGGTAACAGTGACTTTTTTCACTCTTTGGTATGCGTTCACAGATACATAGATATGATAGTAACATCTAATGGTAATTCATCTTATCCAGTGGTTTCTCACAGTGGTGTCTGAATCACCACTACAGCCATGCAGAGTTGTGATTTCAGACTTGGCTTGGGGTTTGTTTCTCAGTTGTGCTATTTCTTCCAGATGATTAAACTTCAGCTAGAAGAATGTATGGAATATAGTAAACACTCAAAAAAGAGTCAGTTTAATTCAAATTGTAGTAATAATAGTTGTAGTGGTGGTAGTACTAATAGTCATAAAGTTTCTGAGTTATTTCAAAAGAAATTTCTATTTCAAAAAAAAGTTATTTCTATTTCAAAAAGAATAAATGAAATCATACTGGTGGCAAGGCCATGTAGGCTGTGACTTAATTAATGTAGGCTTATATAGTATTAGAATCTCAAAGTTTGGTTTTATGAGTTTGTCTTTCATAGTAGAAAGGTTGGGAATCAATGATCCAATATAATTCCCTTATTTTGTAAAGACAAAAACACAGGTCCAAAGAATACAAGTATTTTCCCAAGGTCACCCAACAGGATAAGGGCAGATGCCAACAGAACAAGAAATGATGGACTAGTGAATCCTAAGTGAATTTTTTCCCACAATTACACTGGTGTTAGGTCATCAATGATGTAACTCCTACAACTAAATGACATATTTATCTTCTCTATTCTGAATAGTCCTCACTGCCTGTATTCTTAATTTCTTGATTGGAAATGGGACAAAGAAATAATTTTTATGAACCAAGAGAAAATAAAGATGATGACAGCAAATCCTTATGGTGAAGCAAAATGCAAAGGCTAAAATTATAGGCTAGATTAAGTGCTCTGCTATGGCAGAGATAGTCAACTGTCTGTTTTATGTTCCCTCTTAATAACATGGAGACATCCCTGGGGAGTGAGCAGAGATACCTTTGACACATGGTTGTCTAGCAGAAATTACATTTTACAACCCTGTTTGCATTTAGGTGTGGCTATGTGAGCTACTTCATACAAATAGAATATCAGTGGAAGTAATTATGTGTCATTTCTAAGGCAAGTCTTTTAGAAAATAGATATGCCCTTTCCATATCCTTTCTTCATTCACCAGCTGCTGCAAAGAACTGCAACACCCTAGGGTATAGAGGAGCTACAAGATCCTTGGATCCTGGGTCCTTGAATCACCACATGGAAGAAAGCAGCACTTTTGATAGGAATATTTGCATTGAACTTCTAAGTGAAATAAACTTCTGTCATCACAAACTAATGACATTTGAGGGAGGTATGCTAATGCTAATCCAAATAATATCTGTACTTTTTTCACAATGAATGTGATAAACTGCAGTATCTAAATCAAAGTATATATGCATTATTTTTTACAGAAAGAAAATTCAGTTTGGCATAAGTTTTGCTGTTTGTTTTGAAAAGGCTTCTTGCAGTTATTTGACAAGGTGTTCATATTAATTCGCTCAGTAATGCTAAATACATACATTTACAGAATTCTTCTCAAATAATGTTTTGTAATGGCAAACAAAATTAATTACGTGTCAAGTTATTCAGATTAAAAACAATCATGAGCAGAACATCCTGAAGAGCACATACCTACACACATAAGAAAGCATGAAGTCAAAGAAAGCAACAGTAATCTAATACATACTTTTAATAAGTGTAATATGACTTGGCCATTGATGCTATAAAATTTATAGTAATTCATGTGAATGAATTTCTATATATATAGTGAATGAATTTCTATAGTGAATTTCTATAACCAAGATTTATTTTCATAGTGAAATCAATTTTTGTAGATTTTTTTCTCTGTTTATTACTTCACTAGTGTCTCAAAACTATGCCAAAGTTGACAGTTCCTTTTCATACCATTCACCATTTAATAATCGTATATTCACATCAAGACATGTGCACACATTTTAAAAGATAAAGTCTTGCATCTAGCCACCACCAGCACCCCAGTTCCTTATAGATGTTTTCCTTCAATGTTTTATCTAAGCTCTCATGCCAGACCTTTATTCATGTCCCTCACTCTCTGCCAGTCTTTATTGATTCCCTGACATGCGGCCTTTCATCTCAGGCAACCTTTTTTTGTTTTTGTTGTTCAGCATTGAATATTTCCTTTATTAACTTATTTTTATCTGATTATAAAAATTATAAACATAGAACCACTAGAACACAAGTGAGAATAAACAAGAGTTTTTAAATGATCTGCGATCACAATTCTCAGTACCATATTCACTTTAACACAGATACATTTTTTAAACAAAAGTTGGACCTGCCATTTAATGTCATATTTCTACCTGGCAGCTTTTAGAACAAATATTGGAAAGCTGGCTACATTAAATCCTTACTTTGAAAATTAGGTTTTAGTGCATGTGAAGGAAAGTGAAGTTTAATAAAAAGTTCAGAATAAAATTTTGGGCAATTTTACAGCATATGCAATTCCTAAGAATCCTCAGGTTTTAAAAGATTGAATATTTATTTATAAATAACAACATCTAATAATATATTATTTATAATTTCTTCAAACCCATACTAATACTATTTTTGGAACTGTTATGAATTATTAAGTTGCCTAATACTTTGAGCCTACTCATCTTGAGGACTGAATTCAGTTTTCAGTCGTTTCTAAGCTTATATTAAAGTCTTGGAGCCCAGCACAGTGGCTCATGTCTGTAATCCAAGTACTTTGGGAGGCCAAGGTGGGTGGGTTACCTAAGGTCAGGAGTTCAAGACCAGCCTGGCCAAACTTGGCAAAACCCCATCTCTACTAAAAATACAAAAAAAAAAAAAAATTAGCTGGGCATGGTGGCAGGCACCTGTAATCCCAGCTACTCAGGAGGCTGAAGCATGAGAATTGCTTTAACCCTGGAGGCGGAGGTTGCAGTGAGTCAAGATTGCACCACTGCACTCCAGCATGGGCAACAAGAGCAAAACTCAGTCTCCAAAAAATAAAATAAACAAATAAATAGATAAAGTCTTGGTCGTTAAAAGCCTTGGATGACTAAGGTTTAGAACTGCCTTAAAGAGAGTTCTGAGTCAAGAACCTGTGGGTGGCTTCTGTTGGAGGAATAGTTAAATCACCATGCTAGATCAGGGCTGATAAGCCAGTTTTCTAGGAGGGCAGCTTCCAGATTCCATGGCTATAAATGTAAGCAATTTTGCCAGCTACTTCACTCAGTAATATTGTGCACAGCACAATGTGAGCTATGAGTCTACTTTCTCTCTAGTTCAGTTGCCTCATTCCTCTTACAGTGTGGGCACATCGCAACACTGAGAAGGATCAAAGCAAATATTTTCCATACAACATAACTCTTAAACTTCATCAGTACTCAACTAAGAGACAGTAACTTGACTTGAAAACTGTAGGGGAAAAAACGACCACGAAGGGTTAGTGTTGAATTTACTGAAAACATATGTAATTGAGCAAAATTATTGACATAATAATTTTATGACATATCCAATGTAATGTGGATTCTACATGATTTTCTGCATGTTAACAGACTTCAGAACTAATTTCTGAGTAAGACTCAGGAATTAGGGTCTATTAGAGTTGGAAGAAACATATTATGCTTCATGTTTCTTTCATAGCCTCATAGCTCCTGGTGAGGAGTAATTTCCCCCTGCCTTTCTTTCTTTGCTTTCTTCCTTCCTCCTTCTTTTATTCTTTTTTTTTCTTTTCTAATGGGACGAGCCCCATTGAATTTGCGACAACATGAGATTAAGTGTGTGGGTTTCCCACATGTACTGCACACTTTTTTTGTTTTTGTTTTTGTTTTTTTTTTCCCCATTTCTCTGATACAACTGAATTAAGCTTGCCTTCAGAATCAGTCTGAGAGGTGGCTGGTAAAATTTTTTTTGGCAAAACAAAAAGACCTGCCTGAACTTCATCCCAGAAATCTAACCTATTCCCACTTTGAGCTTTACCTTTTTGTCTTTGAACAATAACTTCACCTTTCCCTGTCTCTAACCGGACATGATTTTTATATTCCACAAACAGAAATTTGAATTAAAATGCACGTCTCAGGAAAAATCAGTTTTTGACTTAGAATCATTTGTGTTGGGAGTCAAAAATTGCTCTAAGCCTTTAACTTTAAAACAAAGAGGAGAGTTTGAAGTATATGTGTTGAGGGTGGGGGCAGTGAGGGATTGGAGGTTTGGAAGTGGGATAAATTCACAACTCAGGAAGATTAGAGACCACAGAAAAAAGCTGGGTGTAAATTTCCTACTTCATCTTTCTGCCCAAAGCCAGCTCTGTTCCTCTTCAGCTATGTGAGTGCAAATAAAAAAGAGAGGCATTGAAAATACGCTACTGACACAATCCGTTTTTCCGTGTTCCTTTTTACAGAATTTGCTTTTGCAACTAGGGAATACGTACCAACATTTTGGAATGATCTTGCTGACAGTTCAAGAAGAATGTAATCAATAGACACAGGGTTGCTAATCAACTCATCTGGTTTTGTTGTTGTTGTTGTTGTTATGGGGTGATGGTGGGGCAATCATATTCCATTTCTATTGACAGAAATCTGATTCAGAAGTAATTATTGGCAGCATCCCTTTTCTGTGCCAAAGAAATGATTTTCTTTCAGTATAAATGCCATAATAAACTTATTTTGTGAGGGAAGAAGAGAGATGAATGAACCTTGGCATTCCCTTGTTTATACTCAGAACATAGCTATTCGTTAATTTTATTATGCTGCAAAGTAAAATGTGCAAGTTTATCTTTTAAAATAACTCAAGAAATGACAACGAATTGCAAAGGATAGCATAAGAATATGGAGGGGCAAAAAGAGAGAATAAAATGTTTTGTTTTCTCCACAGGAAATTAAGCGAAATATATTAAACTTTTCTTTAAAATAAATATTAATGATCAGTAATTCAATTTCCTGTCTGTTTGTGTTTTAAATCCTGCAGCGTTCGTTCTGGTTGCTTTGATGTCCAGTCTGTTTTTGTTATCACTGGGCTAACACAGTGAAAGACAGTGTTGTACTCTGCCCAGGGCTCTAACAAGTCTCTTTGAAACTTTGGAAATAGTTTGCCACTAAAGGACTCAGAAAAATCACTGCCTTTCCTGTTGTTATTTATTATAATCTGTAAGTGGAAAAATTGCTATTCTGAAAGAAAAAGTTAATATATTTAATGCTTTATTCAATTAGACCTATTGTTTTCTGATGGCCCCCAGAATGTTTGGAAACACTCTATAAAATTAACATCTAGGTACAAAAGACTCCCAGTAAATAGTTACAACAACAACAAAAACAAGAAAAAATTAACAAAGCAGCAAAATGAAAACTGATAAATCCTTAAATTTCAGGGGAATGTGTCAGGAAATGTTTCCCATTTCAAATCATAACAGATAGGAAAAATTGCATAGGTGATGTATCATACAAACTGAACTTGAGCACTTTTTCTTTTCTCTAAACGCAGTTCAAAATGGTCTCATCTTTATTATAGTCTTTAAATAATTATTAGGCTTAATTGCCACAGTTCATAGAAATTTTAAAATTAGCAAGTGGTGCTTATCTCTCCGCAGTGCTCAGTGTTAATAAAACATGCTGCTCCATAAACACATTTCACATCATATTTGTCCATGATTATTTCATTGCTTTTCCAAGTACAGATGCCAGCAAACAAAGTGTTGCTGAATTCCTGTAATTACCAGCATTTGCCTCGATTTGGGTCCATGAAGTATGTAGTCAATCTCTATTGTCTTCTGCCTCTGTTTTGAATCTGTCCCCAGTGCAGGAATGTCAAAAACACCATTTAGCAACACAGCCTGCTCAATTTTAAAAAGGGAAAATCACATTCAAGCTACTAATTAAGAAAAGAAGAGAAGTGAGCTGTGAATTAAAAAAAAAAAACTACCTTCTAAAAGGCTTTAACAAGAAACTTGCAACTCTGCTGCATTCAGAAAAAGAATGATCCTTATTTATCAAAGCTAAATTCTAATATAGCAGTTAGAGGTGAGATTTAACTGACTTGTTAATATTTTAAAAACAGCCAAGTAAATGAAAATTCAAGTAATTTCTATTTCTTTTCTATCTTTAAAGGGGAGCTTAATTAACTGATTTTTTTCAGCTATCTAACACTCCTTTGTTAGAAGATTCTTCCATCCACTTAAGATCCTTTTGATATTTTGTTAAATGTGCATTCCTTTGAAAAACTACACTGATGCCCTATCATGCCCAGATATTTGGCAAAATTGTCATAGAGTTGTTTCTTCAATAGAATACTTCTACCAAATAATTTGTCTTAATGATTCTCAGAACATTTAGGATAAATCATGTTGATCACCATTTGATTTTGATCAAAATCATATATTGATCACTAAGCGTAAATAATTTAAAACGGTAAATACCAAACAGTAAGAAAATCCTTCTTCCATGTAATATTACAATATGGAGACTACTTCAGCAATAAGTAAGTGAAAAATACCAGTTGTAGATCTGGAAGTAGAATCCAAGCAGGCTCTATAACCATATGTAGTTTGAGCACAGGAATTATGTCATAGGTTATTCTTTCTAAATTAATTATTTATTACTTTAATGCTATATGTAGATTGATAAAAAATATGAAAAGGTAAGTATGCTCAGCCATACTTTGCTGATTTGGTCTAACAGAGTAAATTATAGCAGGAACAGAGTTCTGTTAAACTATTTGAATACCTTATGCTTCTTTATGTTTCCCATGATACTTTGAAAGTGGTAGTGTAGACAATTGCCCTTACTTCTACTGTCATTCTCCTAGAAATAAGAAATACATTAAAGTCTATCAATAGCTCACCATGTTTACGATCTCACTTTTTCTACCTTAGGACCTAGGCCCAGGGGCACTTACAGAGGCCAGCCACTAGATGCTGCTAGTATTCTTTCCATTGAGTAGTATTCTGCCAAGCAAGCTTTCCATTCCAGGATGTCAAAAGACATTGAAGTTTTTCTCAAATTGGCGCCATTTGACCTTCACCCATAGCTGTAGCTTCGTTGCTATCTACAGTCTATTCCTTACCTTGGGTAGCAGGTATTTAAAGAGGTCTAATTTTTGAGACTTACCATTAAATCATCTTGGAAGATATTTTTCCAGTCCTTATCTGAATTTTATTTTCCTACATGCCTGCATTTCTGTCTTGGACCTCATGCAGTGCCCATGAAGGGCTGGATTCTTGGCAGTCTCCCTTCTCCCTTCTCCTTTTACCTTCAAATTACTAGAATTTTACTTATCAACTTGATTTTGACAACTAGGTCCCTGCTACCTTTTGAGTGTTTGCCCAGCCTTCTAACTGCTGACCCATCTGGATTTTCTATTAGTTAAAATACATGTTCTATGTATATATTCAAAGTTAGGTCAGATAGCAGGGCAATATGGCTTCACTTTGGTGCTCAAATAAATACACGATTTTAACTTACTAGCTGGCTGAAAGAGTATCTCTTTTTTATGGCCACTCTTCACTCTCATCTCTTTCCACCAAGCTGTTTAGTAGAGTAAAATAGATGAAGATAATGTTCTCTGATAGAGGGAATTGTTCTTTGTCCAAGATTTTGGAAATAGTCTCTCTTTTCTATGATAATATTAAAATTTTGAGTCTTATTTGAATGAATTTTGTTGCCTAAAAAATTACAACTTTAACAGGTACTTATAATGAGATATTTTCTAAAATAGTAACATATTTGAGATTATTTTGGTAAATAATATATTTTTATTTCAAATCTCAGAAAGATATTGAACTAAAACTTCAGGCCGGGCGCGGTGGCTCACATCTGTAATCTCAGCACTTCAGGAGGCCAAGGCGTGCAGATCACGAGGTCGGGAGATCGAGACCATCCTGGCTAACACGCTGAAACCCCTTTTCTACTAAAAATACAAAAAAAATTAGCTGGGCGTGGTGGCATGTGCCTGTAGTCCCAGCTACTCAGGAGGCTGAGGCAGGAGGATGGCGTGAACCCCGGAGGCGGAGCTTGCAGTGAGCCGAGATCGTGCCACTGCACTCCAGCCTGGGCGACAGAGAGAGACTCAGAATTAAAAAAAAAAAAAAAAAAAAAAGGCATGTTTTATATAATTGGATAAGTAGTAAATGGGTTAGTAAATTTCTGACTTTTAAAATCAACTAAATACTGAACATTTCAATTCCAATATATATGTTAACATAAAAATCACATTTGAATTGAAAGCTAAATGCCAAGATAGTTGCCAAGCCCTGAAACAAGTTTTGTATTTTTTAACTTGTTCAGGAAAAGGTATTGGTCTTACAACTCCATGCTTGCAGATGTAGGGATTGGTTGCAAGTAATAATAATAATATAAAATTCCCAGTATAAGCATACTAGGAAGACCTGACCAGAGATGTCCTAATAAACCAGTAAATATATGTATACCACTATGACTAGTATATAAAGCAAAACTCTGAAAGATACTCTGCTGCAGGAAAAATTGGAAATGTTTATGCTTTTTATGGGTTTGGGTTTTTAGCTTTAAAAATTGATACTTGTTTAGTAACATAATATCTAAGGGTAAATCACATCCTGATACCCATGTTTCTACTTGAATAACAGAATTTACATTTATATTTATCCTCCAAATCATATAGCTCAGGTTTACACTCCCAACAAGGCTCCTTCTCCATAAGACTTTGTATACATTTAATAATACTTCTTCAAAAATAAAGCAGATGTATTTACTCTAGCTCCTGTAGTTCTAATTTTGTTGAACTAAGCATGTAGTTCTAAGCATGAGATGGCTTAATGACATTGGTCTTTTTTGTGTGTGTGTGACAGAGTCTCGCTCTGTTGACAGGCTGTAGTGCAGTGGTGCTATCTCGGCTCACCTCCACCTCCTGGGTTCAAGAGATTCTCCTGCCTCAGCCTCCCAAGTAGCTGGGACTACAGGTGTGCACCACCATGCCCAGCTAATTTTTTTATTTTTTTAGTAGAGATGGAGTTTCACCATGTTGGCCAGGATGGTCTTGATCTCTTGACCTCGTGATCCAGCCGCCTCAGCCTCCCAAAGTGCTGGGATTACAGGTGTGAGCCACTGTGCCCAGCCACATTGGTCTTATTTTATCAACCCTACTCAGACATAGAAATCATTTAGATAACGATGATTAAGCTTCCTAGCAATTCATTTTATTTTCTTTTTTAGGGGGGAGGGTAGTTTGTTGGAAGCAAAACAGTAAAGAACACATGAAGTGATAGAATTTGATAAATTTTAGAACATTTATAGAAGATATAAGTATAGCAGAAGTAATACATTAAAGTTGTAATAGTAATTTCGTTGGATGAAGACAAGCATACAATCTTACTGCTTTTATTTTTTATTTATATTTTTTATCTAGATTGTCTGATAGCTTAAGTTTATATTCTAGTGGGGTAACTAAGTTGCTCCATGTGCATTAGTACAATGACAATCATAGCTAAAATTTGCATGTAGTGTTGACTATAAGCTGGGCACTGTTTTAAGTGCTTTCACATATATTAACATTTTTCACCTTCAAAACAACTTATATGGGACATGGAAATTTTTTCATATAAGGAAATGAGGTTGCAGAAAAGTTAGGTAACTTGTGTAAGGTCACCATAAAGTAATGCTTAGAAATCTGATTTGAACTTAAGCAGTGTGATTTCAGAGTTCAATTTTTAAACATGCTGCAGCATCTGGTTTTATGTATAGCCCTAGGTATAGATTCACCTCTTTGTCACATTTTATGTGTATGTATGTGTGTGTGCATATGATATATTTTTTCTTAAAAGCATTTACTCACTCTAAAAATTTAAAAGCATTATCCAGGTGTGGTGCCACACTTGTAGTCCCAGCTATTCAGGAGGCAGAGGCAGGAGGATTGCTTGAGCCCAGGAGTTCAAGACTGCAGTGAGCTATGATTGCCCCACTGCACTACAGCCTGGGAGACACAGCAAGACCCCGTCTCAAAAATAAATAAATAAATAAACAAATAATAAATAAAAGCATTAAAGTCACCTCTAAACTGGAGAGCTATTATGATTTTTTACCTGAGAAAGGAAAACTCTAAAGGAAGATACATTTCTTAATCCAGGCCTTGTCAACATCCAAGTTGGATTCGGGAACATATTTAAGGTTCCCAGTCCTATTCATCACATGGCACATCCCTCTCTAGAAATTAAACACCACATACTCTAAATCTGTCAAATCTAAATATAAATCTATAGCTGTGTGGCTCAAATCCTCTAGAAAAGTAATGTTTATGGGATAGAGAAAACAAAGTTGTGTCATTTTGTTTTAAAAATAGGAATTACACTATTTTAAATACAGCATAAGCTATAATATCAAAATTTTGAAGGAATATAACAAAAATAACTCAAGCCAATTTCCTAAATTCTCTGTAGTACTTCAGTATCAGTCTTTCAGGTACAATTTTTCATGGGAAGAAAATGTCTTTCATTGTTCCAATGTGCAGTTATGAGCCTAAAATCAAATACCACACCCCAATATGAATTTCCTTTCAAACTAACCCAGAGCACTTAGTTTTGTTGATGTAAACACCATAAGTGAATATTTAATACCATAGTGTTTTAGTTTTCTTCACTTGAAATTCACATTCCATTTTTTTTTCTTTTACACTATGTCAGAATGTGGTGCCTTCAGCAATGACGAGAAAAACGTGGCAAAGAGCTAAATTACATTGTCTACTACTTTTTTTTGTCTGTCTGATCATTCAGGTTAATGAAGATCCCTTTGGGTTATCAGAGGACTCCTAACAATAATGTTCAGCAATTTTTTTTTTTTTTTTTTGAGACGGAGTCTCATTCTGTCGCCCAGGCTGGAGAGTGGCGTGATCTCAGCTCACTACAACCTCTGCCTCCTGGGGTCAAGCGATTCTCCTTCCTCAGCCTCCCGTGTAGCTGGGAATACAGGCACACACCACCATGCCCAGCTAATTTTTGTATTCTTAGTAGAGACGGGGTTTCACCATGCTGGCCAGGCTGGTCTCAAACTCCTGACCTCAGGTGATCCACCCGCCTTGGCCTCCCAAAATGCTGGGATTACAGGCATCAGCCACCGTGCCCAGACAAAGTTCAGCAATTTTATAAATTCAACAGAATCAGTGTCAAACCATGATTATAAAACGGTGCTCTTTCTTTCTTGCTTGCTTGTTTTCTCTTATTCTTTCTTTCTTTTTACCCTTCAAGTCATTTTATTCTCTGTTTATGGAAAATGACTTCTGGCATGATGGGATAGACTACTGGGTATTGACATCTTTGAACAAAACACCTACTTTGAGGTTGCAGTGAGCCGAGGTCACTGCATTGCACTCCAGCCTGGGCAACAGAGCAAAACTCTGTCTCAAAAAAAAAAAATCTACTTTAAGATAGAAGGACATCCAGCTAAGACAAAAGCAACAATGAAGAAAAAAATGAGAAAAGAGGTTAAGTCACCTGCCTGTGTGTGTATTTAGGGATATTTCAAGATGCCTTTAAAAAATTCAGTAATTAGGAATAGATCAAAATAAATCACACACACATAATATGTGATGAATGAATATTTGCACTAAGCAGCAGCAAACGCAGTGCTCCTAGAGAACTGCAGATGGGTTCCTCAATTATGATGCGGGATTTATTGATAGTGCAGTAGGAAATATTTCTCCGTGGGACTAGGGCTTACCAATCTGAGGTTTCTCAAGAAATCTTGGGAAAGACATGTTTAATTATGCTGTCAGAGACTTCACTAGTTGTTGAGTGTGTGCCACCACTTGCTGTACCTTAAAACATTACAATGAAGACAAATAATAAACTTTCTCAGCAATATCCATACCATGTAAGCAATGTACATTGGAACAAATTTTTTTTAAGAAGGAAAAAGATCAAAACATGACATACTTATTAAAAATGACTAAAATGTAAGGTCTTAGGACAAAGGAATTATGACTTAAAGTACTGTTTGAATAGCTCTAGTAAAATGTGACTACCCAAATGCAATTAAGTTGCTACTGTGGTAATTATTTTACATCTTTTAAAATTCTCTCTCTCTCTTTTTTTTAATTTTTTTTTTTTTGGTATGCTTTGAATACTCTGCTCTTTCACACAGCAGGCAGCTGAGATATAAGAAATTTGTCAAAAGCACTTCAAAGTTGTTTCTGACAGTCTTGGTGGTCAGACCATTTTGCCTTTTTAGGAGGCAGGAGCCAGAAGTTGCTAGTCACAAATACAAATGAACATTGCTTGCCGAAACTAACAAACAAAAAATAAAAATATTTGAATTTGATTTGAATTTCATGTATACCAGACTACCTGCTCTTTAAGAATGGGAAGATCTAGAGCTTTGAAGTTCATTTGAATAACAAATACCAATTAGGAATATTTAATGAGTAATACATAGGAATATTTAAAATATACAATGTTAGAAAGTAAGGCATTTGTAGAGGTAGCTAGCAGGTGTTTCTGATGTGTGAAGCTACCCCACATTGAGCTGTTGAAAAATATTATTTTTAATAACTACACTTTTATTAGAAATTAAGGAAGTACTTACAATATTATTTGAACAACTTTCCAACATGTAAGTTATGTGGCAAGGCTTAGATGAGGTAAAAACATGATGGATTAGAAGGAGACTTTACATCTTAGGAAAAGAAAGATGTTCAACTGCATTGTCAAGGGAACTATACTTATTTGAATTAATGGCTGCTGACTTTTGCCTGGGGTTTTTTCCAGATGTCAACAGAAAGGATAAACATAATCCTCAATTATTCTTCCTGCATTTGCCAAGCACTAAGGCAAAGTCCAGGTGAACAGCATAGACAGTCTAGGGAAAAATAAACCCTACAGTCCTCTTCCCATTCCTTCAAAGCAGAATTAATGCCACATTAATTGGAATGGTTTCTTTTTGTTCAGAGAATTTCTTTAAAATTCTGGTACTAGGAAATGCCTGTTGTTATGCTTTAGTTGAAAATGGATTGAAGAAATATTTTAAATGGTATCGTTACTGATCTTCTGAAAAGAACAGCTGAGTACACTACCCTGATAAAGAAGCCCAACAAAGTCCATGGTCTTATTCATTGAGATTTCAGAACACAACAATAACAAATTTTCCCTCACATGGACTAACTGGATTCTTAGAAGCCTTAGAATGCCTTGATCACTCTTTTCAAAGTGACTTGAGGAAGTGAGTTTCAACAGTAGGGCTATTAGGGTTCTGACAATGTGGTACCTGGTAGCAGTAAAATAATGCAACATTGATCAAGCAACCAACTTTCATTTCACTGGTGTCAATTTTAATGTGTAAAATGGAGAAGTGTGAGATCTTTTTTGGTAGGTATCTTAACCACTGGAGGGGATCAAATTTCTAAAGATTCCTTCCTACCTGGTGACATTAGTAGGTTATGCAAGAAATACCTGGAACAGCCCCTTTAGGGAGTGAACAAATAAATTCCTCTGGTTTATTTTTATTTTGTACTCCTCAGACTGAAGAACTCCCTTCTTTCCTCCCTCCCTTCCTGTCTCTCTCCTTTCCTTTTTACCTTTCTATTTCTGGTCTCAGATGCTTTTAAAACTTTACAAAAACAACTAAAACATCTGCTTGAGTTAAGACGCTTATTGGTTCTCTCATATTAAAAGTTCAGAGATACGCTGGCTTCAGCTGATAGTTGATCACTGACTATCCTGAGTAGCTAGTTTCTTTTACTTTCTTAATACAGGCTTTCTTCTAAAGAGTACTTCTTTTCTGGTAGCTTTTACAGAAAATCAAGAAAATTTTTTCTCTGAATTTTATCTTTTCTCATAGCCAAAGTCAGATCATGATCCATCTCTGAATTCATTGGTTAGCTAAACAGATGGGATTTCTGATTTGCACAAGCCAAGGAATTTCAGTTTGGGTTCAATATCTTTCCAACTGCATGGCATAGAAGGGAAGAGATGCGATTAGCTGAAAGGAATTTGAATACTAGACTCACTTGCTGGGCAATCTCCTCTGGTCCTGAGACTTTGAATCTAATAAAACATAATGACTCCTATATACATAATCTCCAGTTTGGGACATTCATGTTAAGCTTCATTTTTTTATGCATCACATTTTCTACTTAATACCACTCCTTTGATATCTAATAGGCCTTTACTAGTTAGGATGTCTGTAGCCAAACTCTTGATTTCCATCGTCTGTTTACTATTTTCCCCCTTTACTTTTTCCCATCTCAGTAAAAATTCATCCAGTTCCTAAGCTCAAATGTTTTGGAGTCATCCTTGAATCCTGTCGTTTTCTTTTCTTTTCTTTTCTTTTGTTTTTTGAGATGAAGTCTTACTCTGTCTCCCAGACTGGAGTGCAGTGGCGCGATCTTGGCTCACTGCAAGCTCCACCTCCCGGTTCACGCCATTCTTCTGCCTCAGCCTCCCGAGTAGCTGGGACTACAGGCGCCCGCCACCACGCCTGGCTAATTTTTTTGTATTTTAGTAGACACGGGGTTTCACCGTGTTAATCAGGATGGTCTCGATCTCCTGACCTCATGATCCGCCTGCCTCGGCCTCCCAAAATGCTGGGATTACAGGCGTGAGCCACCTCGCCTGGCTGGGCTAATGTATTTTTATATCAGCTGTTTTCCTTTTCCTATTTGTCATAACTATTTATATTATGTTTAATATATATATTAGTTATATTACACATAACTAAGAGTCTGTGGGACACATCACCTGCCTTTGAAACAGTAATACATGTGTGGGGAAGAATTTTAAGAAGGTCATATTATAAATTACTTATCTGCTATGTTATAATTTACCAGTACCTTATTGGGCTCCATTTGTTTGAACTTAATAAAGAATATTCAACTCCAGGCAAAATACAGATGTGGAGTCCTTTAATTTACCATTCGAATAAGAACTTGCATGGACACTATTAATTACATAGATTATAAAGCATTTTTTCAACATAAAACATTATCTCCTTTAAGTCTGATGATATTAAATTATCATATCATTAAACAAATATATGATTTAGGAAAAAAGTTTTACAGCATATTTCCCTTTCTTCTTACCTTAGAAACATTTAATATTTTAAAATAATTACACATTTATTAAAAGAAAAAAGAAACTGATGTTTTATTTTTGATGAAATTTTACCCCCGCCTTTTTTTTTTTTTTTTTTTTTTTTTTTTGAGATGGAGTCTTGCTTTGTTGCCCAGGCTGGAATACAGTGGTGGGATCTCAGCTCACTGCAACCTCTGCCTCCCAGGTTCAAGCAATTCCCCTGCCTCAGCCTCCCAAGTAGCTGGAACTACAGGCACACGCCACCAAGCCCAGCTAATTTTTTGTATTTTAGTAAAGATGGTGTTTCACCATGTTGGCCGGGATGGTCTCAATCTCCTGACCTCGTGGTCCACCCACCTCAGCCTTCCAAAGTGCTGGGATTACAGGCGTGAACCACCGCCTCAGGCCTTTCCCCCACTTTCAAGAGGTAAGAATAGTGCGAATTTGGATGAGGAAAAGAAAGTAAGGTTCTTCCAAATTCTTCCAGTTAAATATTGCAACACTTGTGGAAGCTGCCTTTATATTTACATCCCAACTCATAGCACCTAGTAGATTCTCAATAAATATTTGTTTTACGAATGAACATCTGGTAGTGTTAAAGTTAATGAAGAGGTATCAGTGTTTCATTGAACATGGAATATCAAGACACCATAACTATAATCTCAGAAATTCTATCCATCACAATACTGAAAGTAGCTTTAATTATGTTTTCTTGAGTAATTCCTACATTATGTTAAGTGATACACTATTCTAAAACATAGAATTCTGGCTGGGCGCAGTGGCTTATGCCTGTAATCCCAGCACTTTGGGAGGGCAAGGTGGGTGGATCATGAGGTCAGGAGTTCAAGACCATCCTGACCAACATGGTGAAACCCCATCTCTACTAATAATACAAAAATTAACCAGGCATGGTGGCAGGCACCTGTAATCCCAGCTACTCAGGAGGTTGAGGCAGGAGAATTGCTTGAACCT
The DNA here is from genome assembly GCF_000001405.40 of Homo sapiens. Lineage (NCBI taxonomy): Eukaryota > Metazoa > Chordata > Mammalia > Primates > Hominidae > Homo > Homo sapiens. The sequence continues at coordinate 103,817,758 of NC_000005.10, forward strand.
TGGAGGCAGAGGTTGCATTGAGCCAAGATCGTGCCACTGCCCTGCAGTCTGGGTGAGAGAGTGAGACTCCATCTCAAAAAAAACAAAAAACAAAACAAAACACACACACAAAAACATACAATTCTATTGGCCGGGCATCATGGCTCACTCCTGTAATCCCAACACTTTGGAAGGCTGAGGCGGGTTGTCCGTCTGGTGTCAGAAGTTCAAGACCAGCCTGGCTAACATGGTGAAACCCTGTCTCTACTAAAAATACAAACATTAGCCAGGTCTGGTAATGCACACCTGTAATCCCAAATATTCAGGAGGCTGAGGTGGGAGAATCCCTTGGACCTGGGAGGCAGAGGTTGCAGTGATAGATGATTACACCACTGCACTCCAGCCTGGGTGACAGAACGAGACTCTGTTTAAAAAAAATAAAATAGGCGGGGTGCAGTGGCTCACGCCTATAATCCTAGCACTTTGGGAGGCCGAGGAGGGCGGATCACGAGGTCAGGAGATGGAGGCCAACCTGGCCAACATCATGAAACCCCATCTCCACTAAAATTACAAATATTAGCCCAGTGTGGTGGTGCATGCCTGTAGTCCCAGCTACCCAGGAGGCTGAATCAGGGGAATCGCTGGAACCCAGGAGGTGGAGGTTGCAGTGAGCCGAGATTGCGCCACTGTACTCCAGTGCACTCCACTGGGCGACAGAGTGAGACTCCATCTCAAAAAAAAAAAAAAAAAAGTAAAATTCTATTAATTTTTCCATATGTATACACATATTTTCACCATTCAAATCATGATATGGAGTACTTCCTGCACCGTGAAATGTTCCCTAATGCCTCTTTCCTCCCGTCCGCACTCTCAGCAATGAGATAACTACTATTCTGACTTCTGTTCCTGTTATGGGCTGAATCCTCACCTCCACCAAATTTATATATTGAACTTGTGATCCCTAGAACCTCAGAATGTGACTGTATTTGGAGATAGAATCCCTCAAAAAGGAATTAAGATAACATGAGGTCACATGGTGGGCTCAAATATAATACTAGAAGAGGAGGAGATTAGGACACAGCTAACATAGATGGAATAATGACCATGTGAGGGCATAGCAAAAAGCCAGCAGCCATCTGCAAGCCAAGGAAAGAGACCTCAGAAAGAAAGCCTGCTGACACCTTGATCTTGAATTTCTAACCTCCAGAAATGTGAGAAAATAAATTTCTGTTATTTAATCCATCCAACCTGTAGTGTTTGCAGACCTAGCCAATGACTACAGTTACCATGGATTAATTTTGTCTATTCTCTAATATTATATAAGTGAAATTATACTCATTTTGTGTCTGGCTTTTTTCACTCAACATGTGTTAAGAATCATTCATGTTGTTGTGCATATCAGTAAATTGGCTGTTTTCCCTGTAGATCTTGAAGAACCAAGATCCAGAGAGAAGTGAAAGGAATCAGTGTTCCATGGAACGGAAGTGCATCAGGAAAGGTAGGGAGATACAAGGATATATGACATGTTTTGGGAATTGTGTGCATCTTGAAGGGCAGGAGCCAGGACACCTGTGGGAAATGTGTGTGTGTAGGAAACTGAGGCAGGAGAGGGAGACAGGGGCCAGTATCTCAGAGTCAGAGGAAACTCAAAAGATTTGGACAGATTGGAACAAGGTAAGAGTCCTGAACCTCCTTGTTGGATTTTCTGGGGACGTCTGTACTGTCTCTTGAAGTCCCCATTACCCAGTGTAAACTGGCTATTTTTATAGTTGAGTAGTATTCCACAGCATGAATAAATCACAATTTATCTGTCCATTGTCTTGTGATAGATGTTTGATTTTTTTTTTCTAGTTTTGGGCAATTGTTTTTGTTTTTTTGGCTTTTTTTTTCTTTTTCTTTTTCTTTTTCTTTTTGTTTTTTTTTTTTTTTTTTTTGAGACAGAGTCTCACTCTGTCACCAGGCTGCAGTGCAGTGGTGCAATCTTGGTTCACTGCATCCTCCACCTCCCGGGTTCAAGTGATTCTCCTGCCTCAGCCTCCCGAGTAGCTGGGATTACAGGTGCCCACGACCACGCCTGGCTAATTTTTGTATTTTTAGTAGAGACGGGGTTTCACCATGTTGGCCAGGATGGTCTTGATCTCTTGACCTCGTGATCCACCCACCTCGGCCTCCCAAAGTGCTGGGATTACAGGTGTGAGCCACTGTGCCCAGCCCAGGAAGTTGTAAATGAAGCTGCAATTAAAAAGTGGACATACGTTTTTATTTCTCTACTGTAAATATCTATAAGTAGAATACCTAGGGTAAGTGTATATTTAAATATCAAATAAGTTGATAAATAGTTTTACAAAATTATACCACCTTACACTCACCAGCAATGTGTAAGAGTTTCATTTGTTTAATATTCTTGTAAAAACTTGGTTTTATCAGTCTTTTGAATTTTAGCCTAGCTGGTGGGTGTATATAATATGGTAAGTGTGTCATTGTAATTTTAATTTGCATTTCCTTCCTGTTAACTATTGATGTTGATCATTTATTCATATTGTCTCTGGCTATTTGATATTCCCTTTTAAAAAATGTCTCTTCCTGCCGGGCGTGGTGGCTCATGCCTGTAATCCCAGCACTTTAGAATGCTGAGGTGGATGGATCATGAGGTCAGGAGTTCAAGACCAGCCTGGCCAAGATGGTGAAAGCCCGTCTCTACCAAAAATACAAAAATTAATCGGGTGTGGTGGAAGGCACCTTTAATCCCAGCTACTTGGGATGCAAAGGCAGGGAATTGCTTGAACCGGGAGGTGGAGGTTGCAGTGAGCCGAGATCACATCACTGCACTCTAGCCTGGGTGACAGACTGAGGCTCCATCTCAAAAAAAAAAAAAAAAAAAGTATCTCCCAATATTTTGCCCATTTAAAAAAATTGAGGTTTGTTTTTTCATTTACATTCCTATATTTATTTGTAGGAATTCTTTATATTCTCTGGTATAAGTTCTCTGTCAGATATAGGTATTGCTTATATCTTCTTAGAATCTGCATATATCTTAATGGGATCAATTTTAAGTTGGAAAAAGTGATGAAATATGTATTCCTGATGATATAAATTACTAAGATAGAGAGCAATAGGATTTCTCAAATACTACTAATGGCAGTGTAAATTTTTCCAACCATTTTAAAAAGATATTTGTTACTAACAACTAAATTTCAGCATCTGCAAATCCTGAGATCCATTATTCTAATCTTAGTTATATATACAATAAAAATATGCTTTCATACACAGCAAAAAATGTACCAGATTGTTCATGGAAATATTACTTATAATAGTGAAAAGCTTAAAATTAACAAAATGTTATCAGTAGAAATAATAAATAAATATTGGTATACTTATCATCACTGGAACATTATACAACATTGAAAATAAATGAACCACAGCTTCACATGATATGTGAATAAATCTAAAAAACAGAATATTGAGTGAAATAAGTTAAATTCAAAGGAAAAAATAATAATGATTTCATTAATAGAAGATTCAAAAACATGATAAACTAAACCACAGTGTTAGCAGTCAGGAAAGTGGCCATCTTTTGTATTCATTATAATGCTGAAAAACAAATTGCTTCAAAACTTAATGCCTTAAAACAACACTAAACATTTATCGTCTTACAGTGTGCGTGAGTCAAGAACTTTGGGGCAGCTTAGTTGTGTGGTTATGGCTCAGAGTCTCTCATGAAGTTCAGTCTAAATGCCCGCTAGAGCTTTAGTTGTCTGAAGATTTCACTGGGGTGGGGGAATACATCTCAGGATGGCTCACTCACAGGGCTTTTGGCAGGAGGCCATAGTGCCTTTCTGGCTGTGGCAGAGAGCCTCAAGTCTGCTCCATGTGGGCACCTTCATAGGGCCACGGCCTGAGTTCTCTTGCCATGAGAGCTGGCTTCCTCCAGAGTTAGTGATCTAAGAGCCCATGTTAGAAGGACGCATAATGCTTCTTGCAATCTAGTCCCTAAAGTCAAACACAGCTGGTTCTGCCATATTCCCTTTGTTAGAAGCAAGTCATTAAGTCCAGTACACATGTGGGGAGGGGATTAGGCTTCACCTTTTGAAGAAAGGATTATCAAATAATTTGGGCACATATTTAAAAACTGCAAAACCATTGGAAAGAAGGGAGGGGATAGTTATTGAAAAGAAACATGGAGTGAGAGACTTGGATATTTTATTTCTTACATTGGTGGTTTTCCCTTGTGATAGATAATTTGCTGTGCTATATACTTTTGTGAGTTTTTTCTGTGTGTATATTACAATAAAGAGTTAAAATGTTTAATGCTAATTTTGATCAACTTTTTAAATGCTACTTTTACAAAAGTAGCCATTTGAAGAGATACTTTCAAAAAGATACACAGAAGAAAAACACTATTAAGTACAAACAGGCTAATTAATTATGTACATGTGCATTTCTCTATTGTAGCAAATGTTGTGTACTAAGTTATTTCCTAGGTCTACCAGAACACCAAATACCTGGCATACATTTTTATGGCACATAATGGTCAAGGTACCAATAGTTCTTTAAGTTCATAAAAGCACTTAATTATTCCCGCGCTCAATTCTAGTTAGTTATATAATCAAGTCAATTTTTTTTCCTTAAAATAATGGCTATGTTAGCTTCCTAATATAACCCTCTGCCCAAGATTCCTCAGAAAAAGGAAATATCCTTCAGAGAATGTGAGTTCTATGGTCCTTCAGGTACTGTTTGGCACTGAGAAGTTGTGGCATTGTCTCAATATTGGAGATGCAGAGTTGATTAGTCTGCACCTTGGAGTTACAAAAGAATTGCATTCTCTATTGGATTCGATTATGTTAAATGCTGCTGTGAAAACAGGAGCAGGTAAGTAAAGGACTCTTGGATATAGAATATACACGAAAGGGAAAGATCAACCAATTCACTGACCACTCTTAAAGTCAGCTCCCCTAGTCCCACTGAAACAGGACTAACACATATTTGAAAGAACTGAGGTTTAATTACTGTGTCTTTTAGTTTCATCCAGTACTTCTCGAAAGCTCTGAAATTTCTTCCATGATGATGAATTCTGTTTCTATTGATATGTGACATTATAAAAGTGACAGGAACACTTGGAAATTATGGCAGAGTGTACTTTGGAGGGGTCCCATTTTCTATATGTAAAAGCCACTAGGTTCATTCTTTATATAATTCTGAACTAAAATGAAAATTAATATATGGTAATATAAGTTCATCTCTGAGAATACTTACCTTGAGAATACCACTTTTATCTAAGTGTTCATTAGCAAAGGTAATAAATCTAATATTCTCTACCAAATAATCATACATTAAAAAACTATTCCTGAACCAGGATACAAATGTGCATCACCTGAATTAACTAAAGAATATTTTTTAAAGAATCTTAGAGATCAGTTTTAAGTAGGTGCTAGGATATTATTAACTATTTTTTGCTTGCTACGAAAGAGAGCCATCTTGCTTTATCAAGCAAGGCTCATAGACTTCATTTAGAATTTTTGACATTTGCAGATATAAATAGAGTATGTGAACAAGAGCAGGACATTTAGGTGACTCTTTTAGCAGAGTTCTGAAGGTAGGGGTTACGCACACTAATAATATGATTATCAAAATTGTTTCTGATGATATATAGTATTGAAAAATGGGTCTGATGATTTCTTAGCCTGCACTCTACCTAAGGGAAATGGAAATAGATGAAAAGATGTACAGCAGTTAAAAAGATCAGGATACCGAAAGAGCAGTTATCATTATTATAGTAAATTTAGTCCAGAATATTTGAAGATGAGTCTCCGCACTTGGTTGATAACCATTGCCCTGAAGAAAACCACAAATGATTTCCCTTGGAAGTAGGCTAAGAAAGATAATTCCAAAAGGACCTTCTTGATTATAGTTAATAAGCTTTTCAGTCCATAATGATGTCCATGCGCATGGAATGAACAAATTCCTGAAGTGGACTTCTGAATTCAGTGGGTCTCAAAGACTTTCTTAGGCAAGAATAATTCTTTGTGTGTCTAAACAGTAGACATCCGCATATGTAGGTTAAAACTGGAATGTACAATACATGTATGTCCGATTTAGAGAATACAAATTCTTACTTTCATGTGTATTTGGCCATTTGCATTGATGTCTGTGAGATTAGGTATTATCCAGTGGCAATGGTATAGTCATTCTTATTTCATTTACATTTTATATTTCATACCAGGTGTGTGTCACTTTATGCATAGCAATTATGACCCAGAAACAGCTCAATTTTTAAGTCTCTTTGAGGATATATATGTTTGTAGGTTTCTACTTCAGACATATAAAGGTTGATTATATTCATCTGAACGGTATTATTTAAGTTTGGATGGGATATTTTCAGTCAGGGAACAATATTAGTTTTTCATGGTAATGAAAGACTTAGAGGTGGGCTTTGGAGCAGGACAGCTTGGCTTTGAATCCTGGTTGTGAGTTTCCTCATCTGTAAAATATGAATAATGATGATAGTAACACCTACCTCATAAGGTGTTTTTAAGAGTAACTGAGGTAGCAAATGAAAAGGACCTAGCATGGTATATGATAAACCATATCGTAGGCACTAAACCATAAATAGGCAGCAGGTATTGTCATTCTTTCTAGATCAGGAAGTTTCATGAAAGGGATGGTGATGGTGGTGGAATTGCCTTCTATTATATTTCCAACCCAACCAGCTGCCTCACCATTATGTGCCATCAACTACAAGAGCTAAGAAATTATAGATGGCTTGGAACAAGCCACTTCCTCTGCCTGAGAAATACTTTAGAATGAATTTTGAAGTTTGGTCTTTGCAATTCATCAGTATTATATTATTTTCATAGATAGAATTAGATGACTGAAAGTGGAATAGCACATAAAGCCTTCAAAATTTGATATTCCACAGCAGTTTGGAAGTACGAATTCAAGATAGACAGACATGCCATGGTTGAAGAATCAAAATGAAGTTTAGAGTTATTCAGAAAACATGCACAATTCCAAAAGGCAATCTGGGTAACTCATAGCAAATAGTGGCAGCTTTATAAGACATCATTATCAATAAACATTTATAAGCATCCACTAGGGCCAAGACCATACCTGGCACTGGAAATTACAGAATGATTGCTGAACTCTCAATTTCACTTTGGCTCTGGAGACATAGCCATGCATTGTTGCATAAGGGAGTGGAATGGGAAATGATCACAGTAAGATTTTATTGTGAATTCTGAAAAGACATGCCGCAGATGGTTTCAGGTGCTTGATGGTACAATCATCAATATGATTACGTTCAAATAAGTAATATTCATCAACACAACTTCAATCAGTGTATGAATTATTCCAATGAACATTTTTAAAGTCTTGAAAATAACCCTTTCTTTAATGCCTTTTCTTTTATTTATACTATTCAGTTTTGTGATAGCTTTAAACCCATGCATGTGTGCACACACACAGACAAGATACAAGAGAAATCATGAGGAAATTTCTCAGGAAAATATTTAAAGACACCAAAATTTTCAGGCCTCAGCAGTCAATTTAGTTAGCAGATACAGTGAGTGCTAATGAGTAATTCAGTTCCACCAAGTCAGACCCTGTCTTGCCACTGCATTTGATATAATTTATGTTAGCATGGAAATAATAGATTAAGAACAGATAGTTTAGTCTCACTCATATTCTATATTTTTGGGTTATCAGTGACTAAGTGCTGTACCTTGTTAGGTAACTACATATATCAGCATTGCAAGGTGTGACAATGGCATTAACATTACCTTTTATTTTCAGACAAAAGCTTTTAATTACTGCATTGGTTACATTTATCTTTAATAAAATGTCCCATTTGTTTATTGTAGAAGAGAAACCAAAGAGAGTAATATGTTAGGCTAGTGCTTCTCAAAGTTTGTGCAGACACTTCACTTGGGGATCCATTCTGTTAAAATGTAGATGCGAATTTATTAGATCTGAGGAGAAACTTGAAAACTTACATTTCCAACAAGCTCTCAGTTGATGACTGCTTGTAGTTCCTGCACTGTATTTTGAGTGGCAAAGTCTTAGACAACACATTGACATAAGTTGATTTTATATGAAAATACCTTGTATTTAAGGAAAGACATGCCTTGATTGTTATTGGAATCTGGTTTCTGTGAGTGCCAGAACTATAAGGAAAGTCATTCTAATTACTTCCTATGAACCTGTGAGAGCGAATTCTGCATTCAAGGATACTCATTGTTCTAGGTAAAAATTCTATATTTCCTGACCTACAATAAAAAGTGGCATCTTTGTTGTAAATTTATAAGAGTAAGCATATTAAAAGAGAAGCCTCATTCTGGAAACAAAAGCTGAAATGGTTTATTTCTATTCCTTTGCAAATTAGCACAAGAGGCTATATTTCTAATCTCAAATCTTCCCATCTGTTATCTTATCTTAGTGCCTATTTTTTATGTATTTTGTTATAGTTTTGAAAGAATATCAGATGTAGTTTATCCTTTTCACATTTCTTTTTTCTTTGTATCCTGGAACCTTCCTACCCATAGAACTAGTTTGAGAGGCTGAGGCATATTGCTCCAGTGAAGGGAACACAGAAAATAATTTAAAGGGAATAAAGAGTGCAATTCTTAGGTTTTGAGCTCCCAGGTAGACTTTTATAAATCTATTGCAAAGTCAATAGTCTGAAAGTCAAAGCTCTTCTGAGATGGAAGGGATGGAATATATTCAGAGAGAATAGTTTTGTTTTGTTTTGTTTGAATTCCAAACTATGGGCTCTGAATATCAAGAGCAAAACCTAGAGGATTCATAGCACAGAGTTTATACAATACGCCACAGACTACGGAAGACTGTGAATGACATGAAAGCAGTGTGCCACTCAAATGAAGCCGGATTTGATCAGTGGTTGGAAGATCAGAGGGAATGAAACTAGAACTCAAAGGCTACCTGGAATCATTGTCTGGGTAGTGTGGGGTAGGGAGTGGGGCTTGAGAGTAAATAAAAACACACATATGTTTAGGGGAATCTGCGAGTGGAAGGGGCTGGTCTTGACTCACAGAATGTGTAGGTTGGTGACACTATAAATCTCTTTGGGAGGACTCGTATCTAGAAGCAGAACAGCAAAAGCTGAGAGAAACAGCTCTAACAGTAGGCCTGGTGGTACTCAGAGCCCTGTTCTCATAAGTGTGGGGAAGGGGATTGTACGAAAAAGAAGCCTGGATCAGGATAAGGGGTCGATCCATACTTGATCTGGGTTGTGGCAAGATGAAGGACATCAGCAGAAAATGTCAGCATTTTATAAAGGAGACTAGATGAATTCCACACAATGTGGAAAGTCAAAATCCTTGGGTCAGATACCTGGCAATAGAAAGAGCCCTTGAAACCATAGATGATGTCCAATAAAACAGGGAAAGGGAAACCAGATGGGAATGGGAGTTGTGGAAGAATCCTAACGAACAACCTGAATTGACTGAGTTGATCTAAACAGAGATCAAGGTTAAAGAAGTGACTCTGTTTACCTTGAGTTGTAAAGATTGAATTATCTTGTCATCATTAGAAATTGAGGGATGGAGGCTAATAAGCTAAATTAAGTTGAACAATGTAATAATAAAGTTGCAATTTATTTATTTATTTATCTATTTTGAGACGGAGTCTCGCTCTGTCACTAGGCTGGAGGGCAGTGGCACGGATCTCGGCTCACAGCAACCTCCGCCTCTTTGGTTCAAGCGATTCTCCTGCCTCAGCCTCCCAAGTGGCTGGGACTGCAGGCGCTCACCACCACGCCTGGCTAATTTTTTTTTTTTTTTTTTGAGACGGGGTCTCACACTGTCGCCCAGGCTGGAGTGCAGTGGTGTGGCCTCGGCTCACTGCAAGCTCCGCCCTCCAGGTTCACGCCATTCTCCTGCCTCAGCCTCCCCAGTAGCTGGGACTACAGGTGCCCGCCACTACACCCAGCTAATTTTTTTGTATTTTTAGTAGAGACGGGGTTTAACCATGTTAGCCAGGATGGTCTCGATCTCTTGACCTTGTGATCCACCCACCTCGGCCTCCCAAAGTGCTGGGATTACAGGCGTGAGCCACCGCGCCTGGCCTAAAGTTGCAATTTATTAACCTGAGTTCTATGTCAATTTATCATCTCTATAGCAAAATCATGCTAGTTCTGCTTACTTCAATTTTTTAAATAATAAGAGAAAAATAGATTTATATAGAATTTTAGAGTAGGAATCAACCTCAGGGATAATTGATTCATACCACTCTCCTTCTTACAATCTTTAGATACTTTTCCTTTTTCTCAGAATAAGTCCCCAAATCCTTAATGTGGTCTCAGAGACCCCCTGGATCTGACTCTTTGCCAGCTCTGCCGCCTGATCTTGCCCTGTGGCTCTCTGTTTCACCCACATGTTCTTGATGTCTCAGACTTGACCGGCTCTGTCTCACCTCAGGGCCTTTTCAGATATTGTTCTCTCTGCCTGGAAGACTTTCTCTTCCAACCACAAACTAGGTCACGTTTCCTTGTTAAATGCGTGTGTGTTACCCTGCACTGCTTCTTTATACTACCTATCACAATTGAAATTGAAATATGTGTGTGGATAATGTCAGCCTTCCTTCATAGGCTGTAGGTCTTCAGTGGTCCAGATACCAGGTCTGCTGTATTCAGTGATGTAATACATAGCTCCAGTGCATAGCACAAGCCTGACATGCTCATTAATACTTGGGGAGGGAGAGAGCAAGGGAATGGAAGATTGATACGATCTAACACTCTCATTTTACACACGAAGGTGTGGGGTTTGATAAGATGAATATTTCCAGTGATCCTTACCTGTAATCAAAAAGGTATTTTATTATAATTGGTGTGAGGCTGGGAAGAAATTTTCTCCAATGCTCAGAGATACTCAAAATAAATTCAGGAATATTGTCGAGTTTAAGAAATCATTACTCTCTACTTCTCTAGCCCTTTTTTGTATACATTATGTTTATTTTTCTTTGTGAAAACTGCTTTTAAAAGAATCATCTCATGCCAGTCAGAAGGGCGATTATTAAAAAGTCAGTAAACAATAGGTGCAGGTGAAGCTGTGGAGAAATAGGAATGCTTTTGCACTGTTGGTGGGAATGTAAATGAGTTCAACCATTGTGGAAGACAGCATGGCGGTTCCTCAAGGATCTAGAACCAGAAATACCATTAGACCCAGAAATCCCATTATTGGGTATATACCCAAAGGAATATAACTCATTCTACTAGAAAGACACATGCACGCATATGTTTATTGCAGCACTATTCACAATAGCAAAGACTTGGAACCAACCCAAATACCCATCAATGATAGACTGGATAAAGAAAATGTGGTACATATACACCATGGAATACTATGTAGCCATAAAAAGGAATGAGATCATGTCTTTTGCAGGGACATGGAAGAAGCTGAAAGCCATCATCTTCCCCAAACTAACACAGGAACAGAAAACCAAACATTGCATGTTCTCACTCATAAGTGGGAGTTGAACAGTGAAAACATATGGACACAGAGAGGGCAACATCACACACCAGGGCCTGTTGTGGGGTGGGGAGACAGGCGAGGGAACTTAGAGGACAGGTCAATAGGTACAGAAAACCATCATGTCACATGTATAACTATGTAACAAATCTGCACGTTCTGCACATGTATCCCATTTATTTTAGAAGAAATAAAGAAAAAAAAATCATCAGTCGCACTTTTATCACATCTCAGATAAAATGTTAAGGCTAGACCTTTTGCAATTTTTAAGCTCATTAAGTTTTGTGGTTTTTGAAAGATGGATAGGCACCAGATGACCAATTAGCCTCCAAATGTTTTGTTAGTCAGAAACCCACATATTTTGAAAAGATGTTTGCCATACCTGCAAAATGAAGCGAGAAAGACCAAAAAGACAGCTACAAATATTACTAAAGAAGAGAGTCTCAGCTTGTATTCTCTTATACAAGATTATGTAACTATACTAAATTGGTACTAATTTGGTAATCTTACCTTTGATATGCTTCCAGTCTCAAAATTCTATGCGCTGCAGCCTCGAGGGGGCGCTCACACTAGATTTGAATGAAATGTATTTTGCTGCACAGCGGAAGAAAATGTTTATTTTATTCCTGGTTTTCTGTTGCTTCTTGGCGTGGAAGCTGTGGAAACGGCTAAACCTTATCAATATTTAGCATCTTTTCTCTAAAATGACAAACTTTAGAAAAATAATTCAATATCAAGGTAAATAACCATACCTCTAGCTGCCTGAATATGCTTTAAACACTGTTGGAAAAACAGAATATTTCCCCTAAGAAAACTATATGAATGTCAGACAACTATTTTTTTTCCATAAGGCCTTATAAATAATAACTAATATTGTGCTAGGACAATAGAGGATTTTCTCAGTCTCCTCTGGGTGCCAGGTAGAACACTGGCTGTTAGCTCAGCTTTATGACAAAGTATTATTTTTCTGCTAAAACAGATGGATTTTGAATTGACATTTTGACATCACAGAATAATACATACTGTCCTTTCAAACACTCTTCTAGGATACATCAGGAAAGCAACTATTAAGTAAAATATATGACAGCAGGACTTCATTCTACTTTTCTTACTTGAGTGTTTATTTGTTTGAATTGGCTGTAGATAGGCTCCTAAGGATTTGAAGTGTGTCAGAAATGATTTGATTTAAGTCAAAAAATGAGCACAATCACACTTTGTCAACAGTCCCCAAATGACTTCTTCTTGGGAGGTTCCACCTTTATGGACAAAATGCAATAAGTTGAGAAAAGCTTTCATGGGATTGTCTCATTTGTAAAATAGATTTAAGACCTGAAAATGACATAGGAATATTTACCAGCTATAGATATTAACAAAATAATTTATACTTCCAGATAAGTGGATATGGAAATATGGAGACATGTATGGGATGGCTTGAAAATGGCATACAAATACGTAGAGATGTTATCAGAATAATTTCTATATCTATAAATGTAGGCTTAGAGACATGTCGGAGTAATGATTAAAGAAATATTTCCGGCTGGGTGCGGTGGCTCACGCCTGTAATCCCAGCACTTTGGGAGGCCGAGGTGGGCAGATCACAAGGTCAGGAGATCGAGACCATCCTGGCTAACACGGTGAAACCCCATCTCTACTAAAAAATACAAAAAAATTGGCCAGGCTTGGTGGCGGGCACCTGTAGTCCCAGCTACTCGGGAGGTTGAGGCAGGAGAATGGTGTGAACCCGGGAGGCGGGGCTTGCAGTGAGCCGAGATGGCACCACTGCACTCCAGCCGGGGTGACAGAACAAGACTCAGTTTCAAAAAAAAAAAAAAAGAAGAAAAAGAAATATTTCCTATGGGAAATGATCACAGTGAGGATTTTATTGTAACTGTGTGTGCATGTGTAGAGTAAAAAGACTACTGATTATTGCATTTATTATGTAGAGTTATTATGTATGAAGGAACATTGAAATCTGTTGTATTTTTCTAAAGGAAAACTTCTTGTTGTGCTTCATGTGCAGCCTTCTTCACAGATTTGAAGAAGTTTGGTTTGTTTCTTGAATCATTTATTTGATAGGTTCATTTCTTTGGATTTATTTTCCACTTTTAAGTTCAAATATGAGATTGTTTCTCTTGTAAAGACCACCTTTAACATTTTAACAACCTACTTAAAGATATTCCTCCTGACCACACCATTCTTATACACACCTACTCTTGCCCATCTGAGCTGTTTTAGTAAACTGTCAATTGTATCTTTTTCTTCAATTCCTCTGAAATCATTTTTAATCATTTAGATGAAAGCTGTCAGTGCTTATTCATTTTACCTCTCAAAAGAACTCAAAAGGCACTGCATTCTCATTTGCATGCTAATCGTTTCTTTCAGTCTTGCATTATTTTTAGTAGTGCACTTTGCTTCTCCAACATGAAATTAAGGCTGATAAAACAGAGCTATTTCATTGAGACTGCAGTAAGTGACATTATAGGCATAAGTATTATTATTATTAATATTAATTTTAATATTACAGACACTTAATTGAGAGTTTTCTCAAGAACTTACTTTATAAAGCTGGTTAAATATTATATTTAGTTTGTATTAGCTTAATCCTTTAAAAATCATGTTTCTAAATCTTGTGTAAAACATTTTGGTAAAAGGATGTTTCAAGACCCTTCAGTCAGCAAAGTGAAAATGAGACCTTTGATTCTCTTCTTAGACTACTCTTTATTTGAATGATGCAGGTTTCTCTATAGTGATCAAAGTGAATCACATGAAAGTGAATAGGACAAAGGGAATACTCCAGAAAGTTTGGATATTTTAAAAATTGCCTATTCATATAAATTAGAACTCAAATCCATATCAATCTTATAACTTAATCAAAAGAAAGATGTTAGCCAATTAGTTTGAATTCCTAAAATATGCCAGGTACATTACAAGCACTATGTCATTTTAATCATTCAGATGAGGACCCCATACAGATAAGGACACTGATGTCCACAGAGGTTGAATAAGTTGCCTAGCATTTTACCTCCAAAAATGATAGAAGTGGGAGATAGATTTAGGTTTCTCTGACTCCAAAGATGGTGATCCACTGAATTACTGGATTAATTTCTTGCATGTTTCCTTGTCTTACCTGTAATGATTAAAATGATTCTTTCACACTCTTGGGTAGTGAACTCTGCAAAGTAGGTTTGCTGTGCCCTGGTTAAACTTGTCTAAGTCCAGTAAGACAGAGCACCCCCAGACACAACAAGGTAAACGAAGCAGATTTATTACTTACAGATGGGCAGCCAGAAACAACAGAAGCCTAGGATTCATCTTCAGCCAGTCCACCAGGGCTGAGGAAGCGGCTTAGGGCAGATGGATCTCATCTGTGAGTGCCCCACTTGTATCACAAATGAGGGACTACTGAGTTGAAGGGTATCCCGTTTTTAGGTGAGATTGAAATAGTGTCTGGGCTCTTCTGAACAGTATCTTCCTATTTCAGGATGCTGCCTTTCCAGCACATTCTATGTTTTTTTTGTTTGTTTGTTTTGAGACAGAGTCTCACTCTGTCACCAGGCTGGAGTGCAGTGGCGTGATCTTGGCTCACTGCAAGCTCCGGCTCCCTGGTTCAAGCAATTTTCCTGCCTCAGCCTCCCGAGTAGCTGGGATTACAGGCATGTGCCACCACGCTCAGCTAATTTTTATATTTTTAGTAGAGACAGGGTTTTGCCATGTTGGCTAGGATGCTCTTGATCTCCTGACCTCATGATCTGCCCACCTCTGCCTCGCAAAGTGCTGGGATTACAGGTGTGAGCCACTGCGCCTGGCCTTTCTATGGTTATTGTTGAGAACTACAAGTGAGAGAGAGGAGAGAGCTGGGTCAATCAAGGTCACCTGGAGAACTATCTTGCAAACTGAACTGTTGAAGACAGTGTCAACAATAAAAAACCTTAAATTCTATATCTAAGATTCAGGGATGCATACTGAATCCTGGATGTAGAATTTAAGGTTTTCAGTTGTTGGACATTGTCTTCTTTCTCTGCTTTGTTTTTTTTTTTTTTTTGAGACAGAGTCTCGCTCTGTCGCCCAGGCTGGAGGGCAGTGGCACCATCTCAGCTCACTGAAAGCTCTGCCTCCTGGGTTCACGCCATTCTCCTGCCTCAGCCTACCGAGTAGCTGGGACTACAGGTGCCCGTCACCATGCCCAGCTAATTTTTTGTATTTTTAGTAGAGACAGGGTTTCACCTTTCCCTGAATTTTTAAATGATTCAATAAGAGAAATAGTTTGGGTGAAAACTAAAATTTGAGAGAACAGGCTCAACATTCATGCATTTCAAAATTCAAGATTTCCCTTATCATATGCAACTGTCTCTCAATAAGCAATGGTGTTTGGGGATAGCAGTTAGAGAACCTTATGTTCTCAAGTTTCAAGCATATTTTATATGATTATTAATATTTTAAATATTTTAGTAACTCTTGAACTATTTAATTTACTTATACCACTTGGTAAGGCATAAAAGTGAACAGCTATTTGGTGAGATTCCATATAGCTGTTCACTTTCACTGTTTATCTTAGACAGTTATGTGATGAGATGGGTCTAGAGTTTGTTCTGAATTTCAGATGATGATTAACAACAATGTAATCATTAATATTTGTATTGTTTCCACAGCTATGTGGAAAAGATGGTGAAAAAGGAACACATGTCAAGAGATAAGATAATAGGTGGATGTGTTAATCAGACCCTGACTCCAATCATAGAATGAGAAAGGTCAATGTATGTGAAAGATAAATTATTCTTCTTTTGGTTGGGGGAAATGAGGTCTAAAAAATAATTAATTGATAGCAGAGCCAAGGCAAAAAACTGGATCTGTGCAGAAATAATCAACGAAGGGGTAGGAATTTGACCTCAGGTTATTGCAGTCCATATCCCATCCTTCACAGCAGCCCAAGGGTTCTGGATATCTCCCAGTAGGGTGTGGAAGGGTTTTTAGAGTAGGGCAAGGTCATATAGGTCTTAAAAAGGGTTTTGGGTTTCTTAGATGGGTGGAGGTTGCTCCCTGGAGTTGACCTCAAATGGTGCCCTTCACATTTGGGGAGGAAGTCATACCCCTCCCCTTCCCCACTCTGATTCAGGAGTTTGTGATGCTTCTGGGAAAGTATCCCCTGAGGCTGTTGGTCTAAGACGATTATGTAGGCCTGCTGAAGCTCTATGGAGACAGAGGCAAGTTCCTCCTCTGCAGTGAGCCTATCTCTGCCCCCAGGCATAGGCTCAGGCCCTCACTAGTCAGTACCATTTCTAGTCAGGCATCAGGCTGAAAGTGTTTTCTCCTTATTCTTCATCATTCCCACAGCTGCTGATAAGACCAAGATCCTGGGATCCATGGGGCTGTTGAAGAGTCCTAGGTCCAAAGAGGGGAGGGAACTTGCCTGAAGTCACATAGTCAAGAGGCAAAGCTGAGAACAGAGCACTGGTGCAGCCATTTTATTTTCACAGCAAAGCTGGGAGAGGGGTGATTCTTCCCCCATGAGGAAGCTGAGTCTCAGAGAGGTTAAACAACTTGTCCATGGTCACACAGCTAGTAAGAAGTGCTAATAACAACAGGAACAATAATTATATTAATAAGCAAATGTGTCTGGCATTACTGTGCACTAAGCATTATCTCGTTGAGAACTCACAGTTCTAGGAAACTGAAGATCAGAGAAGTGAAGTAACAAGTGAAAGTCAAATAAATAGCTAGTAAGTAGGGATCGAGGTAAAATGAGCTAACATTTATGGAGCACTCTGTGTGTGCCAAATACCTTGCTATGTATTAATAATTCTCACATCCCTCTAAAGAGAAAGGGTACAATTGTTTCAATTTTATAAATGATGCAAGTAGGCTTAGAGCAGTTTATTTAGTAGTTATTTAGTGAAGGTTGCCACTATAGACTAAATTGTATTCCCCAAAAATTCATATGTGAAAGCCTCAACTTCCAATGTGATTGTATCTGGAGACAGGGTCTTTAGGAGGTAATTACAATTAAATGAGTTCATAAGGGTGGGGCCTTAATCCAATAGGATTGTGACATTATCAAAAAAGTGCAGCTGGGCGTGGTGGCTCATGCCTATAATCCCAGCACTTTGGGAGGCTGAGGTGGGTGGATCACCTGAGGTAAGGAGTTCGAGACCATCCTGGCCAACATGGTGAAACCCCGTCTCTACTAAAAATACAAAAATTAGCCAGGCGTGATGGTGGGTGCCTGTAATCTCAGCTACTCTGGAGGCTGAGGCAGGAGAATTGCTTGAACACGGGAGACAGAGGTTGCAGTGGGGTGAGATCACACCATTACACTCCAGCCGGGGCGACAACAGCGAGACTGCATTTCAAAAAAAAAAAACAAAAAACAGAAAAAAAAAGAAAGAAAAGAAAAGTGCTATGATCTGAATGTCCCCCCAAATTCATTTGTTGAAACTTAATAGCCAATTTGATAGTATTAAGAAGTGTGGCCTTTTAAGAGGCAATGAAGTTATGAGGGTGGAGCCTTCATGAATGAGATTAATAACCTTTTAAAAGGACTTAAGGGACTGAGTTTACATCTTTCGCCCCTTCTGCCATGTGAGTGCCCAGCGTTCCTGCCCTCTGGAGGATGCAGCAACAAGGCACTATCTTGGAAGCAGTCAGTAGCCTCTCACCAGACACTGAACCTGCCAGACACTTGATCTTGGACTTCTCAGCCTCCAGAATTATGAGAAATAAATTTCTATTGTTTATAAATTACCTGGTCTTTGATATTTTGTTGTAGCAGTACAAATAGACTAAGAGAGAAAGAGAAACGTCTCTGTCTCTCCACGATGGGAGGATACAAATGAGACAGCAGCTATCTGCAAACCAGGGTGAGAGGCCCTTCCCAGAACTGGACCATGCTGGCGCCATGGTCTCAGACTCCCAGTTTCCAGAACAGTGAGAAAATTAATTTCTGTTTTTAAGCCACACAGTCTGTGGTATTTTTTTTGACAGCCCTAGCTGACTAATAAAGTTGCACAGCTAGTAAATATGAAATCATAATAATAATAATAAATGAACATGTATTAAGCAATACTGTGTCCCAAATGTTATGTTATTATGAATACTTTATCATATTCATAATTACATCAATATTATGGCATGTCATAGAGTCAAGGAACTGCACAAGACCACATAGCCAGTGAGTGGCAGAGCCAGCACTGGAACTCAGACCCCTTGATAGAGTGATGCTTCTGTGGAAGGGGAAGTTGCTGAATGCTGAGGCCCTTCATCCTGGACCAAGACAAGGATACTTTGAGGTCTTCCTGCTGGAGTAGGCATCTGCAGGGCATGGGCATCCACAGGGCGACATTCTCACCTACAGCTTCAGTGGCATCATGCCAGCATGCCTTCCCCCTGCTACAGGCTGACATGACCAAGACATGTGGACTGTGGCCCTCAACTACCATGGAGGAGAAGAAAATGGGGCCCAGGGATCCCAAGGTGGGTATGAAGCTGCCAAAACCAATGACCATATAGAGGGGATGAAAGGAGCTGTTGCCCAGCAACCCAGAGCTTTGAGTCTCATTTACTCTTGCCAGTGGGACTTCATCTCCAGGGCCCCGTTTACGTCCCCACCTGGTGTCTCCACTCTGGAGGGTTCTCTGTTTCTTCCCTCTGGGAGAGAAGCTGTACTCTGACATCTGGTCAGGGGCATGGGGCTCAGCAGGCCCCTCTGCTAGCCATTGGATGGAGAGGAACCCTACTTTGTCCCACTAGTCCTGAGGGCTTAGCCCCAGGGCACCTGTGAGGTTCTTTCATGAGAAGGAGGGAAGGAATGAAGAGCTGATCCACTCCCTGGCCAACTGAGGAAATAATTCCCAGACACCAGAGAACTCTGTTCTATTTCATAGATTGGGAAGCTGAGGTTAAAAAGAGACAAAGGAACTTGAGGAAATCTGCTGACAGCCTTTACATAGCCCTCAAACTGATCATACTAAATAATATAGGGGACTTTTGTTTGTTTGTCTTTTAAGGTTCTAAGCAGCAAAGTCTCCCCTCCCCTGATAGCAGAATGCTCCAAGTTGAGGCTTTCATTGGGACATTAGTGTGGAGTAGGAGTTTTCCCCAACTGAGGGTTGACTCACAGATGGGTCCCAGTTTTGCACCTAAGACTCCTGACAAGTGTTTCGCCTTGGAGGCTGTATTAGTCTGTTCTCACACTGCTGTAAAGATGCTACCTGAGATCGGGTAATTTATAAACAAAAGAGGTTTAGTTGATTCACATTTAAAAGTTACCAAAACAAACAATATATTGGAATAGAAAATAAGATATAAAATGTCAGAGGACAAAAATAAAAATGTTTTAATTTGAGATTCTCTTTCACACTGCGTGGCTGGAGAAGCCTCAGGAAACTTACAATCAGGAGAAGGGGAAACAAGGCATGTCTTACATGGAGGCAGGAGAGAGACCAAGAGCTGCCACACCCTTTTAAACCATCAGATCTCGTGAGAACTCACTATCATGAGAACAACAGGGGGGAAACCGCCCCAATCATACAATCACCTCCCACCAGGTCCCCGCCTTGACATGTGGGGATTACAATTCAGGATGAGATTTGGGTGGGGTCACAGAACCAAACCACATCAGGGGCTATCACATTTGGATCCAGACAGAATTAGGTAGGGCTCCTGTCAGGTTGGTGTCCTTACCTATTTGTGTCTCCCATTTCCTAGTCTGTCTCATGAGGTCAGCACTTCACAGGGTGATTATGAAGATGAATGAAGGTCAAAACCTTAACATGAGGTCTAGCACATGATAGGCACTCAGTAAATGCTGCCCATTTCCATATCTTAAACAAACAAACAGACAACTCTCGCTCCTCACTGGTTCTATGCACTTAAATGTTTTAAAATTATCCATGGCAAGGAGTTTATATACAGTGTGAGGAAGGCAAATAGTTCAATTGAATCCCCATTGAGGGTATTACTTGCCCCGTATTGGGACTTTTATCATCCCTGTTAGGCACTTGCACTTGTACTATTCTTGTAAATAAATAAAATGTTCTAATTCTGAACTTACTGATAAATAGACTATGAAAATGACCTTTTTAAAGAAATTAGTTTTGGAAGTAAGAAAATGCATAGCCCAATTCTTATATTCTTAGAGAGAGTAGGTTCTGAGAGACTGATACCACTAAAATCCATGGTGTTCATCTCTGTCCTTGCAATGATACATAATATATTCATATTTTTGGATTGATAGAAAACTATGTTAGCTTTGTTTTCATGTAAAGTGTGAAAGAAATCTCAAAACATTTTTATTTTCATCCTCTGACTTTTTATATCTTATTTTCTATTCCAATATATTATTTGTTTTGGTAACTTTTAAATCACTGCTGAGAGCCCATAATTTAAACTGAATTTATTTAAATAACTGCAGAATGTTTTGTACGTACTAGGATTTTTTTTTTTTTTGTATTTGGTAGTCATTCAGTAACTATTTGCTGATTTGAATATTTTAATTAGAAAGAAGATGAGAAGCAGTGTCTTTATGCCATTTTGGTGAATCCATGAGTCTTATTGATAAAAGGATTTAAGCCAGAGGGCTATCCAAAAAAGGGTAAGATATTAAACTCCACAGGTAGGAGGAAAGAGTGTGCTAGGGATAACAACCCTTATGAGATTTAGGGTCTTGACAGATAGAGAAAGTGGATTAAAGAGGACATGAAAGCAAATGCGCCTATTCAGCTGCTGATCAGAAAATGACAGATGGATTCACTAAGAAAGTTGAAATGGCACACCAGAAGGAGAAAACAATACTATTATTTAAGATAATAGAGACATTCTTCACAGATCGTTTCTGGAAAAACCAGCAGGCAAGTTTATCCCTTGATTGAGGAACTGAATACTTTCAATCAAAGCACAATGAGTTCACCTAATAAAAGTTTTCAGAACAAAAGTAAAGAAAAATAGAAGAAATTACAGGTGGCAAGCCTTTTACTTTTGTTCATTTGGCAGTGCCATTGAGCAATTACATTAACTACCTTCAGGCATTGTCTCTCAAAGCCTGGTGCGGGATCACTGGAGTCCCCAGAGACCCTTTCAGAGTTCAATGAGGTCAACATAATCTTCATAATAATACAAAGATGTTATTTGCATTTATCATGTCATTTTTTCAAAACTACACAGAGACGTTTTTTTCTAGAGGCTACATAAAGTGTGGTATCATAACAGATTGAATTCAGAAGTAGATATGTGACTGTAGCTATCTTCTGTTTACTAAACATACTAAAGATACTTCCAAAAGTATAAACAATACCACTTCTCTATTTGTTGTTGTTCATTTTCAAAAGATAATTATTTTATATTTAAAAAGACATGTTATTTTTTACATTAACACATGATAGGCTTATTATTCTTGTATGACAAGTTAATAAGTATATGTTTTTAATTCTCAGTTTTAAATTTTAAATATGGTATATATTAATAGACAACATCAACAAAAGTTCTTAAGACCATTAATACATTTTAATGGTATAAAGAGACCCTGAAACCAAAAAGTTTGAGAACCTTTTTCTTAAGGAATATGAGCACATTCTTCTAAAAATTGCTTATGCAGTTTAGACTGGAGATGATCATCATGTCCATTTCTCTTCTTCTGGGAGCATGGAAGGAATATATTTCCTCACATTCCTATAATTAAGCAGCCGTAGTTGTAGCAATGTATTGTAGGTGGCAGTGACATGCATCACTGTCATCTCAGAACATCTGATGTCTAATGTGAGATCGTTAAGCACTCTGTTTTCTCCGAGTTGTGGCACTCTTTTTTTCTCCGAGTTGTGGTCCTGGAGGCATGTTGTTGACATAAAGATGCCAAGGATGAAAGCAACCTAGAATGCTAAGCCAACCCTGGGAGGAGAGCTGCTCTGGAGAATCACATACACTGGCAGTAGACCCAGCGTGAGCAAGAAAAAAAAGGATGTTCATAGGGGCAAATCCCTGAGATTTGAAGCCTGTGTATTATCTTTGCATAAACTATCCTGCCCTGGCTTATACATTTTTATTCATAGAAAAGTCAGCATGATCAGAAAATTTTAGGGGCTGTTTACACTGACAGTAAAGGGAAAGTCTTTATACTGATAGAATAATGAGTGATTCAAAGTAGTTTTTCAAAATTGTCACTTATTTTTGATGTTTTAGAGTTAATTACAAAAAATGACATCACGCTTTATAAAAATGTTGCTAATATAGGTAATAGTTATGTCCTTATGCTTAAGGAACATGTGACACAAATGCTGTTCTTTTAGGTGCTTTGGGAAACTTGATGCTCAAAAATAATAATAACTTACATATATGGAGAGAAATGGTCTCATGCATTTATTGAATAATAGTTTTTAAATGATCCCTTTGCAGCATGTACTTTGCTGGGGATAACACAGTGGCAAAGACAGTCTTCAATGTCACCAATTAACGCACAGGCAGGAAATTGAGGAAAAGCAAAGGGCAAAATCTGCATGTCAGCTGAGTTGGCTGCATTTTCAAAAGCTTTCCAGAAAGTTTCTCCAAGGACATGTGCTTACATCTCATTGTCCAGCTATGAGGAAGGCTGTAAATCATAGGCTATTTGCAGGCAGATTGCCACCCTGAAGAAAATCCATTCTTGTTAATAAGGTGGAGGAGTGGATAGATATTGAGTAAGCAGCTAGGCATGTCTTCCACAATTACCTTTGGTAATTGTAGATGTTTCCATCTCAGTTGTACCAAAAAATCTAGAATCTCATGCAGTGCCAAGGCATAAAGTCCTTAGTCCCCACTGCTCCAGAATACCATAGGGTCACCCACCACCCTGATCCACATGGCTGCTTCAGGTCCAGGGGCATTCTCCTTTTCACATGGCCACATTGGGGATTAGAAAATCTTTGGAAACTGCCTATGGACCCATGTGCGGAGATCCATGACAGTCATTCCCCACAGACTGCTGTGGGAGTCAAGCCCATTTTCTCTTTCATCTTGATCCCACAGACCTCTGTTCTCAACTACTTCCTTGTCCCCATAACTGATGGTTTATTTCTAATTGTAGGGAAATCCATTTGCCTTCATGTTTCAACCTAGTCATTTGCCTACATGTAAAAATCCTCTCCACCCTCTGGAAGCTGGGGAATTCATGGACAATTTTTCCTTTCTACCCTCGTGCATCTCTCCCTAAAGCAACATTTACAGGACCAATGACCTGCTTGAATAAAAGGATGGATAAAACATATATTTAATATTATAAAGTGTTATCCTATCACATAAGAGATTGTGTTTTCAATACAATGTTGTAAGATTTCTGATATGGGTATGCAGGGCATGCTGTAATAAGCCCCAGGATTCTGTTCCAGTGGGTCTCAGGGATGATTTTCTGCAAAAGGTGATGTCTAAACTGAAATATTGGTAGAATCTATCCAGTTGAAAATAAAAGAGGGAGGAAAGGTAAAAGAGAAGAAGAGAGGGAGAGAGAGAATAAAAGGCATTCCATAGAAAGGAAATAGCATATGTAGGGACAAGGAAAAGATGATGAGGTAGGGGACTGTCAGTAGCTCAATACGTGGCTTGAGAGTACAGGGTGAAGTAGAGAGTGATGGTGATGCAGAAGAGGCTCGAGAGGAATATAGCTCATTTGGATTTCATTCATGCAAAACTGAGCAGTCCTAAAGATTACGCTTTAGTAAGATCTCTGGCTGCGGTATGAAACACAGATTCAAGCTGTGCAAGATTGGAATTAGGGTAACCTGTTGGAGGTCTGTTGTAATTATTTTAGCAAGAGATTATGTGAGGTTGACTTAATGTCATAGCAGTGGGAAGGAAATAACTGAATGAATTGAAGAGTTATTATGAATATAGAACAATTTCAACATCAAAAATTAACCTTTGTCTTTGGATTGGCAGTTAAGTGTGTGTTGGTATAATCTCTGAGACAAAAAAATCAAAACAAAACAAAACAAAAACAAAAAACAAGAGGGGGTCCAAATTCTGTGCAGAAGCTCTCCCATCTAAAGTTTCAACCACTTCCCATTTTCTGCTCTATTTTTATTTTATTTTTGAGACATAGTCTCTATTTTTCTATTTATTTATTTATCTATTTTTTTGAAATGGGGTTTCACTCTGTCTCCCTGGCTGGAGTGCAGTGATGTGATCTTGGTTCACTGCAGCCTCAACTTCCTAAGCTCAAGTGGTCCTCTCACCTCAGCCTCCCAAATAACTGGGACTACAGGTGTGTACCACCATACCTGCATAATTTTTGTATTTTTTGTAGGGACGGGGTTTCACCATGTTGCCCAGGCTGGTCTTGAATTCCTGGGCTCAAACTATCTGCCCAACTTGGCCTCCCAAAATGCTGATATTACAGGCATGAGCCACTGCATCCAGCTATTTGTTTTAAGAACTTAACCATATCTTCTGTATCTTTTTCTAGTTTGTGTAACCTCACTAGAATATGAACTCCAGTGGGAAGATACTTGTGCAAATTTTGTTTTCTGTTGCCTCCCCAACTCCTAGAAGAATGCCAAGCACATAGTGAGCTACTGAATAAATATTTCATAAATGATAGGGTAACTGATAAATTCACTAAATAAGCTCTAATGGGTCAATAGTAAAATGCATCAGTTCAGTGCTTAGATTTGCTGAGTATGAGTTGCCTTCAGACATTTCATAATAGGTGTCCAATATATACTAGAGATGTGGATATGGAGTTCAGATGATATCTCTGGTATAGAAATAGAGCTTCACAGGGGGTCCTCAAAATACAGGCAAACTTTGAAACAATGAGAGTGAATGAGATATTCATTTTGTAATTCAGCTCTTGGTTATATAAAATATCCTACCAGTATTCTTTGTAGCTACTTTTGTTTCTAATAGAAATCTCCCTTTTTCATCAGTGAGTCAATGGAAAAATTATCTTTGTAGTCACTTTCCCTACATTTCACTCTCTGAATATCTTTCTCATCAGGAATGTTGCTTCTTCTTTAAGGAATGTAGTTCCTTCTTTATTTCATCTGATATATATCATCTTATATATCATGTTTTGGTTCTTTAGGTACTTCAAGGACTTTGCTGATTACTAATTAAGAACTTGCTAAAAGGAAAACATCCTTATCTTATACTCATTTCTGTATTACATCAATGCCCCTGAAAAAATTTGTACTCACCAAGAGCTTTTCCAAACACCTCCCATTTTCTTTCTTTCTCACTATTCTTCTTTATATTTTGGAAATGACCCAAACCTAAATGATATTTTCTCAGGAGAAAGAGTTTGGAACTTCAGAAAAAAAAATTTCTTTCCTTTTTTATTTTGAGGTAGAGCTGGCCACTAATTTGCCACTGATTTTGATAACAGATAATCCAATAAATCTACTCATCAGTCAGAGGCAGAAACAAATTTTGTAAATGAGTCCTGTAAGGTAGAGTTTGGTGGCAGCTTCCTGGAGTAGTTGTTTTGGGCATGGCTTTTTTTTTTTTTTCTTTAGAGTAAGTTTGAGAAGAGTCCTACATGTGGAAGAACTGAGCATGATGCTTAGAAATGTGACTGGAAACAAGGCATGTGTCTGAAGAAGTGGTGGGGGCTGGGAATCACGTGTGCATAATTTTTATTCCAGGCAGCAGGGTGGGCCGCAGTGGTTTTAGGAGATTCTGAACAGAGTCATGAAGTGGGAGATACTAAATTGACTAACTTCAGTGATGGGAAGAAATAATTCCAGATTTTATAAGACAACTAAAGCAATAGTTTTCTTATAGCCCTTAGTTAATCTTATTTCTATGTAAGAGCTTAAAAGAGCTGGGGAGTTGGGGATGTGAAAAAGGGAACTATCTGTTGTATTAGTCCATTTTCATACTACTGTGAAGAAGTACCTGAGACTGAGTAATTTATAAAGAAAAAGAGGTTTAAAGGAATCACAGTTCCACATGGCTAGGGAGGCCTCACAATCATGGCGGAAGGCAAAGAAGCAGCAAAGGATCATCTTACAGTCTTACATGGTGGCAGAGAAGAGGGTGTGTGCTGGGAAACTGCCTTTTATAAAACCGTGAGATCTCATGAGACTTATTAACTATCATGAGAACAGCACAGGAAAACCCCGCCTTTATGATTCAATTACCTCCCACTGGATCTCTCTCATGACACATGGGGATTGTAGGAGCTACAAATCAAGGTGAGATTTGGGTGGGGACACAGTCAAACCATATTATCTGTCTTGTATTGTATTTCTCAAGAAACTACGTGAAGTTATACCAGATGCCTTAAAAGTGACCCAGCCCCTTCTGGTAGGCTTCTGTTCATCCAGTGTGAGGGGTGGCTATAAGGTTATTATAAAATTGTTCATGGTCAATCTATAAATGACTCTGAAAATATGAAGGAAACTATTGAAAACTTGGCATTTCCATATAAATTGTAACATTTGTGAAGTGAGGAACTACATGTTATTTTAAAATATAGTATTTGTCATATATCCCAACGTGTTGTCCGCATAAATAAAATTTAAGAAATATTGATCATTCATTTATTATTTACAAAAATCATTTGAAATAATGTTTTAATATATCTTTTAAAAGAAACTCAGAGTTTGCTGTATGCAGGTTGTTCACTTTTAGCTTTTTATTACCTAAATTGGAAGTCTTTTAAGCAAAAAAATTGAGCTGCAGAGTAATTCACCCAGAAAATTACTGGTAGAGTTTGAAATACAGCCAAGGACTTCATATTCTCAGTCTTTGTGGTAGATGGTAGAAATGATTCTCAAAATGTTTCTTCCTTGTGGATAGAGTACGTTCTTTAAAGAATCAATTACTGAGCTGTATTCCTCAATTGTAAAATGTTTTTTTTCTCATTATCACTATACAAACGGTTAGAGATGAGCAGATATTCATTAAGAGAAATGCTTGAAGGTAGAATATAGACCCACCCATTCGTAATACAGTTCCCAGATAGTTGTTTGAAGCTCTGAGCAGGGGTCTCTGTGTCCCACAACTTACCCTCTTCCTTCATGCACAATTATAAGACAGTCTGACTTACTTTAACAGTTTTTAAAGTAACAATTTAATCTTTGCCTTTTAGGATAATGATGAAATAATTATCATCTATAGAAACAACACTAACTCTTCACTGAAAATTCAGTAACAATTGCACATAGAGTTGAATGAGCTTCACCTATTTCCTCTAGTTTAAAAGTCCCACTAAATTGCAAAAGCAGATTTTCCTCTGACCCTCCTTCTAAAAGAATTGTTTTGATCCCTAGCACCATAAGCTTTGTGGATAACACAATTTCAGATTCAAGCCCATTTCCTACCTCAGGCTTAACACTGCAAGTCACAATTTTAATAGAATAATTCATTTTTGAGAGGTAAGCAGCCAAGCAATCATGTCAGCTACTGCTATTTATTAATAATAAATGTAAAACACCAAGATAAAGTATACATTCTTAAGTTAATCAGACAATGTGACTTCAGGAATTACAACACAAAATCTTTCAGCTGTTCCTTGGAAACATTGGAGCATCAAGTTCAATATTGATTAAAAAATCTGTAAGCACAGACACGAAATACACAATGAATCTCTTTGTATAGTCTATACAGTGCATGCTTTTAAGGTCAATATGTGTACATGTATAGCACAAGGAACCTGTATTTAGGAAAGTGTGCCTTGAGGTTAAGGCTTTGCTCATGTGAGCTAAATTACCTTCAAGTACCTGGCTCACAGTACTGCCGTGTGATTTAAACTTGCTCCTCCTGATCCATTCACTTCTATGCGGCAGAAACTTCCAAGGAAGGTCAGTGGTATATCTAAGAGATTATGACAGCTGAATTATGGTTTCAAACAGGTTTGGCTTTTACACTACCTTAGAAAATGAAATCGCTTTTGATTTATAGTCATTTTACATTAATATGCATTTCTCTCTTGTATTTCACTTGAAATTAGGCAGGCCAGGTTTATACATTCCAGATTATTTCTTGAGGTGCCTACTGAATTACATATTTTAAACAAATCATTCTGAGTAAGTTGACATCAGGTGCAAACAATGAGAGAGAATAAGTAGGAGGCTCTGAATTTTCCTAGCTATTAATAGCAACATTAAAGGCATCAAGACCTCTGTATGACATGCTAGTCAAGGTGTATTTCTCTGTAAATGATCTTGTACCCAGCAAAAATAGAAAAAGACACTGGATCAGAGGTCCTGTGATATCTGTCATGAGATTTTTTTCCCCTAAGTTATGGATAATTTGGGAAATACATTTTCAGGTTTCTGGATATTTGATAATAGGAAACTTTGTCTCACATTTTATAAACATATCAACGGTAGAAGATAATGCTTTTTTACCTTATAAAATACACAATTTTCATTTCTGGATGGTCTTATAATTTTCTTTGGTGCCATAACTATTGTTGGCTTACTGAATAGAAACTTCATATCCCTCTGAATCCTCTTTCACTCTACTATGGATTATTTTCAAGGGCATTGTAACTCAGGCTTTAGAGGGCAAGCAGGAGAATTGACTGATAGTCCCAAGTTTTACTTCTGTGGTCGATTGCAGCTTTTTGAACTTGAAGATACACTACTCTGGATTCTCTTAAGTGCTTTTGAGAAGTAATATATTTTATAACACAGGAAGACCAACTTACATCTGCATTACTTTACTCTATGGAAGAGTGGATCTAATAATATTAATTCATTGATTTTGTTTTCAACAAATATTTGCCATGTTCCTATCATCTACCAGGTGTTGTTCTAGGAAATGGGGATACAGAGATAATTACAACAATGTCCATGTTTTTACAGTGCTCTCCCTTTTTACTACTGAATTAATATGTTATTAGTGTTACATATTGAGATTGTCTCTGAACACTTCAGTTTCTATTACCGTCTGAAATCTGATGATTTCTTTTTCACAAAATTAAGAGACTATTAGGAGAGAAGGAATGGCTTATGTATGAATACGGAGAGGTAAAAGGAAGGGAGAAGGATCATAGAAAGCAATGATGCTGAGGCACTTACTCATACCTCACTCATCCCCAATGGCTGTCTCTGGGGCAAGGATACTTTTCTTATATTTTAGTTCAAATAGTGACTCATTACTCAATAAACCGAATACTTCCTGCATGTCTGTTGTAATTATCTGAATTATGTGGAATAAAGAGTTTCTTTATATCATTCAGAACACTCAATTTGAAGAAACTATGTTAAAGAAGAATTAATGTAGTTTTACAGAGGAAAGAGACATAAGACTCCATAAAAAAAGAGATGACAAAATACAAAGGTCCATTTTTTAAAATCTCATAGAAATATTTTCACAACCACCTGAAAATATTTAAATGCAACTTAGTTCTTTATTAATAGAAAGTTTACAGTTACTTTGGAGCATCATAATCTTTTGCTGTTAGAGGAATGACTTAACTGTGAGCTCTAATCCCTATAGCAGGAAGTATTTACTCTTTATTATTATAGATTTATGCCTGACTGCATGAAGCAACTTGTGCTTCTAGAACCGATGATTTTCCACAATACTCTTGTCTCTTCAGCCAAGCCTTACTTAAAGATTAGGTCAATGCAAGCCTTCATGCATTGTTAATGGAAGCCTGTCCACTGCTTCCAACTCATTCTGTACTTCTTCATATATTCCTGTCTTCATCATCATATTGATTGATATTTACTACATATTATATGCTTTCTTAAGCATTGTTCTGTACCTACCTTGTACTATATTTGGACTAACAACAAGTTTTAAGTAAACAAGTAAGTGAAATCCCTTGATATTGAGAAATTCATGGTTCAGTGCAGTTATTCTTTACTGTAGACAAGCATTGGACTCAACCTGGGGACTGTAAAAAATACAGATTTTTATCCCTCACCAAGTCTGAGTGAGGAATTCCGTATCTCAAAATTTTTCTCTATGTGCTTCTGTTGCACATATGCAGCTGAGTACCCCTGGTAGTGTAACGGGCCTTGATAACAAATAATTACAAAGGAATGAAACAAATATTATTGCAGGGTGCAATACGTAGTATGATTATGAATAGGAGGGTGCCTGGTTCTGTGTGGGTGAATTGTCAGGCTGAGGAAATGATAGTTAGCTTAAACGGTAACTGGAATTAGATGGGCAAAGCAGGTGGGGAGGTTCGATGTGTGCAAAAATACACAGGCATGGAATGAGTAAGATTTTAACAGTTTTCAAGTATATAGAAAAGTTTCAAAAGTCATATAATGAATACATATATGAATTCACCTGTATTTAACAATTGTTAACATCCTAAAATAACATTTTGAAAAACCAAAACCAAACCAAACAACAATGACAACATCAACAATCTTTTAGCTTCTTCTTAATGAAAATATCTGGAAACTCGGGATTTTGATATTCAAGTTGTATACTTTTTTCTGAAACATAAATACTATACACCTATTAAAAAGGTAACATTCCTCTACCTAAAATAATTCCACTGCATTTAGGAAAAAGAATAGACTCTTTGATGTGTACAATTCTGTCTATTGCTAAAAGTTTATCATTCTGTGTGTGTGTGTGCGTGAGTGTGCATCTATCTTGTTCAACAAGATAGAACAATCATATGGTTTGCTCTATAAAAAATGCATGTTTTTAAGATAATACTTTATGAAAACCTCTCTTCCCCCCTGACATCTCAATTTGTAAAAAAAAAATTCGTTAGGAATTTTTTTTTTTTGAGACGGAGTCTCGCTCTGTTGCCCAGGCTGGAGTGCAGTGGCACGATCTTGGCTCACTGCAAGCTCTGCCTCCCGAGTTCACGCCATTCTCCTGCCTCAGCCTCCCAAGTAGCTGGGACTACAGGTGCCCGCCACCATGCCTGGCTAATTTTCTGTATTTTTTACTAGAGACAGGGTTTTACTGTGTTAGCCAGGATGGTCTCGATCTCCTGACCTTGTGATCCACCCACCTCGGCCTCCCAAAGTGCTGGGATTACAGGCGTGAGCCACCACAGCTGGCCAGGAATTTTTTAAGGAAACTATTAGATATATTGTAGTCCTGAGCTGCACCTTTGCTCTCAGTAAAGATCTATGGTAATACTGAGGAAGGAAGAAAGAAAGAGTGAATAAAGGTATTTGAGACCCAATACAGCAGTACATTTTCCATGAGCAGCTTGAAAATTGGCAGCTCTAGCTAAAAAAAGGGCAAGAGTTAATGTTCAAGATGACATTTTTTTGACCCTGAAGATGAATGCAGAAGTAGATAGCATATCAGCTTCCATATATTTTTTTTGGAAGCAGATATCACACATATTAAGAAGCATGCTGGAAATTGGCCAAACCCAATCCTCTGTTCTGTATTGACTTGTCTTTGATTTTAATTATACAATATGCACTTTTAGAGCATTGATAATCTCATGAAAAAGTTTGGACTAAAGGGTTTTTCAGTTACTTTTTGAAGATATATGTCTCAAAATTTTATATAACATCCTTTAAAAATTGTACTAAAATATCACCTCTGTCCATAAATATGGTTATTTAATTTTTTTGAAATTATTCAAACTTGTTTATTGATTTCATTGTATAATCCAAGAATATATTTGTTGAACAACATACAATGCACATAAAAAATACATATTATATAAGATTTATTTATATTAAGATAATTATTATTTCGGGAAATAGAAAATTTTCAGAACCACTGAGGTGGAATTTAGAGTTTTGATCAGTGTAAGCATTATTTTATTAGTCATCACATTAAATTGAAGCTATTTGAATCTGCTGCTTATGGTTTATATTTGTTCAAGACAGATAATGCTTTATGAATGCAGATATGAGAGAAGCTTTGCAACGTTACATGTTATTCGGGTTTAATGTTTATGGTTGTCAGACTGAAACTACTGAATGCAAATGTCTTTCATGTGTTCATACCATCAGGAATGATTTTCAGGACACAAATGCTAGTTGAAAGTATGTGCTCAGTCATTTCTGTAGAGGGTTCTTTTTCATTCTTGAGGCATGACTGACGACCTCAACATCAGACTGATGGTGAGTCACCAGACCTTTATAAAATATAGAGCTTGATCTAGAAAGCAAAAACAAATAGTTGGTCACCATAGGTACTTAGACTACTGCTGGTAAGCAAACCCTATTCATAAACACTATCACTTTAGGGGGAAACTTGTCCCAGATTTTCAATATACATTCTCTTGTCTAGATTTTTGAACATTTTAATAATGATTATAGCTTCTTATATGTTAACAGGAATATTTGTATGAAAACATGACACTTAGAATTACTTGTCTTGGTTTCCTCACAATTAACGCTAAGCGTTTTGGCGTGAAGTAGACAATTTCTATATTTTAACTGGCCAGCATCAATTTCCATTTCTTACCAGTACCTTGATTTTCTTTTAAAAAATGATCTCTCCCATTCTGTGTGGTCTGGATGGTGGAGTAAATCACATCATACTTCTTTTTGACTTAGGGAAGCTGAAGGGATCCCCACATCTCTATACACAGGTACTATTGTGGGGTGCATGTAAAACCTAGGCTCAGCCAAACAGTTTCCTCTTTTAGAACCATAAATCTTGACAGGAATGAAACAGAATGGAAGCAATAGTGGAAGCTCATTTACTCCAGCAGTTTTCTCTTTCAGAAAAGCAGTTCTAGTCTTGGTTCTTGCTCTGATTCTAATCCTGGCTCTCCTTAACCCTATCCATTTGATAACTCTCGGATAGCCTTCAAATAAATTTATTTTATAGTTAGCTAGAATGGGTTTCCTTTGTTTGCAAACAAAAAACTCTAACACAAGATACCCTGAAGTTCAGTAACACAAGCAACTTGAGCAAGGAAATTAATATGGCTTTTAAGCTTCTAGTCCAGACCATTGTTGGTGTCTGGAGACTATCAATTAGCTGCCACCTTTTTTGAATCGTTTTTAAACTTTGAAAAGTCCTTTTGCTCTTGACCTTCAGAAATGAACAATTCTCATAAAATATTAAAAGATATGGACCTGATTTATTTTAGTGGAATGAAAATGAAAGGAAAGGGTTTTTTTCAGCTTGACAATATCGATGTCTACTTTCCTCTAATTTTAATGCAGAAGCTGTCAGTATACATTAGAGACAACTCAGTAAATCTTTACAGAGAAGAGACATTGAAAAATATTCTCCTGATTATCCATTTCCCTCTTGAGACCAGGACTACACTACACATGATATACAATATGTCTCAACCAAAATGGAAAATGTAGCTAATTATCATTTTAGTCAAACACATCAGAGATTTAAAAAAAAAAAAGATAGGCAAATATAGTCTGTTTCTAACTGTCCAGGGAGAAAAAGTTCCGTTTGTGAATAATACATTTCATATACCTTCTTCCTGTCTTTGTCTGTCTTCTCTCTCTCTCTCTCTCTCTCTGTGTATACAATCACCTATTTCAATCTTTGTGTTGCTTATTTGCAACAAAAAAAGAGAATGCATGAGAAAGATTTACAGGCCACAGTACTCTTATAAAGCATAGATGGAAAGCAATTGCTTCTATTGAAATCATGGCCAATTCACTCAATTTCTCTGATATGCATATGTACATAAATAAGCTAAAGTGCTTCTTTAATGCAGGCATACCTTGGAGATACTGTGAATCTGGATCCAAAACACAGCAATAAAGTGAGTATCACAATAAAGCAAGTCACATGATTTTTTTTTTGGTTTCCAGTACATATAAGAGTTATGGTTACACTATACTGTAGTTTGTTGCGTGCAATAAAATTTTGTCTAAACAACGTATAAACCTTAATTAAAAATATTTTATTAATAAAAATACTAACAATCACATGAGCCTTCAGTGACTCCTAATCTTTCTGTAAGTGTGGGGTCCCACTTCAATGTTCATGGCTGGTGACTGTTCAGAGTGTTGGTTGCTGAAGTTTGGAGTGCCTGTGTCAACCTCTTAAAATAACACAACAATAAAATTTGCTGCACTGATGAACTCTTCCTTTCACAAAGGATTTCTCTAGAATATGAGTTTCTTCTTTCAAAATTGGAGTCAGTTCTCTGAAAACCTGCCATTGCTTTATCAACTAAGTTTATGTAATATTCTAAATCCCTAGTTGTCACTTGGACAATGTTCATAGCATCTCTCCATTAAGAGATTCCATCTCAAGAAACCACTTTGTTTCCTCATCCCTAAGAAGCAAGTTCTTATACATTCAATTTTTATCATGAGATTTCAGCAATTCAGCCACATCTTCAGGCTCCACTTCTAATTCTACTTCTCTTGCTATTTCTACCCCAGCTGCAGTTACTTTCTCTAACGAAGTCTTGAACCCATCAAAGTCATCCACAAAGTTTGGAATCTACTTCTTGCAAGCTCCTGTTAATGTTGATATTTTCACCTCCTAACATGAATCACAAATATTCGTAATGGCGTTTATAATGGTAAATCCTTTCCAGAAGGTTTTCAATTTACTTTGTTCAGATCCAACAGAGGAATCACTATCTGTGGTACTTATAGCCTTATAATATGTATTTCTGAAATAATAAGAATTGAAAGTCAAAATTACTTATTGATCCATGGGTTGCAGAATGGATGTTTTTCTAGCAGGAACAAAAACATTAATCTCCTTGTACATCTCATCAGAGCTCTTGGGTGACCCGATGCATTGTCAATGAAGAGTAATATTTTGAAAGGAATGTATTTTTCTGCATACTAGATCTCCACAGTGGGCTTAAAATGTCAGTAAGCCATGCTTTAAACAGATGTGCTGGCATCCAGACTTTGTTCTTCCATTTATAGAGCATAGGCCAAGTAGATTTGACATCATTCCTAAGAGCCGTAGGATTTTTCACAATAGTATACGAGCAATATCTTAAACTTAAAGTCACTAGCTGCATTAGCCCATGACAGGAGACTCAGCTTGTCCTTTGAAGCTTTGAAGCCAGGCATTGACTTCTGTCTAGCTATGAAAGTACAAGATGGCAACTTTTTTCAATATAAAGAAAATAAAGCTGTTTCATCTCCATTGAAAATCTGTTTAGTGTAGCCACCTTCATCAATGATCTTAGCTAGATCTTCCAGATAACTTCCTGCAGCTTCTACATCAGCACCTGCTGCTTCAACTTGCACTTTTATGTTATGTTGATATCTTCTTTCCTTAACCCTCGTAAACTAACCTCTGCTACTTTCAAACTTTTCCCTGCAGCTTCCTCACCTCTCTCAGCCTTCATGGAATTAAAGAGAGTTAGGGCCTTGCTTTGGATTAGGCTTTAGCCTAAGGAAATGTTGTAGCTAGTTTGATTTTCTGTATGGACGACTCACACTTTCTTCATATCAGTGATAAGCCTGTTTCACTGGAATAGCATTTTTTATATCCTTAAAGAACTCTTCTTTTGCATTCATAACTTGGCTAGCTGGTGCAAAAAGTCTAGCTTTTGGCTTATTTCAGCTTTTGATATGCCTTCCTCAGAAAGATTAATCATTTCTAGCTTTTGATTTAAAGTGAGAGATATGTGACTGTTCCTTTCACTTGAACACTTACAGGCCATTGTAGGGTTATTAATGTGCCTAATTTCAATATTTTTGCATCCCTAAGATTATAGAGGCCCAACGAGAGGGAGAAAGACTGGGGATGGCCAATCAGTGAAGCAGTCAGAACACACAAAACATTCATCAATTAAGTTTGAGGTCTTATGTGAGCAAAGTTCATGACACCGCAAACCAATTGCAACAGAAACATCAAAAATTACTGAAAACATATCACCATAACAGATAAAATAATAATGAGGCAATTGGAAAATTACAATAATTGCCAAAAGGAGATGCAAAGAAATTAAGTGATTACATGATGTTGAAAAAATGTTGCTAACAAACTTTTTTGATACAGAGTTGCTGCAAACCTTAAATTTGTTAACAACAACAACAACAACAAAAGCAAAAGCAATAGCTGTGAGGTACAATAAAGCAAAATGCAATAAAATGAGGTATGTCTGTGTTACCCTTTTTTTCTTTCTTTCTCTTTTTTTTTTTTTTTTGAGATGGAGTCTCACTCTGTCACCAGGCTAGAGTGCAGTGGCATGATCTCAGCTCACTGCAACCTCAGCCTTTCTACCTTCAAGCAATTCTCCTGCCTCAGCCTCCTGAGTAGCTGGGACTACAGGCCCCCGCCACCATGCCCAGCTAATTTTTGTATTTTTAGTACAGACGGGGTTTCACCATGTTGGCCAGGACGGTCTCGATCTCTTGACCCTGTGACCCACCCGACTCAGCCTCCCAAAGTGTTGGGATTACAGGTGTGAGCCACCGTGCCTGGCCCTGTGTTACTCTTTCAGTGATTTTCACTGTAGTGGAAGAGAGATCCTGGTTAACAGCATATTGGTCCTGGTTATTATGGTGTAGCTGCTTACTTCCTATGTACGTAATCTTAGGAACAAGTCAGTTAACCTTTTCTCAGGACTTGCTCTTTATGTAGTGTAATAAAGTGCTTGGATTAAGTGATCTCTACAGACCTTTATTTTGTCTAAAATGAAAACAGTAGATATCGTTACAAGTGATGGGCATTTTTTTTATTTATTCCACAGAGAAGTAGATTACTTTCCGGAATGTCACTTTACTCTGCTAAAGAAACTAAACCTATGGATGTGTATGTTGGCAATCACTTGTAGCAATATCTATAAATAAAGATAAAATAAAGATCATTTATACTTTGCTGTGTTTCCCTGCATTCGTTTTAGGCTCTGATAGGGAGTCTCTTCATGGAGTGAAATCTTTACTTAAAATATCTCATGAATAGGATGACACATCTAAAATTAAAATTAGATCTTGCTGCCCAAAAACACGGTATTTGAATCACATCCTGAGTTTTATCTTGAAATTGAAGGCTTAGTGCTGGCTATTTCTTTTGAGTGGCTTACTACTTTGGATATAAAACCTTTATGCTTTGCCTATAGGAGGAAAGTATTTTAAAACTTAAGTCACTATATGATTTATCTCTTGATTCTATAAATATATTTTTAAAATCTCTATGTCAGAATGAGTTTAATTTGACAAAGATTTATTGAGTGCTAGGCATAGTAGAGAAAGATGAATGTACAAAATAAAATAATTGCTGTATTATGCAATCGTTAACTGTAACACTCTACTGCCTGAATATAACTTTTTCAACATTCAACTTTTTCCCCTCACTAAATCTATGCTTTGAATTCATGATAACTTTTAGTACCTTAATTCTTCAATTTTCTATTTTCCTATCCAGGCTTCCTTTTCTCCTGCATCTCATCTTAAAGTCATGAAAGCTCATTTTAGAGCCTCTTTCTTCAATATCCTCAACAGCTTTGTCTCTATGTCTTCTATCCCTGCACTTTAAGGCCCAATTGTCAACATAGGTTATTTGTTGTCTCTGTTGACTACATCCAGGCTGCTGAGCACTGCTAAAGGATATCACATACCTATGGGAGAACCGGAGAGAGCAGATGTATAGTTTCTAGTTTCAGTTGGGTACTTAAGTCTTCCTGTAGATCTTTTAAGCTTTTACTTGCAGTGTCTCTTCCATATACTATTATGTTAGGTATTTAAATCTTCCTGTAGATCTTTTAAGCTTTTACTCACAGTGTCTCTTCCATATACTATTATGTTAGGTTCCCAGAACTCTTCTCAAATTCCCTTGCTTATCCTTATCTCTTGAGTCCTAGAACTTGACTATGCCTTTGAATTCATAGAGAAAACAGGCTAGACTAGGAGAACTCTCCTAGTTTTAATCTTTCACCTGCAAAATACCTGTGTCCACTCTAGCTTTTCTCCCTACTTTTTTGAAGAAAGCAATGATTCTGTTAATAACAACTTTAAAAATCCTGCCTACTTTGGGCCGGGTGCAGTGGCTGGGTAATCCCAGCACTTCGGGAGTCCGAGGCGGGCAGATCACAAGGTCAGGAGATCGAGACCATCCTGGCTAACACGGTGAAACCCCATCTCTACTAAAAATACAAAAAATTAGCCAGGCGTAGTAGTGGGTGCCTGTAGTCGCAGCTACTCGGGAGGCTGAGGCAGGAGAACGGCGTGAACCTGGGAGGTGGAGGTTGCTGTGAGCTGAGATCAGGCCACTGCACTCCAGCCTGGGCTACAGAGCGAGACTCCATCTCAAAAAAAAAAAAAAAAAAAATTCCTACCTGCTTTGAAATGGACCTCATCATCCCTAGTTCCTCAGGGACTTCAACCCATCCAGTATCATGGCTCACTCTCTTAACGTCAACATTCCTTTTTACACAGACTCCTTTCAACAAATTTCTATTTTTCCAACCTAAAACAATGAATAAACCCAGAACTCACTTTAATTTGATATATTCTTCCAGGCATCACTTGTATAATTTAATTCATTGATAACAAACTTTATTGAAAGAATATCCTTCACTTCTTACTTAATGCCACCGACATACAGGTCACTGTAATTAGGATCCTGCCCCTTGAAATCCATGGAACTACTTTTGCAACAATTACCAGAAATGTCTCATTGCATAATTTAATGTGTACTTTGTGGTTTTTATATAATTAATTTCTGAAGAACATTCGCTAGTAGAGTTGACCATTTCATTTTTTACATTAAAATGCTTTCATCTCTTGGGTGTGTTTTTCTTCTACTTTTTTGAGGTATCTTTTTGGTTTGTTTGTTTGTTTGTTTTGTGACAAAGTTTCGCTCTGTTGCCCAGGCTGGAGTGCAACAGCACTATCTCGGTTCCCTGAAACCTCTGCCTCTCAGGTTCAGGCGATTCTCCTGCCTCAGCCTCCCGAGTAGCTGGGATTACAGGCATGTGCCACGAACCTGGCTGCTTTTTTGTATTTTTAGTAGAGAGGAGTTTCACCATGTTGGTCAGGCTGGTCTTAAACTCCCGACCTCAGGGGATCCACCCACCTCGGCCTCCCGAAGTGCTGGGATTACAGGGATGAGCAGTCACTGTGCCTGGCCTGAGCTATCTTTTTTAGCTTCCTTTTTAGACCTATATCCTCTACCACACCCTTTGTTTCTCTGTTTTCCATCGTTTCATCGTAAGCCCTATTATCTTCTCAAAATATATTGGATAAGAAAGTTGTGAACTCTGCCAGATTTTCTGTCACCTGAATATTACTATCAACTACTTCTATGGTTTCCTCTGCATTAGAAGTAAAAATGTTTCTAACAAGGCCTGTGGCTATAGAATCAAATATAAATTGATGACGCCACAATTCATATCTCAAACACAAATTTTCTCTCACATATCATAATATATCTGTAAGACATCTAAGAAAACTCCTATTGGTTCGCAGTGGTACCTGAAATTCAACTGGTATAAAACTGTGCATATAATTTCTATGTCCTAAATCAATCGTTTCAATTTATCCTTTTACCAAAAGGCACTTCTGCTTGCCTTGGTTTTATAAGCCAGATACTGGAAATCATCCTAGATTATTCCAACCTTCTTCATTCCTAGTGTTTACTGAATACTGTCAATTTCTAAACACCTCATCAATGAATTCTGTTATCTACATTTTCACAGACTTTGTCTTATCTCTGTTTCTCGTAATTGTCCACTGTATTATGTTAATTGTGTTTTAACTGATGTTTCTGTCTACCATTTAACTTCATTTAATTCTTCTCTATATTTAATATTTTAACGATTTGACTTGTGTAATTAAGATGTTCTTTATTACCTTCAAACAGAACATAAACTATCTTGAATATGAAAAGGCCATACATGGGTCTTATTCAATCTTTCTTATGTCATTCCCAGCTTGCAGCTTCTGTTTGGACCACACCTTGTCCAACCCATGGCCTGCAGGCCGCAAGTGGCCCAGAATGGCTTTGAATGTGAACCAAGACAAATTCATAAACTTTCTTAAAACATTATAATTTTTTGTGATTTTTTTTCTTTCTCTCTCTTTTTTTTTTTCTTTTTGCTCATTAGCTAGTGTTAGTGTATTGTATGTGTGGCCCAAGACAATTCTTCTTCCAATGTAGCCCAGGGAAGCCAAAAGATTGGACACCACTGCTAATACATATTATTTGAATTATCTTTGGCTTTAAACATAATGTCCTCTTTCTTTTTTTCTTTTTCTGTTTTTATTATACTTTAAGTTCTGGGATACATGTGCAGAACGTACAGGTTTGTTACATAGGTATACATGTGCCATGGTGGTTTCCTGCACCCATCAACCCGTCATCTACATAAGGTATTTCTCCTAATGCTGTCTCTCCCCTAGGCCCCCATCCCCCAACAGGCCCCAGTGTGTGATGTTCCCCTCCCTGTGTCCATGTGTTCTCATTGTTCAGTTCGACTTATGAGTGAGAACATGCAGTGTTTGGTTTTCCGTTCCTGTGTTAGTTTGCTGAGGATGATGGTTTCCAGCTTCATCCATGTCCCTGCAAAGGATGTAAACTCATCCTTTTTTATGGCTGCATAGTATTCCATGGTGTATATGTGCCACATTTTCTTTATCCAATCTATCATTGACAGGCATTTGGGTTGGTTCCAAGTCTTTGCTATTTTGAACAGTGCTGCAATAAACATATGTGTGCATGTGTCTTTATAGTAGGGCGAGTCATAATCCTTTGGGTATATACCTAGTAATGGGATTACTTCAAAAATTACTAGAAATATAATCTCTCTTATTTAATTTAATGCCTCTTAGCAGTCTGTCCCCAACCACAAGAAGCAGTTGTTGAATTATCTTGTGTCCTTTTAACATCTTGTTCTTATCTTTTAACATACAACTAATTATGTCATACATATACATATGTTAATTATTGGGTAAGTTTCTATCTAGTTTATGAGAATGTAAGATCTATGAGGAAAAGAGCTGTATCTTTTTCTGAGTGCCTAGTGCTTTGCATAGTGCCTACTGGACATAGCTAATACAGAAGAAAAGATTAATAAATGAATTAATTCTAGTGGCTAGCAAAGTCCAAGGAGAGTGTAGATTTATAAAAATACTTTATAAATGTGTAAGGTGACTAAGATTTTAAAGGCAAATGGCATTCCTCTGTCCATGGATATGGAGCTCTGTCTGA
The DNA here is from genome assembly GCF_000001405.40 of Homo sapiens. NCBI lineage: Eukaryota > Metazoa > Chordata > Mammalia > Primates > Hominidae > Homo > Homo sapiens. Next base: position 103,859,184 of record NC_000005.10, read on the forward strand.
TTTTTAACTACTCTCTACCAAAAAGTTTTACATGACACAAACCTTCTTTACTCTCATGTTAGGTAGTATGAACCTACATCAAAAATGATTTGAATATATTTGTTAATGATTTACAAGTTCAATAAAACATGTAACAATGATGTTAGGATAGTATAATTTTTTTGTCTTAACAGGTAATCAAGTTTCCCACAGAACTTCTCTTTGAAGGAGCTAGGAAGATATTTACACTTAGTTTTTTCAGCCTGGAATTGCTCATTCAATTTACCTGCAGAATCTACTTTTTGCTAATTATCACAAGTCATAAAATCTGTTCCATAAAACTCCTCCAGTCTTCAATATTGACTTTTCTGTCTACTAATTTTATTCTGTCTCTTGATTGATCTGATTTACTCTTTAGATTCGGTATAGTTTTCTTGCTAAAGACCTGGACAATAAATATTACGGTCCTAAATCTCAGGTATGTGGCATCAGGCTTTCTTTTGGAGTAATCCTTCGTTGGTTAATCTAGGTCAGTGCTTCCCAACTATAGCGGTATACACGATAAATATCTGTAGAGCTTAAAAAGTACAGATTAGCAGTTTCCAGCCCAGACCAATTAAAGAAATTTCTGGGGACTAGATTCAA